>NC_000002.12:219989618-220614618 GCF_000001405.40 Homo sapiens
CTTAGATTTCTTTCCATCAACAAAGAAGAAGGCCCATTGCATTACCTTTGGGCAACTCTGTCTCAGCCCTTGTGCAACAGAGCGAGTCTATTGGCATTATCCTTTCCAGAGTTCATAAATAATGTAGAAATTCAGTCTTCGTAGGGGAATTAACATTCACTAAAGAATTCTCTGTAAATTCATTTTATTGGGGGCGTAACAAACATCTGTATCTTCTGTCAGCGAAACTGTCTTCAAGGAGAGAAGACAGGTATGCACAGAATTGACGTTACCTCTTTTCTTCCTGCTAGTGGCATTGTTATCCTAATGCTGGTCTTCCTATTCAGCAGTAAGCGATGTTGGTGCTCACTGTGAATTATCACCTCTGCACTTTGTGCAGTCAGCAGCACCTCCTTTTCTTGGTTGCGTTAATCATAATCTATTTACAGTGCTGTGCATTTTGAAATCCTTATCCTGCTGCATCTAAGCATTAATGAGGCAGCGGGGCAGGGTTTGTAGGGCAGCTGCACCAAGACAATTTGCTTGGTTTCTGAAAACCTCCTCCAGATAATCCAGAAAAATCCTTTACTATGGGGACCCTAATTTGTCTGATTACCTTTTTCCAACAGATGCTGGGGTCATATCCTTAGACTTTCATATTTGTCAGTTTCATTTGGTTAATTCTATTAGTGGCTTATTCCAGACATGAAAGTCATTTGCTATTAGAAACAACTGTTGTCATCTTAAAAGGAAAATCCCGGGGCCTCCTTTCCTTCTGAACTTCACGTCAACAGCATAGTCTGGATGCTCAAAAGTGCTGCTTTGCATTAATTGTCTTCTATCCACCTACACCTCTTTAGTATTTGGGAAATAATGCCCTACAGTAAAGAAGAAAATGGGGCCGTGACTAACATAGGGAATGGGACGAATTTGAAACTGTCCCTCAAACTGGATCTGGATGACACAACCAAGGCTCATGCCAACTTGGAAAATTTGGTGGGTTAGTTTCTCAGTGACTCCTAGCCCCCTTAGAATAACCTGTCACCGCTTTTTTTCTTAAGTATGAAGTTATTGGAACCACCAACGTGCTTGATATGGTTTGGCTGTGTCCCCATCCAAATCTCATCTTGAATTGTAGCTCCCACAATCCCCGTATGTCATGTGAGGGACCGGTTGGAGGTCATTGAATCATGGAGACAGATCTTTCCTGTGCTGTTCTCATGATACTGAATAAGTCTCATGAGATTTGATGGTTTTATAAAAGGGAGTTCCCCTGCATGAGCTCTCTCTTTCCTGCTGCTATGTAAGACATGACTTGGCTCCTCCTTGCCTCCACCATGGTTGTGAGGCTTCCCCAGCCATGTGGAACTGTGAGTCCATTAAAATTCTTTTCTTTATAAATTACCCAGTCTCGGGTATGTCTTTATTAGCAGCATAAGAACAGACTAATACAGTGCTCATCTGCAAAACTCCATTTCCCAGCTTCCCTGCAGCTTGGTGGGACATGACAGCAGTTCTGGCCAATGGCATGTAATGAGAAGTCTGCTGAGGATGTCTGGGAAAATTTTGCTCTTCAAATATAGACGTATTTCCTTCCTCTTTCCAGCCCAATTCTCTTCCCTCCTGCTTGGAATGCCTGTGAAATTTCTGGAACTGGAGCGGTCATCTTATGACCATGCAGGAAAGGCCAACAGAACTGCAGAGACCTTGCCCTGAGGCACTCAGCTACCAAACCAATGCCAGGAACCATCTATCTCTGGACTTTTAGTGTCATGAGGAAAAATAATCTCCATTCTATCCATATCACTGTTAAGTGTGTTTTCCATTACATGCAGCCAAACTTGATAACTGGGTGATATGGGGGGTTTCCAAGAGTCTAGTGTGTTGCTGATGTCTTGGGTTAAAGAGTTTTCAGGAGCTGGAAGGAAATATGAGTTGGGCAGGGAGGAGAAGCCCAGCAGAGTAGGAAGCCCTGGTGTTCCACATGTGTGTTTCAGACTGGGCCTTTTCTCATAATTTCACTTCACCCTATGGTTCAGAGTTTTATTAGTGTTCTGAATAACTTGTCCAATGAATTCCTTGGGTTTCTGTGCCCTTTGAGGAATTTCATTTAGTGAACAACTGCTTTGTTCATTTCTTCACTAATTTTACATTGCTTGAGAGAAAAAGCTCTGACTGAGGTGAGGATATCTTAGTATGCCTTAGGAAAGAACTGTGTACCTCTGAGTGAATTGGGGAGAAGCAGGATACATTTTGGGGAATTAAAAATGTCACTTTGTACACAAGAAGTCATTCTGATTAAGGACAAATATATTCCCTGAAAGCAGGAATGTGGCTGGATTAGATCATCTCCTTCCCCCCTACACTTTAAAAAGTTGGTTTGAGAATGTTCAAGTAATTATTTACCACCTCAGTCTGAAAATTAGGAGTCTACTGGGGTCTCATGAAATAGTTCTGCTGGGGTGAGGTCTGGTGGTGGCGCGGGGAGGGTAGAGTATCAGCGGGGGTTCCCACTGCAAGGTAGGGAGCTCTGAGCTTGCTCCTGGCTTTGGGGGGTTTCTGTGGATCCCCCTCATGGCCTTGGACCTAGACTTAGAGAAGGACAGTTGGTATGGGCAGGGCTCCAGAGTGCAGAGGGACAAACATCTGTACAAGGAGAGCAAGGAGAGAGCTGCTCTGGATTCAGTCTCAGTATCTTTCTGGCTAGGCCCTGGGCTATCTTGTTTACTTTTAATTGCTCTGGCTATTCTCTGCACACAGCTCGACACAAAACACACCTCCTTGGACAACAAGTAGGAGGCAGAACCCAGTCTTTAGGATCTAGAAGAACTGGGTTCTGCCCTAGTTCTTCCATTTATATGCTAGCTGACCTTAGGTAAGTTACCTAGACTCTCTGAGCCTTGGTTTCCCCACCTATCAACTTAATTATTAATAGTATCTACTATTGCTACATAATAAACAACCAAAAATCTCAGTGGCGCCCAACAGGAAGCATTTATTTCTCACTCACAGGGCTGTTGGTCAATGGAGGCAAACTTTCTCAGATCACAGAAGCATGAATCTTGGACCCAAGTTTTGTGTCTGCTCCATGTGGGTTGCTCTGGGGCCCCAGCTAGAGAGCAGTGGCTGCTGGAGCTGGCTCTTCTGGTGGAGCTCTGAAGCTTCCAGATGGGTGAGAGGGAACCTGCAATGCTTCTTCAGCTTACAATTCTTATACTGTCACTTCTGCCATTCCATTGGCCAAAGCAAGATACATGGCCAAGTCCTGCGTCTACAAGTTCAATTTCCTACAGAGTAGGAAATGCATTCCTACTATGGAGGGAGATGGGAATGAATATTTACTGAACCATAATCTAATTACTACTCCCATTGGAAACAGATGTTTTGGAGACTTAATGAGATAATGATGAGGGGCATTTAGCATGGAGCCCTAGATATAGTAAGCTCTCATTAAATATAACTTTTTTTTTCTGCTGCTGCTGCTGCTGTTCCTGCTATATCTATTCCTGTGACACTCCCTTCCTTAGCCTAAGAGATGAAGTTCTGGAGAAGAATGCATGGGAGCAGGCTGTGTACCATTCAAGGCCTTGCTGGCTTGGAGAATCAAAGCTCCCTCCTTTTACCCCAACATGTAATGTTCTTCCCTTTGACCTCAAATGGGTCCATGGAAGCTTCTGAAAACTTCAGGTCCTTGTACATCCTATTACATTTAAAGCATGTTCATGCCCATTCTTATTTGACTCTCTCAATTACTTGTGAAGTAAACTCAGAAGCCATTGCCACTGTCATTTTATGGAGAAGAGAAGAGGTTGGGTTGATCCCAGGTGACATCTGTCCTTTGGGACTTTCTAGTCTACAGCTCAGATGGCACAAAGTGTCACTCTCATTTCTATTTTTAATTTTAATTTAATTTTTTTTTGAGACAAGGTCTCGCTCTGTCACCCAGGCAGGAGTGCAGTGGCACAATCTTTACTCACTGCAACGTCTGCCTCCCAGGATCAAGTGATCTTCCCACCTCAGCCTCCTGAGTAGCTGGGACTACAGGTGCTTGCCACCACACTGGGGTAATTTTTTGTTTGTTTTTGGTAGAGAAGGGGTTTCTACCAAAAACAAAGGCTGGTCTCAAACTCCTGGGCTCAAGCAATCTGCCTGCCTCAACCTCCCAAAGTGCTGGGATTACAGGCATGAGCCACAGCGCTCAGCCCCAGAGTGTCATTTTCATGACACGGGTATTAGTTGAGGTTGGCAGAAATCAAACATAAGCATTTGAAAATTTAGTGTTCATTTTGTCATTCATTCATTCACTCCTTTAATAAAGCAGGACGTTTTGGAGCTCTCGTTGTGTGGTCCATAAGCATGTTATGGTGGACGATTAGATAAGTGCTATAAGGCATTAGGGGCTCAGCAGACTCTGCCAATTTCAGGCCCATTTGGGGTTCAGATATTGGCAAGGTGTTGGCAGTGAGGGCCAGAGGCAGGAAGACTGAGCCTTCTAATCACTCCTGCCTTGCTCATTGCTGTGTGTCCTTCATCAGCCATATGATGTCTCCTCTCACATCTCCTTAGAGCACCCATTAGGTCCAACTAAACTGCTCTTTTAGGATGCACTGGGGCAGTTCAGGGTCCCAACACAGCCTCCTACTCTAATAGGCACCCTTTGATGATGGAGAAGGCAGGTCTGATGCCTAGAGTTGGGGTCGGCAATCTGGGCTGTTGCACTGACTCTGTGGCTGGCCGGGAGTTTGGGAGGCATCTAAACACATTCCCTTCTCTTTCCTTTTCCATCTTCCTGTCTCTGAGATGGAACTTGTAATGGACTGAATGGAGATGGTCTTGATTACTTAGTTCCTTTTTCTCAAACCATAGCTAAATGTCATAACTATTTAAACTTATGAAACAGACAGGGACCATTTATCCCCATTTTACAGATGAAGAAACAGGCTCAGAGAGAGTAAAAGATTTGTCCACTGTGCTGCTGCAATCCCAGGTGACCTTATATATCCTTCCTAGTCTTCAGATTCCTTAATACTTTTGAATTCACAGACACCTGCTCTGTGTTGTCCTTGCAATGCCCAGGGCTTGCCAACCCTTACCTGTCGGTGGTGTGAGGAAGCCTGAAGTAGGAGCAAACAAGGAAGGAGAATTTCTCCCTCTTCCTCCCAGGGATTCCTGGTCATCTACCACAACTCCTTTGTTCTCTACCACCCCACAACCCTGGATCTTGCAAGGGAAGGAAAGATCCATTCAGGACCGAAGCCCATTGGAGCCATTCATGTTCTGGGTTGACGTGGATTCAACTGGGCATGGCTGCTCTGTGTTGGGTGGGCACCCTTACATCTCTACCAGTCCTGGTCCCTTGACCTTTGATCGTCTCTGGCCTTGGCCTGTTGTGAACCTGAGGTCTCTTGCTTGCTCTGTCAGTCTCCCTCCTACCCTCTTGATGAAGGTCTTGACTTCAGAGGACCTTTCACAAATAACAAAGGTGTCTGGGCTGCCTGGAGTGTCTGTTCTATGCTAACACTCCACTAAGTGCTTTATATCTGCAGTTTGCTCTGAGTGAATTGAATCCCCAGACTCTAGGGTAAAGGTGATATCGTCTTCATTTTACAGACAGGGAAACTATGAAGCTGGGAAAGGCTATTTATTTTTCTCAGGATTATACATCTGGTAAATGAAGCTTACTCCTTCTATAATTTTACTCCTTCTATAATATAATAATATATTACCCCTTCGATAATAGCTGCTGATATGGGCCAGGGGCTTCTTATCCATTATTTGCAATCCTCATAACAACTCTGCTGTCTCATCCTCTTTGTTTACCAAGTGATGGAATTGAGGGACAAAGAGGTTAAATAACTTGCAGTGGGTCACACAGCTAATAAGTTATAGTTATGAAGTTTAAGTGCAGGGCTCTGAGACTCCCAAACTCCTCTTTTATTCCCTTTCTCTTGAGACTTCTTAGACTTCCTCATGATCTCACCGAGCCCTTCTCAAATAACTGTGTGTGTTAGAAGTCTGGTTAAAAGAACATCAAGAACAGAGCTGACAGGCAAAACATGTCTCATTTACAGGGCAGCCTGCGTGTGTGGTGTGCAGAGGGCAATGGTGGGAAGCGAAACCCCGTCCCTGGTCTTGGTAGTTCATGGGCTGATTGTAAGAACGTGAGACCCTCTTACACTTTCTTTTTGAGCATCTCCTGTTGGCACCACCTCCTTTTCTCTTCCTTTTGACTTCTACGATCTTTGGTCTGTGTTGTCACCTCCTTTTGACTTCTGGAATCTTTCATCAGTGTTGTCACTCCACGCACTGGCCCACGCCTCTGTCTGGGCCTGTACCCAAGCCCCCTCAAATCATTTGAGTGTCTGCCTTAGTAAGGGAAGCCATGAGGCACCAAAGGTACCAGGAAGTGAACCAGGGTCTTGTCTGGACCCCAGCCCAAGCCCAGACTATGCAGCCAGAAGGAGATCACTGGAAAATGGTATTAGCTCGTTGCAACCTTTAGCACCATTGCTGTGGCTTCTTTCCTGCCTTGGAAAAAACTGCCTACTTTCAGTTTTGGATGAAAGTCATCCTACTTTCAGTTTGATGACTCCCCAACTCCCTCCCACAAACCCAGATGCTTTGGGCCAAAATCTATTAGGGCAAAACACACCCTGCTCACTCCAGGCTGTGAGAATGGCTAGACTTTGTGCATCTTCTGATCTGATTACATTTCCAGTCCCAACCACCTTCATTTTTCACCTCCTAATTGATTTCCCTGCTTCCACCCCTCCAATTTATTCTTTGCTCAGCAGCCATCCCAATCCTCCTAAATTGTGAGTCTGCTCATGTCACTCCTCTAATGGTGTCTCATGTTCTTTAGAGAAAAAGCTGAAGTCCTCACAGTGGCCTACAGTGATCAAGGGAGGGGCTGGCATTTTTTTTTTGGCAAAGGGGCAGATGGTAAATACTTTTGGCTTTGTGGACCATTGGCGTCTGTGGCTACTACTCAGCTCAGCTGCAGCAGGAAAGCAGCCACAACATGTGAACAAATAAGCATGGCTATGTCCCAACAAAACTTTACTTATAAAAGTGGGTGATAGGTTAGATTTGGCCCACAGGCCGTGATTCGCTGACCTCCTCTCTAGGTGATGTGGCCCTGACACCACATGGCCTTATTACCTTCTGCTCTTGCCCTCTGTTTTAGCCCACTGTCCTCTGTAAACATGCCAAGGCTTTGCTTGGCCTTTGCATCAGCTGTTCAATCTCAAACATTTTCTCCCTTTATCTCCGAGCGGCTCATTTTCTTACTTCTTCAGGTTTCTGCTTAAGTATCATTAGCAGAGAGCCCACCCTGACCACCTTATCAGAAATAGCAACCTTCTCATTTTCTTAGCACCCCATCCCCTTTACTCTGCTTTAGTTTGCTCGATAGCCATTGCTACCACCTGACATCTTTATTTATTTGAATGAATAAATGGTTCCTTCGGCAAATATTACCGAGTGCCTCCTTAATGCCAGCCAACTCTCTAGGTGCTGGAATCCCGTAAAGAACAAAACAAAGGCCTTGCTATCATTGGACTTTAAGTCCAAAGGGGAAGACAGACAACAAAAGTAGTAAAAATAAATATAAACATTGGTAGAGATAAGTGCTATGGAGAAAATTAGGCTGGGTGGGAGATGGGTTGTGGTGGAGGCTCATGTCTCTGTTTCTCTGGTAGTAGTTGTCTTCTGCCTGGCCTCATTGCTAAGATTTCACGGGTTACAGCAACAGTGACGTTAGCTCCCATTGCTCAGCTTAGAAGTTGGTGACGCAGAGCTGGAGCGTCTGACAAAATCCCAGAGCCAATAGGGGGCGCCACAGACTGGGGAGAACTGGCTGTGCAAAAAGGTGTGATCAAGGCAGGGGCAGCCAAGCTTCTGAACACGGTGGAAGGGGAGATGAAGGCTGGCAGCACAGGGGCAGGGAAGTTGGAAGTTGTGGGAGGTAACCGGATCTGAGCACAACTGCCTCCACTACCTGTGTTTTTCATGGAGTGCTGCCTAAATTACAAGGCGTTACCGAAGAATGCGCTTCTAAGTTGGATGCTTCATAAATCAGCCAGGCATGCATTATTATGCTGCAACAGAGCCCTTGTTGTGTCTTAATGCTCAATGATACAGCACAGAATCTGGGTTGGGCTTTCTATCATCTTGGACGTGTGGCAGGAACTCGCGCAGCTCTAATTGCTCTACGTGGGAATGGATTCATTGGTGCTTTGGCAGAATGACTCACTCTGATCAGCGTTTAGATTGAAGGGACTCTACCTGGAATCACAGGCTCAGAGAAATCTAGAGACCTTAGAGAGTTGATCCTAGTCTAATCTGCTCATGCTACAGATGGGAAAAATGAGGCTCACAGAGAGGAAGTTACTTGCCCAAGGTCATAAGTGGCACTTAGGGACACAAGTCAGGCTACTGATTCTGAGTTAAATACTTGGGTCACCATCCCAGATTCTCAGGAGAGCCGCCGTGCCCCTTCCTAGGCCTGCAGCAGGTGCCTCGGATGGTGACATTCTCTTGCCATCTGACTCAAGCTGCAGACCAACTGGAAGAAGCTGTGCCTCATTTACTTGAACACAAATGGACAACCAATTAAAAAAAAAAAACAGACTTTCACATTTTATGGATCCTTAGGGACTTAGTGAACTCATGCTCCCAGATTAAAGGAAAGAGGAAAACCATACCCTTCTTGCTGAACTATGCTGCCTGCTGGTTCCCCAGCGCACCCTGGTGTTCTCCGGAATGGAGACAGCCTTTAGGACAGCTGGAGAGCATTATCACTTGAAGGCTTGCATTCTGGCTTTTATATATGATTTACATACATCTGCATACTGTATGCTCTGGGCATTGTTTTCTGTGTCATGCCATCTTCACAGTCTCCCTTCTCCAAGCTCACTTGGCAGTTTGGCTTCCTCAGCTCTGCTGGGTGAGGTGAACGCTTGGTTGGAGTTTGATCTGGAGAAGCATCTAGAAGTTTCACCTCAGCGGGAGAGACTCTGGGACAGAGAGTGGCTGCTGAAGTCAGTGATGTGTCAGAGTCAAGTGGCCATCAGTTTCCTTAAGGTTCTACAGTAAGATCTGTTTATCACACTCCTTATCTGTCTCTGTCCTGAGCTAACTGTGTTTCTAAGTGCCAGGGGTCGCCCATGGGTTCAGAGTGACTGTCTATGTGTCAGGTAAAGTAGAAACTTTAGGATGCCATGGAAGAGACAGCCAACTTTTGGGCACCGTAGATAAGAAATGCGAATTAAAGCCGCAGTGAGATTCTACTACCCTAGTGGGTTAAAAAGACTGATAATACTAAGAGTTGACAAGGCTGTGGGTCAAGTAGAACTCTTATACATAGGAGGTAGGAGTGTATATTGGTACAATTACTTTAGAAAATTACTTGACAGCACCACCTAGAGGTAAATATTTGTCTCCCCTGTGACCCAGTCATTCTACTCCGAAAGCTTTCACCAAGGAAAGGGGGCACACATGTCCATCAAAATACATGTACAAAAATGTACACAGCAGTTTCATTAGTGATAGTAAGACATTGGGATCTACCCAAGTGGATAAGTAAATTGGATATAATCATACAGTGGAATAGTGCCTGACAACACAAAAGAATGAACTACTTGTATACTACTTATACATACAACAACATAGATGAATCTCACAGATGTAATATGCAGCAAAAGAAAATAGATACAAAAGAATCTATCCTATAGCATTCTATTCATGTGACATCTGAGAGCAGGCAAAGCTAGTTTATGGTGATAGAAGCAGAACTGTGGTTACCTCTGGTAAGGGAGTAGACTAGGAAGGGGTAAGGAGAAGCCTTCTGGGGTTGATGGAAATGTTACATCAATAGTAAAAATTCACTCATTCACTTAAGTAAGATTTATGCACTGTATAGTGTGTCTGTTATAACTCAATAAAACTGAAGGAGGAAGAAAAGGGGACCTGAGTGAGAAAGACTCAGGGTCATTCTGGTAATATGTTCTATGTCTTTGACTTCCGGGACTTGGCCTCTATTTCCAGACTCCTGACACCAGCTTGCTTGATGGACTATGCTCTTTAGCATCGCCCAATATCAGCTCTGCTATTTGCCTACAGCTTGATGTTCAAACGCATTCTAAGATTGACACTAACTTCTGATACTTGTACAGTGTATGCTCAACTTCAGGTTTGCCCGACTTCAAGGTGAGCTGATACTATCAGAGCTTGCCTGCACCAAAGTAGCTTTTCTGGGGCCTGCCTTCCGCACTCTCCGGCCCCCTTAATCCAACACTTGGTACTCATGATGAGATAGGCCCCAGAACTCCTCATACCATATTTCCATCAGCTGCCCACAGCTGCCACAAATTCCTGGGGGCACCTACAGTTGATCACTTCAGGTCAATGTACAATTGCTAGTTGTACAATAAACCCTGGAGGTCTTAGTGAGGTGGATTGCTTAGAAAAGTCTGGACTCCTTTGGGCCATGCTAGAGGCTGACTTAAGGGCTAGAATAAAAAGACCTTCTTGCATCCTTTCCTCTAGGCCAGGGATGGCAAATACTTCACATATGGGCTAATATGTCTTCCCCAGCTCCTTCCTACCCCACAGCAGACATTAATAATCGACCACAGCAAAAATCCTGGATAGAAAAGCATTCCAAAGAATGTACAAGAAAGCAACTATGTATCTAAGCCTCTGGAGAAGAGTTGTTTTCGCAAGACCTAGCTAGGCAGCACCTCCCAAACACAAGGACAGCTGCAAAGAGGAGAAGGGAGATGAAAGTTCTAGGTCTGGTTTCTTAGAAGTAGATGCTGAAGAGAGGATTTGCCGCAAAAGACTTATTAAGGAAGTGCTCCCAGGTTAGGGAAAGGGATGTAGGTGAGCAAGTGCAATCTCAGGCCAAAGGTCCCAGAAGTGACTTTATTCTGATGGGTAGAGGCACTGTGGGGTGTAAGTTGCACTCCGAGTTGTCCAAGGGAACTGGGCCTGTGTACCTCCACACCACTGGTCAAGGGCCTCCTGGAGAGAAGCAAATTCCCAAGAACTCCTGGCTGTCTGTGTGTGGGAAGTGCTCCAGTGTCCTGAGGGCAGTCCTCCCAAGAGGAGCCTTGATGTGAATGTGGGAGGCAAAGGTGCACACACACTGGGGCACACAGAAACAGCAAAACACTCTCCATGACTAATAAGGCAATTCAAAAAGATAAGGCCAGTGAGAAAGATGCGGGGCCTGGCCTCTTGGTCGTTAATCCCTCCCTGCTCTGGAGAAGAAGCGCGAGGAAAGAAAAAAGCCTTGGACTCCTCATGGTTCTTACCTGACCCACCTGCATGGTAGTCATTCCTAGTGGATGGACAAGGGAGGGAGGGCAGGGATGCTGCCTGTAGATGCCACATTACATAGGGTACAGGCAGCTTCTGGAGGAGACTGCTGGCCCCTGACACTCATACAAGGTCCACTAGAATCGCAATCACTTCCATTTTCCCAGCACTGTGTGGTTCCAGAGTCCTTTTACCGGCATGACTGCATTTTCACTGCCTCTGAGGTAGGCAGAGAGTTTTATTTCCATCAGTCATGGAATATAAAGCGCGAATGCTCTCCCCACTACCTTCCTTTGTGCTCCTTCTTTAATTACTTTATATTTTTGTCTGAAACTGACCCTTGATTGTATAGATCCATGGCTGAGCTGGGGAGGGTAAGGAGCTTGTGTTAATGCTCCACCTTTAAATGGCTCTCTCCTTACTCTGTAATAGAATGATTTCTTTTTCTTTTGTTCAAAAAGATTTGGACTCTGGTCACCTGGCCCAAGTATTGGCTCAGCATCTGCTTGCTGTTAAAATTCTTGAAGCTCTCTGGGCCTCAGTTTCCTCATTTGCAGTATAAAGAGGTTGGCCTAGATTACAACTCCAGTCCTGGCTCTGAAATTGTGTGCACACATGGCTTCAGGTTATGGGAATTGTGTTTCTTTGTTCATTAGGAACAAAGAGCAGGCAGTATATTTTAAAGGTTCCTACTCTATTTTGGCTTCAGTACCTTAATTTTTAGGTAACATTTTTCTTTAAGAGGAGGGAACTGGCTAGTATAAGGAGACCTGCTTTTTTCTTTTCTTTCTTCTTTTTTTTTTTAAACATTAAAGCCCCTGTCTTCAGGGAAGAAGAGGCTGTTGGATGTGTTTTGAATGTTTCAAATCAAAGCCTGCCAAGGGATGGAGAGCTATAGGTTTCAATAAGCACCTCTTTCAGTAATTTTAAGAATTTCACTTATGAGGATAATGAAATCTTCAGAAACCCTAGGAGACATACCAGAAAAAAGTATGACTCATCAGTGGAATTTTCCTAAATACTCTCTCCCCCTACTACATTTGTCCATCAGGAGGGCCTCCTCTGCAGATTCTGAAGACGTCTATAGCCTAATTGGATGCTTGGATTTGGGAGCTCAAGAACCTTGGGAACTTGAGTACTGCTCCCCACACTTCTCAGGTCCTCCCAGCAGCCTCCAGGCCCGCTGTTGAACACTGTGACTCTGGGGACCCGGCTTGCTGTCATTTGTTGGTGTGTCTGTTGTGGCAAATGTTCCTGCTGGAAGTCTGGACCATCGAGAGCAAATGCTTGTTTCCTTGGATCCTGCTTCTCACCATGTGACTTTAATAAAAACAGATAGAAACTGTCACTGTTTCTGTGACAAGATGTGTAGGCTTCTTTCAGATGTGGAATCTGTACCCTGGGGTTTGCAGGCCTCAGTTGGATGTTAAATGCCCTGAGGTCTATGTGTGTAGACCTTGACTTGGATTATGAGCCCTGCTCCTATGCAGGAGAGAGGGGTAGAGCCGACTTCTTCCCTTTTGTAGGTTTTCTTGAGCTGTTGCCAAAACTCACTCCCAGCTATTTAAAGATTAGGAAATACATTTTTGAGAACTTGATTGGATGTAATTTCAGAAAAAGACACGTACATTTAGAAAAGACAATGTAAAATCCTAAAAGACCCAGTTGAAAGAACGAGTTGATGTTTAATTAAAAGCAGTGGGCATAAATGGATTCTGCACATTTTCGTGGATCAAGTTACCTAGAAAGAAAGAAAACTTGTGGGATGGGTATAATATAAACAGAAAGGGGAGTTAAAATAAAGACTTTAAGAAATTAAAATCAAAAGGGACTCTTCAAAAAGAGTGTCCGTCTTGGGTATTAACCTCCAACATTGAAATGAAAACAATTTTGAGAAGCTTAAAAAAAAAAAAAAAAGACAGCCCACATTGCGGCCTGCTTCAGATCTCTGGTGCTTTAGCTTTCTGTGGGAAGCTACAGTTTCCTGTCATTTGCTTGCTGGGTCTAGCATTTGTTCTCTGCCATGTGCATCTAGGATTTCTTACTAGCTATCCAGAGTTATGCTGCCTTGAAAGAAGAGGACATGTGGTTGTTCTTCTAGGCAAGGCCCTCACAATTTGTGAATCCAGTGTAATGGTTAAAAAGTGCTGAGCAGTAACCGGGAGACTTAGGTAAGAACCTAAGCCAGAGCTCATGTTTTCATTTCTCACTCACTGCGTGACTCGGGGGAAATTACTTTCCTTCTCTGAGACTCAATTCTCTCATTATAAATGAGATCCTTTCAGTGCTATCCAAAGGGACTTTCTGCCATGATGGAAATATTCTCATATCTGTGCCTTCCCATGCAGTGGCCTCTAGACAGTGGCTTTTGAGTCTTAGAAAAGTGGCTAGTATGTCTGAAGACTTTCAACTTCTTTTAATTTCAGTTAATTTTGATTTATTCTTAAATAGCCACATGTAGCTAGGGGCTAACATATTGTACAGAGCAGTTTGAGATGTTGCTGAAATCCTTTCCAGTTCTAACATTCTACGATTCCACACTCTGGTGCTGAGGCTTGCATTGCTGGCCAATCTCAAGCATTCGTCAAACTGTTATGCAGAACCTTGCGTGATCCACTTCTCATTTCTAGGGGAAAAAAAAGAGCAGCCAGGCAGAATTCTTCTTCCCAAATAGCTCATAGTTTTGTGGGAGAGAATCATACACTTCTAGAAACTGTAGGATGTTTCGGTTGGGACTCCTGGGAAAATGAAAAGTAGAATCAGCCTTCATCAATATTTGTTACACAAGGGTCTTTAACATTCCTCCAGCAAGGATGCACCACCAGGTAGTCTGTTCTGTCTGGGTCTGGCCCAGTTTTCCTCCTTAACCCAGAAACTAAAAGTAATCTGGACATTCACCCGCTGCTGAGTCAAACGTGGTTATTTTTAGTTTTGGGAGCCTTGAAACCTAATGAGGGTAAATGACCTAAAAGAATAGGAGTATGGGATTCTGTGTTTCATTCAGCGGATAAGCACTTACTGCATGCATTTTGAGTGTCAGACATTGGGTTAGGGATTGGGGGATACCATCGTGTGTGAGACAGGCAGCCCTTCATCTTGGGGAGCTTAGGAGAGGAGGCAGACAATGCACGAGAGGGAAGGATTTTAGATAGAGTTAAGAAAAGAAGATGGTGGCACTAATGCAAATAATAATTTTAAAAATCATTTAGGACACCACAACAAAAGATGCTGGTATTTAGCTTGCGGTCTCTGGTTGGCCATTGGTGTGGGAATAGTGAACTTGGAGTTAAAAAAAAATGAGTTCCGGGCCTGACTGTGCTGCTTACTTTGGTGTGAAGTTGGGGAAGTACAGGGTTGTTCTGGGGATACAATAATGTGTGTGAAAGGGCTGTGTAATCAGCTGAGCACTCTACAATGGTAAGATGCCATTACTATTGTGTAGGCTGCAAAATCTCCTTGTAGATAGTAATTGACTAGTTGAGGTTCTCTAGTTTGGAACACAGGAGGGAAGAGGAGACTCTCCAGAGGGACCGAGAATGTTGTGAGGAACATGAGAAGGATGCTGTGGGTGGAAGGGTCCTCAAACTGTCTTCTCTGAAGCCCTTGGCTTCCACTGAGGGGCTTCAGCAGCAGTATTGGCTAAGGTGCTAGCCCAGTGGGTCTGACTGTAATTTAGCTAGAACCAGGTATCTTAACTCTTCCCTATATTATACATACTAGCTATGTGTAAAGTGTTACTAAAGGTATCTTTTGGCAATTAAAAAAATACTGGTTAGGTGGATGCTGAGAGAAGGTGAGCTCAACAGGGGAGAGGGGTCAAGGAATGTTGGAGGAGCTCAGGCCAGCTTCCCCTCACTTTAGGATTTTGCTTCCTCTTAGGAAGTGGGTGTGAAACCGTGAGGCTGGCAGGAACCTGGGAGAATCCCTGGAACAGGATGGGGAAGGGGCAATGGCTGCACCAGGCATATCTCAACCTTATGTGCAGAGCACCTACAATTCCCATTGTGTTGCCCAAGTCCTGCAATTCATCTTGTGTCCCAAAACAAATACAATTAGGATTGACTGGTTATAAATTGCTTTAAATTTGGCTATAAACACAAAATGTGCTTGAATCACAGCACATTAGACTGGAAAATACCTAAACTCATCTTATCCCCTAACATCTTAATTTAACAGACAAGAAAACAAAGGCCAGAGTGGGGAATGGGCTTGCCTAAGATCCCAGAATCAGTGGCAGGGCAATAACCCTGAGGTTCTGGATCCTCCTGCAGAGGCAGAAACTTCAGAACCAGGAAAGGCTGAGGCTGAGTGGTCTTTTCCTGGCCCACAGTTTTCCTTCCCTAGGGTGCCTCATCTGTGTGACATCCCTGCCTAGTAACACATATGAAGCTGTTAGTACACACTGAATGCATGTTCCAGGCACTGCACTAAGCAATCTACTACCTTGCCTCATCAAATTCTTGGTGCTCAGTGTCTCCCATTTGCCCCTGCAGATCCACTTGCTGCTGGGTGCCTCATATGGAATGCATTAAGGGGCTGCCTTGTCTGTTGGGTTCTTATGGTTTCAGCTGAAGGGACGTATGGAGACCCCAAGGGGAGGAGGAGAGTGTGGTTGATGCATTTATTCATAAGCCTCCCTTTCTGTCAGGTTGCTACCAGCTGGCTGCGTGCCTGCATTGAAGGTCATAGCTCACATCACGGAGCTCCTACTTTCTTTGGATGTGGATACACACACTCTTCCAGGTGCCCCTTCGGGACTGATAATGGCACCCACTTTACTATCCTCGGGCGCTGCACCCTCCCTTGTGCTTTTTCTGCACTCTCCACACTCCTTTGTCAATAGTTCTTTTATGAAACCCTCCTTGGGTTATCCCAGTTTGAGTGCACCATCTGCTTTCTCCTGGGGCTCTCATGAATGTTCCACACAGCGACCCTATGAGGGTCATTCATTACTCCCACCTCACATGTGAGGAAATGGAGACACAGAAAGTTAGGAATGGACCCAAAATCACACAGCTAAGGAAGCCCAGGAGGTTCCAGAAACTTTGCTCTTGAACGAGGCATTGCAGCTCCTTGGAGAGCAAGTGAGGAGGGCGGGTGGGTGGGTGATAGGATGGTCCAGGGCTTGACTTCCATCACAGACAGCTTCTGCCTTCTGTCTAAAGTCCCTTTGCAATTTGGGCTTCCTCATTATTCCCTCCTGTCTATCAGCCCAGCCAGGGCCATTAAATGCTTGGTGGACAGCCTGTAAGAGTTGGCAGTGTGGTGGGGCCTAGAGAAAGTGGACAACAAAGTTCGTTTCTGTGGTTAAAATAAAAACTAAGACAAGACAACCCTTAATTAATTAAAGGAGCAGAAATAGCTCCCGGATGTGGCAGGGGCTGACAGCTTCTCCTCGATGATTTCATTCGGTGGTGATGGTTTTGTCAATATTACATGCTGCCCGGAACCACACACAGTCTCCTCTTCTGTCTGAGAACATTTTTTTCCCCTTTGAGTTGCACAAGCTCAGGCTGGGAGTGACAGAAGCCAGCCTATAGCTTCACTGACCTACTTCCCGCTGGCTCTCCAGCCAGCAGCCCACGCATCATCCATTTTAACCAGCTTTTCAAGGTCAGGACTTTTCACTGCAGAGACCGGCTTTTGCTTGACACAAAGCCAGGTGCCATCAATTGTCCTGTTTACTAAATTTTCAATGTTCTTTTTCTTTAGCTGAGCAAAAAGTATGGGTTGGGCTCCTGTTTAGGACAGATAACAAATGCAGTGACTTTGAGCCTAAATTGGCCACTTCATGTGCTGAAAAAGCAGGTTTTCCACTATTAATGGAGCACCTGGGCCAGACCAAATGCAAACAGTCAAGGATTTAGGCTGTCCCAGTAGACGGTCACACTCCTCTTTTTTTGTGATGCAGACAAATGTATGCTCCACATAAACACAATGTCTTATTTTTCACTTTTATGAAAGAATTATATGAAACCAGCTCTTCACAGATAAAAAGCAACTGCTTTGTGTATCTATTACTGTACCTTTCATCTCAACAGGCTTTGTGAGAAACTTCCAGCTGGAGGTACATTCTTTTCTGGTTTGATAAAGATAAATTGTATTCAGTAAGAGAGAAAGGGGAACATTTTCTTGATTATTCTCTAAATACGAAGTCGGGGGAAATGTGATTTTTTCCCCCAGTATTCAAAGAAGTTAGTCCCCTTTCATAATGACCCCAAATTTTCTGTGCTGCTCAGCATACTAAAACTGTTTGATCTTGAGAGAAGCTTGTTATGTATGGAGTTCTGGGAGCTCATTAGAGAATAAAGAGGACACGTCGCTTTCTCTACTAATATCTGCTAATCACTGGCTGTAAGGTACAGGCAATATGGTGTAGTGGTTTATGGCATAGACTGTGGAGTTTGAATGTCAGCTTTTCTCCTGCTATTGTATGAATTTTGGCAAGTTACTTACATTGTCCATGCCTCAGTTTCCTCATCTGGAGTGTAGAGATAATAATAACCCTTATAAGGGGTTGTAATGGGTAAATATTAGGTGTTTCAAACAGTGCTTGGTATGTAGTTAGCTTTTGTCTTAGCCCTTTCTGATTGTTGAAACAAAAAAAATGGATAATTTATAAACAACAGAAGTTTATTACTCACAGTTCTGGGGCCTTGGAAGACCACAATCAAAGAGCAGGTAGATTTGACATCAGGTGAGGGCCTGTTCCTCATAGATGGTGCCTTCTAGCTGTGTCTTTTGGTGGCAGAAGGGGCAAACAAGCTCCCTTGGGGCTCTCTTAATGCCTAATCACGAATCCCATTCACCTAAATCACTTGCTAAAGGCCACATCTCTTCGTACTATTGTGTTGAGAATTACATTTCAACATATGAATTTTGGGGGGACACAAACTTTCAGATCATAGTAGCTTTTAATAAGTGTTAACAATTATTTATCACATGAAGGATAGAAAGTCAGGAATAAATGCAGCCCTGTATGTATGAATGCATATGCATGCACATGAGTGTGGAACGAAGTTGGTTGTTTGCTGGGAGAAGGGAGCCTGGAGAAACAGGGAGCAAAGGAAGGGGTGGTGATGGATATTCTAAAAAAGGCTCAGTGAGATCCTGAGGACTGATTCTCTTCTCTGTTGACTTTCAGCACAAGAAGGAAGACAGGAAGAGGCCCACTGCCTCTCAGGTTGTTGTCCTTGCCTGGATAAGGAAGCAGAGAAATGTAAAGGAATACATTCACAAACACACATACACAAAGATAGAGAGGAAAATACATAGACAAAGGCATAGACTAGACTCAGGGAAAGTGGAAGATTTACAGGGGCAGCCACACAGAGTGAGGGAGACAGGGAAAGAAACACAGGTGCAAAGAGGAAGAGCAACACAGGGAAAATGTCCATGCATGTGCACACACACACACACACACACACACACACACCCCCCATACCAAGGAGATGACAGTTGTTCTGGTTTGTTGATGCTAAATTCTTGGATATAGCAGGATCAACATACTGCTGGAGTCAAATTGTGAAGTTGAATTATCTTTATGATCAAATGGCAACATTAAGATTATGTATATAAAGTTCCTCACACAGTGCCTGATAAAGAAAAGTTATTAATTTTAATAGAATCTTCTTTTAGTGCAGATACTGGCAGAAGAAACCCCTTTCCTGGAGTTTATGTGACCTTACCTTACAGAATGTTTCTTTCCCAGGGTGGGTGTATCTTGGTTCTGGAACCTCCTCATCTATCGGCATGTCCCCACCACTTTCTGATTTGCTTGTGAGAGTCATGGAGGACAGATGGGATATAACTACTATTTCCTCTCCACTAACAAGCTGGCAAACCTTAAAAGATTGGAGGAATGGGGGCTGGTGGGCAAAGGAATTTGGTCAAAGTACAGACAAAAATAAAATGTCCCTGACTGGGGTACCATATACAGTGAGACCCATACTAAGCAGTGTTTCATATGACTGTTTCATGATCTCAAAATCCTTATGGTTTCTTAAATCCCAAGGAAATGGGCCTGAAGACACAAAGAATGTAAACTAGATCTTTGAAATCCCCTTTGGTTATTCTCTAGAAACTTATTTCTGCAGAAGTGCCTTCTGATTGACAAAAGCTCACTTTTATATTCACAATCTCACTCTGTCAAGGTCTAGTCTGAAATCACCCTCAGAGAATATTGTGCAGTAACTTTTAAAAAGCCCAAATCCTGTCGATTTTTGCATTTAATTTATTGTTTTCCTTGGTCAGAGCTTTGCTTTGTACATAACCAAATCCCAGTTTTGAGTGCCTATCGCATACTGCTAAGCCATGATGTTGGAAGGCATTTTTTTAATTTAGAGCTTGAAATTCCCTTAGTTTACTTTCAAGTTCCTAGTCCTTTGGAAATTTATATAAAATTTCCCGGCCCCTCCCAGCCTCCTATTTTCTGCTCCCTTTGGAAGCAGTTAATTAATTTTATTTCTCAAAGATGCTTTGTTTCCTTAAGTAGTTCAGTCTGGCTAGTCTTCCTCTGGGTATCACTTTTCACCAGCATTTTATGCAAACTCATTCAGAAATAGCTCATTGTGGGCCAGTTTTCTCTGTTTGGAAGGACAATTGCTTATGAGGTCAAGGTCCTTATGCATCACTCAGTTATTCAACAGTCTTCCATGAGTCCCTGATTTGGACCATGTCCTCAGGATAAAAAGACTCAACTTCTGTCAATCCCTACCCCCACCCCATAGAGGCCCCAGTAGATGTGAGTGGAGCTCAGTGGGGTCTTCACAGGCACTTTGAGTGTGTGTGGGGGTTTATCCTGAAAATAAAAAAACATGAGAGCTGGTGAGTAAGACCAAGCCAGTGCCTTTGACAGGGAGTTGAGAGATCAGGAGAATACACTCATCTGTCAAGCCAGCAGGACTATAAATGGGAGATAGAACCAAGAGTCAGTTGCCAGACAAACAGCAGATCAGAAAGGGATTAGAGGGAATCAGTTCCAGGATGCCTGCTGTGAGCTCTGTTGGGGTGTTGACAGCTCAGATTTATGGTCTGGCAGGTACACAGTGCATGGAATACAGTGCAGGTGCACAGTGGCTGGACTAAAGGTACATGATCTGGAAGGGGTCTGTCCTGACTCACCATCCCTCAGGCCTTCCATGCAATATGGGATGGAGTGGGCAGCCCCCATTTCACTCAATGAAAGTACAGTGGAATATTCTGGGACATTCACACTTAAAGCCTGATGACTGACTTCTCTTCTGGGTCATCTCCTTTGCATGATTCTAGGTGTGGAGCTGGAAAAAGTATCTGTGATAATCTCGTGTTTCTTTTATTGCCTTCTCCAGCTTCCTGTCTTGAGCTAGAGGCTGAGTCTTGGGGTAGAGACTTGGATGAAGATCACAGGTGCAGACAGGTCAGGATAGAAGGAAGTGGTGATCAAGAAAGTGAATGTGCATAGATGGTGTGGCTTGAGGCAAAAGTCAACAAGACCATTTGCTGGTATGACTTAGGGTAGGTCTTGGGCAGAGGCAGATGATGATGACTGAGACACCTCAAGAATGGCCGGACTGATGGAACCAGGCAGAAGTCCAGTGTAGAAGTTTATCATTTTGGTTAGTGCATGATCAGAATCGCATGTGGCCTTAGAAGGGTGATAGCTCTACTCTAAAATCTACAATGATGATTTTCAAGGAGTTTTCAGGTTTAGGAGCAAAGGGTCCCTTCGGTTGTCCCTCGTGGGTATTATATTGATTATAATTGAATTGGATTTAAAACTGTGCCCAGGCCTCAGGGATTTGCTTACCCCTTGTACCCCCTGCTACTTCCAAGCTCTGTTGTGTGGGCTTCTCCATGGCATGTGGAGCCCGATGTTGTGTAGAGGAGACCCACTTACAATCAGTTCATTTAGGGGATGCCCAGAGTGTCTCAAGGCATAGACAACTCCTGTCTTTTACGCTAACTTACCTTAATTAAGATCACCTGTGTCTGGACTGAGGCACCAGTTTCCTGGGCAGGGAAGTCCTTGGAGTAGGGTGTTTGGCTGTTGTGTCATAGAATAAGGAAACTGTTCTGCCGTGTGAAGGTATAGCATTAAAAAGAATTTCACCACATTTGAAGGTCCAGAAGTAAGAAAGTTGACGTTCTGACACAGGCCAGAGTAGAGCACGGACGAGATGGGTCACAGACGACAGATGAAAGATGAGGTACTTTAGCAGTAGGATGTGGCAGTGTGGTGATATTTTTTAATATATAAAATTATTATTTTGATTTTCATCTACAGTTCCTGGCTCATAACTCCCACAGCCCTTGTTACAGTCTTTTGTTATAACTTTGGGTGTGTTAGGTGTCAGGGGCAGGCCTCAGGAAACAGAATCTAATTTTCCCTCCCCTTTCTGATTGTGAGTCAAGAGACCCTCATTCCAGAGAAGGTCCCACACTGCCTGATACCATGTGGGAAGGAATGCTGACATCATGAAGCTTCCATGAAAACCCCAGAGGACAGGATTTGGGGAGCTTCTGGATAGCTGAACACCTGGTGGTTCCTGGAGGGTGGCACACCCATGGAGAACATGGAAGCTCAGCACCCTTTCCCCCATATGCCACCCTACACATCTCTTTATCTGTATTATTTATAATATCCTTTATAATAAATGAACAAACATAAGTTAGTGCCTCTCTGAGTTCTGTGAGCCATTCCAGCAAATTAATTGAACACAAAGAGGGGGTCTTGGGAACCCCAACTTGAAGCAGGCTGGTCAGAAGTTCCAGAGGCCTGAACTTGTGACTGGTGTCTTATGGGGAGGGCATCTTGAGGCCTGAGCCCCCAGCCTATGGGGGGAGGTCCGACATTCTTTCCAGGTGGATAATTTTGGAACTTAATTGGAAGACACCCAGCTGGTCTGTGCTGCAGAACTAGTGGCTTGCTTGGTGGTAGGGAGAAACCCCCGCCCATTTATTCACAGAAGTCTTCTAGGTTGATTGTTGTTGTGATGGTGTGAGAGCAGAGGAAAAACATGGCTTGTGAGTTTTCCTGAAATAAGCAGAAATGACAGTTCTGGGCCTAAGCTTTAAAGAGGCCAGGTGGTTTCCTCCCTTTCACCCTGGGGAATCCTAGGTGGCCATGTCATGACTGAGAAGTGAGGCACAGCAGCTGGGACTTAGCTGTTTGTGTTCCTGCTGAGTCCAACCTATCACTCACCTCTGCCAAGGCGCCAGACAGGTGAATGAGCCATCTTTAATATTTAAGCCCTGTTGATACCCTATGTCCCTTCAGATGCAGAAAACTTCACATAGAGCAGAAAAGTCACCCAGCTGAGCCCAGTCAGTTCACAGAATCATGAGACAATAAAATAATTGTTTTAAGCCACTAGAATTTGGGGTGTATGTATGTTATGAAGCAATAGGTGGTGAAAGCAAGATATATGTGTGTGTGTATATATATATATATATGTCCTTTATACTTTATTATAAGACTGGTAAGCTATGACTCATGGGCCAAATCAGGCCCACCATCTATTTTTGTAAATAAAGTATTATTAGAACACATTTATGTCCACTTGTTTAAGTGTTGCCTATGGCTGCTTTTGCACTACAATGGCAGAGTTAAGTGGCTGTAACAGAGACCATATAGCTCACAGAGCCAAAAATGTTTACTGTCTCGTCCTTCATAAGCTGACTTCTGACTCATCAGCTATCACAGTAATATACAAAAAGGTGAAAAATAAACAGACTGATCTTTTTTAAAAGTGTATAAGACTCAGTGTGCAAAAAGCAGTAGCATATAGGAAATGGCTTGTCTCAATATGGAGATAGTTTCTAATGTTCCTTGGGCTGTAACAGAATTGGGCTTTGGCTGCAACGTATCTTCCTACTACCATAGAGTACAATAGAGTAGATCTGTGGCCAGATTCACTCTCCCTCCTCCTCTGTGGGAGTCATATACTTCCCTACTATCCCCTGATGTACTTGGCCATGAGGCTTGTTATGGTGAGTGGAAGCTAAGAGAACGTGACATGAACAAAGGTTTTAGCTGCGCTTATGTGGTTTGGCTTAACTTCTTGAGCCCCTGCTCTCTGCCATGAGATGAGCATGCTCCAGGTAGCTGTAGCTGATGTTGCCTGGATCTCAGAATGAGTGACCATGGAGCAGAACTAAACCCTGCTAGTGAGTGAGTCCAAATCCAGCTGAGTCCAGCAGAGCACAGAAAACCTACAGACATATGAAAAATAAATTTTCCTTCCTTCCTTCTTTCCTTCCTTCCTTCCTCTCTCTTTGTCTGTCTTTCTTTTCTTTTCTTTTCTTTCTTTCTTTCTTTCTTTCTTTCTTTCTTTTCTCTCTCTCTTTCTTTCTCTTTCTTTCTCTCTCTCTCTCTTTCTTTCTCTCTCTCTCTCTCTTTTAAAATTCAGTGACCTACAACAGCAGCTCTGCCATTAGTCACTGAATTTTTTGGAGTTGTTTGTTACTTAGCATCATTGCAGCCATAGCTAATTAATACAAAGCCCAAGAAGCATAGAAAGAAAGAGAATATGCTATACATAAGAATGCTACTAGCCCATTTAGCACCTTTTTGAAAATTAACAAAAGTGATCCTCTGCCAAGAACGCTTTTTTTCCCATCTTCAAAAATTCCCATATAGAGTAGTTATCTTCCCCTACCCATGGGGGATATGTTCCCAGACCCCCAGTGGATGTCTAAAACTGCAGATAGTACCAAACCCTGGATATACCATGTTTTTCCCTATATATACATACCTATGATAAAGTTTAATTTATAAATTGGCTCAGAACAATTATAATAATATTCTATAATACAAGGTATGTGAATGTGGTCTTTCTCATAATACCTTACTGTACTCATCTATTTTCAGACTGTTTGACCTCTGGTAACTAAAACTGCAGAAGGCAAAACTGGATAAGGAGACTACTGTAATGATTATGCTATTACAAGACGCTCGATTGCTAACATCAGACATTTTTATAAAAGGAAGTGAAGCTATGAGATCCACAATGTGAATGTCACCCAACCAGAGGTGTTACTTTGTGCCATGTACAACATACACAACCATAGGTGATGACTCTATACCTTGAGAGAACTCAATGAATTGTATTGTCCTGAATTAACTCTTGAATGTTAGAGGCAGGAAGCAGGATTGGTATCATCAAAGACATTAGCTTGCTGCAGAATATTATTTTTCAGTGGCAAAAGGTATAAGTTATTTCACATAGCTCTTTGCATTTTTTCATGAACAAATTCTGACTGCCCCCTTTGCAGATCAGAATCTGGTCGCAAAGTTGGATGAGGGCAAAAGTAGTGTACTCAGAAAGGGAGAAAAGAAAAGCTCATTTTAAATGTTAAAATATTACCATTGCTTATGCATGGTAAGATTTTACACTTGCTGGTCTTTCTATTGGGGCAAATGCAAGAGCAATGCCTCTCTCTTTGTCTTCCTTCTGTCTTTTATTCCCCTCTAGGGTAAGGAGGAATACATAGACATTAGTTTACTGGAGAGTCAGAACGGAACTGGGTATGACTAGATGAATTTCCCAGTGACTTACCTAATTTAGTTCAGGCAGAGGTATGTACTTCCCAAACAGCTTGTTATCTAACTTAAGCCTGTGTATCTTAAAGCCCTGGTGAGCACACCATATATAGTAACAGAGAAAACCTAGATTGTATAGTTTGTTGTTTTTTTTTTTTTTTTTTAGATGTGCTTTGAATTCTGGTCCTTCAATTTATTAGTGACCCAAGTTTCAGTCTTTGCGTTTATATAACAGCAAAATGAATTCCTATTTCAAAGGGTTATTATGAAGGTTAAATATAATATACAAGAATAATCCAGAAGAATGTGCTATATATTAGGCATTTGCTGTTGGTAAATTTCCATTTTTCTTCAGGGCAAAGGAAAAAAAAATGCAAAGTGAAAAGCTTATATCTTTGATGTCTTTTCATCTCTCTTTTCTCATCTTTAGTGTATAATCTGCCATTTCTCTAGCTCCTCTCTTGCCATCATTTTGTGAGCACTCAGGTTTAAATTTTTGTTCATACAAAGTTGTAGAAACAAGTACATGATTGTAGCATGTGTGTTCCTTGCTCAGTTAGACCCAGGCAAGCCCGGGCACATCTGCATCTCTTATTAGATTCTAAACTCCCTGAAGACAGGGACCTATAAATCTTATCTGCACTGTATGCAAAGGGCCCAGCCAACACCCAAATTCATTGTGAGCAAGTAGTGATGCTTATTGAATTAAAAGTGTGTTGTGCAATAATAGTGAAATCATAACTATCACATTGTGATAATTCTTCCATCTGCTCATTCAATAAATACTTATTGCTTGTTAATTATCTTCATGTCTGAATTTTATGGCTATAAGTAGAAATGCTGATATTGTTGGAGATTTAACTTGGAAAGCAAATGTTTCCTAGCGGTCTTCTTCAAGCTTCTGGGTCAGTTTAAGATATCCTGAAAATAAGCTAAATAGAAGTATTAACTGTACATCAATGCTGATATGAGACGGCTATTAAGCTCTATAAACTCCTTATTTTAAAATGTTGTGTTACTCAAAGCTACCTTTCAAAGATGTTGATTGAATTTCCAATAAGTAAATGTTATATAAATTTGAATTTATAAAATGCAGTGCTAACAATATTTGGCTATTTATCTATTGTGTATGTTGAGCATTCTGATAAGATTTTTATCTGAGAAAATTGCTGTCATACTTTTTTTAATATTATTGCTACCTTGGCATCCACTTTTAGGCATGACAGAAGTTATTTAGTTTTTCAGGTTTGACGTAAGTTATCATTTTTGGCCTAGTTAAAACACCCCTTCTTCCTGTTTGTGATATGGCCCACTTGTTCATTGTCTTACAACTCCAAAACCTAACACATCCCACAGCTGCTGACCACATGATATGGTTTGGCTGTGTCCCCAGCCAAATCTCATCTTGAATTGTAGTTCCCATAATCCCCAAGTGTTGTGGGAGGGACCCAGTGGGAGGTAACTCAGTTATGGGGGCAGTTACCCCCATGCTGCTGTTCTTGTGATGGTGAATGAGTTCTCATGATATCTGATGGTTTTATAAGGGGCTTTTCCTCCTTTTGCTTGGCACTTTTCCTTGCTGCCATCATGTGAAGAAGGACATGTTTGCTTCCCCTTCCACATGATTGTAAGTTTCCTGAGGCCTCCCCACCCCTGCGGAACTCTGAGTCAATTAAACCTCTTTCCTTTATAAGTTACCCAATCTCTGCCCATGCCTATGTCCTGAATGGTAGTGCCTAGGTTTTCTTCTAGGGTTTTTATGGTTTTAGTTCTAACATTTAAGTTTTTAATCCATCTTGAATTAATTTTTGTATAAGGTATAAGGAAGGGATCCAGTTTCAGCTTTCTACATATGGCTAGCCAGTATTCCCAGCACCATTTATTAAATAGGGAATCGTTTCCCCATTTGCTTGTTTTTGTCAGGTTTGTCAAAGATCAGATGGTTGTAGATACACAGCATTATTTCTGAGGGCTCTGTTCTGTTCCATTGGTCTATATCTCTGTTTTGGTACCAGTACCATGCTGTTTTGGTTACTGTAGCCTTGTAGTATAGTTTGAAGTCAGGTAGCATGATGCCTCCAGCTTTTTTCTTTTGGCTTAGGATTGACTTGGCAATGCGGGCTCTTTTTTAGTTCCATATGAACTTTAAAGTAGTTTTTTCCAATTCTGTGAAGAAAGTCATTGGTAGCTTGATGGGGATGGCATTGAATCTATAAATTACCTTGGGCAGTATGGCCATTTTCACGATATTGATTCTTCCTATCCATGAGCATGGAATGTTCTTCCATTTGTTTGTGTCCTCTTTTATTTCATTGAGCAGTGTTTTGTAGTTCTCCTTGAAGAGGTCCTTCACATCCTTTGTAAGTTGGATTCCTAGGTATTTTATTCTCTTTGAAGCAATTGTGAATGGGAGTTCACTCATGATTTGGCTCTCTGTTTGTCTGTTATTGGTGTATAAGAATGCTTGTGATTTTTGCACATTGATTTTGTATCCTGAGACTTTGCTGAAGTTGCCTATCAGCTTAAGGAGATTTTGGGCTGAGACGGTGGGGTTTTCTAGATATACAATCATGTCATCTGCAAACAGGGACAATTTGACTTCCTCTTTTCCTAATTGAATACCCTTTATTTCCTTCTCCTGCCTAATTGCCCTGGCCAGAACTTGCAACACTATGTTGAATAGGAGTGGTGAGAGAGGGCATCCAAGAAACCACCATCAGAGTGAACAGGCAACCTACAGAATGGGTGAAAATTTTTGCAATCTACTCATCTGACAAAGGGCTAATATCCAGAATCTACAATGAACTCAAACAAATTTACAAGAAAAAAACAAACAACCCCATCAACAAGTGGGTGAAGGATATGAACAGACACTTCTCAAAAGAAGACATTTATGCAGCCGAAAGACACATGAAAAAATGCTCATCATCACTGGCCATCAGAGAAATGCAAATCAAAACCACAATGAGATACCATCTCACACCAGTTAGAATGGCGATCATTAAAAAGTCAGGAAACAACAAGTGCTGGAGAGGATGTGGAGTAATAGGAACACTTTTACATTGTTGGTGGGACTGTAAACTAGTTCAACCATTGTGGAAGTCAGTGTGGCGATTCCTCAGGGATCTAGATGGATTTGACCCAGCCATCCCATTACTGGGTATATACCCAAAGGAACATAAATCATGCTGCTATAAAGACACATGCACACGTATGTTTATTGCAGCACTATTCACAATAGCAAAGACGGGGAACCAAGCCAAATGTCCAACAATGATAGACTGGATTAAGAAATTGTGGCACATATACACCATGGAATACTATGCAGCCATAAAAAATGATGAGTTCATGTCCTTTGTAGGGACATGGATGAAGCTGGAAACCATCATTCTCAGCAAACTATGACAAGGACAAAAAACCAAACACCACATGTTCTCACTAATAGGTGGGAATTGAACAATGAGAACACATGGACACAGGAAGGGGAACATCACAATCTGGGGACTGTTGTGGGGTGGGGGGAGAGGGGAGGGATAGCATTAGGAGATATACCTAATGTTAAATGACGAGTTAATGGGGGCAGCACACCAACATGGCACATGTATACATATGTAACTAACCTGCACGTTGTGCACATGTACCCTAAAACTTAAGGCATAATTTAAAAAAATAAGTTACCCAGTCTCAGGTATGTCTTTATTAGCAGCATGAGAACGGACTAATATATCACACTAAAACCTAATGGTCAACACCAGGTTTATGTAAATAAGTTCCCCGCCTTCACAGAGGTTTTCTTTAAATTAGCTAATCAATGAGCCTCACAGGAAAGCCTTAAGGATAATAATACCCGTGGAGCTCAATAAAGGGATAATTTCACAGGTTTTCTCTCTCTTCCTCTCCCCTCCCTACCCGTTTCCTCTCTCCCCCTCTGTCTTCTCTTTTTTCCCCCACTTATCCCTACTGGTTGAATTCCCTGCTGCCTCCAGACTCCCCCTGTGGGCACCTGTAACCTCTCTGAGACTTGTGAGTAATAAATTTCTTTTGTTTTATTAATTTTTGTTCACTTCCTCATTGTGTCTCATCTGACACCCGAATGTAACTTTCCCCTATCAGAGCTCACCTACAGAGTGCCTATCTTGGCTTGCGGTCATGCTCAAGAAATAGAGTCCACAAGACCAAATTAAAAAGAAATCATAACAATAAAAATCACGACAGCACAACTGCTGAAAACACTACTCTAGAGCTATTAGCAAACTTTTTCTGCAAAGGTCTAGATAGTAAATATTTCCAGCTTTGCAGACCATATGGTCTGTTTCACAGTCTCTCAGGCTGTTGTACCATGAAAGTAGTCACAGGTAATAAGTATAAAAATGGGCATGGCTGTGATCCAATAAAATTTATTTACAAAAGCAGGCAGTGCACTGGAGGTTTGGCTTGTGGGCTGTAGTTTGTCAACCCCTCATCTATAGGAGATAGGGTGAGCTTTATCATCTATAGACTTGGGTGAGTCAGTTATTCTCTCTCATCTCCCATGTCCTTACCTGTAGAGGAGAGCTAATAAAACCTACCTCACTGAGTGTTGAGAAGATTAACTAAGATAGGATATAAAAATACCTAGCGTTCTCATAGTTTTCTTTCTTGATTTTTTTCTCCAATAGCCAATGCTGCAATTCATTCTTTCCTTTTTTATTACCCTGATTGGAACAGTTACATTACTTTAGTACGACTACTTTACCTAGTAATTGTTATAATTTAATACTCACAAAAAAAGATTACTAACATCTAATGCTCCCAGAGGAATTTGCATTAGAAACAAGAATTGACTAGCCTAACTGATAGAAGATACATTCAAAGTGTAAACTAGACCAGTGGATTTTAATGTAACAGAGCATAATGAATTACTTGATATGGTTTCAGAGTCCACATTGCAACCAACATTTAAGTTATCACTAATTGAGTTTCAATGTAATATCAAAGAAGAATACCTGTAATTATCTGAAAAGGCTATTAAAACATTTCTCCATTTTTTTTTCACTGCTTATCCTCATACAGCTGTTTGAGGCTAGGTTTTCTTTATGTTTGGACCAAAACAACATATCATAACAGATTGAATGCAAACAGATATGACAATCCAGCTCATTCAACCAAGCTAGACATTAAAAAGGACCTTCCAAAATAGAAAACAATGTATTTCTTCTCATAATCTTTTGTTTTTGAAAATAATAATTTTTCCTAAAAATATTTGTTGCCTTTAACATGAAATATATTTATATTTTAACATTTTCTCAGTTTTAATTTTAATATAGTGAATATAGACATAACACACATAAACAGAAGCTTTTTGGGTGCTTAATAATTTTGAAGAGTATAAAGGGATCCTGAGACCAAATATTCAAGAACTGCTACTGTAGTATAAGAAGTAAAGGAGCTCAAGAATGATGATAAGTAACAGCTAATGCTTGGCTTGGCTTCACTGTCAGGGAGCGATGAGGGAGCGATGGGGTTTGTGGCAGCCTGTGAAATGCATGCTTTGTGTAAGCAGCACAGCTATCCTTCAGTGCATGCTGATTTTTGCTGTGGGGTAAGGCATGTACAGAAGTTCTAGTTTTTAAAGAAAAGCTAACATTCCAGACCTTAATGTGAAATATCTCGATTTTAATATTGGCCGTACATTCAGGAAAGTATTAGCATCGTGTGTAGGCCAAAAGAAATCCACCCAGGGACAGGATGCTGCCTGTGAGACATCAGGTGCAGCTTCTGGTCCAGGTTTGTGGGTTGACAAATCTCTTTACTGCAGGAGAATAGTGTATGTCTATGGTGATAATATTTATCAGTAAGGGTTTCAAGAATGGGTAAGGATTTCAGAATTTTGTGCAGAGGCTAAAATATTCTTTTTAAAAAAATCACCAAAATCACAAATAGCTTGACTGTTGTGTTCAGCCCATTGGGGAGCCTGGAAGAAGAGGGGGCTTTTCTTTTTTTCCTCTGAATTCTTTTTCTGAAAATGAGTGCTTTTTGTCTCTACCCCTCACTGTAAAGAAAACCTACTCCACATAACATAATAGCTCTTTGTTTTATTAGTGTGGTTGTGTTCTTCTGTTCTCAACTGTTTGTCACCTTATACACTGGCAAAAAAAAAAAAAAACCAAAAAAAAAAAACAGAACACTGCTGGATTCCTTAAAGTTCTGCAGCTTATAGCTCCATTTTTAGCAAAAATAAAAAACAACTCAGAAGTAGCACAATTGGAAAATTTGTTGGGATTGTCTGAATAAAAATGCTTTTGCCTTTAATCTAACAGACTAATTTTAAGAGAAAACCAATCCATAGAAAATGTGCTTTTATGTTTCTAAATTAAGTAGCTCTAGATTTGTAAATGGTTTGAAGTAACAAGTATTGCATACACTCAAATTTTCTTTAACATTTTTTGATATTCTGTTTATTTACAAAACAAATAAGCCCTTCTACAGCCCAACCATCAATTATTATTTTCCTCATAGCAATTATGTCAACATTTTTTTTAGCCTGACATAATCCATCTTTTTCATTTGTGTGATATGAGAACAAAATCAATTTTTGAGGTCTTTGGTATAATGGAAACTGGGAGGGTGGAGTCAGATGGCTGTATGTGGATAAGAATTTTCCCTCTTTAATTCATATTAGCTATGTGATATAATTTTGAACAAATGGTGAAACTCTTTGAAACCTACTTCTTCTTTTGCAACATGGAAAAGATAAAGCTGATTATGCTGGCACTGAACACAGGGCCTGGCAGGTGGGAATAACTATAACAATAATAAGAGTTAATCTTGAGTGGGAGTTTATCACCACATACTAGGTATTGATTTAAATCCTCTACACAAATTAACTCATTTAATACAAAGGCTTCTTGATGGAGGTACTGTGATCATTCCCAGAGATTAAGTAATTTACCCCAAATTACATAGCTAGAAAATTGAAGAGTCAGGATTTGAACCCCAATAGTAGAGCTTAGTAAATCTTTCTTTCCTCCTTTTCTACTCCCTCTCTGCTTTAGATACTTTCATTGTGAGGCTACTGGGTCTGTGACGCATTTGAGTAAAAGGAAAGGAGATTTGGTGGGTGAAGCACATCTGTGATACACACAGCAGAGCGTGCCCCTGCCAAGAGCACCAAGGATTGGGTGGAGCCGAGAGCTACGTTCAGACTCAAACCCCGTTGTGATGATCACTCTAAGTTTAATATACCTTCGGGAATCAAATTTCATGGATGCATTTGAAGAAAAAGAATACAAAATTTGTCCAAAGGTGAACAGTTACTTAGAATGATAAAGGAAGCAATCTATTTTTAACAAGCCGATCAATATCACAACCACCACAAAATCTAGAAACAAAGGTGTGTTTTCATGTCAAGGATTTTATAATATTGTTTTCCATAACAAGAACATAAAGATAATTCAGTTTGTTGGAACTTTAAAAAAATTATAAATAATTGAGTAAAGTTCCTTGGAACTTCATAATTTGTTCTTGGTAATGTCATTTACATTCAGGTTGGCTGTTGGATTTGAGAAAACCGCTAGCAATTTTCATTTGTAATTGAGCTGTTACAGACGATGTACTTAGTTTGTGGTGCTGCTATGGGTTTTTTCCAGTAGATCCAATAATTCTGATAAATTTATTTCACATGTTTCCCATGAAAAAGAAAAAAATCAATGGCGCATTTATAATTATATATGCTACATTATTGAATGTATTTCCTCAGTAAGAGAGAACCTTTGTTCTTATTAGGCAATAAGAACCAAATCTTCCACTTACATTTGTAAATCTCTGATGATTGTAAGAATTTTTCACAGACTGGCTTCTGGTTCCATACATTTCAAATTACATTTCTTCTCTAATACCCACATACTTCCCTCCCGGGTGCCGTAAGAACTCTGAGTATTTTGATATGGCCTTTGGCCCTGGTCCTAGTGCCAGATAAGTGGGCAGAGTGGGTGGTAGGGGTGTTCCTACACCAGGACAGTCATCAGTAATTTCACTATGCACAGAAGTGACTGTGAACCACCAAAATACACCCACTGAACTCAGACGAAATGTGCCCCAACTCAACTTCCTTTTAGCTTGATTTCTAAAATGGCTATGGCCACTCTAACACCTGGCATGACGGAAAAGCTGGATAGATAGTAAATGTGAACAGAAAGCCTTACTAATTTTAACACACGGCAACTAAAATATCTTACTTTTGCACATTTTAAAAAGCAATTGACCATATGCACCATTGCTACGAATCCTCAACTGAACTTTGTGACAAACTCACCAAGTAATTGCAAAAAGATCATGTCACTGACTGGGAGAGAACAGCTTGAAAAAGACACATTATCTTGAAATGATTTCGATGAATGCTAGCTGATCACCTAACTCAGAGGTTAAAAAAGAAGGAGGCAAAAAATTTAGTGCAATTTATTAATTAATCCTGAGGTGATGGCCTCATAACTACAAGCATTGGATGCCATTATCAACCAGCCTTTTAAAGACCACTTGAAAAAGCAATAGATATTACGTTATAGGAATTTTGATGAACGACAACACATCCTGTTCTACAGTTAGGAGACTGGGTACTTGTGCATTGGGATAAAATATCCAGTGCAACACTTAACAGTTCAATTTCATACACAACCTAGATGGGAGTGAAGATGGTCTGCTCTGGAAAACTATAATATAAACACACTGCTATCTGAATTGTTTGTGAAGATTTTAATACAATTGTTTGATGAATTGTGAGAATTGAAAAGGCAGTGTTGTATGATTTTTTATAAATCTTAAAGTATATATGTATAACTAAATAAAATATTATAACTAGATCTAATTATTCCAACCATATCTCCACCGTATTTAACCATATTCCAACCATAACAAGCAGCTGCAAAACCTCAGTAGTATAAGCAACAGGCATGCATTTACCACTCTTGTGTGTGTGTGCAGGCCTCCTGGGGTTGCCCTGGGCTAGCCTAGGCTCTCTGGGCCAGGCTCTAGGATGTGGGCTCTGTTCAAGTTGGTGTCAGGTGCTCTCATTCTTCTGAAACAAGCAGGCTGCCCAGGCATTTTCTTCTCTGGCAATGGTAGAAACATGTAAGATGAAGTCCAACTATGTAAGATGCATGTACGATAAAGCCCAACTATGCAAGCACAGCTCAAGCCTCTGCCTGTGTCCTATCCACTAACATGCCATTGGCCAGCAAGTGATGGGGCTGAGTCCAAAGTGAAGGGGCAGAGACACAGTTTCCATTTGCCTTGAGATGACAGTTGGTCTCACGGCCAAGTTCTGCATCAGTGGGCAGGGTCAGACTTATTCTGAAGTCTGCTATAACAAATTACCAAAACCTTGATGGCTTAAAACAACAGAAATTTATTATCTCCAAGTTCTGGAGGCCAGAAGTTCAAAATCACTGTGGCTGGACTGAAACCAAGATGCTGGCAGAGCTGCGCTCTCTCCAGAAGCTCTAGAGAAGAAGACATTCCTTGTGTCTTCAGTTTTTGGTGGCTGCCAGCCTTCCTTGGCTTGTGGTTACATCATTCCAATCTTTAAGGCAAGCATCTTCAAGTCTCTCTCTCTCCTCCTTCTTCACATCGCCTTCTCCATGTGTGCCAAATCTCTGTCTGCCTCCCTTTTCTGAAGACACTTGTGATGGCACTTAGGTCTCACTTGGACAATTCGGAAAACCACACGGATCTCATGATCATTGACTTAATCACATCTGTGAAGTCTTTGCCATGTAAGGCAACATTTACAGTTTTCAGGGATTAGGACCTGATATTTTTGGTAGCCACTGTTCTGCCTGTGAATACCACAATTCTTAAAAATGTATAGGTCAGAATAAAAATCTTGTATTTGGAAATGATGAATCGTTGCATATTTAGAATGGCACTATATTTGGTAATTTAATTGGTTATGTGGAATTAGAAAGATTGGGAATTAGGGCAAACACTTGCATTCAGGTGTTCAAGCCTTAAATCCAAAGCCTTTAACAGCTCAGCTGCACAGCCCTACTAAACTTCCCTGCCAGCTGCCTTTAAGTCTCTGACCCCTTGACCTTTGACCATTCCCTTTATGGTAAGATATAGAAAAATGGTCAAAGAGAGACTGATTTCAGTGGTTTCGTGGGGCCACTAGATACAGACAAGAGGTAATAAAATCTGTATTTTATTGATATTCAGGCCAGAATCCTGCTAGGACATCTCTGCCTGTGGAAGGAGGGCTGGATGGCATACTGGGAATGGCTTTCTAGGATGACTTCCTGTTGCTACAGACTACAAGAAGCATTTCTGGCCTTGATGTTGTCTGAATGAAGAAGACATAGGAGTTTCACCAAAGGTAAGAGGCTTTTGTGACCAATTTCTTTTTTTTGTTTTTCTTCAGACGGAGTCTCGCTCTGTGGCCCAGGCTGGAGTGCAGTGGTGTGATCTTGGCTCACTGCAACCTCCGCCTCCCAGGTTCAAGTGGTTCTCCTGTCTCAGCCTCCTGAGTAGCTGGGATTACAGGCACCCGCCACTGCGTCTGGCTAATTTTTGTATTTTTAGTAGAGATGGGGTTTCACCATATTGGTCAAGCTGGTTTCGAACTCCTGACCTCAGGTGATCCACCTGCCTCAGCCTCCCAAAGTACTGGGATTACAGGCATGAGCCACCGCGCCCAGCCTCTTGTGACCAATTTCTTAGAGACTTTGGAGATTTGCTTTGGAGGTGAGGAAACTGTGTAGCTTAGAGTTTTCAAGTGCATGGCAGCTTAAGGAGATGCCTCCTAAGAATATAAAGCTCATGTTTTTGTTAAATATAATGGAATCTTAGAGGTGGAAATAATAGGGTAAGTTTAGTCCAGTTGCCTAACTTTACAAATGGAGTAACTGACACCCTGGTTGATTAAGCTTTGCCAAAGTTACAGTATTTGCTCCAGGGCATGGACTAGAACCCAGGTGTTTGGAGGCCAGGCTCAGTGTTTTCCCACTGAGATGATGCAATAGATGCCATTTGTTTGGGCTGCCTGGCTTGCAAGGACTTCTCTTTCTCTGGGAAGAGACACAGGGGGATTTTTACCAGCATATTGATTACATTCATTGAATGGCATGAAGGCGTCTTGTAGAATTACACAGAAATATCCTGAGCTTGCTTTTAGATATTGCTGCTTTTATTCTGTAGAGTTGATTGAACCTGCTGCTATATATCTAATTTATGCAAAGCTTGTGACACAGGGGGATTGATCCCATAGGCCACGGTTGTACGGTATGGCCCTGCCTCCCTGTTGAGGGGAGGGTCTCCTGCCCACTCCTGCCCACGAATCTGAAATCTGAAGCGGTGACACCTGGAGAATGGCAGCGGATGCCGCCATCACTTTGTAGTTGTGCTCTGAAAAGAAGGCAGCATGGAGTCTGTGCTCTAAAAAGAAGGTCGCTTGGAGTCTTGACTCCCAACACTCATCAGCTCTGTAACTTGGAGCAAGTTACTGATTTCCCTTTCCTCAGTTTTCTCATCTGTCAAATGGAGACAGTGATACCTACCTCGTGACATTGATTCAAGGACTAAATGAGAAAACATCTTTAAAATGTGTACAGCAGTGCCCGTTACACAGTAAATACTGAGCATTTCTGAGTTACTTATCTCCTGCTGGGGGCCAGGAGAGCCCTCTGAGGCGCCTGTGCTTTCTGAGTCCTGCTTATTCAATTCTCCTTTGATTCTGGCTAATAACCTGAGATCCTTCCAATAAACATCTTTCCTTAAACAGGCCAGAATCAGCTTCTGTTTCTTGAAACAGAAATAACTTTAAAAAATTACCGATGGTCATGCATAAGAGCACCTACATTTTAGGGAGATTATATAGAACGTGATGGCTTTCACCCCGATGTGTGAGTGTGTATGTGTGTGTATCCTGGTAGCAAAAAATAAGAGCACACATTCTATTTGAGAAAAAAATTAAAAATCAATATTTGAGGGGAGGCGTACTAAAAAGTAATGTGTACTGATGATACTTTACATCTGTGAATGGAAGTTGAGCCAGTTAAATCTATATAAAGAGGGGACAGACAAATTGATCCAGATAATGATGTGTAGTGAAATGGATCATCATTAATATATTCAAGAGCTTATTATCAATGCTTAAATTACCAAAATATTGACTTAAGTAACTTTATCTGTCAATGCTAGTAGAGAAAATTGCTGCATCTCACCATATTTATCACCTCACATAGATCTATATAGATATAATATACAACTATAAATAAAGTTCAGCTATTCCATTTAGGGGAGAAAGATCATTTTGTTAGCCTATATTTCATAACATTAGAGGGACTGATTCCTAATATTATGCACCAAATACACTATTGTTTAGCAACTTGCTGTCTTTGTGTTTTGCATAAATTAGATATATAGCAGCAGGTTCAATTAACCCTACAGAATAAAAATAGCAATTTCTAAAAGCAACTTCAGGATATTTCTGTGTAATTCGACAAGATGCCTTTGTGCCATTCAATGAATGTAATAAATATGCTGGTAAAAATAGCATTTGCATTGAATCTGGAGTGGAAAATAGAATCAGTGGGGGATAATAATAAATACTGAATCTCCAAATGAATCTCCAAATCCATTAAGACTTTTAATGTTGTATTTGAAGCTCATAACTCCAGGCAATTCCCTAACTTAGCTTTGGCAAATGTTTATTTTGAGAAATGCTCAGTTGTCTGTTTTACAAGCTGGTTCTCTTTCACCTAAAACTTTCCATAAGAAAGTTGTTGGCATAAAAATTAACTCCATTTTTGGAAGTCTTGGGCTCACCTGCTTTAGGGTTGCGGACATACATGAAAGGAATAATGACCGTCTGAACAAGGAAGAATCTGAGAGGATATCATATCCAGCCTTGTATTCACAGATTGGAAATTGAGGCTGAGAATGATGAGGTACCTGTGCAAGATCACACAGGAATTTGGTAGGGCCAGGATCATGCTCAGTCCCAATCCAAAACTCTTTTCACCACATCCATGTTAACTGTCACTTTACACACAAAGAGACTGTACCCTGGAGAGGTTAAGTGACTTACTAAGAAGGTCAGATGGCTAGTTAATGGCTGATGGTGACTAGCAGGCCTCTTAAGGTTTGTCTTCTGGTTTTGATCTAATTCTGATAAAGAACTGAGCCAATGGGCCCTGCAAACTGTCCTGTGATCTAAAGATGACTTCTATATCTTCCCAAATATATATCTTCCTAGGTTTTGCTTTAATGAGGGAGATACCCCTTTTGTTAATTTTCAGCCCAATGTCTAATTATGAAAACTACCCTTGGGAAAAATATTGGCTCAAATTTGTCCTAAAGCACTCTGGATTTACCCAGACCTCACCAGCTAGTGAGTACAAACAAGATCCCAGTAACATTAGGACCAATGTTTTTCTGGCTCATGGCCTCCGCTGGCATAGACAAAAGTAGATTGGGCTCCTAGCTTAGGCTTTTCTGGGATATCTGGCCACATAGGGGTATCAATGACAAGTAGGGATGAGAAGCAGAGGTGCTAGTATCAAACTTCGCCTATCATGCCATTGTCCCTTTAGACAGTTCCGCATATACCCAGAGATGCTTCAACAACCTGGCAGTTGCTTTCTATAGCCCTGTTGCTCGTGTCAATGACTAATTTTTCTTCGTCTATTAAACTTGTGACTTCTCTTCCTCAATTCATTCACTCAACAGATTCGTATGGAGCTCCCATCTATTAGGTTCCAGGAACTAGGGATACCATGATGAATGGCCAGATGTGGTCCCTAGCCTGATGGAGCTTATATTCTGGAGGGAGACACAGACAATAAATACATAAGCAAACAACATACCAAAGATTTCAGGTTACGATAAGTGCAAAGTAGGAACTATACAAAGTGTTATAATAAAGAATAATGGTGGGTGTGAGAGCAAACCAACTTTGTGTAGTGGGGTCAAGAAAGGCCTCTGAGAGGATGACACTTAGGCTGAGGCCTGACAGATGAGGAAGGGCCAGACATATGGGGACCCAGGGAAGGAGGAATTCCAGGTAGAGCATCAACAAGGGTGTTGACACGAGGCTAATATGGCTGAGGGGTGTTGAGCAAGGAGGAGAGAGCCAGGAGATACATTTCTAAAAGAGACCTAGACGAATAATTGATCCACATTGTTAGGAAGAGGGAAGGCTATTGCTATAAACAGAGGGTGAGGAAGAAAATATTTGGCTCCTATGTTTTTACTCCTCCTGGATATATGCGGTATCCATGTGTTGTGGATACTGTAGTGCTGAGTGCAGATCTCTACTCCAGGGTTGATAGTGCTGTGTGCAGATCTCTACTCCAGGGTTGATGTACCCATCCTAATCCTGGCAATATGACTGTTCACAGCTGTACCTATTACTGGGAATTCCCCCTTCCCCTACAGAAGGCAACTACCCAAAGTTATATCCATCACCCCTCTTCTGAGAGGAGCCCATGATCAATGACTTCTTGATGTGGAGATCCGAAAGTCTGGGATTCTTGACTCAATTTGGGGTGACTTTCAAGGACCATTCTAGCTCCACAAAGCATTGTGAGGTCTCTTCCCAATCTCACATTCTTTTTTTATTCTTTATAGGCTTATCTCTTGTAAAATATCCACAACCCGATAAACATTCAGCATGCAATTCTCCATATTAGAGATTATTTTTGGGCAACTCAATCTAATATAGTTAGTCCTAGGTGTGTCCCTAGAATGCTGACTCCAAAATGGAATTTTGGATATGAGTCACCATTTATTCACCATTTATAGCCAGTGATGGCTGGCAATATCTAGCCCTGGTGGGATAGTCCCTAGCAGACTGAGTTATTGCAATTGTTAAAACTTTCACTAACAGTGAGCTGAAATGGGATACTAGTGGAAGGGGGGCTGGTGCAATATTATTGGCTATTGAGGAGTGTGAGGAAAGTGGTAACTTTAAGGACTATGGCATTGGGTGACTGTTGCTGAGTGCCATTAATTCCTTGAAGAGCAGCAATAGCAGGCTCAGGGTGATTAATCAACCATTTCAAAATGTGAAAGCTAGAGGTCTCCTTGGCAGCATTTAAGAAAACCCTAATCTACAGGTAGAGGGAAGACAGACTAGAGAACTTATTCTTCAGAGTAGTGGAGCTGCAGAGAGGGTTGAATTCTTAAGCCTTGGCAGGTCTCCTATGCTAAAGTTGAGGACCTTACGGAGAAGGAGAAGGAGCTACCTTCATGTGATGGGAATATGTGAGTGGATGCACTTTAGAATTTTGAGCTCTCAGGTTCTTCCAAACTTGCTGGGCCTGCAGAAGTGGCACATCCCCCTTGTTAGAAAATAGTGGTTCCCCTTTGTTTGCTTGAGGTTCTTGAGGAGGGCTCAAGTGAAGCAGATGACTTATAAGATAATGCCTTGCTGTCTCAACATCTACCTCTCCATGTCCCCTCTTTTTCTCTTCTTTTCTTTTTTTTTCCATTCGACAAATAATGAGGGTTGAGTTATGATATAACCAGGCTTGGGAGGAGCTGGGCCTGCTGAGGGAGGAGCGGGACCATACAATAAAGTAGCCACAGGTCCTGGCCAACATGTACCAGCAGGAACTGGGAGACTATGCATGGGACTGGAGCCTAAAGAATAAGTGGGGCATAAATTTGGATGGGGAGAGTTTACCAATATGGAATTCTACAATATATAATTTAATACACTAGCAAGGATTCCAAGAGATGGTACAAGGATTCCAATATGCTTCTAAAATGGCTCCTAGAAACTTGGAGAAAGTGAAGGTCCACCTACACTAAGTGAAGTAGAGGATATGACAAATGACAGAGGGAGGAATAAAAAGACTCAAAAAAGTGGGCATGCTAGAGTAGATACACTGCGTTAAGACCAGAAAACCCACTGGTTGACTGAGTTATACAGGGAGTCCTAGAGGGACACCATCATTGATAAGAATATCAATAGGGATTGGCTCCTGTAGGCCAGGAATGATGGCAGGAGATGTCGTAATAGAACAGGACTCCCTGATTATAGGGATGCTAGGCTACTGAAGGGAGAGAGGCAGGTGGCTGCATCAAGGAGTGGGGTGAATGATTACAACGAGCAGTCAAAGCCAGAAGAACAGCCATGAGGCCAGCCTATAGAAAGATAAGGGGCTTGTTAGCAGATCATGGAACATGGTATTCCTAGAAGGAAGTTGGAAGGACAGCCAACAAGGATATTGCTTAGTTTATACAAATCAAAAGAAAACAAGAATTAAGAGGCTCATGGTTGTCACCTCAATAAAAACTTGTGATCTCTTGTCAAGTTTCTAGGCCTGAACTATTTCTCAGTTCCATACCCATTGATGGAATCTGGGCTGGGCCCTATGAAGAAGGACTCTAGTGTGGCAAGTGTAGTCAGTAGTAATTCCCTAGATTTTTTTCACAAAGGACCCATTTACTCCGATAATTATGCATTGGGGAAAGAGAAATAAGCTATTTTGATGATTGTTAGAGAGTCTGGACTGATAGTAATATCAGGAACCCCAAGTGCCAGCCTAGCCCCACTTTTAAAGTGAAGGTTATCAGGGCCAGGTAGTAAAGAAATCCTGGGGCAGACCTAGATTACGGTGGTTCCTCTGGATCTAGACCTACTTGCTTGTCATTTTCCTAGTCCCTGAATATGAAACTGGAATGGACTTACTTGGGAGTTGGCAAAATCCCCTTGACCTGAAGGGTAAGAGCTATCTTAGTGGAAGAAGCCAAGTGGAAGTCTCTGCTAGTGCCTCCTCCCTCTCTGAGCTAAAAATGAATCAGAAACAACACTGCATCTCTGACATCAAAGAACTAAAGAAGGCAGGACTGGTCATCTCCCTATTTTATTCTCCAGTATAGCTCCCTGAAACCAGATGGATCATGGCAGATGATAGTGGCTACTCTAAACTTGACCAAGTAGCTTCCACAATTGAAGTCCCAAGCTGGAGGTAAGGGTTTTTTTTTTTTTTTTTTTTTTTTTTCCCCTGGAGCAGATTAACACAGCCTTGGGCTAGGTATGTGGTCATTAATCTGACAAATTGACAAATGTGTCTTCTTCCATTTTTATTAGAAAATACAGTTTATATTTAGTATAACACATAAGAATAGTCATTTATAATTTTGTTCCAGGGCTATGTTAACTTTTCTCCCTTGTCCTGTATAATCTGAAGGGACAGGAACCATCTAAATATTCCTTAGAATATCACAATAGTCTACTATATTGATCATGTTATGTTAATCAGATTAGATGAACAGAAAGTGGCAGGCACATTGGAGATCTTGATAAGTTGTATGTCCTCCAGAGTATGGGAAATAAACTCTGTGAAGATTCAGGGGCCTGTCTCATTAATGAAGCTTTTAGGGTTCAATGGTGTGTGCCATGCTGGGACATATTCTTCAAGTAAAGGAAAATTTATTGCAACTTGCATTTCTCACTCACAAAAAAGAAGCACAGTGCTTCACGTTCTGGGGGCAGCATATTTTGTACCATTCTTACCTATTGACATGAGGTCATAGAAGTCTGTCTGGTTGAAGTGGGGCCCGGAGAAAGAAAGAGCTCTGCAGTAGGCCTAGGCTATGAAGGAAGCAGCTCTGTTGCTTGGGCCACATGGCCTGGCCATGTCTATGGAACTAGATCTACTGGTGGTAGTAAAAGAAAAAAAAGACAGCAAATGCGTGGTATTTATGGGAATTGCCAATAGGAAAATATCAATATGGATTTCTAGGACTTTGAAGCTAGGCCATTTCATCATCAGCAGAGAAGTACTGTATACACCACTCAGCAAGCAATGCCTGGCACACTGCTGGACCTTGGTAGAGATTGCATATCTGACTGTGGGACATCAAATGATTTGTCCATTATGAGCAGTTGGTGTCTAACCCCCCAAGTCATAAGGCAAGGTCAGCCCATCAGCATTCCATTTTTAAGATGGGAGTGGGACACCCAATGGCCATTGTATGGTGTTTTTCAATAGGTAGAATGCATAGGTCTGGAAACCATGGGAGAAGTAGTAATGGTCCCTCACCATCACCCTTGATGACTCACTTGGGGAATTGCTCCTTTCCTTTCCCACCACTGTAGGCTCTGTGGGTCTGGAAGTCCTGGTTCTCAGAGGAAGGATGCTTCTGCCACTGGCTGTGGCCCTTTGACCTTTAAACTGTGGCTGCTACCTAGTCACTTTGGGCTCCTTGTGCCAAGAGACCAGCAGCCAAGGAAAGAAATTCCATTCTGTTACGAGTAATTGATCCTCATTTTTAGGAAAAGGGAAGGCTATTGCTATAAACAGAGGGTGAGGAAGAAAATATTTGACTCCTATGTGATTTGCTGGGATAACTTACTTGGCTTTAATTAAAAAAATAATAACAAAAGTGAAGCCACTACTGCCTGAGAATGACATGAGAATCAGGAGCTAGGAACCCCCAGAAAGAAAGGTCTGGGTCATCCCACCAGATACACCATTTGGACTAACAGAAGTTCTAGCCAAGAGTGAAAGGAATCTAGAATAAATGTGGTGGAAGAGAATGATAAGTATCGGTTGCAGCCTTGAGACCAACTGTAACAGCAAGAATTTTCTTTTGTAAGTCTTTGTCTTATAAGTTTTTTTTTTTTTTTTTTTCTGAAAACAAGATCAACCAGAATATTGGAAAAACTGTTCCTATGATGGGGGCAGGCTTTGCTATAAAAAGCGAGTGGATCTGAATTTGTAAGGGGTAGGCTGCAACTGATACTGTTCTGCTCCATTCAGATCCCTCTTTAGAATAGATGGATCCATTCCTAGCTCCTGGGAATATTTGCTGATAATGGCTCACGGCTCTGTCCCTCAGTGGAAATTGCTTTGCAGTTCCAGAGAGCTGCCTCATCCAAGGTGTGCACCCCTTCCTACAAGACAGCTGATGGCCAATAGCTGGCTAATGTGGGTATAAAAGGCCTGGCCTCTTATCTCAATTTGGGACAACTCTCAGGGGCCATCCCAGCATCAGAGTCTCCCACTGGATAGTCTGAAATCTGTGTTGCAACCACATTGTGGGTCAGTTTTTTCCTCTGCATGATCCTGCCTTCCTCACTTCCCTACATCCTGACAGCACTCCCCAGTAAACCTTCAGAAGACAACTTTCCATCTCAGGGCCTATTTCCAAGAACCCCAGTTTAAGACACAATAGAAGTGGAAACATAAACCAATTCTTTGGTGCTTGTCCTTGAAGCCAAGGCCTAGAACCTTGATTGGATGGAAAGTATCTGTCCTCCTGGGAAAAGGGTATAAACAAGTTTGAACTATGTTGCTCTGAGCTGTTTGCATCTGGAGCCCAGGCCTCTGTTGGGGGTTTAAATTCATGAATGATTGTTATTCTGTGCCTCGGGGAAAATGTGTGGGTTTTGTGAACAGGGGAGGTAGAGTTGGGGGTTGTGGAGAGGACTTGGACTTGTGTTCTTGTAAAGGGAAGTACATTTTGTAACAGGGGCCATGTGATGAGGAATTCAGAGTAAAAGAGGGAAACAGAGGAAGGAGGTAACTCTTTCAAAGACATCCTGGGCTGCCTGTATTGGAGGTTTTGTTCGAGAAATACATTTGGGAGCAAGGGACCCCTTCCAGCCTCTCAGAAATCACACATTCCTTTCCTTTTGAACTATAAGTTGTGGCTGCCCTGTTTTCTGCCAGCAATGATGGGAAGGTAACCTTCATCACCTCATTCACCAGCCTCTCCTGACTGCCATCAACTTGAATAAACAAAGCCTCCGGGGGACGGGAAGTGCAGGGCAGTATTCAGGGTGACCTTGTTTAGCTTACCCGTGTGCTCTTGGTAGGGGAAGGGGGCTTGCATATGTGGTGAGATCTTGGTATTGGCTCCATTTCTTGCTGGGCCGTGGGTGGCCAGGTGCCATGGCTGGGGGCTGGAACTGTAGCTGGATACTCTAGCATGCTTCATTCCCACCTTCCTGGGTGGTACTGTGTCCCCAAGGCCACGGGGACTGGTCCAGCTTGTGCAAAAATGGGTTCCCTGCTCAGGTCTATAGATGAATTGCCAGGCAGAAAAATGAGATCTGCAGTAGGCTCTGCCAGCTGCAGCCTGTGGGCTGGAAGGTAGAGTGGGGGAAGGCTGCTGAATAGGCAGGGGTTTGTCATTTTTAGACCATGACTAATAAGAAATCTGGATTTTTTCAGTTGTAAAAACTCTTCCCACTCTTTCCTTTCCCTCTCCACAATGTAATAGCAAAAGTCTAAAGCTCTGGAGTTATTTTATGTTCTCTTTTGATGGCCTAAAGTGAATTAGAAGCTGGAAAACATTGTACATGGGAAACACTATATGTGTATTGTGTATTACATCTTAAGCTAAATGTTACATGAAAACAAATGGTTTAAGGGAGCTTGTGTGCACAAAAGAGGTTGGCAATCATTTTGAGTCCAACATTTGGCCCACATTAGCAATTTTCAAATATTCATGTTTACATTTGAATACAAAGATTTCTTATTTTCAAACCAACTGCTGCTGATCAGTAGCATAACTTCAAATTTGTTACAGCCTACAGGAATGAGGAAGCAGGAAGGGCCAGAGTGAAGTGGAAACTTTGAACTTGAAGTTGGAAGACACTGGTACTCATCTCTTCTATTTGCTAGCTGTATGATCTTGGGCAACTTATTTAATTTATCTTCCTCCAGTTTACTCATTGATTAAATGAAGGTAACAATTTTATCTCATAGGGATATGGGGATGATCGAGAGAGATAATAAAAGTGAAAGTGTTTTGAAAAGCATAAATTCTACATAAATGTTAATTATTATTATTAGACGCACACGTGAAAGTGGTGCCAGAGCTTAAGAGGATTCAGGTAAATTTCTAGTAAAATTCAGATCCTACTCCTAATTTTAAAATCCTGGCCGGGCGCAGTGGCTCATGCCTGTAATCCCAGCACTTTGGTAGGCTGAGGTGGGTGGATCACGAGGTCAGGAGATCGATACCATCCTGGCTAACACGATGAAACCCCGTCTCTATTAAAAATACAAAAAATTAGCCGGGTGTGGTGGCGGGTGCCTGTAGTCCCAGCTACTTGGGAGGCTGAGACAGGAGAATGGCGTGAACCCGGGAGGCGGAGCTTGCGGTGAGCAGAGATCGCACCACTGCACTCCAGCCTGGGCGACAGAGCAAGACTCCATCTCGGAAAAAAAAAAAAAACAAAATCCTAAGGAAAAATTCAGGCCCTGAAAAAGGGCCAGATGTGAGTCACAAACAGGAATATATAAAGCCCTAGGAAACATGGCTGTCACTGAACCCAATTCCTGGTTCCACCGTGTATTTTTCCATGAGTCCTATATCCTCACAAAATAACATTCTTTTTCTCTCCACATTTTATGATTTTATGTAGTTATTCATCACTAACCTTCTAGTCCTGAACAAGAGATACTTCTGTTCCATGGTCTACTTCCCTTGGAAATCATTACTGTTGCTTCCAGGTTTATCTCTTAGGACTTTTTCAGCCACTGGGACTTCAAACTCCACCGATTTTGCCTTAAAAAAAAGATTCATTCCAATTCTACAACATACCAGTTTCACAGAGTCGTTCACTAAAGCCGTCAAACATTTAATATAATTGCAATGTTAAGAGTTTAGTGCAAACTAAGCACTTCTACCCATACATCTTCTCATCACATTACAGACACTTCTGACAGCAATCAGACTGTGTGTTAGGACAAGGAGAGAGATACGCAACCAAGTTAAATCTGTGTTCTAAAGCCTTTGCTAAACTTTTCTATTTGCTATAGGGCCTTGTAGCTATTAGGGCGTTTTTGGCTGCAAGGAAGAGAAAAATCTCCATTCGGTCTGGACTAACCATAGAAAAATGTATTATCTCACCTAAGAAGACCCTAGAGATTGGGTATGGGCTACAGGTTCAGTTCATCAGGGCCTAGGCTTCACTTCTCTTTTTGTGGCCCTGTTCTCTTCTGTATGTTGATTTCATCCTCATACTATTAGTCTAGTAGTTCTAGGTATGAAAATGGGATGTAGAAGTTCTCCCAAAGAAGAAGAGGGCACACCTCTTCCAGTGTTTCCTTTTTAGAAATGAGAAGCTTTTCCTTGAAGCTCAAAGTAGATTTCCTTTCATGTCTCATTGGTCAGAATTTTGGGACATATGCTCATTTATAGACCAACATTTGGCAAAGGAGAATATGATTACCATGCTTGCATAAGAACAAATCAGGATCTACCCCCTGGAGTTTTGGGTGAAGTTGCCTTTCTCTGAGTCATGTAGACACTTGAACAAATTTGAGTTCTGAAAGGATGGAAAGAGAGGGAGAAATTGGTGGGGTAGGCAACTCAATGTATCCACTTCTTGTCTTTCAGAACAGACTCCTTACTGTGCACCTTAAAAAGTTGAAAATTGCTAACCCTTGCTGAGAGTACTATTGTATACAAAATGCCTTAAATAAGAGCCCAGACAGAAAAAAAAAAACCCAAAATGGGTGATGATGGAGCAATGGTAAAAGCGAGATGACATGGGAAAGTGGTCTTTCATTCCTTCCAAAAAAAAAAAAAAAAAATCACACAAAATGGAAAACACCCTTTAGACAGAAAAATCCCAACAAAGCTTTGTAGAGAATTCTGGCATAACTTTTTTTGTTTCCTTTTTATTTAAAGTATACAGAAGGAAAGTAGAATTCTGTGGCTGAAAGTTGTGATATCTCAGAATTAAGCTGTAAAAGAGGAAAATCACAATTTCCTAGACTGAAACAACCACAGCTGGCAGTTGGGAAAAGCAATAGAGGTTTTTGATTCTAAGTTGGCTTAAGGTCCAAAGCAATCCCAAGGAGGTTTTGACTCTGAAGTAATTATAATTCTGGATGATTTGGAAAGAATTCTAAACACATCCCAAGAATAAGGCTAAATTAAAAAGCTACCACTGAAAATAGGTATTATTTACTTGTTTTACACACACTGAAATGTGCTTTCTGTAAAAGCTGCTCCATAAGAATCATCAGCTGTATTGCTTACTATTGTTCAGGTGGAGGATTCTTTTTATACTCCTGGGAAGCAGTTTGGTAGAAGAATCCTGAATGCAATAGCATCCAAGAGGGAAAGTACCCATCTGTCTGATGCAGCTGCTATAGTTCTAGAGTTGGTAAGTGAGGCAGGCATCAGAGGGGTGTGGCAACACCCAGCTTTTGTAGGTGTTCCTGCCTCTTGATTTGGGTCTGTGATACCTCTGCAGCATAGGTAGTCTGCTTCTACTCAAGAAGGGTCACATCTTCACCTATACTCCTTGTCCTCTGCCTTGATTTCTGTCTGCTCTTTGCTACATCTGCCTCATTGGAGATGATATTAATGGAAGTTTGAAGCATCTCTTCTCATTTCCAAGCCCAGCCACTCCATCCCTCAACCTTGCATATGTCTTTCTAGGCAGGGATGTTTTCCCACTTAGCCCTGTTTTGTTTCTTTTTGTAAGATAAATCTTCCAGGACTGTTGTTGGTGAGCTAGTCTTGTCACATGCTGTCATCAGGCTCTGTTGATGAAACATCTCAAGAAGACAGACGGGACAGTCTGATCCAGCCATGGGCTGTCAGAGGAGGTGGCCATTCATAGAGCAGATTCTTGGGGTCCCCGAAGGACTTAGTGGCCCTATAAGTTTCAGGAGAGTCTCAGATTTTAATACTGCAAGGATAACTGCAGATAAACTCTAGCAGTTGCCCAGCAGGGTCCTATGGAAAATTTTAGATGAGCATGCTTGTATTATAAGACATAGAGTCCTATTCCTAACCAGTTGTTGACTGACATAAAGTCTGCTGGCAGGATTAGACTATGGAGTGGGGAGTGCTATGGAGAGGATCAAACTGAGCACCAGTCTGGGATCCATGGCCAAGGCTGGGCCAGTCAGATGGAGATACCATACCAGAAGGAGTGGAAGAGGCAGTTGAGTTGTAACAGGGTGTTACTAAAGAGGAAACTGGGCAAATTTAAGTCCTACTAGTAATGACCAGCAGGGCTATGTCTGTGAATATTTGACTTGTAGATCTTTAGACAGTCATGCTCATGGGGGCTGCACATTTGTTGCCCATTTCCTAAGGATGATACAGGAATTTGTGGATAAGTTGATTTCTTTCTTTCTCTCTGAGATCTGTATTGGGAAGATGTGAGAGGCAGCTCTGTGTTCTGGAAAGGTGAGCAAATAGATCAGTTTAATATGAGGTTTCCTTATGGAAGTTGTTTATATCACTACCAAGCTCTTGGATAAATCCTAAATATCATTACATTCTTAGATGAGTATGCTTTTACTTTGTTTTTATTTTGCCTTTGATAATAATAATAATAATAGTATCATTTATTGATTTTCTTCTATTTTGTGCTGTTTTATATGTCTATATCTATCTAATTACATCTTTTTACCCCTCACAAAAACCCTACAAGTTATTATTACTCCCATTTTATGAGTAAAGAAATTGAGGCTCCGCGACTTGACTAACAGCACATAGTAAATGGTAGAGGTGGGAAATAAATCCAGATCTGTGATTCTCCAAAGCCCCAATCTACCCAGTATACCATGCTACCCCACCGAGCCAGGATGGAAAGTGAGCATATCATTCTTTGCAATTCTCCTCCAAGGTGACTTAAAGGTTAGTGGACAATGGTTATGCAAATTGGTCTTTCATAATTTAAGGATTCCTACATAACCCCACAGGTAGCACGTAATCTGATTTATTTTCACAGAGGACTGTAATGATCCTACCACTTTAAGACGTCAGCATTTCTGTATGAGAAATATTGTTTCTCTCCAAGCTTTGTGGCTGAGAGGAAGTCAAATCAACATATCCTAAATTCTATTTTAAAGTAGTGATTAGATCCCACCCTGTACAGAACATAAGAAAGTGAATTTAGAATTGATGGGTACCAGATGGCCTGAAAAGGAAGAAAAAAACAAGTAACGTTCAGCAGGAAAAGGTTAAGTTTGAGTGTTATTCAAAGTTTATACAAACCAAAATTTTAGCCTTGACTACTGCTGTAAGGCATTTTTCTATCTTCCTCCTACCTTGTAATTAATTAGGACTGAGGCTAAGAGAATGAGGGGAGAAATATCAATGGAGTAGAACAGATGAACAGTTGAGTGGAGGCCTTGTTGCGGTTTGAGTAAAAAATTGGCTCGAAGTTTCCTTACCTTATTTGTGTTTTGTTTCAGACTTCACAGTACTGGAGTTAAAAATATGTATGTGTGTGGTGTTAATGTGTTTAACAGCATGATTGATTTAACGGATACTTGGAGAGACTGACCAGGAGTCCACTCTCTCAATGGCAGAACATCAAGCTTGAGCACCTTTCATTTTGAGTAGCCAGCCTGTAAGACAGCAACTTCCCTGGGCTTATTCCTGCCCTCCTTGGACTTGCTGATGAGCTGAGCATGATGCTTGGCAATGATGCCATTATGAGAGAGGGTGGCTAGGGAAATGGCAGCACCACTGCACTTATTGCTTTTAAATCGAAGCATTGGATATATAAATAAAAGATTGTCATGGTTTTCTTGGTTTTAGAAGAAAAAAGCCTCTCAACAGCAATGTTATTCAATTCAGCTCCTGCTTTCTTTGCCAGCAGCTCATTGAGGAGAATGGGGCTTGAAAGGGGGTGGGGTGGAAGTGGGGCAGCCAGTTGAGCCTCATTAGTCAACAACTGGAATCATCTGGGGTCAGTATGTGGTGACCTCCTGCTATGGCTCCATTGCAACAAAAACCCTTGAGGCCTCCCAAACACATATCAACCCTCAGATATATCTGGAGGAGTGACTTGAAAAAGCAATTTTTAACACACAGAAGATTTTCTATCCTTCATTGCAAAGGTGATGCTTCTTTGACTCAGGAGGGTCTACTGTTATAGCTTCCCACTTCAGGAGCAACATAATCAGGATCATTCAGCGGAATCTCCTGAAATCCAGAATATATTTCTTTAGGCAGAGGCTGGGGAGAATCAATCCTGAAACCTGTAGTGTGCCCAACCTTCACTTGGCTTCTGTTCTGGGCTGCTCTAGAATGTCCTGGGCAGTGCGGAGCTGGGCTGTGACAGTGTTTGGTGTTGTATGTTGCAGGAGGGTTACTGGTTCCCAGTGGCCTGAGCCTGTCTCTGTGTTACCACTGCCGGAGAACCTGGGCTCATCATCTGTGCTATTGGCAGAGCCGCACTTACTAGTAAATCTTGGCGTGTGAAAGCTGGAAAGCACTTTGGATATTCTTTTTAGGTAATCCTTTTTGTTTTATTGCTGAGAAAGCAAGCCCAGGGAGGATAAGTGACCCGTCTAAGACCACAGAGCCCTTGGTACAGAACAAGGGCTGTACCAACCTCTCCTCTTTTCTCCTAGCCTCAGTTTCTCAGCTTGGTCCATTGCCTTGCTCCTTCTGGGTCTCCTGTGGGGCTTTTCCTGGGTTGGGTCGCTGGGATTTGCCAAATCCTGGTCCTGCCACAGCAGAGACTTGGCTGAGGTCCTTAGAATGTCCTTGGGAAGCTGCTGCCTTAGAAGGTCCCCCTTTGAGCAGCAGACAAGCTTGTTTAGCACCTTCTAGGAGGTAAAAGAGAGTGGAGCCAATTCTGTGTCCTGAACACTGGAACCTTCTTTTCCAGACCCGATTCTCTGGTCTCCCGTGGTGTATGAGTTTCTTGTTAAATTAATGTTTGCCTGTCTGGAGTGCCAGAGGGATATAGACATTATAGGCCAATTAGAGATAAAAATCAAACCAACCAGAGTTGTCCTTTTAAAAATTAAAAGTCCTTTTTATGTGCTGTGGAGGTGTTGGCATTATCATAAAGACTAATTAGGACATTTTACAACATCCTGGTAACAGGAGGAAACAATATTGTTGGTAACTTTAAAGATTATTAAGCATCTTTAGCACTTCAGGTCAGATATTTAAGATGCTTTCTGTGCTCACCTGCTGTTGCTGCAGGAAGTATTTTATTGTCTCATAAGAAGAAATGAGCATTTTGAAGGCATAAATGCCCGGCTGTAATGGACGGTCCTTCACTTTGCAAAGCCCTAAAACAGGGTCTCCAGGAAGAGTTGACTGTGACTCCACATGAGATTTGTAACACAGTGTTTATCAGTCTGTGTGTGAAGGCAGTTTCCATCTCGACCACCTGGAGAAAAGCAATCCCCTCAAAGGCAGACATTACTTAACGAGGAGGAGGCTTCGCTCTGGCATTGGCGGCAGGAACAAGGAAACCAGACCGTGCATGTTTCTGTGAAAAATGCTGCCTTCACTTGCAGGCAGATGATTCTCCCACATTCTAGCAGACAGGTTCGAAAGCACTGAAGCACAAAAGAGTGGGGGTGGGAATGAGGGTCCACGGAGAATTTCTCGAGGGAGATCTTGTTTATGATTTGCCAATTCCTCCTAGAAAGCACTGTGAACTCAAGCAGATTCTTCCGAACTTGATTGAAGACAAAAGGCTTGTGGCAGATGTGGGTTGGATGCTGAAATTGCATGCTATTGTCATTTAAAGAATTGTATGTTGTCTTGAAATTCAAATGTCCTTTAACAAATAGGGAAATTATGTGAAGGTCAGACAAAGCAGAAGGGTAAATTTTAGTGTCATGAAAATACCTAAAACCGAAGATCTATGTGCAGAGATTTCCAGGAAGCTAAGGAAATCTTAAATAGTTCCCAGTCCCAATCTGAAGCACTTTAAAGGCTGTGCATTTATAGTGTTATTTATCTGTGAGAGTGTTAGAGAGACTTCCACAATTTCAGCAATTTTAATTGAGACTAAAACCACACAATTAGGCTTTACTTAGTTATCAGTGAGAACAGTAGCTATTTACTTTATAGTCCTAATGATATAACAAATGTAAAGAAAGCGCGGGGCAGAGTTGATACTTATTTCTCAGCTTTGTACTCTGGGATTTTGCCACATGAACTATTCACTTTAATCAGGGTTTTTATAGTGAGATTTCAGAATATGGCTTCGAAACATTACCATTTCCTGCAGGCTAGTCTGTTACACTCTGATTCTCACACAACGATTTCTTTTTCTAAAAGTGTATTTTAAAAATTGTAACTATAATGTGGTCTTATTAAACAGAATCTGAAAAAAAAACTTACCAACATACACTACCCACACATAGTTAATATCTTTGTGTATTTCTTTTCACCTTTCCCCCTTATGAATAGATTTATTTAAGTTTTATTTAATTGTAACCACAGTATTTACATAATTTTATATCCTACTCCTTTCACCTAATATATTGTAACCTTTGCCCATGTTATTTTATGGTATTTGTAAACATAATATTTAAGGGCCTCATAATCTGTTATTAAGTGGCTATATTATAGTTCCCATAACCAATCCTCTCTTTTAGACCTATAGGTTGCTTCCAGTTTTTTTGGACAGGTTACAGAGTTAGAGTTAGATTTGAAATCCTTATCTAAATCTATTTTTCCTCCCTTTCCAGACTGCGAATATACAATATGCTGGCTACTCCCTAGCCAGCATGGGTCTTTTTTTCTATCTGAAAACCTTTTGCTAACTTGATAGATCACAAAATGGTATTTGGGATTAACTCGTATTACTTTGATTATTATTCAGATTCTTTCCCCCCATGTTTTGTCAATGAGTTGTACTTCCTTCACCATGCAAATTTATTTCTCAATTAACCTCTTTATTTTAGTTATTTTATCTTATTATGTTCAGAGATTTGCACTTTTTATGCAGTTAAATCCATGTAGCTTTCTTTGTGGCTTTTTCTAATCTCTTAAACTTAGAAATTTCTCTTTACTCTAGAGGTTTGACAAATATTCTATTCAGTTACCTTTTAGGTTCTTTTGATGACTTAATTCTTTTACCTTTTACTCTTTGGTGCCACCTGGTATTTATTTTAGTGTATGGTGTGAGATATAGGTATACATCAGTTTTGTTTCCAAATTACAAAACTATTTTGCTGACTGAGTTCCTTTTTGCCTTGTGATGACTTCTTTATCAGACATTAAGTGTATGTGTGTGTGTGTGTGTGTGCATGCAAGCTTTAGGCATTTTTCATAAGAAATATATCAAAAGCTATTGGAATCAGTCACTTTCATTTACATATAAAAAATTTACATATTTGCATTGTGGTAGGCTCCTTTGACTAGGCAATTATGTGGCCTACTTTGGAGTAAAAAAAATGAGGTGACTGTGAACAGTAGACTATTGTGTGAAAATCCTTGAGAACGTCAAGCAAGAGCAGAATCTTGAGCACCCTGTCAGAATTAAGGGTGCTCATCAGATTTATTTATGGAAACCAAGAAACATACACATACAACCTTGGGCTCTATCAGGAGCAATTTTCACTTAGTAGGTCTTAATTGGGGCCTGAGCGTTTCTGTTTTATAAAAGCTACATAAATGGCCCTAATTTGTACCCCCAGTTGAGAACAGTCTGGAGCAGGGGTCTGTAAACTATGAACCACATGCCACATTCCAGCCTGCTGCCTGCTTTTGTATGACTCATGAGCTAAAAATGTTTTTTTTATATTTTTAAATGGTTAAAAAAAATTTAAAGAATAGTGTTTCATGACATGTAAAAAAATATATGAAATCCAATTCCAGCATTCAAAAATAAAGTTTTATTGAAACACACCTATGCGCATGTGTTTATGTTTTGTTTATGGCTGATTTGCACTATCGTGGTGGAGTTGAGTCATTGTGACAGAGACCATATGGCCTAAAAGCAAAAGATATTTACTATCTGCCACTTTATGGAAAAAGTTAGTGATCTCTGGTCTAGAGCACTGAAGTGAGAATTAGAGTTCCTTGGTTCTGGGGTGTTATGGAAGCACAGTGCTAGAATGTTTTGTTGTTGTTCATTTCGGCAGCAAGATGACTATAGTTATGTCAAGGTTCTAAGGGCAAGAAACAGTGCTGAAAAAGATTATAAATTGCAGGTCTTCTGGTTTTTGCAATAATGTGAATTTGACATCTTGAAATCCTGCTAAAAAACAGCCTCATGAAATAGAAATAAACCACTCTTTAAATGCATGGCTGAACTGGAAAAAATTAAGGGTAATTTTCAGAGGCATCAAACAAGGTAGAAACACAAGCCCAGATGGCTGAGTGTGCACCAAAGTTGGCAGTTGGCTTAAGGGAATTTTCTGATCCCTGGTGATCACTTGGGGAAACAGGAGACAGTGCCCTGGGCTAATGCACAGCAGGGAGTTGGATTGTCAGTCCCTCACAGTAACACCAGGACAACATCCTGAAGGACAACATCGTTACTGAAAGGCTGACCTAGAAAATAAAGGCACACAAGGAGAGATAAGAAAGAAACTTGCTATCTTGGCCTTTGGTTCAGAATAAGGAAAAAATCTTCCCCTGATAATTCATAACACAAACTAGCCCTTATGCAGATTTGGGGCCTGGATGCACACAAAGTATAAGGGTGATCCAAGAATTTAGTTTAAAGTAGTTTCAAGTTGATAGTGCCCCTAGGTACCTGGCAGTAGCAAATACCTATCCTCTCTGGAGGAATAAACCACCCAACATGTGGCTTATATAATTCCCACACATAAAGTTCCAATAGGCATGAACTCACACATGGATATACACACAAATAACAAAACACATGAGGAACTAAGAAACCATGAGTGAAGTCAGAACAGATAACAAACAGCAGAAGTGGTCTTACACAGGGTTCAGACAAAGGAACTATCAGATATAGAATATAAAATAGCCATGTTTTATAAATTTAAAGAAATAAAAGAGTAAGTCAAAAGTATGAGTAAAAACAGGAGACCATTCAAAATGACCAACAGATTTGGAAAAGGATAAAATAGAACTTCTAGAAACACACACACAAAATAATTAAAATAGTGCAATGTCAATTTAATCCACTGTCCGACCTTTCAGGAGAACAAGTGACTACCCTAGATGGGTGGTATAGGTGGATACAAGATAGTTTAACAATGACCTGTAGAGAGCTCTGAAGGACAGGCTGAGGAGTTTGGAACTTATTCTGTATGCCCTGAGGAGCCTCTGACATCTCTTGATCAGGATTGGTCACAGGAAGATTCAGGTCCCATCATGTTTAACCCCAAGCCTAGCATCTTTCAGAGAACGCAGATATGTACTTCCTTAACAGAGTCAGGGGCGGGCACAGTAGCTCTCACTTGTAATCCCAGAACTTTAGGAGGCTGAGGCAGGTGGGTCGCTTGAGCCTAGGAGTTCAAGACCAGCCTGGGCAACACGGTGAAACCCTGTCTCTACAAAAAATACAAAAATTAGCTAGGCATGGTGGTGTGCACCTGTTGTCCCAGCTGCTCAGGAGGCTGAGGCAGGAGGATCACTTAAGCCCAGGAGGTGGAGGTTGCAGTGAGCCAAGTTCGGGCTACTGCACTCCAGCCTAGGCAACAGAGTGAGATCCTGTCTCACAACAAAAAAAAAAAAAAAAAAAAGAAGAAGAAAAGAAAAATAAAAGAAAAAAAGAGAGAGGAGAGAGAGAGAGTCTCAAGAACTGAAATGTTGCAACTCAGTTGCAGGGTGAAAATAAGGGGCATGGTGTGCAAATGGCAAGTTCAATCCTATCATCAAATGGACAAACTGACACATTAATGTATGTGTTATTGATGTAAGCATGACCACCAATAGGCAGGAAAATGAAACGCAAAAGAAGTCCAAAAGAAAGATGGTGGGCTGAGATAGAGAAATTTTGCAGGCAAATGGGAGTTGTGGCAGGGTGAGTAGGCAGGTAAGTTAACAATGAGTAGAAATAAAGATGGGAAGGAAAACAGTCAAGAATGAAAACACAAAAAGGTAAGTAGTTGCTGATTTAACCTCAGCACATATAGTATCAGCATGTTATGCTCTGAATGTTGGTGTCCCCCTGCAAATTCATGTGCTGGAACTTAATCTCCAATGAGATAGAACTAAAAGATGGAGCCTTTAGGAGGTGATTAGATGAGAAGCATGGAGCGCTTGTGAATAGGATGCCTGCACTTGTAAAAGAGGCTTGAGGGAGCCCACTTGCTTCTTCCACCAAGCGAGGACGCAGCAAGGAAGAGCCATCTTGGAAGCAGAGTGCAGCCCCCAGCAGACACTGAATCTGCTGCTACCTTGACTTTGGATTTCCCATTCTCCAGAACTGTGAGCAGTAAATTTCTATTGTTTGTAAATTACCCAGTCTAAGGCATTTTGTTATAGCAGCTGAAGAGATTAAGACACAGCACCAGGGCGTTATCAGTAAACCAATCAATGTGGATCCTAGGGCATATGTAGCTGAGAGGGAGAGAATTTTCTCTCATTCTGAAGACCAAGGCCTTTATTTTGTAATCATTCCTAAAATTCTTTGTTAGTATTATTTCCCTAAGACACTCATCTTTCAAAATTACACAATAACCCTGCTTTGTACACTTATTGCTTTGTTTGATATTGTTACTCTTGACACGGCAGCACCCCCTGCCCTCTCAACACTCTGCCTCTACCTTCTGAAGCCTAACTTTTTCAAAAATTTCCCAGACAGCTCTGAGGAGAGTCTCTGATTCTGCTTACATTCTGTTTTCTGCCTGATCTTCATAGGTTAATCTCACTGCGAGATGGCATGCAATTAATGAGACTTATTATGTTAATGAACACACCAGTTATTATTTAATAATTATGTTAGCGATAAAAACAATTATGGGTTAATTGTTACAATTACTATTAAAATAACAAACTGAAGGTTTAATTTATGTCTACAGTTCAATTAAAAAGAAATTTAAACAGAATTGTGAGCAGATGACTGATATATAGGAGACAAAGAATTTATACATGTAAAAGTTAACAGCTTTCAACCTCAACCAACAGACGTGACACAAGAAAGATGTGGATGCTGAGAGACTTGGTGAAGAGTAATCTTAGGCATTTCCTAAGAAAAGCAAAACTGCTAGAAAAACATCTCAGTTTGGAAGAACATCAGTGGATAAGATATTGGGACTTATGACTGATTATAGTGTCAAAGTCAAGAAGGTATCAACACAGGACACAAGCCATAACCAGGTCAGGTGAGCTGTCTTCTTGGTCACCAAATAGCCATTGACTTTTGGAAGTTCATCTTACTCTCTTGAATAAGAAATGAGTATTTGTAGAGGCGTTGCTTCCCGGACATCAAAGTAACCTTTACTAGAGTCGGCCTCTGTATCAATGAATTGTGTGTGTGTGGGTACATGTGTACATGCATGTACATAGGCACAGGCAGGCAGACTTCTATGATTAGTCCATTTGCAATGAGGATTCTTTGCCCATAAATCATTTATCTTAAAATCTCCTTCTTGAGATAATGCATTGCAAAAACTACTTGTTAATGGCAAATCAGGCTATGAGGACATATATGGATTTGTGGAGAGAATGTCATGATCATAAGCCATATCTGCATTTCTGCATCTTCTTTATTATTATTTTAAAATGTAATCTTTTTAAAAATATGTCGCTTGAACTTAATTAGTTTCCTTCTTTTTCTTTGGCTTGGATTCATAGACTATTCTTCTGGGAGGGAACCTAGAGCTCAGCTAGTCCAATCCACTCGTTTTCCAGATGAGAAAACCCAGGACCTGAAAGAGAAAGTTATTTGCCCAAAGTTATCAGGTCAATTTGTGGCAGATTTGGAACTAAAATTCCAGCCTTTCTACTTCTCAGACACGATCTCTACTCTATCCTTTCCAGGACTCATCATCAAGTATGTCATAAATAATGATATCATTTTATAGTTGTAAAAAATTGTACAGTTTTTAAAACACTTTCATATATATCATCTCACTGGACCCTCGTAACACCCAATGAGATAAACTCAGACATTTTTATCTGTATTTTAAATAGATGAGAATCCTGAAATGTACTAGTCTGAGGTCACATGCTAAGTCAATGTTAGAAGTGTTACCGAAAGCCAGTCTTGCCATTTCTGGCTTATGCTCTTGCATTGCTCCAAGAAACAGGAAAACAAGGGCTGAGATAATAGGGATTTATTAAAAAAAAAAACAACAACTCGGAAACTACTTTAAGTTTCCTTTGTAAATATTTTTTCAAAATATCAACCCATCACATCTGAAGAATTTCCCCCTTGGCATGTTCTGCACGAATCCTACAGAGTCTGTGTGGCAGTGGGGAGAGCCAGACAGACATTTGAGCTGTGAAGAGCACGAATCTTATGAACTTTTCATGTACTGTTTAGGGTCAGCAATCCCAGTCTAGTGTTGCTAAGCAGTGCCACTCATGAAGCCCAAAGCCCTACCACCTCTATAGGTATTAAAGAAAGAATGCTAAAAAGGTAAGAATTTAGAAGAATAAGAATGGAAGAAATGACCTAGGAGACAGGGGTAAAAGGAGAAGATGGAACAGTGGTGATGGGTATTATACCAGCTGCCATTGCTTGAAAGTCTACTGGAGTGTTGGGGGTGGGAGATAACCCCTGACAGGAAGAGAGAGGAGTAGAAGGACTATGGTAATGAGGACTGATCAGAAGAAAGGGGTGTTTGATATTGGGATAAAGCTGGGGGTTTTATATTAATAATCGTAGTAATAAAGTTAATGGCCCCTAAAATAGAAGAAACACCTGCCAAGTGGAGTGAGAAGATGGTTAGATCCACAGGAGGCTCCTGCATGTATTAGGTTCCCTGCTAAAGAGGGATAAACTGTTCAGCTGGTCCCAGCACCAGCTTCTACTATTGAGGATGCAAGTAGGAGTAGGAAAATGGTGGGGAGGAGTCAGAAGCTCATATTATTTATCTGGGGAAATGCCATATTGCGTGCACCAATTATCAGAGGGACTAGCCAGTTACCAAATCCTCCAATTATGATTGGTGTCACCATAGAGAAAATAATGATGAATGCGTGGGTGGTAACAATAACATTGTAAATCTGATCAGTGTCAGAGGCTCTGAGTTGGCATTTAGAATCACCCCTTTCTCCAGCTCTTAATTGACCTATGTCCTTGCTCCATTTGGGATGGCCTAAGGTAGTAGCCAATATGAGTGAACCTTTCACTTAGGTTTTTTCAGGTCCCGTAGACATGGCCAAAATTAATGAAAACAGCTGATAGCTATTAAGAGGAGCTTATAACAACAAAGCTAACATTTATTGAGAGTCTTCTATGTGCCAGGCTCTGTTCTAAGACTTGTATGCATTTGAGCTCTTTGAATTCTCACAGCTCTATAAAGTAATTTCCTTTTATGGATGAGAAAAATTGATGCACAAAGAAGTGAATTATCTTGTTCAAGGTCACACAACTAATAAGTGGCACAGTTGGGATTCAAACCAGGGCCCTTGGGATCAGTCATTATGCTGTATAGATAAACCCTGAGTAAATATTAAATGATTCCAGCAAGGACTGAGTCCTCAGCCTCTCTAGTGCCATGGAGGCTTCTAGGCATGCTGCTGTGTTCCTTGCTCAAGGTGCAAACTGCATGCAAATAAGTGAAACAGGGTAGAATAAGCCCTCTGTGGTCTGACTTTGTAGACTGGTGATTCCATACCCAATATGTTAGTCTCCTAAAAGCCTGTAAAAACCAGTTAGCAGAAGGTTAGGCAAACCACAAGCTCACAAAGGAGTACTTCTTCCTGTGATTTAGAATATGCCAGTCTCAATGGACTTGAGCTCAAGAGTGTGGATGTGGCATTTCCAAGCCCTCCTTCACCAGTGAGTTCCAGGGATATATGGTATTCAGCCTTTCAATGAAGGTAGAGGGAGAATCAGTCCTGAGAGGTGTTAGAGTCAGGCCAGGGTTACTGGCAGCTTTCTGTGAAGGAGGAAAAATAAATTAGGAACAAAAGTAATTCTCTGTCTTCATTGATTTCAGAAGCTGTTTATTTACAAGTGTCATGCAATTTTCCTTCTCCTTTGCAACAAATTTATCACTGGTGGAGGGAAAAGATTTGCTCAGTGGTGGCTCCAAGAGTCTTGAGGAGCTTAGAGCTGCCAAGATCAGGAAATGAAACACATACTTTTTGCTAAGGCAGTTTTTTTTTTCCCTCATCAGATCAGTGGTCATGCAGAGAAAAGGAACATTTGACAGGTACACAGGCAAATTTAGTGGCAAGAAAATAGCCATAGCCTCAAATGCATTGTAGCTTCTGATCAGAGCCACTTGAAATAGTCTGTTCAGTTAAAACAGGCCAACCTTCGGGTGTTGGATTCTGAGTTCCTGGCTTGAGAAAGGTTGAGTAGAATCTAGGTCATTGCTTCTGTGTAGCTATTATAAGGCATTATAGAACTCATGAATCCAATTAGAGTAGAGCAATAGGATTTAAAACAAGTAGGAATAAACTACCTTCAGGGTTAGAGCATGCAACATTTCCTTTGTTCTCCCAAGATGATTTGGCATTTTATAGATTACAGGTCTGTGATGATGCTGAATATCATTTGAACTTATCTAGTTATCCAACACTTTTAGAAGACATGGGGAGGAGATAGCGTTTTACTCACCCCTGTGAAGCATTCCCAGTACTCATGCAGCCATTCTGTTTTTCACTTTCAGTATTGTATTCAATAAATTACATGAGGTACTCAACACTTTGTCATAAAATAGGTTTTGTGTTGGATGATTTTGCCTAACTGTGGGCTAATGTAAGCATTCTGAGCATACTTAAGGTGGGCTAGGCTAAGCTATAATGTTCATTAGGTGAAGTGTATTACATGCATTTTTAGCTTATGATATTTTCAACTTATGTTGGGTTTAATGGGATGTAAGTTGAGAAGCATCTGTATGTGTTTTTCAAATCCAAAGGGAGAAGATGTGAATGCTATCTGGCAAGTGCAGGCCATGATTACTAGCTGTACATATTAAAAACATTGAATAAGTTCCCGTTTCTTTTGAGTACAGCAAGCCATAAAGAGGGAGAAGGGCCCCCCTCTGCTTCCCCAACAGGGTTTCTCCCTACGGTTTTGTTTTTGAGTAACTTCAGCAAAAGAGAAGCTCCTTGCTGCAAAGCCTGGTGAGCTCCTGGGGAGGACGTTTGCTCCCTGCTTTCAAGTTGGCATGACATAACCAGCTGAATGGTGGCAGAGTCTCCACTCACCCCTGGACCTGGGCTCTGCCCTTGAAGTGTCCCGTTTGGGAGGTGCTACTAAGAGCTATTCAACCACTGGGGTGAAGGTGGGCGCTTGGAAAAATATGTCACAATCTAAGCATCGAAGGAGGAGCTTGGTGCTTAAAACAAAATTGAAGTATAACCAATCAGCAGTTGTTGTTGACTGTCAGGACCCTGGAGTTAGATGTGTATTTTTGTCCCATGCTAAAAGTAGATATCACCATTAGGGGAAGGCGAAGAGTCTGTAGGCAGTCTGCTTGTGATAGATCAAAGCAAGGAGCATCTCTCCATCAGAAAAAAGCTTTATGGAGCAGACGGTTTTAGGGTTCTTACTCTTTGAAGATTGTGTGGGAAGACTGACTTTCTGCAATACTGCAGGCTGGAGGTGGAGGTATCACACAGGGACATCTGGGCATCAGAACAGCTTTGTCTGCTCTGACAAGGATAAAGCCTTGGCTGATGCCAAATTTGGTTTAAGAACTGGGAGGATCTGAGGTTCCTATGCATCCCCGAAATGGAAGTGCACAGATTGCTACTGTCATGGCAATGTGAGCCTGAGCATAAATGGACAAGAATTCTGCTTTTTCCCCAAATCTGGCAGAAGGAGAAGCTGGGGTAGAGTGTCTGCCCTTGCTTCTGGTCCAGGAATTCTCCTCGTTGCCTCCTCTGGATTCCTGCCTACTTTAGCTGTGCCTGTGTGGCCTTCCTCTCACCATTTGTAATGCTGCAAATCATTTCTCCATTATAACCCTCTTCATTGTAAGATGGTGGGTGGGAGGGTAAGTTAGACCAAATATGGCAACTAAGTCTACTCAATTTTCTGAAATTTGAGTTCAACCAAGGTGTTATATAATGGCTAAACTGTAAATGAACCACCTTAAAAAAGATCTAATGAGTTAATTTGAGTCAGAATTAAGGTAGTACTGTTTTTAACTTTTTATTTTGACATACTTTCAGACTGAAGAGCAAAGTTGCAAGAATAGTACAAAGTTTTTTCAGATGCCTTTAATCCAGAGTCCCCCAGTGTTAACATTTTACCGCTTTTGTTTTCTCTCTCTTGCTTTTTCTGTCTATATTTTTTGACAAATTAAGAAAAAGTTGCAGGCAGATGGTTCTTTACTTGTGAATTCCTCAGGATGTATTTCCTAAAAATAAGAACATTCTCTTACACAACCACAGTACAATCAAAGTTATAAAATTAATATTAATGCAATACAATCAGTTGATCTGTAAACCTTACTCAGATTTTGCCAGTTGTTCTAATAATGTCCTTTAGAGTGTGTGTTGCATTCAGTTTTCATATCCCTTTGGCCCTCTCTGCTCTGGAACAGTTTACTAGTCTTCCTTCAAAGTAATACCTATTTACAAGCATCTAGAGTAAAGGAAAGAATCAAAATATTACTGAGGCCACCAGCTTTCCCTTAATTTTTGTAATAGAATTACACACTAACAGAATTTTTACTTGTGTACATGGTCACCCTCTTAAAGACTTCATTTGCAAGATGTGTCCATCACATTTCTCTGGATATGACCATGGGGCTAAAATCTTGGGCAGTTAAGAAGTGAGTAGAAGTAATGTGTACAACTTCTAGATCAAGTCCTTATAGGCAAAGAATGTGTTTTTCCTTTCTCCTATTTTTCATTTTTGCAGTATGTTATAGGATGTGCTGGTGGAAGCAGGAGTGCTCCTTGGAAAGGAGAATGATCAACAAGATATCTCTGATAATTGTGAAGGAATCCTAGCAGCCCTTGGCAGTCTTACCTAATCACCCCCACTCCTCTCAGTCTTCTCTAAAATTTAAGGACTTAAAACAAAACAAAACAAAACATAACTACCATGCCATTATCCCATTTAAGAAAATAAAGTTATTATTTAATATTATCAAATATTCATACCTTGTTTTCTTATTATTTACTTTTAAAAAGTTATATTTAATTTATTTAATTTTATTTCTGCGAAGACAGAGTCTCGCTCTGCCACCTAGGCTGGAGTGCAATGGGGCATGATCATGGCTCACTGCTGCCTCAACCTCCTGGGCTCAAGCAATCCTCCCACCTCAGCCTCCCAAGTGGCTGGGACTGCAGGTGCGTGCCACCACGCCTGGCTAATTATTGTATTTATTGTAAAGACGGGAACTAGTCTCCAACTCCTGCGCTCAAACAATCCACCTGCCTTGGCCTCCCAAAGTGTTGGGGTTCCAGTGTAAGCCATCATGCCTGGCTCTTTGTTTTTTTAAATGAGGAAAAAAAAAATTCTATCTTATATGCGTCATTATGATTTTGGGTTTCTTTCTCACAGCAGCTGTACCAGTAACCTGACCAATGCAATTGTGTAAGCCACCATTTAAGAAGTTGTTCAAATCTCTGGAAGTATTTTTACAAAAGGAGAAAGAGAACACCAAATTTTACAGTATAATAATATAACAATGAGGTGAAGTCATGTAAAAATTTTATATTGCTAATTTTATCAAGACTGAAAAATTTTGCCTCCTTTAGCCTTTTAATTAGCTTTTAAAAATCATTACATTTTTCTCATTTGCATTAATGTCAAAGTGTATTTTTTGTGAAATTACAAGGCAGTTTTTGTTATGCAAATTTAAAGTCTCCTTAGAGGAATTTTTGCTTTAAAGATCTGCCCCTGCAATTTTAGTATATTGGCATCAGGGGGCAGTGGAGTTGCATATGTTCTGAGCAGTCTAGCCTGCATTTCCACTGATGACATTAGTGTGAGTCCCTAAGCTAAACATTGGACAAAAATATGATATGCTTACTTAAAAAAAATGTGATACAAACTGAAGAAAATTGGCCTTACAGAAAATACAAACAAATCATATAATTTTCATGTGTTCTTTAGCATAATGAAGCTAAAACATGATCTTAATGTTAAACTAGCAAAAAGACTTTATTTCCCACTTTCTGATTCTCCTAGAACCATTCTCATTAACATCCCTTTTTCTTAATTGCATTTTTCAAGTAAGGGAGTTCTCTCTCTCTTGTAATCTAGACACGGTTAGTCTTCCTGGTTATCTAAAATGTCCTGAATTTAAACTTTTCTCTTTAGCTTCTTGCAAAAATTATTCTCTTATTCCTAAAATATTGAAGGAAAAGATTGTAAATGGTAGCTCTTTATTAAGATCTGTGTTTATCACTGGTTATACTACATATAGTATTTTGCCACTCAGAATTCTTTCAAAATTTTCCCCTCATATAAGTTAACAGAGTTTGGAAACCTATTGGACCTAATCTGCATACAATCGTTTTTTACTTTATTAACAGTCTTGTTTAGCATCTGGGTTACCAAAGGTAACACCACAAAGAAGACAGAAAATGGAAGTAAAGGGAACAATATTTGAATTAGTTTTTGTTACTTTCATAAAGATAAATCATCTCATGTGATTTGCTTTTTACCACCAATGGGGGCTACAAGAGAGAATGAGAAGGGAATTTTCTACATTTCCCAGTGAAGCTACAAAGAAGCCAGGAACACTTTGGTTCTAAAGCCGGGTGGGGGATAAGTCTGATGAAACTATGTTGCTTGATCTCTTTCCTGTGACTATGTCGCTGTATATGGCATTTAGGGGCATTTCCTCCCTGATGCATTTTATTTGGAATTACCAGTGTCATTTGAACTAGAAATAACCATTATAAATGTTAGGTACACAATTTATGATTTGGTGTTTTGAAATCATTGCATAAATTAGAAAATAAAATCTGTAGCTCTTTGTCCTACCCAGGGGCAAATATGTCCCTGGAAAGTTGCTTCCTGTTACAGGTAGATTTGGACCTAGAGTCCTGTCTAGCTCAGCGTGACCTGGATGTGAGACATAGAGTCAAAGGAGATCATTTTGGAGCTTTAAAATTTGACTTCTCCACTGGATTTTGGACTTGCATGGGCCCTGTAACCACTTTGTTTTGGCCACTTTCTCCCATTTGGAATGGCTGTATTTACCCAATATCTGTACCCCCATTGTATCTAGGAAGTAACTAGCTTGCTTTTGATTTTACAGGCTCATAGGTGGAAGGGACTTGCCTTGTCTCAGACGAGACTTTGGACTGTGGACTTTTAGGTTAATGCTGAAATGAGTTAAGACTCTGGGGGACTGTTGGGAAGGCATGATTGCTTTTGAAATGTGAGGACATGAGATTTGGAGGGGCTAGGGGTAGAATGGTATGGTTTGGTTATGTGTCCTCACCCAAATTTCTTCTTGAATTTTATTCCCATAATTCGCACATGTTGTGGGAGGGACCCGGTGGGAGATAATTTGAATCATGGGGGCGGTTCCCCCATACTGTTCTCGTGGTGGTGAATAAGTCTCATGAGATATGATGAGTTTATCAGGGGTTTCCGCTTTTGCATCTTCCTCATTTTCTCTTGCCACCACCATGTAAGAAGTGCCTTTCGCCCCCTGCCATGATTCTGAGGCTTCCCCAGCCATGTGGAACTGTAAGTCTAATTAAACCTCTTTTTCTTCCCAGTTTTGGGTATGTCTTTATCAGCAGTGGACTAATACACACACACACGTATATATGTATTAATGTAATTTGTAGCTTTATTTATATCAAGGAAATACATAAAAAATGTGACCCAAAATAAAATGAGCTATTTATTCATGAAATATTTATTGAGCACTTACTATACATCTGATGCTGTATTAAGTGATATGACATCAAAGATTTTAAAAATAAGATTTCTACTTCCATGGGGCTCACGGTCTCTTCCATGTAACACATACTTAAAAGGGTATAGAGTAGATTAATGAGAGACTTGAAATATTATTGAGGCTGTCAGTTTTCATTTAATTCTCATTTTTTAAAGGTATGAACCACTGAGCTATATAACACATGCTTAGTCTTTGTTAGAGCTTCTCTTTAATAAAAAGAAGAATTAAGGGAAAACTTCTTAAGTTTGGGACTGAGATTCAGCTAAAATGTGACTCAGACCCTAAAATGGGCAACTTTCTGGAAATAGCAAATCCACTTATAATAGGAAGCAGTTTTCCAGTGACATTTTTTGCCCCTGGGGAGGACAAATTTTGCAAGATTTCCCTACTTTGTTCCCCCCTCCCCACCCAAATTATTTTCCATATGTTAAAACATTCGGACCTCACAACAATGTGAGGCAGTAATGTTTCTATCCTCATTTTGTATATGAGAAAACTGGCATACAGTATGTATTAATAACTTATCCCAAGGTCACATAGCCAGTAAGTGCTAGCCAGGATCTAGACACAGACAGCTGGACTCCAGGATCTGTGCTTTTAACCACTTCTCTATATATTGATGGTCTTGAGTAAGGGGAGAGGGATGGGCTATCTATGACAAAAAACATATCCCTCATTTTGGAATTTCACTGCAATGCATCTAACATGAATTGAGAAATCAACATGACCCGGCAGTGGTTTAGCCACCGGGAACTCAGAGTCCTCAAGAACTTACCATGGAGTAGGGGAGATAGACATATCTACAAATAGCTATAGTGAAAGGCAGAAAGCAATCAGTGCCCTAAGAAGCTGATGCCTTGTCAGCACAAAGGAGGAAGGAAAGATATTTCTTCATGATTTTAGTGATTAGAAAATCTCACCTAGAGATAATTGTTGGTTTGAGTTCTGCTTGTTTTGGATAGAACTTTTGTTGCCCTTTTTATTCGGAATGGGCAATTCTTGGTTTTATTCCTGTTGGATGAGTTTTTTTTTTCCCCCGCCTATTATTTGGGAGTACTACCTATCAACAATCAGGAAATTTATAGATTTGTGCTTAGGCTGACACTTCTGTCTTCAGTCTGATGGTAACTTTATTCAGCAATCTTCTTTCAGCTCAGAGAGTTTCAGGGCACTCACCTAATTGTTGGGTGATTGTAAACTGGTTGATATTAACCATTGCTTAGCTCTTTTTGGGTGGAGGGAGCACCTTTCAGCTGGAGGCCCCAGACCTACCCCGGGACCAGGCACTCACATAATAGGCACTCAGAAGTAAATGTTCATGGAATGAATGAAATGCAAACAATTCACCCTGAGAATGAGGACCCCTCCCTATCTATTTATCATATTGCCTAGTCCAATACACTTTTGACATCCTACACTTTTAATGAGGACAGAAGCGGTTCATTAAATAAATTAACCATTAAGTTGAGAACATGAATGTCAATATAGACACAGGCTGTTAATTTGCTGATCACTGATGCGTCCAGTGCCCAAAGGACCTGAGACCTTGCACGTATTGAAACAGCAGGGGATTGGCACATGGCTGAGACAGACTGGGCCAATATGGAGCTCACACAATTCCACAGAATCATCCAAAATGAAATTCTCTTCCCCCTTGAAAAATGGATGCTCCTTGGCATCAGACTTTGAAAATATCTGTGATTAGGCCCTTCCGTTCCCCTTTGACTGTTTTATTTCCATTTTAAAATAGATTGTACTATTTCTTACTTGTAATTTGGCCTAATGTTGCCTTGAAATAAGAGGGCAATAAAGAAAAGGAGAAGAAATCTTTGATCATCTGTCATACTGTGGAAAATCTGACAGTGACTTCAATTAACAGATGAGACCCCAGAGAATTTCCTAGCCTGATCTTCCCCCAGTCCTCTGTCTAATTGAGTGGAGGAAAACAGCCTTCACTGGGACCTTGGATGGCTGCCGAATGAAGCCATCACGTTTCAGTGAGGCTCAAATCTCTGCCATGCTCCCGGCTTTTTTTGCATGCTGCTCTTGCCGGCTGCTGAAGCATAGCAGTCCAAGGATGATGGCATTAGTGAGGTGCGGTGAAAAAAGCACTGGAATGGAACACGGGAGAGTTGAGTTCCTGCCGGCTCTGCTGCAACCATCCTTGGGAGCTTGCAGGTGCTCGTTGCTCTTTCTGGCCCTCAGTTTCCATATTCGTACATGCTTGGATCAGAGTCTCTAGGGTCTCTTTCAATTCTGACATTTGGTGAGTCTTTCTTGCCATGGAGAAAATAGAAAGGAGCTTAAACAGGATAGGTTTGAAAGATCCTTGCTTGGCACATATAAAGTTGGTATCCTAGAAATGGAATTTTTAGAGTGTCTTTGGTAAATGTGAAGACAGGTGAGGCCAGAGGGAAGGATAGACTATGAGGATGGTTTTGGAAATGCATCTGAAAAACCTTCATTCTTCCCTCCCCTTCCCATGCCTGCCCATTCCCTACAAAACTACTAAAGGGATCATATCTGCTAAAATATGAATTCAGTTGCATATTTTTTCTTCTGAACTGTAAGTGCAACAAGGGCAGGGACCACATCTATCTTGTCCACTGAGGTATCCCTAGTGCTATGCCAGTATAAGGTCTTGCTCAGGGGGATGCTCCATTAATATTTGTTGAATGAGTGAATGCACGCATGCTTACAGCTTTTCAATGGTTAACCATAGATTTTAATTTCCAAGTTGAAACTCAATACTTTTATCCATAAATACCTTTGTGATTTTGCCCTAGTGACCTCTTTATATCCTCATTTTCTACAAGCCTCCTGAATGTATTCTTCCCTCCAACTATCCTGCATTATCTGCAATTCTCCTAGCTTGTCATGATGTTTTGCCCTCTGTGTCATTGTGCATGTTGCATTTTCCAGGAATATTTTTCTTCTAGTTTTCCTTCTGGTTCACTAGTTCATCAAAACTCACAACTCTCCACTACTCCTGAAAGCCTTTTTTTTTTTTTTTTTTTTTTGTAGAGACAGAGTCTTGCTCTGTTGCCCAGGCTGCAGTGCAATGGCATGATCTCTGCTCACTGCAACCTCTGGCTCCTGGGTTTGAGCAATTTTCCTGCCTCAGCCTCCTCAGCACCTGTAGCTAGGGCTACAGGTGCACACTGCCACGCCCAGCTAATTTCTTTTGTATTTTAGTAGAGATGGGGTTTCACCGTGTTGCCCAGGCTGGTCTCGAATTCCTGAGCTCAGGCAATCCGCTTGCCTCAGCCTCCCAAAGTGCTAGGATTACAGGTGTGAGCCACTGCACCTGGCCTTGAAAGGCTTTTTTGACTCCTCCTTCTTGATTACAATGTAATTGTCTCTTCACTAGTCTCCCGTGGCATCTGATGCACACCTCCACCTGAATAACATTCTGCTCTGCAGCTCTCACAGTGTCTGGCACACTAAATATAATAGATACTCAGTTAATGTTTGTTCAATGAATGCTTCAAGGAGTTAAGCTCTCAGCCCCTATTTCAGACTTAAAGCGCTTCCACGTTTTCTCCTCTTCTTCCATGTGGAAGGTCCCAGAGTCTGTCTGCTTCCTTCTCTTGGGATTCTTCTACCCCTAGAACCTTGGCTACAGAGAAGAAGTCCATTTTTTTCTGTTCAGTCCTGGTTGTTGTCCTAGTGAAAGTTCACAGGCTCTTTTTGTTTATGTGTTGATTACTTCATGGAAATAGGAGATAATAAAAATAACGAGCTGGTCCTGGTAGTTACAGAGTTATCACAGTGGCTATTTCTCACTGCCCTCTCTACCCAATTCTGATCATCTTTCCCTTAGTTTGATCCTACTTTTAGATATCTTATAAAACTCTTCCTTCATAATCCATCTCTCTTAGGCCTGAGGATATGGTTGAGGCAGAATATTAATTATCTATTGTTACATAACAGCTCATCCATTTAAAATAGCAAACGTCTATTATTTCACACAGTGTCTGAGGGATATTAATCCAAAAGTGATGCAGTTGGGTAGGTTTTGACTCAGGGTGTCTTGTGAGCTGCCATGTTGTTGGCTGGGCCTGTAGTCTCATCTAAAGGCTCAACTGAGGGAGGATCCTCTTCTAGTTAATTCCCATGGTTGTTGGCAGGCCTCAGTTTTCACAGGCTCCTGGCTGTTGGCTGGGGGCCTCCCATCAGCCCCTCAGCATGTGGGCCTTTCCATAGGTCAGTTTACAACATGGAAACTCGGAAGTCTCATATCACTACTTTTGCCGTATGCTATTGGTCACATAGACTCAGCCCTGGAGCAGTGTGGGAGGGACTACACAAAAGTGTGACTATCAAGAGGGTGGAGCACGCTTCTTGAAGGCTGATGATCGCAGGCAGAATTAGGGCCTTTCATCTCAAGCAGAAAATAGCATTTTAAGAGATTCCCACCTAGATGATGCCCAGTTTGGGTGGTCTCTGGTGTATTTGGGGATAATTTTCTCTTTTTCTTCCTTTGTTATGGTCTATAGATTTGTGTCCCCCCCAAATTCATATGTTGACACCTACTCCAGTGCAATCGTATTAAGAAATGGGGCGTGTAGAAGGTGATTAGGTCATGAGTGCAGAACCCTCATGAATGGGCTGAGTGCCCTTATAAAGGAGGCTCCAGGGACCTTGTTTGCCCCTTCCACCATGTAAGCACAAAGTGAGAATATTCCTTCTATGAGAAATAGGCTTTCACTAGACACCAAATAGGGGAGAAACTTGGTTTTGAAGTCTGGCATTAAAGATCATAGCAAATGTTTATGATAGAGCATAGGTTTTTATTTCAATTTCTGCTAGGAAGTTCCCTGAATGTCTCATTTTTCTAAGATGATACTGGTGCCTTGATCTTGGGCTTCCCAGCCTTTAGAACTATAAAAAGAACAAATTTTATGTTTATAAATTACCAAATCTAAGGTAGTTTGTTATAGCAGACTAAATGGACTGACACATTTCCTTATCAATGTTATGGAGTTTTAATCCAAACACTTTTTACAATTCAGTTACATTATTTCAGCTGATGCTGCTTTTGACTATTTGGAACAAAGATTAGCATCCCATGTAGTTAGGAGTGTAGAATGCAATCTGGCCTTAAGCCATCCTATTTCCTAGAGTCCAAATGGCAAATTAGAATCAACATTTCTAATTTTTGCTTTATAAGCATAGCATTATTTTCAGCACACTGAAGGTAGGTGTCGGGAGGGCAGAAAAGTGCCTAAGGCATGCTAAAATGATAGATTTTAAAAAATCACCTGCTTTGTGGTTACTTCTATTGCTTTATAAATTATACTTATGTGTTATTCGCATAAGTGATTTTCTAATTAGTTAGAATAGGAGTCCTCAAGGAAAGACAGCCAATGCTGTTGCTCCTCAGAACCTAGTAGATAAATTGACTTGACAGAAACATTTCCAAGGGAATATATTTTAGGGCCCAAGGGTCAGAACGTGGTGTCATGAAGTGGATCAGCACACCACCGCATGAATTCTCCTGATACACACTGTTCTGCGCCTTCACAGCTCGGTTGCTGGACAGTGGTCTTCAAAGTAACACTCGCAGGGTCCTAGGAACGGGGTACAATGGGGAGGGGCAGAGATGGTTACGGGTGGCCATGAACAAGGAAGGTTCCAGCCCTTCCTGTCTACCCTTTCTGCAAGTAGAGAAACGCTATAATTTTTTTTGTTTTTAATATTGAACTTCACATAACCACAATTGCATTTTGAGAAGAGATTTAGCAGCTTCAAAAAGAAAGCTAAGAACCTGTAGCCTGGGAGACAGTGTAACTGGAGCATCTCAGGAAGGCATCCCTGAGCACATGCAGCTCTCTTGGTAACCACCTGAGTGAGCAGAGAGATCAAATGAGTTGTTCCTCTTCAAAATTTTCCTTTGGGGAAACCAATTTTTTTTTCCTAATGATGTTGCTTTTGTTCAATATGTTGTTAACTGATGAAATCCTATCAAAAGACTCAAGAAATTCTTCCTAATAACATCTCAATCTTCAGAGGGAGGATCTCACTGTCCTGAAGTCAATTGCAGCTGAGTCTGGTGTGGGGTTTCTCAATCGTGGTACTACTGACATTTTTGGCTGGATAATTCTTCATCGTGGAGGACTGTCCTGTGCACAGCAGCATCCTTGGCCTCTACCGCCAGATGCCAGTAGCACCTCACTTCCTAGTTGCGACAATCAAATATGTCTCCAGACACTGACTGATGTCCTCTGGTGGGGGCAAAATCACCCTCCCCCGACCTCTGCAGAGAAGCACTGGTCTGTTGAGTACAAAGAACTGCCAACACAACAATGCCATTTTTGGACCTAAGTCTGAGGTTGAGTATGATGCACTGCTCCAGCTTTTCATGTGGTTGGTTCAGAAACAGACTTTGAAGGAATTCTCCAAAGAGAAATGCCAAGAACTTTTGAATAAAGTCCTGGCATTGCTGGAGTAAGTGTTAAGTGTTTGGTCTCCTAAGATAACTTCTTGGAAGCTGGCAGGCTCGTTTGTTGTACCAGTCTAGTAGGTTTGTCGTAAACCAGGCCTGGTACATTACAGGTTTGTTTTGTTTCTCACCAAAGTGTCTTCCTTACCCAAGGAAAAACTAAAGAGGAGAAAAAAGCACAGTGCAATTAATCTTGTTGTTTTAGTAAAATTTTGGCGGGAAAAATAAGAGAGAAACTTGGTTTTGAAGTCTGGCATTAAAGATCACAGCAAATGTTTGTGATAGAGTACAGGTTTCTACTCCAGTTTCCTTCTGGAAGTTTACTGGATATGTCATTCTTCTGAGCTATAAATGCAATCTCTTATTGTTATTTAATCACAAAAGATACTTTGTTTCCCTACCTGGCACTTGAATAAGTTTCCATTTTTCCCCTCTGCATGACTTCGGGTTAAGAACAACAAAAACAACAACAAAAGAAAAGCTTTATTTGAAGAGAATCTGTCTCTAATCAATCGCAGCTGTAACTTACGACACCACCAATTAAAAAGCCTGGGCTTCGGCTCTGCTCAAATGCAAAGGCCACGTGCTGACCTAGTGATCAGTCACCTTGGGGGCAGCAAGGGTCGAGGGGCATCTGTTTGTCATTTCCTGTCACAACAGTGCCATTTGCAGGAATGTCCAGGGAGCACACAAGGATGGTATGGGCATCCTTCATCAGACATCTCCTCTGATCGGTTTTTGGAGAGAGGCCCCAGGAAAGAAAGTGATTGCTTGGTGCTGAGCTGTGGGGCTCTGTTGCAGGAACAGCATGTGATCCAGGGGCTAGGCTATCCTTGGAGAAGCCCGTGTGTTTCCTCAGTGAAGATCAAAAGCAAGAACAGAGTCTACAGAAAAATACAGTTCAAGAGACCTATGGAGCTCCCAGTTGCCATGGTGTGAGGAATAGATGAACAGAAATCTAGAATTTGCGTAGGTTAGATGCTTTCAGCAGAAAGAGCTATGTAAATATCTAGAGGAATAAATGGATTTATTTCCAGGTTACTTTTTTGTTATGGGCTAAGGTCTTCAATGGATGGGGTTGATAATGAGATCTGCCTGATGTAGGAAACAGACTGAGATAATTGCTGTAAGCCACCAGAGCTTGGCACCTAATAAATGATAGATAAAATTATAAAAATAATGACCATCATTAGTATTAATAGCTCAGAGACTATTACATATCCCTGTACATATCCAAAGTAAAGAGGAGAACAAGGTAAATATGGAGATGACTTAGATCTTCAAGCTAATTGTGTCTCAATCACCTATTTTAGGCAAACTGTGAATGATCCAGATAATTCTCTCTGCCCTTGTATTAGTTTCTTGTGGCTGCTGTGACACATTACCACAAAGTAGGTGGCTTAAAACAACGGACATTTATTCTCTCACAGTTTTGGAGGCGTGAGGTCTGAAATCAAGGTGTCAGTGGGGTTGCGTGCCCTCCATTCATCCCCAGAACAAATCCTGTCTCGGTGGCCTGTGTCTTCACTGGCAGAATAGAAGGCTGGGACCAGGGTGGTGATACCGGCAGGATGTCCTGACAACGGCATTCCCTTGTGTTTGTTTATACTTAAAACAACTCTTCCCTGTGGTCCAGGAAGGGTGAATGGAGAGGCTCTGAGTGGAGATGACAGGGCTTGGTCACAGATTGCGTGTAGGGTTGGAGGCCGAGAGTGGCCGATGATGACGGATTTCTTGCTTCGGAGACTGGTAGTGTTACTGACAGATGTGAGGAAGCCGGGAAGGTGACCCATGCTGAGTGGGCAGCTGGTGCATTTGCTTTTAAAGAGTAGATTCTGGCCTCATTAAAGTGTAGACAGCTCCTTCCTTCTCCATAGAGTCACTGCAACTTCATGTCACCAAGCCCAGTTCTACATTTCAGCTTTTCTCTTGCCTTGTCTGTGTGTGTGTGTTTTGGGGGAAGGGCAGGTAACATGTCAGCTTCACATCCCAGGATGTCAGTAGTCGGAAAATAAAAGCTCCCTGAGGCCTCTTTTTTTGATAGGTCTGCAGAACAATTTTTACCAACTATTTGTAAACGATGTGTGTCACTTCACATGATTTATTATTTTCAAAGGTAGGAAAATATGCAACTTCTTATGCTTAGTCAATAATTGGTTAATAATAAATTCCACCAAAGAACTTCTGTAATTTTCCAAGTACCAGATGTTTTGCTTCTCAAATATCTGTTTTTCCCAGTCGTTGACTGCTATTCGACCGTTTAACTGGTTAATATGAGCACCAAGATAAATAAATGGAGACCTTTTAACCCACAGAGTTTGAGTGACAGCTTGGACTAAACCACCAGTCTCCTGCTATAAGAAAACACAAAGGCAACCCTTAACAAAGTTAGACACAGACGTGTTTTGAAGGTCAGGTAATTTATTTTTTTGAGAGAGAGGAAGGGTAAAGAATTAAATTTTATTAATTATATGTATATTTTTAGTCTCAGGAAGAAATATCCATTTAGTTTTGCAATACTAAGGAACTACACAGAATGACTCAAAGTATTATATATTACAGAACAGGTCTAGACATTGTGGGTTTTCTAAATTAAAGTTGTTTTTCTCTACCTCCTGGGTCTTTGTGTTCTGTCACAAAAATGTTTTTCACTACAATGATTTTGTACCATTTCGGTACTTCTGATCAGATGTAAACACCTGAAAAAAATGTATAATGTTTTTGTTCCTTCAATATGATTTAGCCTTGAATTGGAAACACTGTCACATGAATTTATGGTTTGTACAATCCAGGAAAATGAAATACTAAAATATCTTGTGGTTTTGCAAACTGCAATTCAAACATGCACACATGCCCAGGCACACACATGTATGCACACACATATATATACATAATATATATATATATATATATATATATATATATATATATATATATATATAATCACACACGTATGCACATACACAATATCTGAGAAGAAACTGTCCAGTCAGAAGACTGAAGAGTAGAAGTAGAATCAAAACAGCAGGCAACCTGGAGAAAGCTCCCAGAGACAGGTTGCCTCATCAGTAAAACACTTTCTTGTCACTTCCTCAGCTCAATATTGAATTGCACCAGCATTCTCATGAGATTGTATATTAATTTAATAGACATTTCTGTTGGAAATATTTCTCCCCCAGTCATGCAGATTTTATTTCTCTTTGCCTTATCATTCCTCCTTTCCCAAAGTGAGTCATTAGAAACGTAGGATGTGATCCCACACTTGGTTGCGTTGAAGTGTAAGTCATTACTAGATATTAAAGGTTCTTAGTCCTGAAAGGAGATCCTCTTTCCAGGTGGGGAAGAGGAGGGATGGGTCAAAATCTGGGGGTGTGTCTGGTTTGTCTGTTTACACCCTGGCACTCCCTCAACAGGGAAAATCACTCAGGAGCCCAATTAAGGGGCAGGTCTGCTGGGCAATTGCTCAGAAGTGTTAAGACGTCACTGGAAAATTGGAAACAGCCTGTCAATTAATTCAGGTTATTACACTTAACCAGAGAAGTAGGCAGTACCTCCAAATGGAACTTCAAAAATGAAACACTCCTTTCTAATGCCTTCTCTACCCCACTAAATAAATACTGGATTTAAAGAATATCAATCTGAAGTGACCCCCCAATTTTTGGGCTGCCTGGTGCACCCAAATGCCTAGAGACCACTCTGTGGCCAGGGCCACTCGGTGCGGTCACTCACTTTTCTGACCACTGCCTGTCACAAGTGATGGGCAGCCCAGGAGTGCCCAGAGTAGGAGACATGGCAGCACAGCACTTCTTGGTCGTGTCCATAATGAACTCTTGGCCCTAATCCCTGCCTCCCACAAATGTTAGTCCAGTCCATCTGCAATTATTTCCCCATTAAATAACAATGACTAATATTATTATTTCTTGCAAATGGATTTCCTGTTTCTGCCTGAAATAAGTGACTTGCAAAGTCATAGTCTGTGTTCACAACATTGGCCTTGCTCCTGGCTTCTCTCTCCCCACCTCTATTAATCCCATCCTCCCATCCTCCAGCCCCACCCTCCCAATTTCTCCCTGTGCCCACCTCACTCCACTACCTGGTGCCAGCCTCCACAGATGCCCTGCCAGTGGGTAGGATGAGCGTGGGTGTGGAATGGAGCATGGCTGGCTGACTTCAGTCAGGATTAGTTTTTAAAAGAACTATATCCAGACCTTAATAAGAAGGTGTTAGAGTGAAAAAAAATTTCCATTGTAAAAGAAGCTTAGAAAACAAACAGTTCCAAATTAGCCACAATAAAAGGATGCGTTATACATGATTACAGAATGTCTGGTAAGTTACAGACAAGTTTGACCTGCTCCGGAAAACTTGAAAGGTTCTGCTGTGCAGAGAGTGAGGTGGGAGTCTTTGTGTTAGAACCTCTACCTCTCTCAGCTTCAAGTCAAGTTTCAAGCATCATATCCCAGATCACAGAGAGATTTGAGATTGTAAATGGTCACAACTCTCCTAAAAATGTTGCCTGATGATAAACTTACAAGAGTTACCTCTAATTTGTACATTTATATATTCCTAGGAAACTCTTTCTCCAAAGCAAAAATTCCCACTTTATTTTATTGGTGTATTTTCAGGTGGGTAGCAGACTTATGAATAGAAGGGAATAAACCATTATTGAGCTATTATGACTCAGGACTCAGGAGGATATTGAGCTATGATGATAGCTCAAATTTATGTATATTTATAAATATATAAACTCCTGAGTCATAACAGTTCAATATCATAGATATGTATCTTTATTTTTTATCAAAATATCAAAAGTTTTTATGGACAAATATTAGGATTAGCGTTAAACTGCTATTACAAATAAATCCCTGAATTTCAGTAGCTTAACACAATAATTTTCCTTTACAACATAGCTCAGTTTGGTTTCAGGACAATGATATCAAGGATGGGGTGAGTGACAGAGGTGGGGCCTCTGTTCCACATGGAGATTCAGGGACCCAGGCTGATGGAAGACTTCTACAACATACAGCTTCCAAGTATACCTCTGATGTCAACATCCAGAGGGAGGGAGTGAAAAGAGCATGGAGAAGTGAGTTTGGGAAGTTTTATAATTCTGGCTTAGAAGTTACATGTGATTATTTCTGTACCCATTTCGTTGACTAGAACTGAGTCTCAGAGACACCCAGGACTTCAGGGTTGACTGGTAAATGTAGCCTAGCTGAAAGTCAGGAAGAAAAGGAATGGAATGTCTGATGGATAGCTTGCGGTCTTTGTCACAGACACCAGACTATAGAAAGTATGATTCCCATTTAACAGGTAAGGAAGCTATAACTTGTCCAAGATAACTCAGCTAGGAAGAGAAAGGATTTGGGGGTACAGGGAGCCCTGGGACCTCCAAAAATTAATGATTAAGGCACTGCAGTAATTATAATTGCTATTTATTGAGCATTGTGCTTTTTTTTTTTTTTTTGAGACAGGGTTTCATTCTGTTGCCCAGGTTGAAGTGCAGTGGCCCGATCCCCACTCACTGCAGCCCTGACCTCCCAGGCTCAAATGATCCTCCCACCTCAGCCTCCCAAGTAGCTGGGACCACGAGGTTCTTGACACTGTGCCTGGCTAATTTTCGTATTTTCAGTGGAGACAGGGTTTTGCCATGTTGCCCAAGCTGGTCTTGAACTCTGGACTCAAGTGATCTGTCTGCCTCAGTCTCCCAAAGTGCTGGGATTACAGGCGTGAGCCACTACACCCAGCCAGAGCATTGTGCCTTTACTTCACAATGATAGTAAAATGTATATTTTATTATCCTAGAAGAGCTAGGCAAGAAAACTGAGGCTCAGTGTTGTTCTGTGTGTCCAACAAGAACAAGGTTGGACTAGGATGCAAATGAATTTCTTTCAGACTCAATAACCTATCTTTGGCCAAACTTCTATAATGCTTCTTACCTTGTCTCCTCAGATTCAGCCCTGAATTTGTAATAGCAACTGGATGGAGGTTTGGGGAGGATTAGGTCAACTAGGTTAGCTATAAGTACATTTTGAGTACAGTTTGTCATAATTAAGTACAACTTTCTTCCTTCCACTGTTTTAAGAAAATCCTCCCATTGATTCATGCAACTTTGATTGGAAGTCTCAGTGGCAAAACGTGCATTTAAATTGTGTAAATATTACGGTACTACTTTCCCCCACATATTTGCAGTCGTTATCCTGCAAAAAATGGGGGATGGGTGTTATCATCATAAACAAATGTTTATTGAGCACCTTATTCCAGAGGAGCTCATGATGCTGGGAAATGGGAAAGCATACCATAGGATCCCTGTTCTCCCCAGACTTACAGAGGGACTGGGGAGATGGAGCATGGATATATAAAAAGATAAATGATAACACAGGGTGGAGTTTGCTAGGAGCCAAAGGACCAGTGCCAATAATAAGTGCTATAGGATGGCTGGGAGATGGTTTTTGAGCAGCTGCTAATGTGCTGGCCTCAGTCCTGGGTGATTTCATGTTATCACATGAATCCTCCAGGAACTCAGTGGTGGGAGTAATCGCTGTGGATTGGGATGGCCAGAACGTCTTCAGAGGGGAGGTAAGACTTGAGCTAAGTTGAATTATATGGTGATATTTCTCAACAGTAATGAAAGCTGGCTGAGCAAAAACCCAGAGCATAATTTCTCACTGGCTGGCTGCTCCAGATAGTAATAGCTTCAGTGCCCTTCAGAGTGGAATTTTCCTGAGCCTGTGAAGATGTGTGAGGTGTACCCAGCAGGTAAGCATTCTTCCATTTGCCTTCCACCCGTTGCTTTAATTAAATGCACATTGCTTCTCCTGGTTAGTTCTTCCAAGACTCCAGAAGTTGTGGAATGTCACTGCAGCAGCTGAAATGGCAGTTCACTGAGTGGAAATGATGCAGACAGGGAAAGGGATCTTTTAAGTCTTTTTTTTTTTCACATTGGTGATGGGGGTGGAGGCAAGGAGAAGGTGGGGTTGGGCCATCGGACCAAGGGAAAGAATGATTCTGGGGAAGATTTCCTCTAATTTCTGAGTCCTTTTCTGATGTTATGGCTGCTGCTTTTTTTTTTATATATATATAGAATTCAGTTAGATTTGTGGCAGGAGGCTCCTAGATTTACACTCTTCCTCCAGGAATTAGGGAATCACAGAAAAAATAGCTACAGTTATGGAGGGCTTTCTATAAGTTTAAACCCTCCATATGGATTATTTTATTTAATCCTTACAATATGCAGGTACATTTTACTGATGAGGAAATAGAAGCCTAGAGAGGTTAAACAAGTTGCTCGAGATTATATTGCTACTAAGAGGTTCAAAGAAGAATTGGAATTTTCAATTTTCTTTAAACTTTAAAAAATGTAACAACTTTGGGGCCCAGGCGTGGTGGCTTATGTCTGTAATTCCAGCACTTTGGGAGGCTGAGGTGGGCGGATCATGAGGTCAAGAGATTGAGACCATCCTGCCCAACATGGTGAAACCCCATCTCTACTAAAAAAAATAAATAAATAATAATAATAATATGTATATATATAAATTAGCTGGGTGTCGTGGTGCGCACCTGTAGTCCCAGCTACTCGGGAGGCTGAGGCAGGAGAATTGCTTGAACTGGGGAGGCAGAGGTTGCAGTGAGCCGAGATAGTGCCACTGCACTCCAGCCTGGGCAAGAAAAGCAAAACTCTATCTCAAAAAAAAAAAAAAGTAACAACTCTATTAAGACATAACTCATATACATTACAATTCACTCCTTTAAAGGATATAATTCAATGGTTTTTAGCATATTCAGGTATGCAACTGTTACCACAATTTTTAGAAAATTCTCATCTCCCCCAAAAGAAACTCTGTACCCATAGCAGCCACTCCCTAGTTCTCCCCAACCCCTTGCTCCCCTTCAGCCCTAGACAACCACTAATAAACTTTCTGCCTATGTGAGTTTGCCTATTTCATATGAATGGAATAATATAACAGGCAGCCCTTTGTCACTGGCTTCTTTCACTTAGCATAATGCTTTCAAAGTTCATCCATATTACAGCATGTGTCTGTACTTCATTTCTTACTATGGCTGAATATTCTATTGTATGGCTATACCACATGTTACTTAACCATTCATCAGTTGATGGAAATTTATGTTGTTTTCATTTTTTTGCTATTATGAATAATGCTGCTATGAATATTTATGTATTTTTTTTTCTGTAGGCGTATGTTTTTATTTCTCCTGGGTTATACCTAGGAATGGACTTGCTGGATCATAGGGTAACTCTATGTTTAACCTTTTGAAGAACTGACAGATTATTTTTCAAAGTGACCGCACCATTATAGATTTCTACCAGCATAGAATCTTCCATGTAAACCACTCACAAGGTCATTTATATCTTGATCACTTTTTCTTTCTCTTTTTTTTTGAGACAGAGTCTCGCTCTGTCGCCCAGGCTGGAGTGCAGTGGCGCAATCTCGGCTCACTGCAACCTCCGCTTCCCAGGTTCAAATGATTCTCCTGGCTTAGCCTTCCGAGTAGCTGGGACTACAGGTGCCCACTACCACTCCCGGCTCATTTTTTGTATTTTTTTAAATAGAGACGGGGTTTCACCGTGTTAGCCAGGATGGTCTCGATCTCCTGACCTCGTGATCCGCCTGCCTCGGCCTCCCAAAGTGCTGAGATTACAGGCGTGGTTGGTCACTTTTTATGCACACAAAATATCCATTAGCTTACTATGGCTCTAATAAAAACCATTGAGAAACTGGAGAATTTTCTTGATGAGGAACCTTAAAGTCGAACTCCAGGTTTGGAAGCTTCAGTGCCTTTTGATTTGAAGATGGTAATTGAGCTAAGTGCTGATGAGGTAAATGATGAGAGCTGCCATATTTGTATGTCCCTTCATTTCCTGAGGCATTAGGGAGATTTTCTGCATATTTCTAGAACTGAGTGGTTTTTGGCAGTACATATGCAGGTGTGGCAATAGCTCAGGATTGTCTATTATTCTGAAAAGCCATTGACATTTGCTGAATGACAACACACAAAAGACGCATAATATCTATGCATATGTCATGCTGATCTCTTGAAATGTTAGGTACTCTGGGCATCAATTTACTGGGCATCAAATTTACATCAAATTCACATAAACCCAAGGCCATTCTTTTAAGAGGAAATAGGAGAAAGGAAACCCGGAAAGTAATTCTTTTTTGCTCTTTGCAACAGATATGTGAAAGGGGCCTAAAAGGTGATTTTCAACAAGGTATACGTGAATGAGTCTTGAGCCTTTCTGTCTGGGAATGGAGGAGCATTTGCTGAGTGTTTATTCTGAGTGCACTGGGCGGATGTGAGAAGGGAATAAGCCATGGTCTCTTGCCTCTGGCAGTTTCTAGCCTGTGTTACCACATAATAACTCAATGCTAAGCTGTGACTGTAAGTGCTACAGGGATCGAGGGAAGGGAGAGGTGGAGTGTGCAGCAGTGGCAGCTAAGAAAGCTTACACAGGAAATGGAACCAACCTTACAGAAAGCCAAGCCTAGAACCGAGTTAGGCTGGAAGGAATGGTGAGACTATTCCAGGTGGGGTCAGTGGTACCAACATGACAGAAGCCACAATGTATTTAGGGGTCAATGGACAGATGGGCCTGGCTGGAGCAGAAGATATATGGGAAACTTGGAGTGAGGAAAGGTTAGAAAGCAGAATAGCATCATGGAAGGAGCATGGGACAGGGAATCTGGACATATGGATTCTGCTTTTAGTTTTGCTACTAACTAGTTTTCGATGCAGGCTCTGTGATTTAGTATGGGGCTTCTGATTCTTAATCTATAGACTATGGGAGCTGAACTAGTCCTAGTTCTCAAATCTGATCTTATATGACAATTCCCCGAGTGTTTATTTAAAATACAGACTCCTGGGTCCATCCTGTGAATGTCATGTTTCCGTAGATATGAAGTGTGGTCCCAGGGTCATGGTTCTCTTGCTGCACAGTGGAATTATTTGACTTGTTTTTAAAACTAGGAATGCCTCAGTTCCAACTCCAGAGATTCTGATTCGATGGGTCTTGGGAGCAATGTAGGCTTTGGGAATTTGCAAGGCTCACCAAGTGATTCCCAGGGGCAGCTAGGCTGAGAAGCACTTATCTCTGGTGGATTTGGTGCCCCTGGTTGATTCCAAAGTACTGGAGGCCTGGCTGGAGACTCCATGGGAATGGAAGGTCTCCAGATCTAATCCTAACTCTGAAGGACTTTGATTCTGTAAAAAGCGTGCTGAAATCAGGTGGTGAAGGGCCTTAAATGTTAGAATGATTTATATCACATCTTGTTTTATAGGGAGCAGGAAACAAGTAAGATGTTTGAGCTGAAGAGTAGTTTAACATGTCTCACCTTTGTACATTTCATTGTTTTAGGGCATGAGAGCCACCACCGAGGAAGAAAAGAGAAAACTGCCTCTTCATTCATGCGTTTATCTGGAAAGGGTGACCACTGCCAATTCCGTCGTGTGACAGGATCTAGTGTCTCTGCACAGCATAAACAGAAACAGTCAAGGGGGAGAGGTGGAATACAACCCGAGGCCGCAGGGTGGTATGGTGTGGTTGTCACCGAAGTGCAGGCATCCTTAACCAAAGGACAGGCCACACTGGTGGGCTGGAGAGGACTGCAGGCAGGGTGGATTTAAAATTATGTTTTAAATTACATCCTCTTTTCAATTCTTTTAATCCTCAGAAGAATCAAGGCAAGCCTCAGTTAATCAGTAGCATGGTTCATGGTTTTAATGGTTCTCTGGTATTTGCCAATCTTCCTTTTTTTTTTTTTTTTTTTTTTTGAGATGGAGTCTTGCTCTGTCACCCAGGCTGGAGCGCAGTGGTGCAATATCGGCTCACTGCAACCTTGGCCTCCAAGGTTCAAACGATTCTCCTGCCTCATCCTCCAGAGTATCTAGGACTACAGGTGCATGCCACCATGCCTGGCTAATTTTTGTATTTTTAGTAGAGATGGGGGTTTCACCATGTTGGCCAGGCTGGTCTTGAACTCCTGACCTCAAGTGATCCACCCGCCTCGGCCTCCCAACAATCTTCCCTTTTGACAAAGAAGCAGCAGGATCCCCAGGCTTAGAGCCCCAGGTGGCTAACATTATCTAGTTAGAATTTAGTAATAGGACATCCCCTGCCTTGTCTAAATCCATCTGGCCCTTCCCCTCTGGGGGGTTCAGATAGGGAGGATTGGGACCTTCTATAAATTTGCTTCTTGAATAAACTTGACTGAAAACGTTAGTTTTAAGAGAAGGTTAATAATAGCACAGATGGAAAGGGGAGGCAGAAGGAAAATGGATCTGTGACAGGCTGTACAAATAAATGACCCTCAGGAAACACTGGTGGGGTCTCTCCAGAATCTGGACTAGAAGTCGGAAACCCCGGTCAAGGTTCCCAGTGCTGGTGGGCTCCTCCTGTCTCTAGACTATCACAATAACTGTTGGGGTCTCCACCTAACAATCTTTAAATTTCTTTTCAGGTCTGAAATACTACATTTCCATGACAATATTTCTAAAATACAACCCCTTCCCGGAAGACTGATCATATCTGGTTATTGACAAGGGGTCATGCTGCCACCCTCTCTGCTGCCACTGGCTGCTGGGAGCTTGTGGGCAGCTCCCAGGGACTAACCCTGGCATTATTTCTGTGGGACCACCAGCTCCAGATTTCCTCAGAAATTGGAGGGCAAAAACATTTTAAGGAATGTGGGCCCTGCAGGCTAAAACATCAAAATATTTTAAGAGCAAAACAAAACAAAACGAAATGAAACAAAACAAAGCTAGTGAAAACCAAAACAAACCAAATAGCCTTGTAGTTAACTGAATTTTCTCCACTTTTTCAATTTTTTTTTTTTTTTTTTTGGTGGGGGAATGTTTTTCTTTCCTAAAAACGTTTTGTCAGGGAACAGATGAGGTATTCTATTAAAATGCATTTGCTGCCACTATAGGGATGCTTCATAGATCAACATGAGAAATTCCTCCCCAAACTCCTCCCCCCACCAAAAAAAAGTGTCAACAAGTATCGTTCCATAGATGATTTGGGGGAAGTTTTGTGGTTCTCTAATCTGTGATTTTCAAATGGTGGTGTGTATAAGACTCACCTGGAAAGCTTGCTAAACACGAAGATCCTTGTCTCAGCCTCAGTAATCTGATTGCACAGGTGTGGGACAGGGTCCGGGAGCGTGGGTCTTTTATGAGGTTCCCAGGTGGTTTTGATACTGATGGTTTAAGACCACCATCCAGGATCCTGCACTGAGGGAAGGTAGGTGATGCAGTCTCTATCCAGGCCCATCCTGAGGGTGGTGGCATGAACCTCCACCCCTGCCCAATTTTCACTCAGGTTTCAGATTAATATCAAGGGCAACCCTGATGTGATCAGTATCTCAACAACAGAGGGTAGGATACAATTTAAGGGCATAGTTGGAGAAGTTCAAAAATCTATCTTTAAATCCCTGTTTGCTAGCTTTGTGACATTGGGCAGTAATATGGTTAGGCTTTGTGTCCCCACCCAAATTTCATCTTGAATTGCAATCCTCATAATTCCCACAATCCGCATGTGCCAAGGGAGAGACCTGGTGGAAGTAATTGAATCATGGGGGCAGTTTCCCCCGTGCTGTTCTCGTGTTAGTGAGTTCTTACGAGATCTGATGGTTTTATAAGGGGCTCTTCCCCGGCTTCACTTGGCACTTCTTCCTGCTGCCTTGTGAAGAAGGTGCTTTGCTTCCCCTTCTCGTTCCACCGTGATTGTAAGTTCCCTGCGGCCTGCCCATCCATGCTGAACTGTGAGTCAATTAAAGCTCTTTCCTTTGTAACAGCATGAAAACAGACTAATATAGGCAGGTTGCTTGTATTAGATAACCTTCCTGTCTCGACCTCCTCGTTGTTAAAATAATCCATAGAAAGCCCCTGGGTTGAGGTAAGCATTCAACAAAAGTTAGCTCTTATTATGGTGGTAGGAGTTAGGATATGGGAGGCATGGTGAAAGTGAAGTTTGTACACAGAAAGTAACAAGTGTAGGTGAGTATGTCAAAATATTGGAAGCTTTGTGCACAACCCTTGTTTGTGGGAGTGTAAAACGGTGTAGCTGCTGTGGAGAACAGAAAAACAAGTGGAGCTTGGATCCCAAGGGTTGCAGATGACAGGGGTGAAAGATATCCCATCCTGTCCCAGGCCAACTTCTGTGGCTCCCTGGTGCCCTGAGTGGCAGTAAAAGTCAAATGTCACATGGGGGTGGGGTCCAAAGCTTGGAGCCTGAGCAGGAGAGAAAAGTGGTTCTCAGCTTGGCATGCACACGATGGAGGTGACTCAATGTCAAGTTTCTGAGCATTTGAGGGCACCTGGTGACATAATGGAACTCATAGCCAGGTGTCCCATCTCCAAGTCCACCTTAACTATATCCTGGGCTGTTCTCAACACACCAGCCCCTGGGCAGCCCCCAGCACTTGGGGTGTTGGCTAATGCCTCCTAGAAATGGCTTTCTGGGAGTGACTCAGCAAACAAGGGGTTGTTGCTTCCAGAGGGCCAGCAGGGCTTTGTTAGTAGATTGCTCTGGAGCCAACACATATGCTCTAGTTTTTTCCAGGTGCCTATCAAAATTTGTGCACAAACAGTGCAGGCATGAGGTATGTGAAATAAATTCCATATCGTTTTCCTGTATGCAAAAGCCCTGTACCTTGACTTTGACAGAGACAGCAAACCCTTCTCCCCAGTGATGTGTCTGAGTTTCAGAGCATGAATTGAGCCTTTTTGAGCTCTTAACAATGTTTTGTTTCAGTCAGTGGTAAAGTCTGCTGACAAGGAAATACGAATAAATTTGAAGAGTAAAATAAGGGGGAATTTTCCTGTATGGAAGACAGAAAAATCAAGGTAGTCAGTCTAGCTGCTGATACCTCCCGACATTGATGATGGAGAGGAGGAGAAAGTCGGCTCTCGAAACTTACCGATCCGTTTTCCCTTTCCCTGCATCCTTTTTCTCTTTTCTCCAACCGCTTACTTCCACGAGATGATAAGGAGGAAGGGAACAAACACAAGAGCAGAGCAAGGAATTGTCTTTTTGGGGATAAATCTCTGATTTTAATCATATTTTGAATTTCTAAAGTTACCTTTCAGTCTTGGGATCCAACTTTATAAATATCTCCCAAGTAGCAGAAAAACAATTACTTTGACCTTCAAGGTGGGCTGTTAATTTAAACACCAATAATGATAGCTTTTCTTATATTTAAGGCACAGGTTGTTACAGTGTTCAAACAAACCGGGAAGTTTTGTCTGTACAACCCTCCTCTCTTTGACGCTGTTCTCTGGCCACCAGGATACGCTCTTTCTCTGCCTCCTCTCATCTTGAGCCGTTCTTTTCTGCCCACTGTCAGCCCGACATGAATCCAATAAGGGGCCTCCCTCTGTGTCACCAAACAAACTCCTGATGCAGGGGAAAGATGCAGAGCTCTGACTCCAGCCAATAATAACAATGTTGTAACATGTTCTAGATTTGCCTCTTAGGCACTCCGTTTGCTTTCCCCACCTGCCTTTAATTTTTGCCCTTACCACAAACCGACGGAGATATGCATCAGACTTATCAGATGAGTGCGTCCAATAGAACTGAAACGTTCAGTCTGTCTAATTTAGCAAATTCTAAATAGCTACCTTCAACTAAATTCAAAGAATATTATTGTTCCCATGTTCCTTCTTTAAAAAACAAAAACAGTTCCTTCGGTTAATTGAATCAAGATAGCCACTAAGAGAATGTCGCAACATATTTTTAAAAAATGGAAATGCAAGAAAATGGAAAGTTAACAGAATATTTTCAAGTGGCAATTTTAGTTTTCACAAAGGCTTAGGTCGGTTGTATTCTGTTGTCATTGAAATATCCCTGGTTTAAACGTAAGTGCTTTAATAACTAGTTAAGGAAAGAAAAACTTTCTTTCCCAGGCAAGCAGCAAAAGAAATCTTTCTGTTAAATTCCTTTGATTACAATAGTTCTTTGTTAACAGATTGTAACTTTGCCCAGGATGGGGAGATAAGCTCCTAAAAGCGAGACGACTTGTCCCTCCTGGGAAGAGAAGCTGTTGACCCTGAAGATGGATTGAAAGGAAAATACTTAATGCCTAGCACCTAAACTTTGTTCTTATTTGTCTTTACTGTCTCTGCCTGAGAAGTCTGACAAAATCAACATTAGTGTGGAAATAACGTAAAGCCAAAACGTTCTCCAGCAGGGGTGGATTTTACACCCAGATGGAAAACATGATTCACTCTTGTTGCTTGGAAACCCTTCCCAAATGGGAAAATATCGTCATCATGAGGTACGTCCCTGCCACTCAAAGCAGAAGTTTGGCAATGATGGGATTCCTTTGATTAAGTGGGATATCAAGAGGAAAAAAATATCCACCTTGGAAGACCTAAATCGTCTAGCCTGATTTAATAGCGATCAAGTTAAACAAGTCACCAAATCAGCAATTACCATGGGGGAGGGTCGTTAATGGTGTTTGGGTCTCACGTAGGAATAATTTCATCAGAAAGGACCAATTATTTTGTGATAATGTTTTAGGTCATAGTTCACATAATGAAATTCTAGGGTGCAGAATTGAGGAGGAACTTGAAAGATAATTTCATGTCCTCCCATTTTACGGTCAAAGAAACAGAGGCTTAAGCTGTTTTACCCAGTTGGTCAGGATTAGAATCCAGAGCTACATATTTCCAGGCCAGAGGGGCTTTCTGTCTCCTGCCACTGCCTTGTTATTTTATTAGTGGAGATTTACAAATGAGTACAGATGTACCCCAACCCCATCTTGTGAATGCAATTCCCCCTCCTCTGGGTACCCTCCTATCTGTGTCTCCTTGCAGTTCATCGATTGTCATGGTCAAGGGAAAAGGAGCATTGCTTTAAGAAGACAGAGGTAGAAAATGAAGGATTAAGAAAGGTTTAGAGGAAGAAGAGAAGGAGCCTGGGGAAATGGCTGGGCCAGCTGGGGCGGGTTTCACTGCACCCAAAACAGGGAGGAAGAGCCCTGCTGCCCTTCTCTTTACCCACCCTGACGCCAGCACTGCTTGCTAAGCATCTCTTCCACACTCCATCTCCATTTCCCCCTACAGTGGATGAGTGTTTTCATTCCTGTTATGCCTGAGAAAGTTCCAAAAATACACAGAGAAAGTCTGGTTATCTGGTATTTAGAGTTGGCCCCAGAGCAGAAACTACTTTGGAAAGGAGTTTGTTTTCAGTGTCTGTTTGCCAGGACTCAGCATCTTTGGGGAGATTTGGAGTTTGAAATAAGCACTTGAATATTTATGTTTTGTTCCAGCCCAGCTCAAGCATTTGAGTTTTTTTCATTGGCTAGGCCCAATTGATTTAATGATAATACCGCAGGTAAGAATCCTGGCTGGACTGCTACTTAACCATGGGCAAATTTCTTAATCACTATAGGCTCTGATGTTCTCACTGACAATAGGAATAATAATGATAATAATAATATACATCTCCTGGGGGTTAATGAGGGGTAAATAAGATAATGTTACTCAGGGGGTTACCACAGTGTGTGGCATGCAGTTAGAGGGCAGTAAGCGGTGATTGGCATTGTCATCCAGTTGTAGTCATGCACCAGGTCTTGACATACATCTGTGCTTAACACAATGTTAACCTGAATTAGGGGCTTTCATAGAGTAATCTAGAATTTTTTTTTCCATTTGTTTGAGGATATAGCTATAAGTTTAATTTTCTCTAGCTACTTTGGAAGGATCTTGGCCGAAGCAGAGTCTGGGCATACCAGGCTGTACCTGCTGGTGATGAACTGGCTTCAAGCTGAACACATCATCGGAGAGGCAGGGTGGTAGGCATGGGGAGGGAGGGGTCAATCATTTGGTTCACAGTGAGGACCTGTGACAGGGACCACTCGAGGTGCAAAACTACTTCTGCCCAGGGATCTTTGTTTCCAAAGTATATCACCTGGGACAGGGGCCACTCCTAGTGCAAAACTACTTCTCCCTGGGGATCTTGCATGGCAGGATTATAAAGTTCATGAGACTCTTTCATGCTGAGAATTCTCAACTCCAGTATGATGTACACAGAGAATGTAACTTCCCAATTGTAGCATCAGGGATTTCTAGGAATCCCTGAATCCCACTTTATCATGCCTATAATAAGACTTGGAATTACACCAATTTTAAATTCATATCCTGGTGCCACCACAGACTAGTTTTGGGACTTTGGCAAGTTACTCAATCTCCTTGAGCTTCACTGAGAATGCTTTGGTGGAAACTGATTTGTCACGTGACTTGCCCATATGAGGGTTGGATGAAGAGGTGGGAAAGGGAACACAATGAAACACTTTGGTAAATATTGATGGTGTTGGCATTGACCTTGGGTAGTAGGAGAGGGGCACAGTCAGGACAGTTGGCATAGCCAGAGTTTCTGGAATTTCTTGAGATCTCTAATTTTGCAAGAAAGCTAGAGCCAGGCAGGTGTCCTAGTAGTTTTTCAAAAAAGTGACAGGTGGATCCCAAATACAAGTTGGACTTACGTGTTTGGGTTTGAGAGTCATCATGACATAGGAAAAATTCCTCGACTTCTCTGATCCTTAGTTTTCTTGTGTTTAAAAGGGGATAATGACTACTTCTCTGCTCATTCTGCAGTGTGTCGGGAGACTCAAGGTCATTTGTATGAAAGTGTTTTGTAAAGTTGCTTATGTAAGTGAAACAAATTCGTAATATTTTCTTACTAAAGGAGATGACAGAGTAATCCATAGCTGACTTCCTTCTATCCTTTTTAATACTCCCCTTTCATTCTCCTTATCACCACTTACTTGAGGAAGGGGGCATTGTGCTATTTAGTGCTATATAAGAAAACCAGTTGAAGTGATGAGATATTTAGAAGACTTATCACCATGCAAGAGAAAAAAGGTTCCCATCTTAATTATATTAGACAAAAGGTAAATAAATGATGAATTTGTGTTTGACATTTGCGGTCAGAAGTGGGCTTTGCTTTTTCCTAATAATGCAAAAACAAAATGACTTGAAAAAAAATTAGCTGATTTGATGGGTTATAGCACAGATTCGGGGTTAGGGAGGGGGATGGTGATGGAGGCTTGCAATTGAAAAATCAGCCAGAGAGATTAAAGTCTGGAAAATGCCTATAGAACCTATTCAATTCTGCCAAGGAAATTTCCATATCAGAACAGACCACTTGACCATATGCATTATAGCTTTGCCTGCCCCTGGTTTGAACTTTTATTAGGTTATTCCATCTGGCTCCTGGTCACAATTAGAAAGTATTCAATGTGAGAAATCTCTGCAGTCTGAGGTTTTAGTTCACAGAGAATTTTGATAATTCCACTTATCTTTATTGGGCTGCTCGTAAAGAGATTGAAGCTCTTTAACCAAACACTGTCTCTAAACCCATATGGAAAGAAGATGATGGGTAAGCGATTAAGATGTTAAAATGGAGGAAATGCAGGATCTGTTAATGGTCAGAAGGAAGATGTCAGGTGGTGTACTGAGCTATTTGGCTGCTTGTCTGGGATACTTAATGAGTGGGGTGTGTGTGTGTGTGTGTGTGTGTGTGTGTGTGTGTGTGTGTGTGTTTATGCACATGCATGCATCATAGCCAGTTTAGGTAAAATTGTGATTGAGGCTATTTCTCATCATTCCTTCCTCTTCCTTTTTGTATTTTCACTGCTTCTCCCTCCTAGCAGGAGACTCCGATATTTGATTGCTCTTCTCCCTCTCTCCTCTAACCTTTCTCTTCAAGTCTGCCTTAGGCACTCTCCTGCATACCAAGGGTAATTGACCATTAACAGCTCAGGGTGGTATTAGTGGGGGAAAGGGAGATCTTTGCTATTTTAAGTTTATGCTTCAAAGAGACTCTTCAGCTGCAAGGGGTGGAAATGTTGACTAGGATTTCATGGCAGAGGTCTAGTGCTTGGAAAAGTCACTTTGCCCAACCACCGGAGGATGTTTTACCTGGAGAAGTGTTTGCGAAAGGGAAAAATGAGAGCTACCTTTAAAGACAGTAACAGATACGAGGGAGATGACTTTGGTGTTGGTGCACTGCACCGAGTGGAGGGAGCTGGGGATGTAAACTCTAAGGGGAGAGATTTCGTCTGAGCTCATGAGTGGGAAGGGTCCCCCACAAGGTGAGGCAGTGAGCTCCGAGACCCTGGCATGGCTGTGGAGGGCATTCTTGCAGTGAGTGGGGAGGCAGGGCGGGACACATTAAGGCCTCTGGAACTCTAAGTACTTCTCGGACCAGTTGTCGGGGGGAGGTCATCCTATAATGTGGAGTTGAAGTCAACCTATATTTTTAACAGAAAATGCAGTTTTCCTTTACTCTTTTGTGTTGTGAAAGCAATATCAGGTTTTTAAGAAAGTTTCGGCTGTGCCCCTTTTCCTGCCAAACGCTATTTTTTGCTTCTTCCTCAGTGCTTTGTTCTATATTTTTCAAGTGGTGCTTGGATAGCTCAAATTTGCTAATTTAGACTTTCACAATTTCCTGGAGACCGAATAAATTCCTGCCTTGCAGTTCTCAAGTGCAAGGTCGTTCAGATGACATGAGATACAGCAGAAAAATGGCATTGTTCTCATTTTCAATAAACATCTCCGATTAGTATTCATTTGAGATATTAAGAGTGCCGAGAGTAAACACCAGGGTTTTATCCTCTCATCTAAATGGGCATTAGCTCAAGGTATGTCCCTTCTGTTTTGTCATGATTCATAAATCACCTGCCTGTAAAAATCAAAGGCTGACAATATTTGGTTACCTGTGGCAATGATGGCCTTTCTATCAATGACATTTGCCTTCCTGCCCTGGGTTCTTTGTAAGTACTGGAGCCTTTCTCCCTTCACCTTTGACCTGGTCTTCCTGTCCCAGCATAAACATCTCCTCTTTTTAATTCTGACAGACGCCTATAGAAGAACAGTGAAACACTACAAGACTTGGGTTTCTTTGTGTTTGTTTGGTTCTCTCTGCAAAGTGGTCTGGCTGAATATAATCAATGTTATTCCTCTGCTTTGTTGAATGAGCTTCGAGTAATGATGTGCAGATGCCAAATGTGACATGTCTGGGGACAAGGTAGTTTAATTCTAGTCTCATTTGCAGAGATGACTTGCTATCATTAGGGGCTTTGTCTCCAAGAAGCCAGCTGACAGAAAGAGAAAGCCAGCCACTGCTCGGCAATGAGGCAAATGCATGCTATAAAAATGCTGGAGCATTCACTTAGCTATAGACTCCAAGTAGGAGCATTTGAGAACTGAGTTAAATCATTGTGGTCTTTCTTTAGTTTTTTCTTAAATGACAGTTATGAGTCTGTCTCTCAGTTTGTACCATTTGATGTAGGGGGTTTGGAAGGTTGTATCAGTAAAGCAGACCATATCAAAGGGTCTTGAGCCTGGGAGTTTGGGCCGAAGCTCAGCCTATAAATACCTTGTTAGCATTCTGATTATGGAGTCTGATGAGTGGAAGGTCTATGTGTTGATCCCTCGGCGACCTCCTGGCATTAAGTGCCATTAGTTAGGAATGAAGAGTCTTTCCTTGTCTTCAGATGCCGGCACTGGAAATAAATCCTGATGAAATTATTTGTATTAATCATTTTTTTATTGTGATGAAATATACTTAACATAAGTTACCACTTCAACCATTAAAAATGTGCAGTTCAGTGGCATTAAGTACATACACATTGTTCTGCAACTATTGCCACCATCCATCTCTAAATCTTTTTCATCATCCCATACAGAAGCTCTATGCTTATTAAACAGTAACTCCCATTCTCTCTTCCCTGCAGCTCAAGGTAGCCACTTATACTACTTGCTGTCTCTATGAATTTGTTCCAGGTATTTCATATATCTGGGAGATCATGGATATCCCCCTTTTACCCCCATTTAATCACTGCTTCTCTCCTTAGAGATGTCCACTGCCAGTAGTGTGGCGTCGCCTTCCAGCTTCCTTTCATGCATTTACATCCTTGTATCCCTCCTTATACACATTTCTTAAAAAAAAAATCAATGGGCACTCAGTATTCTAACTGCTCTGCAATTTGCTGTTTTTATGTAATATGTCTTGGAAATCATTTAAGTTCAAAATTCCCTCTTTTATTGTTTTCATAGTATTCCATAATACCACAATTTATTTAAATTGCTCTCAATTGATGGCCATTTGAATTGTCTCCAGCTTTGTATTATATTGTACTGTACGATAAATAGCTATAAACAACTTTTAACATCCTCCTCTGTGCACATGAGCAAGTACTTTTTAGCGCATGATTCCTGAAAGTGGATTGCTCAGCCAAAAGATGTACACTTAAAATTTTTCATAGATGCTGCCAAATTGTTCTTCAAAAAGGCATCACTAAGTTACACATTCCCTAAATGAATGATAGTGTTGCATTTCCTGGCATCCATTTCAGCATTTGATATTATTAGTCTTTTAAACTTCTGCCAATCTGACAAGAAAACCTTAAAACTTGGGATTCACATTAATCTACTACTGTAAAAGAAGAATCTAAAGAGGGAATAGGAAAGAGCAGAGGGGTGGAAAGAGAAGGGAAGGATAAAATAATTGTTCTGGAGGTATTGGTACCTTCTGGGGAATGAGAGGCAAGATTAAGGCCAGTAAGAACAGGTATTCCTGAAAGCATTTGCCAGCTCACCTCACTTCTGCTGCATTCACAAGCCATGTGGCCTCTTGCTGTGTGGTTGAGGAGTGATCCAAGGTAACTGTGTCCCCATGAGTTGTCCACAGTTGCCTCTGTCCATAGAAGAGGCCAACATGTGCTTGCTCTCACAAGAACAATGCTTTTTGCTGTCCTGAGGCTTAGCTTGAATCTGCTTTTCCTTCCTCACTGAAGGTTTCGTACACTTCCCTGTGATTAGGTGTTCATGATCTCTGTTGATGAATAATGTTAGAAGTGGAGACTGGCGCATGCTCAGAATGGACCCCAAGTAGTCTGCAGTCCCTTTGCCCAAGACAACTCCTTTCACCATGGAAAACTGATCCTTGTTTCTGGAAACACAAATCCAGGCTGGTCTTGAATATAGTTGTCCTTGTAGTCTGCAGAAGTGAGCGAACTAGAGTCCCACAGCACAGTCCCTCCCCTGGGACCCCAGGGCCACTCTGGTCACTCCATGTGATTTGGATGGGGCTGTTCACAAAGAAGAAATGGGAGGAGATACAACAGGGCCCTTTCTCTATGTGCCTGTCCTGCTGATTCCACTTCCAAAATAATTCCCAATTGTGCCCACTCTTCACTCCTGCTACCACCACCCCACTCCTGGCCACCACCATCCCTCTCTTGGGTGATTACAGTGGCTTTTGAGCCCATCTTCCTTGTCCCTAAGAGTCCTTCTCTCCAGCTAACCCAGTCTCTCCGGAGCAGTAGGAGTAATGTTAGGTTGAAAAATCAGATCATATCCCTCTGTGCTCACAACCCTAGAGCTTTCTATTTCTTGCAGGATAAAGTTCAGAATCTTTAATATGACCTTCTAAGCCCTGATTGCACATGACCTTGTCTTGCCTTCACCTTCTTCTCACCCTCAGCCATTCTCTTCCCAACTCCTACTGGTTTTCTCACCATTGCTGGGATGCTCAGCTTCAGTCTCAAGGCTTTACACACAATGGTCTCTCTGCCTGGGGCTCTCTTCCCTCAACTCTTCATGTGCCCAGCTGCTCACCTTCAACTTAATTTGAAGGCCACTTCCCCAGAAAGACCTTTCCGAAGTCCCACTGGTCCAGTTCTTTTTCTTCAAAGCACTTGTAACAATGCGGCTAAATGTTTGTCTGCTGATTGTCACTGACTGTTCATAATTGTCAATAATATCCATCTCTCCTTCTACAGTGCAAGCTCAATGAAAGCAGGAAATGGGTACATGATAGTCATTGTTGCATCTTGGCTGTCACATAGTAGGCACTCAATAGATATTTATTGGATAAATCAAGGAAAGCCAGGCATTTCCAATTTACAGCATTATTACTTTCATTTTAGAAAGGAGATAACTAAGGTCTAAGGAGGTTAAAACACTCATGTACATTGAGTGATCACTGCCTACCAGGCACGGTTTTCAGCACTCTGCTTAGTGTGCAGAACAGTGTCTGCTGCTTGCTTGATTCATTTCACCTTGAAGCAACCCTATGAGGTGGTTATTATCTTTATCCCCATTTTACAGAAGGGAACATCAAAATACAGAACTCCTGGTAGCAAAATGAGGAAGATCTATTTGCATCATAGCTAGGGTTGGTCCCTGACAACTTTGTAAGAAAAGGAAAGCCAATTACACGCTGAATTTGTCTTCCTCTAAGGACTGACAGGCAATTGGCTAACTGCTCTCAAACCAAATGAGCTAAGGAATTAATGACTTAAGTATTCTACTAGGGTCCTATGCATTTTAAAAGGATTCCTGGTGGATACTGCTTAACTAAAAGGATAGCTCTCCTTGTGGAAATACCAGGGTCTGTAGCAGGCGGGGGGGGAAAGATTCACAGTGTGACCTCACCCTTCCTGATGTCACATCAGAGAAGATCAGTCCCCAACTCTCCTAGGTGAAGACATTTGGCCTTGCTTGAGGCTATGCTTGTATCACTCTCTGCCTAGGTGAAAATAACTCTTACAGGGGAAATTGTCTGAATTGCTTCATGGAGATGGACGAATGGCTTTAGGACTTTTGCTTTCTCCTGGGCTCCAGGAAGCATTTAGGAATCACATTCCCAGTCTCAAAATAGAGACAAAAACCTACTTTAATTCATTTAATTTACTTATTTATATCTCAGATTTTCCACAAAGGGAGTCAGCTAGAACCTATTTTTAATAGCTTTGAGGCAGCCTGGGATTGTGCAGAGAACGTCTGAGGTCAGACTGGCTGGAGTTTGACTTGTCTTGAATATAGTTGTCCTTGAACCCCAGCTCTACTTCTTTTTGTGTTTTAAGCTTTCTGATCCAAAATTTTCCCTTCTGTAAAATGGAGGTGAGGATTGCTAGTCTATATGTCGGACCGGGAGGATTAGAATAATATGTGTAAAGTGTCCAACTGAGAGTCTGGCAGATCTCAGATAAACATCAAAACTGTAGCTACAATTTTCAATTTAAAGGAATTTGCAAAGTCAAGTTTTTTGTTTTGCAATCTCAGTTCATTGCAGTCTCTGCCTCCCAGGTTCAAGCAATTCTCCTGCCTAACAGCCTCCCGAGTAGCTGTGATTACAGGCACCCGCCACCACACTCGGCTAATTTTTATATTTTTAGTAGAGACAGGGTTTCACCATGTTGGCCAGGCTGGTCTCGAACTCTTGAGCTTAAGTGATCTGCCCACCTTGGCCTCCCAAAGTACTGGGATTACAGGCCTGAGCCACCACACCCAGCCCGAAGTCAAGTTTTGGGGCCAGTAAATTCTCCTAAACTCTGCCCTTATTAAATTTATTAGGTTTTGCAAGGCTTTTAGAAGCATTGGTGTGTATTTGATATATGTGTTTTGTTTTTGCTTCCTCCTAATTCATTTCATATTATAATATTATGAAAAAAATGTGACTCATCTAATAGTCACATTAATCCTGGAGAATGCTTTTTAAAATTAGTATGTATCTTTCAATTATTTTTATATTTAAAAATCTTTACTTGTATTATATTTTCTCTCTTTAGCTACCCATAAAACCATAAAGATTTTATTTTATTGACAGTCATTTTCCTGGGACTGCAATTAGGACACATCTCTGAAAACATGATAATTGCCTTTGAAACTTTTAATGATGTGGAATAATTTTTATTTCTAACATTAGGGTTTTCAAATAGTATATGTAATAAAACAGCAAAGCTAAATAAGTATTACATAATTAAAAAAGGGCTCAGCATTTTGATATTTTGTTTATACCTAGTCAAAAATAGATTGAAGATTGAATATAAAGGGAAAAGGAAATATTGTACAATAAGATAATAATCTGCAGAGGGGTTGCATTGATACCTACCTGTCTTATTTATCCTTGTGTTCTCTGGTCCTAGCACACAGTAGGTGCTGAATAAATGTTGATTGCCTGAATAAGTGACTAGGTAGGAAAATTTTTATATCTTCATGTTGACCTGCATGGTTACAATACATCTTAAGCCCTTTGTTAAACTTTTCATTTGTTCCACAAACTATTATCAAGGGCCCATATGCCAAGTACTGAACCTGGGGATAAATTGATGAGCAAAACCAGGTATAATTCTTCTTTGCTCTCTTGGAGATTTCATTCTTATGAGGGCAAGCCATCACCTGGATAAGAATAAAATCACAACTGTTAAGTCACTGGTGCAATTTAAGAAAGGGACAAACTAGAGTGGTGGAGGGTAGAGGGTAAGTGTTAATGGCATGTGAGGGTTCTGGAGAGGTGGTCCGAGTACAGGCCCAACAAAGCCATTGTATGGACTGAATTATGTGCCCCTCAAATTCATATCTTGAAGCCCTCTCAATGTGGCTGTATATGAAGACAGGGTCTTTATGGAGATAACTAAGATTAGATGAGGTCATCAGGTCATTAATTCAACAGGACTGGTGTCCTTATAAGAAGAGAGAGAGACATCTGGATGCACACACACACACACACACACACACACACACACACACAGGAATTTATGTGAGGACACAGAAGTTGGTCATCTGCCAGCCAAGAAAAGAACCCTCACCAGACACCAACCCTGCTGCCCCTTTATCTTGGACTTCCAGCCTCCAGAACTGTGAGAAAAGAAATTTATGTGGTTTAAGCCATCCAGTGTGTGGTGTTTGTTATGGCACAAGGGGCAGACAAATATAGCCACATAGGCATCTTAAGGAATCTGGTTGCTACTCCAAGAGTAATTGGAAAATTCTGGAAGGTTTATATATATATATATATATATATATTTATTTATTTATTTATTTATTATACTTTAAGTTCTAGGGTACATGTGCACAATGTGCAGGTTTGTTACATATGTATACATGTGCCACGTTGGTGTGCTGCACCCATTAACTCATCATTTACATTAGGTATATCTCCTAATGCTGTCCCTCCCCCCTCCCCCCACCCCACAACAGGCCCGGGTGTGTGATGTTCCCCTTCCTCTTGCTCAGGCTGGAGTGCAGTGGCGCGGTCTCAGATCTCAGCTCACTGCAAGCTCCGCCTCCCGGGTTCACGCCATTCTCCTGCCTCAGCCTCCAGAGTAGCTGGGACTATAGGCGCCCGCTACCACGCCTGGCTATTTTTTTTGTATATTTTAGTAGAGAGGGGGTTTCACCCTCTTAGCAAGGATAGTCTCGATCTCCTGACCTCGTGATCTGCCCGCCTCGGCCTCCCAAAGTGCTGGGATTACAGGCGTGTGTCTGGATGGTTTTTAAACAGAGGTAGCGTGATCAGTTTTGTATTTTGGAAAGATTACTCTGGCAAGAGTATGAAAAAGCAATTGGGAGGAAATCAGAGAAAATGTGGGTCCTTATGGGGTGAAAAAAAATCTCAGAAAAACCAATTTGGAGTCTATTTCTCTTTCCATTATGCTGTTCAGAGTTGGGTCTCAAACATCTCTTCCAGGGTGGATTCCGGGACAAATGATCAAAAATGAGCGTAAAGCCCCATGGTGTGGTCACCAATAATGGCTCCTGTAGTTTATGGAAATCTCTTCCTTGGCTTCTCTCATATCAGACCAGGCAGAAAACATCTCACAGGAAGACAGGGGATGTTGGTGAAAATGTGCCTCATCTGCAGTGCTCCTGGTAGGCCTGGCTCCTTTCTCTCTGCCTCTGAGGTTATTTTTGGTTGAATTCACAGACCAGTAAGAGAAGGGGAGAAAAGTAAATGGACTTCAAAGCAGAATTGCTGCAAGATACCTTCCTTGTCCAGCCGTCCCACCTTCTTTCCAGCTATCTCAGTGTTTGTGATGGTTAATACTGAGTATCATCTTGATTGGATTGAAGGATACAAAGTATTAATCCTGGGTATGTCTGTGTGGGTGTTGCCTAAAGAGATTAAAATTGGAGTCAGTGGGCTGGGGAAAGTAGATCCACCCTTGATCTGGTGGGCACAATCTAATCTGCATCCAGCGAATATAAAGCAGGCAGAAAAACATGAAAAGGAAAGATGGGCATAGCCTCCCAGCCAACGTCTTTCTCCCGAGCTGGATGCTTCCTGCCCTCAACCCTGGACTCCAAGTTCTTCAGTTTTGGGACCCAGCCTGGCTCTCCTGGCCCCTCAGCTTGCAGACAGCCTATTGTGGGACCTTGTGATCATGTAAGTTCATACTTAATAAACTCCCCTTTATATATATATATATATATATATATATATATATATACACACACACACACACACACGTATATGTGTATCTCCTATTAATTCTGTCCCTTTAAGAGAACCCTGAGCAATACAGTGTTTCATCCCCAACCAACATTTCTGATACCCTAAAAGCAACTTTGATGAAAAAATTACCTATAAAATTGGTGTAACTGCTATCTATTGTAATCACTAGGTAAAATAAGCAGAAAATTGATTAGAAAGTTTGATGGGTAGTTTTAAAGAGCGCACGTTTTTCTTTCCTTTTTAAGCTTAAGATTCTGTAGATTGACAATTTCAGCTGGGTTCAGCTAGATGGCTCTGCTATATGTGGACACGGGGCTGGCTAGTCTTGTCTGGGGCAAAAGTCTGTGTCTGGAGTCTGCAGCTGGGTCAGCTTAGGGGCTGCTGATCATTTGCTCGTTGTCTCAATTCTGCTTCGTGTCATCTCTCTCATCTTTCAGCAGGGCAGCCTGGGAGAGAAGGCAAGCCCAATGAGCAAGCATTTTTCAAACTTCCCCTTAGGGCACACTTGCTAATCTGGCCAAAGCAAACTATGAGGGCAGCCAGAATTAAGGGGTAGAGAAACAGACTCCACTTCTTGATGGGAATTGCTGCAAGGGAACATTGTAAAGGGATGAGGAAACAGGGAGGGGATCATTTATGGCTGGTTTTACGGTTAAGCTCACCCTCCAGCTTCTGTCATTCTCAGTGCGATGTGGACAAATTTTGCCATGTTCACATACCATCCCTATTTAGTTTTAAAAGCATCAACTGTAACTTAAAAACAAAAGCCGTTCTAGCCTCATACTAAGCAATATTATCTGTGAAATCACAGACTTAATGGGCTAGTTATTGTTAATTAGTTGAATGGTGTCCCCCCAAAATTTATATGTTGAAGTCCTAACCTCCACTACCTCCAAATTTGACTTTATTTGGAAGTAGGGTCATTGTAGATGTAATTAGTTAAGATGGGGTCATACTGAAGTAGGATGGGTCCCCGATCCAATGTGACTGGTGCCCTTATAAGAAGACGGAGAATGCCATGTGATGACAAAGTCAGAGATTTAGAGTTACGCATCTGTGAGCCAATTAATGCCAAAGATTGCAGGCAGATGCCAAAGCCTGGAAAAGACAAGGAAAGATTCCCCTTCAGGTTTCAGAGGAAGCATGGCCTGCTGTCACCTTGATTTCAAATTCTTAGCATCCAGACCTGTGAACCAATAGATTTTTGTTTATTTGAGCTGCCTAATTTGTGGTACATTTTCATAGCAGTCCTAGAAAGTGAATACAGTTATTTTTAAAGATAAAATATTAAGCAAAACCATATGAAGTTGCCACTTTTTAAAAAATGTTTGAACAACAGCAGTGTCACAGTAAAATAAATAACTACTTGGTTATTAAGAAAGTTTGTGGACTACCTAAATTTATCTTGTATACAATCACTGATATATCACTATACTTTTGAAGATGTTGATTTAAAATGTTCTATTCAAAGATAAAGCATTTAAATTTCCTGGGAAGGTCAGGCTGTAGTTAACATTTCTCCCATACAATACTGTCTTTCCTTGTTTTACGCACTTGGGTAAGGATTAGAATAAAAATCTTTAGAATTCATTTGCAAATGCTCTAAACCTGGCTATTTTTTTTTTTTAGTACCAAAGTTAATTTTTTTAAAACACATAAATTGGCCTCTGACCTTGAGATATTAGAAAATCAAGGAGTAAATTTTCTAAAATAGACAAAATGTGCCATTTGGCTGCGAAATAAAATATGTGAATTGAATCAAGTTCCCTTCATTGAGGCAGTCCAAATTAACTTGTAACTACTTTAGTAGAATTAGATCCCAGTTACTTTTGCATGGAAATAATAAAAAAAAAAAAGAAATCTAAAATTTCTGAATCTTGCAAATACTAGCTAATTAGGAGACTTTATCTGTCATGATTATTTTGAGCAACTGATCATTTCCATCAATCAACCAAGCAACCCTGATAAGCCAATCATTTTTTAATCGATGTTGAGCCACTGAAAAGTTGCCATAGATACCAAATTCTACAGCCATCACAACAGAAAGTAAGGTTAGAATTGGAAGTGACAGGTGTATTCATCACATAGTTAACAAGCCTTTGAAGGGAAAGAGAGAGTTTGTCAGAGTCCTTAGGCTGGGTATAAAAGATTGCAAAGAACACTCAAACAATTCCCAAAGAGCACTTCAAAAGAAGGGAGAAGAATCCGGTTTTCATTAGAAATGCAGGAAGATGTTTGCCTGAAATTCAAGCTGTAAGTAACAAGTTCCTTGAAGTCTTGCTTGGCTGTCATTTACCCGGGGTCACCAGCAAGTTATCTTAAGAGTGGAGAGTTTCCTTTTTGTTTCCTTTCCTTTCTACATCAAAAGTAAATAAGGATGGTTGAGAGCGTGGGGCGGTAATAACTATAGAATGCAGTCCTGATTGCACTGTATATAAATGTGGAAATTTGAAAGTATATGCATTTATATAGATATAGATGCCCATATGTGTGTAGACATATATATGTATATTTACTTGTTAATACTTTTAGAATCAAAAAGTAGAACCAAGAAATATATTTTGAGAGTCACTGTACATAAGCCAGTATATATTACTAGTAAAAATATTGCATGTCTAGAACATTGGGAAATAGATAAAAAAGGAAAGGACTCACTTCAGGTGAAAAAAACTTAATGTATTTCAAAAGTATAGCACACAACTTCCTTTGGGGCGGGCGAGGCAAACTGGCTTCTCATCCTCGTTACGCACATCAGCAGTGGGACTATGTGGAAACACAGGGTTATCCTCAGGCTCCAGGAATGAGCACTGGAGAGAAGCAGTCAGGAGAATAGAGTTCCCACCCTGGCTTTGCCATTTACTCAGTGTAAATGCAAGTTTCTCTAAGACTGTGCAAACCAGGAGGGGAGGGGGGTCTGCCTAGATTGCTAAAGACTTCATCTTGCTCTAACATTCTTTGAGTCTGGGGTTATTTGTATCTATGCTACACAGCCAGCTGTGGCTTACAGGGACCCCTGTGTGGTTTGCACATCATGTCTAATCATCGGCTCCCATCCGCTTCCTAACACTGTGTCCCGGGGATCCCTGCACACCATTTTGGTTTCATGTTCCTAAAATGCTCCCTAACATTTGGGCACCATAAAAAGAAATCAGTTGAAACAGTTTGATAAATAAAGGAACGTAGGTCTGAATAAGTTCCTGAAGGGCACGCAGTGATCTGGGTGTGGAACCAAAGCAGGACGAGGCTCTGTTCCTCCCCTAGGAGGGTGGTTTCTCTGGGTTGCTCTCTCTGGGGAGCAGAATCTTGACTTTCATGCCCACTTGTTCAAGCATTTTGTTTTTCTCTCCTCTATGGTACCTGGAGGAAGAATTTTATTTGGAACTCTGTTATAACTACCAAAATGTCAAGGGAGGAGAAGCAAATCCATATCATGGCATAAACAGTTTACCAAGTAGTCTGTCTGTCTGTCTACCTACCTACCTACCTATTTCTCTCTCTCTCTCTCTCTCTCTCTATTGTCTGTTTGTCTAGCTAATCTATCTTTTCATCTATTTATCTTTCTATTTATTATCTATACCATCCAATATCTGTCATCTATTTATCTAAACTTATATATAAATTAGTAACCCAGTGTGAGTCTGATATTAAGTACCTCTAATATTCCCTCTTCTTTTTTTCTATATCTCAGGTCATGGCTATGATCAAAATCAATGCATGATGAGTAGTGACTTCTTTCTTGCTTGTATGTGTGTCACTTAAAAAATTCCTATGTTTCAGTCCTCTCCTGTCCTCAACACAGTCAATGGTTTAATGCCTTGCAAATGTATTAATGCCTTACATACCAGCATTTCTAATCTACATAAATGGATTTTTTTATAGATCTCATTCTGTTTCTTGCTTTTTTTTTTTTTTTTCCAGATTGAGTCTCTTTCTATCACCCAGGCTGGAGTGCAGTGGTGTGATCTTGGCTCACTGTAACCTTCACCTCCTGGGTTCAAGCGATTCTCATGCCTCAGCTTCCCTAGCAGCTGGACTACAGTCGTGCACCATTACTCCTGGCTAATTTTTGTATTTTTAGTAGAGACAGGGTTTTGCCATGTTACCCAGGGTAGTCTCAAACTCCTGGCCTCGAGTGATCTGCCCACCTTGGCCTCCCGAAGTGCTGGAAGTACAGTGTGAGCCACGATGCCCAGCCTGTTCCTTGTATTTTTATTCACCAAGCACTATACAGATCCACCCTTATTGCTGTGTGTCTTCATCTTTTTGATTTGATATTCATTCAGTAAAATATTCATTGAGAATATACTATGTGCCAGGAACTGTTCTTAACTGGAAGATACAGTGATGAACTCTGAAAATAAGATCTTTACTCTCTTGGAACCTACATTTTACCGGGAAGAAACAGACAATAAACAAGTTAACACACAAACAGTATAATTTTGGGGAGTGATCAGAATAATCACTGTGAACAGAATAAAAGATGGGGAGATGATGATGCCTGCAGGTCTACAGTAGATGTGGGGATGGGTCAAGGTTGCTCTAAGGAGGTCATATTTGAGTTGTGACCTGGGGGAAGATCATTCCAGGCAGAGGGTAAAGCAGTGTGGTGTTTACAAAAGACTTATATGTTCAGAAGCAGAACTTGGTAACCCATTGAGTGAGTGGTGAACCCCTGAGGCAGGAGTGGTTAAATACACTCTGATGTACTTTGAGCTGCTTTGGTCCTTTGTGTCCTTTCCTGGGCTTGATGTGAGGTGTGGGTATGAGTGGACAATAGGCAGCAGCCACGGGACAGTCATTGAGTTGTCAAACACTCTTCCTTGATCACAATGAATGGTTCTTCTTTTTCTGTCCTTCCCTCCTTCCCTTTCTTCCTCCCCCGCTTTCTTCCTCCCCTCTTTCTTCCTCCCTCCCTCCCTTTCTTCCTCCCTCCCTTTCTCCCTCCCTCCCTTTCTTCCTCCCTCCCTTTCTTCCTCCCTCCCTTTCTTCCTCCCTCCCTTTCTTCCTCCCTCCCTGCCTATATTTAATATTTTTGATGTGCTGGGCACATTGCTAAGGGAGCACACTGGTCAGCATAGTCCTTACCCCCACGGAGCTTAGACTCCAAACATTTCTTCTTTTGCATTACATCTGAGGATGTCCTATTTCCTCCCTATCCTTCAAAAGCTGAAAGATAATGGGAGGAATAACATACTCCCTTCTTCTCCATGTTTCCCAACAGGGAAACCCCTCTTCATCGCCACCTTCTCTTGTCCTGGTCATTGCTCAAGGTTTGCAATCTGTCAAAGGCTATTCAGAAGGATTTTATTTAGTTTTTTGCTAGAGCCGTTCACAAACAAATACAAAAAATTACATTTACTAAAAAATAAAATGAAAAATCCAGCTGAGTTTCACAACATTAAGAGATGCTAATCATGAGTCCAGTAAACAAAAATGTATGTTGGAAGAAAGATCTTGTGTTCTGTCAGCACAGAGGACAGTACCTGATGAATACAAACAGCGACCTCTCTAAGGATGCGCTGGGACTAAATGGTCATTTGTAAGAGAGTTGTTAAGGAGGCTGGGTATGTCCTGTGAACACGGGTCCTGTGGCGTTGTATCTTGACCCTAACCACAAACCACTGGTTAACTCAGAGAATACTTAATAAGTTGTCCAGGTTGCCCAGTTGCACTCTGAAACCTAGCCAATGCCTAACAGTGTCCAAAGGCATTCCCCCTCAAGATCATTCCCTCAGCCGTTGTTCTGGTTCACGATCTCCTCTCTCTTACCTGCATCCCCCCAATAACGTCCTCACTGGTCTTTTTTGCCTCTGTCCTAGGTACCTCATCTGTATCACAGCCACCTAGAATGAGATTTCTAAAATGCAAATCTGATTACCGCCCCACACCCCTCACTCCCCCAAACTCAGCCAATGGTTCCTTGTTGCCTGCAGAGTGAGAGTAGACTCCTAATCGGGATTCAGGGTCTGCATGGTTGCTGTGTCACTCACCTTTTGAGTGAGTCTACTTCGCCTTGCTCTTTCTTCTGTGGCTCCCTGCATCTGCTCTGCTCCTTCAGGCCTTGGGTTTGTACCTTTGCTCATGTCGCTCCTCTTCTCGGAACACCCATCCTTCCCTCGGCTGTTTGGAGATTGCTTTTCTTCAGAATTTCAATCAGGAGTTCTCTCTTTCTCAGTTAATCTTCCCACTCCTGGGAGTCATCTGTTTCTCTTCTGTAAGCATCATCCCAGTGTCTTGCACTTATTTGATTGTATGTTTCTCTCCCCAGTTGGATGTGGAGCTCCTCGAAGCCAGGAACTATTCTTACTCATTTGAATCTTGAGGTCTCGGTGCAGCAAAGGTGGTCAACAAGTATTTACATAGATGAATGTGTTCCTAATCATGATGCTGGGACCCGAAATAAGGGCTAGGAATGAGATTCCACATACTCACTCCAGGGGCAAAGACTTGAAGTGGGCTCTGGGATGAGGAGCACAGTGATGGCTTAGGACAGGCTGGGCTTGACTCTGAGTGGTCAGTGCGTATGCAGGTGTGCGTGTGCGTGTGTGTGTGTGTGTGTGTGTGTGTGAGAGAGAGCGAGGGAGAGTTCTCATCGTCTGAACCCTAGGGTTTGTGCACAAGAGTTAAGAGAAATAAGCCTGGAAAGTTAGGTTGAGGTCTCAAACGCCAGACTAAGGCATTTTTGCTACTCTCTCTGCAATGAGGAATGCCAAATGTTGTTTGAACCTGGAAATGACATAATCCCAAAGGCACTCACTTGGGATTGACACACTGCAAAAAGCACTTTGGGACACTAATTAGCCCTATGCGGCTGGTTTGATGCTGGGGAGAGTGCAAGCAGGAGACTAGTTTGAGGATGACTGGGATAGACTAGGGATGATCTGATAGGAATCTAAAGTGCAGAAGTGTCAGTAGGAATGGAAGACAAGGCCTTACAGAGTTTGTCCTGATCATCAGGCTGTATCTAATATGGACTCTGTGAAATGTTTGACATGCCTTGAAATATTTTATCAGTGGCCCATGTCTTTGGGCTGCTTTAGAGCTCTTCCAGGGTGAGCTTATGACTGCTGGCTCTCCAAAGCAAAGCAGAGTCAGGAGTGAGGAGGATAGAGCTGAAGTTTGCATCTGAGGAGAGGGTGACTCACCTGAGGATGGGTGACCTTTCCTCCTAATTCGAGATGGAGATACATTGTTTTATATTGAGGCTAACAAGAATTTTGTGATCAGCAGGACTTCTTCACTCAAATTCACATCTCACTGGGCATGAAGACAACATCCACAATTAGGCTTGATGTATAGGCTTCAACTGCTCAAATGTGGATAGTGTAAGCTAATGCCATCCTCACGTGAGATGAGCTCTACCTCTCAACTTTGGTGACTGCAGAACCCTGATAATATCTTTACATTAACTCTATACCTAAAAGCAGAGTAGGGGCACTTAATGTCAGAGACTCTTAGAGGTCTTCTTTAGCTGCTAATTACATCCAAGTCCTAAATGCTGATGGATAAATTGACATGAATGATCAACAAAAAAGCAAAAATGTTTGGAAGAAGTAACATATTGGCTTACATTTCCATTGAGGTGTGAAGGCTAGGACACCCCTCATGCCTGGCCCCATTCCTCCTTGCCCACCATATACTGCTGTGGCACAGCTTCATGGAGGTGTGCCCTGAGAGAACCTTGCCCAGATACCCTGTGCATTTCTCATTTGCTTCTCTGGAGCTTCTCTGATGATGAGGTTTAGGACACTCTAGGAGCCCACTCAACATTTAGGCATGTATTGCCTGGAAATGTGCGTGAGTTATTGTCTGATGGGGAGATCCTTGCCAATGGGGGTCAGGCGCTGCTGTTAAGTACTGTCTTTTGTCCCTCAGGTGGACAGTTCTGAGGGACATTCTTCACAGAGTAAGCCCTAGTTTCTGTAGTTGTGCCCAGCTCAAGGATATAATGTATTGACCTGCCTTTCTTCCCAGTTTCATTCTTCAATCCCTTTCTCCTATTCCTTGGGAACACCTCTAAAAATAAACCACTGGCATGTGAGCTTGTGTCTCAGGCTCTTCTTTGTGATGGGCAGGGAATCAAGTCAATCCCAGGACGAAGGGGTTATCCTTTCCTGCAAGTGGGTTTATTAGAAGTGGTGGCTGGAAGGACAACGTCAGGACTTAGTCTATTTAGACCTCCACGCCATGTCATAGGCTTAACCGTGTTGTGAACATGTCTTCACCATGTTTGCAGAAGGAACTGGGCAAGAAAATGTGTGTTCCATGTCTTTTTGGACAAAGCAATTCAATCAAGCTGAAATATCTGCCACCATAGGCCTTGCTGGAGAATAATCATGTCAGCATGCTTAACTTGTGACCAGAGTCAATGATGATGGTGAGAGATAGAGATACCATTGGGCTTTGGCTTCTTGCTCAAAGGGCTTTTTAAAAGGCTAATTGATGTTTTTGGTGTTTGTTCTCACCATGCAATTGTCTTCTTACACTGTAGCAAATTTTCCCTCAATAATGAATGCATCTAAATATAAAAGGACCATTTGGATTTTCTGGTATATATTTTATTTTCATAATTCTCTTTCTTCCATTTCTGCTCCTTTTTTTCCTCTTGTTTCTCTTTCTCTTTCTCATCCTTCCTGTGGCTAGGAGCTCAGTGCCCTGGGTATCTCTGACCCTCTAGAGGGTCAATGCTTGATCTCATATCATGGAGCCATGATACCTGCTACATCCCCGATCACCTTCCACCATGTTTCCAGTGCATGTGCTCTGTCACTCCCTCCTGGCTTCTGTCCTGAGTTCCCTCCACACCCACTACCTCCAATCTCCACTGGTAGAAATAAGACAGATGTAAAAACCTCTGGGCCCTCTATTACCATCCAAAATATTTGTTTGCTTCTCACATCCCCATGTGGGTTTCTGACAGCCAACTGAGTATCCTTTCTCAGGAGGAAAAGTCCCAAGCAGTTCCAAGCAGAGAGTGAAAAGGAATATGAAGCCACTTTTATGGCCAAGTCTCAGAAAAAGCCCAGCTCTTAGCTTAGCTAGGCTAGACTGGCACATTTAACTGCTCCCAGCCCCCTACCTGGAGGATCAGAACCTGGGAGTGGTTATCCTCATTGCCTCACATAAGGACTCTAGTTTTGGCCTCCCATCCTCTGCTATGAACCCCAGATCACTTCTGCCAACTTGTGCCTGGCATTCCCTGTTCAGCCCATCCTCTTTGGATGGTGACTTATTCAGATAATGAGGGTGACACTCCCACTGGCAGAGACCCTTACCCTCCACGTGACTGCTGCCCTTCCCTGGGCTGGGATGTTGAACAGATGAAGAAGCACATGGAGAAGAAGAGTTGACGTCTTAGCCCTGCAGTCCTTATGGCTATCTCCAGGACTACTCTTAAGGTGCTATTGAAACCAAAGGCTTTCCCAACTTACCATTGAACTTGCTCTGACCTAGATTAGTGTTGAATCTTTGCTTAGCAGGGACAGGTGTTCAGTCCCCTGCAGGAGGAATCATCATGCAGATGGGGGTGAGCATGGACCTCAAGTGACTGGGAAGAAGTCACAGGCCCAACAGCAGGACTATGTTTTTATGAGCACAGAGGTTAACCCAGGCCATGGAAGAAGACAAGGTTAGCCATCATTCATGGTTAAGCAGATGAAGGTTCCAAAAGGAAGAGGTTCTGGGCCTCCAGCCAAACAAGGCTTCTTCACCCACTGATCAAGGGCTGTGCTTCTGGCATTTGGGTTTCTTCTCATGCTATCTTCTATTTTACGTCTTTAGAATTGCATCGTGTGATGTTCATGAGGAATGATCTTCTCAGGAGAGTGAAACTCTTTCCTTTGGTTCATGTAAAAGTGGATAAAGCAGACAGTGATTTTCTGTTGTTCTCTAGTTACACCTAGGTCCTGAATCTTGATAGGTTGCCCATAGCAATAGGGCTGGCTTGGCCACAGATGAGTGGTTTGGGAGAAGATCAAGGATAGAGAAGATGATGAATTGCATTGTGTGAGCAGAACTCCCATCACTCTGAGTGAAGTTGATAGATTAGGACACCACTTCTTAAAGTGTGGGCCCCAGACCCTCAGATGCACCTCACCTGGGACCATGTTAGAAATGCAGTTTGGGGGCATTGCACCATAGCTACTTAATCAGAAACTCTGGGGGTGAGATCTATCTAGCAATCTTTTTTTTTTTTTTTTTTTTTTAAGATAAGGTCTCGCTCTGTTACCCAGGCTGGAGGGCAGTGATGTGATCTTGGCTCACTGCAACCTCTACCTTCCAGGTTCAAGTGATTCTTGTGCCTCAGCCACCCGAGTAGTTGGGATTACGGTATACACCACCATGCCTGGCTAATTTTTGTATTTTTAGTACAGACTGGGTTTTGCCATGTTGGCCAGGCTGGTCTCGAACTCCTGGCTTCACATGATCTGCCTGCCTTAACCTCCCAAAGTGCTGGGATTATAGGCATAAGCCACCGCACCGGGCCATAGCAATGATCATCTAATGAGTCCTCCAGGTGATTCTGATGCCTGGCAAAGTTTGAGAACCACTGAATTCAAGGGACTTGACCAGGGACTCTCAAAGTTGGCTGCCTGATTAAATTACTGAGTTATCTGGGAAAGTGGTTAGAAATCTCAATTCTCCAGGTGGCAACCCAGAATAATTAAATTGAAATCTCTGAGGATGGAACCCAGTCATCAGTATTTTTTTTCTTTTTTTTTTTTTTAATTATACTTTAAGTTCTAGGGTACATGTGCACAAAGTACAGGTTTGATACACAGGTATACATGTGCCATGTTGGTTTGCTGCACCCATCAGTATTTTTTAAAAGCTCCCCATGTGATACCAATGAGCAGCCAAAGTTGAGAATCACTGGCCTAGGTCCTAGGGAAAGGGAACGTTAATGAGCTGAAAGTGTTTCTACCTGACCACATCTTTTGCTTCTCCATCTCTCCAAACTCAGGGAGAAGAAAGAGCTTTAAAAATGCCCTCACATTGGATAATGTATTTCTTGTATATCAATTTTATGACAGTCTAAGTATGCATATGCTAATCACTTGTCATAATTTCCTTTCTTCCTGAAGTGTGTGTCCCTTGCTAGGCTATAGGCTGGCTCAAGCACTTTTTTTCCTAATACTAGCCTGGCTCTTGGAGCTAAACATGTACTATAGAGGCCCTTGGATTAGGTGCCTCCATCTTGCAAACTAAGGAATTCCCAAAATTCTCTTTTCTGTTTTGAAAATACCTTTGGACTTCATTTGAGATAGTCCTGAGAATTTATAAAATTGAGTTCTGCTCAGAAGAGCATCACTGTAATATTTGGCCCTCTTTGGGGCCCCTCTTAATTTTGTAACTGAGTTTGTAGACAGAAAAAGGGAGAATTTAGAAAGGTTTTTGTCTTTAAATTTGAAAATGACTAGGTCATGAGCACATAGTTTAAAGGGGTCTTCCTCTGGGAAGCTTTCAAAATCATAGCCTGTCAGCGCATGAAGCGGCCTTGAGAACATCCTTTCACACTCCCTCATTTTAGAGATCTGGCAACCAAGGCCCAAGGAGGGTTCATATTCGCCCCAAATCACACAGCAAATTAGCGGCAGAATCAATCCCAGAAAACAGATCTCTCAACTCCCAGTTGGGTGCTGCTACCCTGGTACATCATGCTGCCTCGTATATTTTAAATTTTTTTTTTTTTTGTAACATGGGCTTTATCCTCTCTTCCTCGCTAAGGATTTTTATTAAGGATGCCTGTTTTATTTTTAAGTGGCTGATAGAATTCATCAATTAGGTAATTGAGATGGTTCTGAGGATACATTAAGTCATTTTTATATATGCTGGAAAATGAGTCTGTAAAAGTATAATGCAGGGTAATGAGATGTCAAAAGTCATGGAAATGAGAGGATCTGAGTATAATCGTGGAGACTCTGAAATAGGCTTTGGAATTTTCCAGGATTTTTGGAGCACTTTTATTGTTTATATTTTCTCGGTTGTATAGTAATTGACATGAAAAGCCCAAATAGCCATATTTTTCCATTTGAGCCCATGGTTCAGAACACCGAGGATCTTTTTAGAGGATTTTAACTATTTACCACACTTTTAATGAGAAAAAAAGGTTCAAAAATTCCTTTATTTACTTTTTCACATGTTTTATATTTTCTGGATTTCTTAGTGGCAGCTGTAAAAAGGGATTTTCATGTGATCATTTCATTCAGTAATTTGTCTAAACCGAGGCCTTTTCCTTTTTTTTTTTTTTAATGCATGCCCAGCTGTCACTGTTGCCTGCTAAAGTGATTTTTCTCTATTATGTTGTCACTTTACACTCCCATAGGGTCCAATCCTGCAAGCCGTACATGCATGGAACTTGCATTAAAGTCATGGGAAGCTTTAACATGTGAGAATGTGTGTTCGGGGCCCAGAGAAAGGGCCTGGCTATTGTGAAACCTCAGCTCTGGAGTCCCGACCCGCACTGCAGTCAGCATGCTGGGGTTCAGGCTTATCTCTTATCTCCCTAGGGACCTTGTGACGCTGATACAGCCAATGGCCAGGAGATTTGAGGGGCAGATTCTGCATCTATCCAAAGGGTAAGCTTTCTAGAGTTTCATATTCCAAAGTGTATCCTCTCCGTCCTGATTCACTATTTGAAGTTGATATCCAAAGCAGAAAAGTGAAGGGACCACAAGGGAGGTGAGGACATATTATATTAGATTCAGTATTTTCTTTTGTGTTTTCTGAGAGGAGTGGGGTTGTGCAGTCAGAAAATGCATTGAGCAAATATAAGAGGAAATGGAATTGTGCTTAGGAAAGGAAAATACCCTGGCAGCGGGAGGAAAGCTGGTCAATATGGAGAGGGCCTTGGTTTTCCAACAGTGAATGTTATTTTTTTTCTTCTGATGGCTTGCTTTTGCCTGCTCACATATGGTTTCAAGGTGTATGTTCAATTGATCTCCTGTGAACAAATCAGGATCAAGTGGTTCTTGGGCCTGAAATGTTCTATTTTACCTTTTTGTCCGGGTCTTTCCTTTAAGAATTGAAAGTACTGCTACCTCCACCAGGAAGCCCTCCAGGAATACTCCGGCCTCCCTAATGGCAGCTTTCTCAGACCTCTCAGAGTGTGCATGACAGGAAGGGGTAGCTTCAGCTTGAACCGTTGCTGCTTGCGGATCTGACATGAATTATTATTGGGATGGGTGGGTATTGGGTTGGAAGGCGAAGTAGGACTTTTACCATGGAGAGGGAATTCTCTGAGATAAGAAGACTGGCTATCTCTCTACATAACCTGAATAGAGGGCCTGACAAACTGGTCTCTGCTGACTTGTGAGATCCTGGGCATACACACAGGGGAATTTAGGGCCCAGAGATACAGAAATGGGGACAGGGCTCTTTTCTCCAAACTCCTCACAGATCTCCATGTAGTTCTGGCACTGGGAGTTCCCATGTGGGTAGCCCCAGTGAGCCCTATAGAACGAGCCCTGCAGAATCTCAGTGAAGTTACTAGCCACACAGATGGAGGCGCAGCCCTTGCCCAGGAGGCCAGAGGAAAGAAACTCCACAGACTTATTCAGGAGCACGGGAACATCCCCAGGGCCTCCCGAAAATAACCAAGGGAGGTTTGGAGGAAAGACTGCAGTGCTGTGAGAACAGATATGGGCTCAGAGCTCTACAAATTTGGATATTAATACTAAGGCAGACGTCATTGGTGCTTAAACTCTTTTTGAGAGAGCTGTAGGAATGTGACTTATTTAGAATGAAGGACAAGCCTGGATGAGGCCAGAGGGAAGACCCAGGTATGGGTGAGGGGCCCAGATGAAGACCCCTCCACCTCCTCTCACCCTCCACTTCCCAGATCAGTCCTGGGATGAGGTTGGGCTCCTATCGGCACATTCTTGCACACTCTAAGCACTCTCAAAGCTAAGCACCTTCCCAGAGGGGAAAATTCCTCTGTTGGTTTAAATATTTATCCATGTTTCCAGAGCTATTGACCCTGAACTTCCTGCTCCTGAGGGATCTATACCAATCTGGGGTTTGTTTACATGCTGTTTTATTGTAGACATTTTGTTGCCGATTGTCCAATAACACCATGGGGCAAGTGGCACCAATGCACTTAGGTGTGCATGCCACAGGATAATTTTTTGAGACATCTTAATATGTCTTGGGCTAATATATGAAAAAATGGAAAAAAATGAAGTAGGGGAAAGATACTTGGTCTTGAATCAGAAAAGCCAACTTGAATGGCTCTGCCATTTCTAGCTTTATGTCTTGGGGCAAGTCAGTCGAATGGTGAATCTCAATTTCATCCATCTACCTCCCAGAGTTTGAGCAAGGGTCAAACATTTTACGTATATCTTACCTATGCAAAGAGGTATAATATTCGTGCCTGTAATATATAATTGACACACATATATACATGGTATTATCTGTGTGTATTTATATATTATATACATGTAGATAGTATATATGTAAGCATACCAAAATCTTATTATACATATACATTTTGGAAAACTGAAGCACTGAACTGCGTGTATATTTGGGATTTTTATTTTTGAGATAATGTGGTTCTCACAATCCTTGTTTTGTGTTAGTTCTGCTGAAACATGTTTCCAATGACGTTCGAATTTTAAACAAGGATCACTGTGATATAAGAGCTCAGTTGTTTTAAAAGGACTGTCCCTTCTCCTCTTGGGGAAAATGAAAGTAGGAACAGAAAATCGTCTAGTATGTGCCTCTGTTTCCAACTTCAATTTACTGTATAGGCACAGGAACCAAGAGAAATGTAAGTCGATCAGCTGTGAATGGAATGGTGACCTTCACTCATTTTTACTCTCTCTCTCTCTTTTTGTGACTGAGAAACAATAATAAAAAATTGTCTCTTCCCTTGCTTATTTCAAGACAGAGATTTTAAGTGTGTTTTATGACTTGAGCTTCTCTTAGGCCAATCTGCTTCCCTAGTAATGATGAACTAACCCTCGACGTCCATTAGCATAAGTGAATGTTATTTTGTTAACTCTGATGGGGTCCTAATCAGCGCTGATTCTCCCACCGGCACTGCATTTTGGAGGGTGCACCCAGGTGCTCTCCCAGATGTGAAAGGGAGAGTGCTGCCTGGCTCCTTCCCTGCCACCATCCCAGAACCTTCAGCTGCAGACGGTTCATGCCTGACTGAGAACCACTCAAGTGTTGCGTGAGCCACGCACTCTGCTGCATCTAATAAAATCTTTCTCCCCCAGTCCTGCTCTAGGAAAACAGACACTAATGTGAGTGATGAGAGCCTGCCCATGGCCCAGGATGGCTGGCAGCCATGTGCAGAAGAGGCTGGCAATCACATTCCTGGGCATCTCTGCCAAGAGAGAGCAGATCCTGCAGCTCAGGATCCATCACCATTGACAAAGCCACGGGCACAAACGTTCAGTGGTTTAATCTTCTCCTCCTTTCCCTACAGGGGGGGTCCTTGCACTGTGTAGCTTATCTCCTTCCTGGCAGTGTGTGGGCTAGCGAATGAGTATGTTTGCAGGCATGCCTGCGTATGCTGGGTGGAGAGAGGAAGGAGGGGAAATAAAGCCTCGAGATGCCAAACCATGAAGAGATAAAAAGTTTTCTGCATTTGCACTTAGCTCTGCAGGACACAAAGTAGGTGGAAAAATGGCATTCAGGAATTAGAAGATCTGAGATTCAACACAAACTCAAGCATCTCCTGGAAATTAATCTTTCCGTGTCTCAGAGTCTTGATCTGTAGAATAGAAAACAATACTTGTCCTACATTTCCAGAATAGCCTGAACTTCTAATGACAGCTATTCTTTGTATTGTCCAGTTTATAAAATAAACTTAAAAGTAACAAGGTGAGCTGTAGTATCTCTTGGAGTGTGAGCTGACTGTCCCCTGGGAGTAATTCTGTGACCATAATTAGCCACACAGCTCCTCTGGAGGCCCCTCTAAAGGACCCCCAAGCTTGGGCACATGACCCAAGGTCAGCCAGCAAGATGCCCTGTCCCGGAAATTTACATCTGTGTATGAGCCACATGAGAACAGGGAAGCTTGCAGTGAGAGCACAGCGATTTTCCTGGAACTGCCCCACAAGGCTGTCTCTGAGCCCCTTTTGCTGGGTCCCCAGAGCTGCTGTGGCTCCCATTCTTCCTGAGGTCTGAGATTCCATCTTCCTTCAGTTCTGTAAGTCTCTCGGGTATTCTTCTAATATATTCCCTTGTTTGGCTTAAGTTAGCCCCAAGTCCTAAATGATAGCACTTCTAAGCTTTCTCAACTAGAAACTCTCCATGGAGGACACTGAGTTGGCCTGAGTGGGAGAAGTTTTCCCTGTCACATTGGGTTTGGTCTCACTTTGGGCTTCATAGGAACAATGCCTTCCACTTTGAGCAAAAGAGAAGAGACACAGTGGAGGTCTCCGGGGAAGTCCTTGCTATCAGGGTGTAACTCTTCTGGGATGTTTGGAAAGTAGTCATGTTATGAGGCAATACCACGGTGGAGCTTCTTGATGGGCAAAACAAAGAGGTGGTTGAGATCACAGGTTCTTGAACCAGTTTACCTGGCTTCATATCCTGGCTCTCCTGCTTACCAGCCATGTGACCTCCCAGGCTACTGTGTTTTAGTTTCTTCCTCTGTAAAATGGGGACAATGATAATATGACTTCACAGGCTATTGTAATAATTAAATGACTTAAAACACATATCATGCCGAGAATGGTCCTTGGTATGCAGTAAATGCTCAATAAATGTTAGCTGTTAGTATTATCCTGATACTGGACATTCTTCTGTTATTACCATGAGAGTAAACATATAGAAGAAAATCTCAAGTTGGGTTAATAGGAAAATAAAAGCATTTTTAAAAATAAAAAAAATGGAAACAATGAATTGCTTTTTGCTGGTGCCTAGAGAGACATGCTAATGGCAGAGTTCTCCTGCCTGGAGGAAAAACTTCTTCATACTCTTGACTCCAGACTGGACTGTTCATCCAATAAAGGAGAGGTTTCTAGCCCAGCTTTCTCTCAGCAGTTAGGCTAGAAGCTACAAGGGAGCTAATATGGCCAAGTGCAGAGATTGTATCACATTTTAAAAAAGACTTTGATTTTAGATACATTTTAGGTTCACAGCAAAATTGAGCATAAGATACAGCGATTTCCCATGTACCTCTTCATCCCCAAATGCAGCCTCCCCCATTTCCAATATCCCTCTCCAGAGTGGTGCATTTGTTACAATGGATGAACCCACGCTGACACATCATTATCAGCCAAAGTCCACAGTTTACATTAGAGTTCACTTTTTGGGTTTGCAGAAATTTATAAATGCATTCTATGGATTTGCAGAAATTTATACTATGTGTCTATTATACCATTATAATAGCATACAGAGGAGTTTGCCCTAGAATCATGAGATTTTTGCTCACCTGGGGTCTGTTGAGCAGACTTTGAGCACGTGGGGGCTCTCCTGTTGGTGAGAGAAATGGACTAGTGTTATGGGCTTCAGGACACCTTGGAGGGCACAGGGACCGATAACAAATGTATGTGTGCACCACAACACCCATGTAAAACAAGTCTACTTGCCCCGTGATGAAAAACTATTCACCTTGACAAAACAGGCATGATATTCATTTGGAGGCTTGCTTCTAAGAAAGATAAATCCTGCTGTCACTGCACAAAGAGATAAGAAAGACCGGATGACAGTTTTTCATTGATAAAAGATTCTGTCTGTATTTTAAAAGAATTTACTTTCTCCCCTCTACTGATACCCACATGAGTTAAGGCAGAGATACACTATCTTTCATGTTTTTGTCAGAATGTGTTATTACTGTGGGTGGCGGTGACTCAATTGCCTCATTTAGTGATCTGACTGAAGTAGAATGTTGCCTGTACATGAGCTACAGGGCCCAAATAAAGTACAACCTCCAGAATTAAGAAGCAAGACCCGGAAGCATTCTTGGCTGGAAGGGAAACTAACATGAGTTCATGAAAAATGGGGGAGGTTCGCTGTGTGCAGAACTCTTCCTGGAAATTAATCTTTGCTAATAGAAGTTAAAAAAATTTGCTTATGTCCAGGGTGTTTTTAAAAACCTTACTGGGGAGACAATATTGTACAATAATTAATATAAGATGAGCAGTCATCCAATTTTCACATGAAGTAAGGTGGCAATAAGGTTGAAAGAAAAGAATTAGAGTAGCCATTCTGTCTACAGAGTATGGGGCAGAAATGAAAATTCTGTTCCTCTTGGTAGGTCCAAATCTGAGTGAGCATGTTCTCACTTATAAGTGGGAGCTGGGTGATGAGAACAATGGACACATGTGGGGAGAACAGCACACACTGGAACCTGTTGGAGGAAGTGGGGCAGTGGGAGAGAGAGCATCAGGAAGAATAGCTGATGGATGCTGGGCTTAATAACTAGGTGATAGGATGATCTGTGCAACAGACTATGCCACGTGTTTACCTATGTAACAAATGTGCACATCCTACACATGTACCCCTGAACTTAAAAGTTGAAAAAAAATAACAATAGATACACTTAGAGACTTATCTGTGGAGATACTCATCAAGGTTATTTATAGTAAAGAAATGGAAAACCTTCAATATCTAACAAGAGAGGACTGGGGCCGGGCACAGTGGCTCACGCCTGTAATCCCAGCACTTTGGCAGGCTGAGGCAGGTAGATCACCCGAGGTCAGGAGCTTGAGACCAAACTGGCCAACATGGCGAAACCTGTCTCTACTAAAAGTACAAAAATTAGCCGGCCATGGTGTTTGCACCTGTAATCCCAGCTACTGGCATTTGCCTATGATCTCAGCTACTTGGGAGGCTGAGGCAGGAGAATCGCTTAAACCCAGGCGGTGGAGGTTGCAGTGAGCTGAGATTGCGCCACTGCACTCCAGTTTGGGTGATAGAATAAGACTCCATCTCAAAAAAAAAAAAAAAAAAAGAGAGGACTGGTTAAATAAATGCTAGTTCACCCATTCTAATGTAGCCATTGCAAATGATAAGGTTAGAAACTTAAGGCATGGAAAATAGTCATAATGGTATAAAATGTACAAAGTAGTTTATAAAATAAAATGTATTGTGTGAAAAAGAACCTAAGAGTATAAGGCAAATTTGTGGAAGACTTATTATCTTTGTTTTACACTTTAGTAAATTCAGGCTAAACCAACATCAAATTAACCAGAATTAAGATTAGGGCTCAAGTCTTCTGACTTCTGGTCTAGATTGTTATGTGTTTTTTTTTTTGTTTGTTTGTTTTTTGTTTTTCTCCCACACGCTACGTATACTTTCTTAAATCTAATACTTTCTGAAACTGGAAGTTTTGCTTCTGAGGATTTATAATACAGCATTTCATATACTGAGATTGGATATAGCAAAAGAATCTCAGTAAAATTCATTTTAGAAATAGGTGAAATTTAATGATGAATGTATTTGAAAAAAAAAATCTGGGTGAGCAGGCGTAGTCCTTCCAGATCATACTAAGCAAAGAAACTTCTGATCCTCATTTGGTTTCCCAGGTAGATTTCCCATTGGGAATAGAATGCACTGGCAATTGATATGAATATTCCAGCCTGCTTATCACTGTTACTTATTAACAGTAGGTTAATCCTCACAGAAACCCAAAGAAATAGGAACTCTTATTAACCTAATTTTAAAGAGTAGGAAACTAAAGCCCCCGATATGTTAACTTGTGTTTAAAGGGTTTTGGCATAGAAGATGTTATTGTTTCCATTTGACAGATAAAAACACTGCAGCTCAACACACAGTGGATAAGAACCTGGCTCTGGAGTCAAAGTCTTGTATCCCAAGCTCCATCACTCACTGCCTGGTGGCCTTAGGAAGATACCTGTGGCAGAGTGTCTTGCCCGACAATAGCCACAGCAACATTTCTGCTCCCACGTGCTCTTCTAGAATCTAGCCTTTCAAGGGGTAGAGTCTGTTTTCCCTCCTCTTGAACCTAGGCAAGACTTCATAACTACCTCCATGAATACAACGAGGTGGAAGTGATGCTGCCTGGCTTCTGAGGGTAGACTGTAAAGTTGATGCGGTTTCCACCAGGCTCTCCTTCTCTGGGGGCCTTTTCCCTTGGAAACTGCCACCATGCTGGGAGGAAACCCTCACAGAGAGACCGCTGTGGAGAGGAACTGAAGCTCCCAGCATCGAACTCCAGACACGTGAGTGAATACGACTTGAGATGATTCCCGCCCCCTGCCTTTGAGTCTCCCAGTTGAGGCCCCAGACATGGTGGAGCTGAGATGAACCATCCTTGCTATGTTCTATCCGTACTTCTGGGCCCCAGAATCCATACGCTAATAAATGACTTCTTTAGAGCACAAGTTTGGGGTAATTTTCTGCACAGATATAGTAACTGGAACAGTACTTAAGATACTTTTTGGCATCTTAGTGTCCTTGTCTGCAAAATGGGAGTAACAGCAGTATCTGTCTCATGGTGGTTGTGAGAATTTGATGTGCACAAATTGCTCAGTGTACTTCCTGGAAAATAATAATCCAGTGTTTACATAGGACTTACTATGGGCCAGGTATTGCCCTAAGAACTTTACATATATTAACTTTAAATCTTTAAAACAATCTTATGATGTAAGTACTACTTAAATTGTATTTTGTTGAGATGAAATGGACATAGTATACAATTAACCTTTTTGAAGTGAGCAATTCGGTGGCATTTAATACCTTCACCATGTTGTACAACCACCACCTCTCCCTGGTTCCAAAACATTTTTATCACCCCAAAAGCAAACAAGGGTACTACTTTTAAACCCAGTTCACAGAGGAGGAAACTCAGGCAAAGAGAGGGTCATGTAACTTGCCCACGGTTAGACAGATAGTAATGACAGAGCTGGGATTAGAACACACTTGACTCCAGGGTCTGTGATCTTTGCTATCACGCTGGGCTGCCTAGTGCACAAGGGAAGTGACTTGCCCAAACCACACAACTGCCACATCCACTGGCAAAGCCCAGATTTCTCTGCTCCTAAAGCTTGTGTATTTTCTGCTGAGAGAAAGCTTACATTGACCGTATCAGTCAAGTTTCTGAACACCTGAGTCAACATTCAGGGTCTGATCGTTCCATAAACTCACCATGCTGAGGGTCAGACCATGAGCCTTCCTAAACAACACCCACCCTCCGCCACAAGATGCGGTCACCCACTGAGGTTACACTTGAAATGGTCAGCTCTGCTGAACATCTTAATTGCCACATTGATCTCTCTGGAGTGGAAAATGTGTACTACCACTCTGCAGTAAAATGGCTATTTGGCAGAGAAAAACATCTCTGGTCCAAAATGAATAATTCTTTTACTCTGTGGCCTACCAAAATATTTGGGTAATTGCTTTAGCTAGAGCTGTCCAATCTTAGGCTTCCTCACCCATGGTGGTTCTTCTGTAGCTGCGTAGACTCTGCGTGCATATAAAGAGATTTACAGCTCTTGGCCCTGGAAACAGAAATGTGTGCTGCCCTCATAAGAATAGAGTTTTATGTCCTACAGACTCAGTGTAGGTTGGATTGATTGCTTTTCCTTTCTTTCACAGTGTCAACACTCTCAAAATACAGAAATCTACACACGATTTGAGGCTCGAGTCTTAGGCAGGTCCAAGGAGCTGTGAATGCTATGGGTGTAGTGGTCAGGGTCTGGTTAGGAGACAGAAAGCATATCTGTTATTGAACAGAGATTAAAATCAGTTCTGGCTGGTATGGGTGGGGTGGGGTGGAGGTTGCTTTTGTGGGCCTGGGAGCCCACCTAGAGGTGAAATGCCAAGAATTGAGGGAACACGCAACTAGAACCTGACTGTTAAGCATCATGCTGGCAGAAGACAAGGGATGTTTCTGACATCTGGGCTTGATGGGGCAGTGGAGTAGAAGCTTTGCCTCTTGTTACTTGGGCCTTGTACATGGACCATATTTACCACACGTGACAGGCAAAAGGATGTCTGGGGTCCTAAGGGCAGGCACTCAGTGTGCTAACAATAACCATGCTACATGTTCTGCAGGAAGATGCCACTATTAATCCATCACCAGCAAAGCATGTGCTTTGAGTGGTTTTGCTTTTTCCAGCGGTCATGGGTCTACACTGTACCATCCGCGACAGTTTGACAAAGAGGAAGGAACAGAGATTTTGGATTCAGTCAGATCCTGGTTTGAGCTCTGATCATGTCATTTATTAGTTGTGCCACTATGTCACAGTCTTCCTGGGTCTCAATTTCCTCTTATGTATCATGGGACTAATAACATCCATTATGGCTTATTTTTGAAAATGAATGCATGGAATGCTGTAACGTGCACTGCATGCAGTAGGTGCACAATGTAGGTCAGCATGGCACGCATATGCAAGAGAGTGGGGACTTTCTGACCATAAATGGAGCCAGTTAATTAGGCCACACGTTGAACTTTAATCTTGGCCTTCACAGCATCCTGCTCTAACCAACTGAGCCAGGCATATTCTTACTTACAGTGTTGAGTTTATAGAAACTTCAGCTTCAGTGATTTGAATCAACATCAATGTTTTATTCTGGAGGCAATTAGCAACTCCTCAGTCACTTTGTAAATCCACTTTGCAGTTGCCATTTTGAGACAGAGCTGGCATTACGGGGCTTAATTCTGGCAGGTAACCGTTGCAGTTGCCCAGCGGAGCTGCAATCTAGTAATGGAAAAGTGTTTCATTTTAACTATGAAATTTAACACAAAGAATACAGCTGCTCAACCGGGCAGTGACAGTGTATGTTAATTTGATTTATATACATGCAATGTACCATGCCTAATGTTGAATGTTGGAAGACTCCAGCAAGCCTGATACCAGCCACATAAATGAGACACTACCATTACGAACTGACTTCACATGTATAAGCTCACCTGCTTGGAGCAAATAAAGCTGTGGGAGTCAGTCTGTGCAAGGGAAACAAGGAGTGTTCTCCTGCATTGCACACGTGAGGGCTGGGTCTTCCCAAACCAAGGACGTGGCTTTTCTAGAAGTAGTCGTCAGGATTCTCACTATATGCCCAGTCCATTGGCAAGTCCGGGACACTGTGCTCAAGTAAATAATCTGTGGAGTGGGAAGTGGCTTAGGGCTCCCTGTTGGTTCACGGCATGCCCTACTTGGATAGGAAACTTCTGGCTAACCAGAATCCCTGAGAGCAAAATTCTTACAGGAACTGACAGCCATGTGGAATGCACTTGGCAAAAAAAGCACATGAATATGCCCCTGTGGGGTATGTTGGGGGTGTATGTGGTATGTGTGTGTTGTATGTATGATGTGTGTTGAGTGTATTGGGTCTGTGGTGCATGTGGTATGTGTGTGTTGTGTGTCTGTGTGTATTGCATGTATGGTGTGTGTTGTGTGTATGTATGGCATGTATATGTGTGTGTTGCATGTGGCATCTATGTTATATGTGTGTTGTGTGATTAGGTATGTGTGTTGTGTGTGGTACGTGTGTTTGTGTTGTGTGTATTTGTTCATGCTGGGTGCCTGTGTGGCATCTGGTACTCACATTCACTTTGGACCAACACTGTATAGAGATCTAGGTTCATCCTGGGTACCCCAGTGCATGGCCAGATCACTTTCTGTCTTCATTTTCCCACATTATAGTAATGACAGTCTATTGACATATGGAAAACATTGAAAGTAGAGGAAAAAAATCACCCCTAATCCTACAGTCCCCTGGGTCTGACTGCTGCCACTTTGAGATCTTCTCTTGTGATATTTATCCACATGAGTGTGAGAGTGTATTTGTACTCATCAGTGGATGCTACATCTTATGATAACTTTCCATGTTAAATTGCTACTTAGTCTTCATAACTCTCAGCCTTAATAGCTGTATAATATTCCATCAGCGCTGTATCATTACTTCTAGTTAGGTGGCTTTTGAGCATTCTGTATGATAAATAGCACCACTCCTAATATTCTCCATTCCATCAGGCCCGGTCCCCTTTGTCTTCTTTAACTCCGAGTTTAGCGCAAATAATTGTGGCTGTGGCTGTGGCTGGAACGGCTCATCTCTTGGCATCGACAGGTCTCTGTAGAGATGAAGGCTTGGTTGGCTAATTCATCTGCCTCCCGTTTCAGCCCTTCATCAAGGCCTTGCATGGGCCCTGAGGTGGACAGCAACAGGACAGGCCGCCACTCCAGTTAAAATGCCATGAGCCAGCTCTTTCACGTCACCTCCCTGAGTGTGCTGCCATGCCCACAGCACCCCAGTGCAGTGGTACCCTGTTGCTGGCACTTCAAAGCCCTTGATGCTGTGTTTACACTTTTGCTTTCCCTCTTTGTCCCATAATAAATTCCCAGGGGGCATGTTATCTCTTTATCTTGAAACGGGCAGGACTTTTTAGAGTGGGATAGAACCCTGTGAAGCAATTTATTCTGTGGGCCTCCTGGAAAGGGTAGACTGCTTAAGTGATTTTCTTAGGATTTCCATGGTTCTCAGGAATTTGTACAGTGTTCCTTGCTGTCCCTGGCCCCGAACACACAATCTTTTGTTGGATCTGCAAGGGGGAGGTGGTGCATTTTTCCTTGGCACTCTTCCCTGTGTTGTACCCTGTGCTTCCTCCTGAAGCCTCTCGTCCATGTCGCTAGTTTCCTTGATGATCCCACAACCCACCCTGCTCTGCCCTGCCCCTGAGCTGGCACCTCATCATCCATTAGCCCCTGTGCTTCTTCCCCAGCTCTTTGTTCCAAGGCTGTCAGTCTTGGCCTCTGGAATCATCTAATTGTGTGGGGATCACATTATTTTCCAGTATGTAAATCACCTGCCATGGGGTAGGCCCCATGTGTCCTGGAGCAATACGATAACTAGGAGGAGGGAGTTGGCAGAAATGACTCATTGGTACCACTTCCAGTTTTCTGCCATGCTCTTAAAACAAGAATCAGCAGTTGCCACTCCAATTGGGAAAGTCAACCTTCCACTTGCTCAGGTCATCTCCCTCATTCCTCTTGGAGCTCATCTAACTTTGTCTCCTTTTCACTGGCCCAGGAAGTAGAAGACTCTTGGACTTATGCCCTCAGTGTCCTCTTTGTCTACCTTCTCTTCTTTCTCTAGCTGGTCTTTTGCAACACCCAATGCCCTTTCCCCCAGGAAAAGCTGCTCTCAGAAAGGAGTCCTGCAGAAGCGATCTATACCTCGCTGTGGAGTTGAGGCTTCATTACCTTTTTCCAGGGAGGCAGTGCGGTGGTAAAAGATCGTTTGCTCAGGCAGAGCTGACTTCAAATCCATACTCTGCAACTCATTAGTTCTTTGGCTTCGTCTTTCTGAACCTCAGTTTTCTCCTTTGTGAAATGGAAATAGCACCTACCTTGGTTGACATAAGGCATGTAAAATACTTAGCAAAGTTCCCACACGTAACTACTACTTATTGACATGGATTATTTTTATTTGAACCTTAGGTCTATTTGTGGGATGAAAATATTTGAAAAAAGTTTAAGCTGCAGCAGCAGATTCTGGTGCATGCTTGTATGTATGTGTCTGTGTGCATGGATATCCGTGGATGCATGCATGAGCAGTGATTTGGGGGAAGCTGGGAAATCTCTGAAATCACACAAAGAAAGCAGTCCTGTCCTCCTACTATTAACTTCATTCTACCCATTTCACGTGGATGCCAGTTCTCTTGGGTTTTCTTCTTTTAGTCTTTAACCAGCCAGTTGTATAGTTCTTCTAAGCATGATGCTTTTCACGATCATACCTCTTGCTTTCCAAATGTCCACAACCTTGCCTTGAAGTGTCCACTGCCCTCTGCCCTTCAAGCAGAGCACTGTCAAGCCATGGATCTCCAGGGAAACCAGAGTGAAGAGCCCTTTTTAGTGAACAAGGGCAAAATTGTTGCCATGGCAAGAACATTTTGGAAAATGCAGTCTTTTGGAAAGCAATTTGGTAATATCTATAGACATTAAAAATATATACAACTGATTATTCCACCACTAGGAATCAACCCTAACCCTAAAGGTTTGCATAATATCCATAAAGAAGTATATCTAAAAAGTTCATTGCAGTGTTATTTGTTGTTGTAGAAAATTGGATACAACTTAGCTGTTTATCAATATGGGGATGGTTAAATGAATCTTACATATAATGGAATATTATATAGCCATAAAAATGAGGTTAATTTATGTGTCTTGCCACAGAAATCTCACCAAGGTGTTGTTAAGTTTAAAACACACACACATACACACACACACACACTCTCTCTCTCTCTCTCTCTCTCTCTTAAAATCTGATCACATCTAAAGAAAAATGACAGAGAAATATCTGGGTATATACCTCTGTATTGAAAATGAAGTGACAGGATGCACACCAAACTGCCGATAGCTGTATCAGTCAGAGTCAATCAGGGAAGCAGAAATACAATGTATTATGGAATAAGGATTTTATTGTAGAAATTGGTCCTTGCACATTATGGGAAGAGCTGAGCAGGAAAGGGTCCAAAAAAGGAAGTTGAAGGATCAGAGAACAGTTATTCCCCTGCTCTGGTACAGCAAATGGGTAAGAGTATACAGGGAAATCTAGAAGCTAGCATGTCCAGCTGCTGCAGCAGGATGCAAAGGGGGTTTGGGTAAGATTGTCAACTGTTCATGGCTTCCAGCTCTGTATGTTTACAATGAAGCATCTAGAGGTTGTCTAGAGTCACTATTGGTCAAGAGCTTGACAGTTGGAAAGGAAAGCTGGAAATGGAAAGGGGAAGACAATGATAAACTGGACTTGGCTGGCGTCTCTGCTCTGTCTTTCATCACCTTTGACCAATGACAACCTTTAGAACGTAATGACTGCTGCTTCACTTTTGTCTCCCAAATCTCAAGAAACTTTACTTTTGGCCAACTCTAGCCCATAAAAGGAAGGCGATTCTGGGAAATATTGTTCCCAAAGTAACCAAGTTGACAGTAGAATAATTCAGCGCAATAGGGTTTTTACCTCTGAGGAAGGGAGTGAGAGCTAGGAGGTCAAGGGTTACTTGTCCACTATGCTTCACACTTTCCTGAATCCTTCACGACAAAAATGCTCACATGGACTGCTTGTGTGTGGAAACCAAGACAAAAAGGAAATCAGAGTCTCTTGACTTTTTTTTGCAAACTCTTAGTAGGCTTTCTTCTATCCTTCCATATAATTATCTCCTGTTGCCTTGTTTGTATTATTCTTTTCCTCCATGAGATTGCTAATGATTTCACTTGTTAAACAAAAACTGAAAAGGTACATATGTGTACAAGTGTGTGTGTATTCACATATGTGAATGTGTATATGTGCATGTGTGTTGCATGTGTGAGAATGCCCTGTCTGGTTTACTCTTGGCCCCTTTCCCTTTAGTAATCGTCCTGTGACCTATGCCAAAGACACCCAGGGGACAGGAGAACCCAGGAGGAGGATTGGTGGGAGAACGATGGAAATGTAAACTCCCTGGGAGATAAAACTCATGTAGCACACAGGGGGGTTTTGTTCCATTAATTTTTATTGGGAGAGGCACATCCCCTGCTGCTATAGACTGCCTCTCCCTCGGGCACAAAGCCAACTGTGCGTTCTAATGCAGCTGCCTCTTTGCAAATAACTTAGGAAAGAAGATACAGGGTTGAGATAGTTGCATCCAGCATGGAAGCTACAGTTCAAGGCCCTTGGCTTCCTCCTGCGGGGCATAGGAGACTGGGGAAAAATGGTGTGAGCCAGGAGGTGAGCTTCTGGCTCCCCATCAGTGCACAGCACAGGCCCCTTCAGATGTTGCTTGGGAGTAGAAGTGTCAGTGGACCAACATCATAAAGGTGAACTTGGTGTCAGGGCTTCCTGTTCTCCTTGAGCCAGAGCCTTTGCCTTTTGCCTTCTGTCAGACTGAACATCTGCCAAGGAGCAGGGGAAGTCACTTGAGATGAATATTTCCCTTTCTGAGTTGGCCACCAAGTATCCCATGTATAAGACATGTCACCATTTTGTGAGGGTAGTGGTGGAGCAGTGTGTGGCACAGACAGCATCTGAGATGCCCCAGTGATCTCTAGTTGAACAAAGAACTATGACACAGACATTAACCCCTTCATTCCTTATAAAGAACTCCTCTATAAGGCCAGCATCCAAGAATTCAGCTGGGCTTGCACAGAGCCCCTTTGTTCCTCCCCTCTGGTAACACCTTCCTCTGGTGGTTTGCGAGCTCCCTGCAGCAGGAACACAGTTGCTGGATTTGCATCCTCAGTGCCTAGTACAATGGCTGGGTTAAAGCTGAGCTCCCTCTGTATTTGTCCACTGCCTCAGCTACTCCCTCCGATTCATCTGACCCTATTTTCTACTCCTTGTTTCCTTCCTCACTCTGAATCTGTCATGATGATCTCCTCCTTGTAGGCATTTGAATTCACCAAGCATACTCCAGTTTGAGGGACTTTGCATTGACTGTTCCCTATGCTCAGAATGCTCTTCCCCAGAGACCCCATGGCTAATTCCTCACCTCTGCCCAGATCTCACTTCCCAACCATGCTACCTCATTTAAAACTGCAACCTGCCTCCCACTCCTCACTCACACGTTGATACTACATCTTTTACTTTACTTGCCTTTCCTTCCGAGTATTTATCATCTTCTAACATACTATGTAACTCACTTATTTATTACATGTTTTTGTTTGTTTATTGTTTATATCCCCCCATGTAAAAAGTAAGCCTTTTGAGGGCAGGAATCCTAGTCTATTTTGTTCACTGATGTATCCTAACAGCATATAGAGCCTTTACATGAATATTTGTTGACATTTGTTGGAATTCATGGACAATCTTTCATGAAGAAATTGCCTGGAGATATTTCATGTTTTGGGACATTAAGCTGAGAGGACTTCTAGTCAAGTTAGCACTAAAATGAAAGAAGACTGGTATTTCAGAGATTCCTCAAGTTCCTGCAGCGTTAACACAGACTCGGGATGCTGTAATGACAACAAAATAATCATAAATAGCAAGGAATTGATTCCTAACTACTGTATAGTGTTCTACAGACGTTGCATGCTTTATATTTGAGCTTCACGATTTGAGAAAGGCAAGGCAGATAGCATTACTCTCATTTTGCAGATGTGTAAACAGCTTCAGAAAACTTAGGTGGTATGCTGGAGGTCACACAGCTAGGAAATGATGTAGATGGATCCTCAGCTTAGGCATTCTGATTGTTAGTTTGTTCTTCTCTGTCACAAGGACTTCCTTTAATATACAGGCTGTTCTTGAGAGCCACATCAAGGAAGTTCAAGACAGAATGGCAGGGATGAGGCACAGAGGCTAGAAACATAAGAGTGGAGGTTCCCCTTGTGCTGTGGGATTCCCTAAAGGCAAGCTGTAAGCTGGAGCTTTCAACATCAAGATGTAGATTTTCAGAACAGAGCAGGATGGAGCTGTCTGCAGAAGTTTTGTTATTTATTTATTCTTAATTGCATAAAAAACATAAAGTTATGGATATATAAAAAATATATATATAATGTATATAATATGTATTTTTTTTTTTTTGAGACAGAGTCTTGCTCTGTCACCCAGGCTGTAGTGCAGTGGTGCTATCTCAGCTCACTGCAATCTCCACCTCCTGGGTTCAAGTGATTCTCCTGCCTCAGCCTCCTGAGAAGCTGGGATTACAGGCACGCGCCACTACACCTGGCTAATTTTTGTAATTTTAGTAGAGGCAGGGTTTCACCATGTTGGCCAGGCTGGTCTCGAACTCTTGACCTCAGGTGATCTGCCTGCCTTGGCCCCCCAAAGTGCTAGGATTACAGGTGTGAACTACCGTGCCTGGCCATATGCAGAGAAATTTGATTGAAGTTTCACTTCGAAGAGTGGGTAATATTGCCTTTAGCCAGCCTGGCTCATCTAGGACCTTTTGAGGGTGACATTCTTTAGAGTTGTGTTTCTCAATGGGACAAATCTGGGGGACATTTGGCAATGTCTGGAAACATTTTTGTTGTCACAGCTGGAGACAGGGGTGCTACTGACATTGTAGGTAAAGGTCAGGGATGCTGCTATACATCCTACAATGCATAGGACAGCCCATAATAAAAAATTATTCAACCTAAAATATCAATGATGCTGAGATTGAGAAACCTTGCTTTAGAGTATGCTGGGAATGACTGTTCCTGGTCCCCATCTTGTTCTGTTTTTTCTGGATCTCTAGTTCTTTTCCTTCATAAGGAGTAGAAAGTGGGCTGAAAATCTCTCTTTAAAATGATTCCTTCTTGGGAATTAATTGGCAAAGGGAAAAAGGAGTTGCAAACTTCCACAGCCATCAGCTTGCCACCTGCTGTAGCATCAGTCACGTTCCTGCGTATGCCAAGCCTGGAGGTGGAGAGCCACCGTGTTGTGCTGCTGCTGAGGGTCTGCAGACTTCAAATGCCCTCCCTAAACCAGGGATGAGCTGGTGAACATGGAGGTAGGAGGGCCAGCACTCTATGTTGTCAGTTGCCTAGATGCCCAGGGCATTGTGTAACCCAAATGAACTCCTGAGTCTAATCTCCGTCTTCACAGTTCTCTGGTACTGCTAGAATGCCCAGGGATATTTGTTCTAACTCATCCAATTGGTATTGAAATACTTTCCAAATGAAGGATAAGGCTGTCAGCCACTACTCTGAACATTAGCATATGCCTGCCAGTGTTTGCTTCCCTTACCAATACAGTCAAATCACAATTTCTCTCTGGTACACAGTGCCTTCCAGTTCTCAGAGAATAATATTGGGTTACAAATGGACCCACACACATCTTCACATACATAATTTTTAATAGAATGTTAAAATTTTTAGTAGAATGAGAAAGAAAAACAACTCTTTAAAGATTATTTCTTCCTTCACTATTACTTAGCAGATGAGGAAACAGATCCTGAAATGATTTAAATTATATTCTAAGACTCCAGAGTTAATAGAAGACCAGGACTAGTACTGTGGTCTAGAGGACTCCTAGCTGTGAGCTAGCTCCGCTATCCAAGGGTTAAATAAACTATCAGTTACTAGGATAAAGTTATCCCTTGTTTAGATGAAACGCATTTTACAAAATGTTCAGTTTACAGATTTGAACATCAATATGGACATCAATCCTTATTACAGAGACATGAGTCCTGGCCACCTCATGCTTTGGTATGCCGTGCCTTTGACTTAAAACACTTTTTACTGTCTGGTTTTCCTCTTAGCTCTAGGAAACCTGCTTTCTAGTCTCCTTGGCAGGCAGGCCCTTCTTTCTCTGGCAGTCCTTAACTTCTGGGGTTCCTTAGGATGCTTGGGAGCTCTTTTCTTTTGCACTTGACATATTCTCCTGGGATAACCTCAGCTCTCCCTTGTCATTAGTTGCTGCCCAGCTTATGTCTCTTTGATGACTTGTGCCCAATCTGTCCTCACCCCAGGGTATGGATGGGGTGAGTCCAGCCTCTGTGGGGAAGGGCAGGGATGTAGCTAGGAGGCTAACAACAGGCTTTGTGGGATGTACGTCTCATTGGGTGAGAGTCTAATCTCTCACCAGATCCTGAGCTCCACCAGGCTCTGCATTTCTTTTCTTTTTCTTTTTTTCTTTTCTTTTCTTTTCTTTCTTTTTTCTTTCTTTCTTTCTTTCTTTCTTTCTTTCTTTCTTTCTTTCTTTCTTTCTTTCTTTCTTTCTTTCTTTTCCTTCCTTCCTTCCTTCTTTCTTTCTTTCTTTCTTTCTTTCTTTCTTTCTTTCTTTCTTTCTTTCTTTCTTTCTTTCTTTCTTTCTTTCTGTCTCTCTCTCTCTCTCTTTCTTTTCTTTCTTTCTTTCTGTCTTTTTTTTGAGACGGAGTCTTGTTCTGTCGCCCAGGCTGGAGTGCAGTGGTGCAATCTTGGCTCACTGCAAGCTCCGCCTCCCAGGTTCTCACCATTCTCCTGCCTCAGCCTCCCAGGTAGCTGGGACTACAGGCACCCACCACCATGCCTGGCTAATTTTTTGTATTTTTAGTGGAGACGGGGTTTCACCGTGTTAGCCAGGATGGTCTCGATCTCATGACCTCGTGATCTGCCTGCCTCGGCCTCCCAAAGTGCTGGGATTACAGGCGTGAGCCACCGCGCCCAGCCCAGGCTCTGCATTTCTTCAGGGCCTAGCAAAAAGCCCAGCATCTTGATATATAATCAACAAATGGATGAATGAAGAAGGGGATTTCAGGGTTGCTGCACTGATGTGAAATGCTTCCAGGACTAGGGGGCTGTGGAGTTGCCTACCTTCTTTAGTTATTTACCACCCAGTGAAAGTGTTCTAAGTGTTGGTTGTGCAGCGGAATAATTTAGAGGACTTCTTTACAGCTAAAGATGCCAAGGCCTCACTTCAGACCTCCTGAGTCAGGACATTGGGATGTGAAGTCTGGGCATGTGTGGTTGTAGAAAGTTCTGCTGATGATTCCATTGTCTGCCTGAATGAAGAATGAACAACTCACAAATTATCTACTGGTTGATTTTCTTTTCTGTGAAAACACATCTTTGGTATCCAGTAGGAAAATAGGATCCCCTTTGTAGTCATTATTCCTGTGCATACCTGTGGCAGGTGTCTGCTGTACTGCCAAATGTAATCATTGTCTGTACTACCTGAGCCCAAGTAATATATATTCTTGCTACCACTGTAAGTATGTGTTTGAATGTCCTGTTTTTGCTGATCCCTGATCCACTAATGTGTGGGTATCTTAGATACCCACCTCATTTATTATTTTAAGTAACATATTAATTTATTTTTTAGGTGTGGCAATCATAGTAATGAACACAAATAGACAAGTATCTTTGCTCTCACAGAACTTACAGTCCTTGAGGGAGACAGTCAATAAACAAGATAATTAAGTAAGATTTATATACCTAGATGGTGATAAGGGCTGTATTAGTTAGCTATTGCCATGTAACAAATTATCTCAAAACTTAGATGCTTGAAACCATAATAATTTATTTCCTCAAAGTTTCTGTGAGTCAGGAATCTGAGAGTAGCTTAGCTGCGTGTTTCTGGTTCAGGATCTCTTAGGAGGTTGAAGTCAGGGTTGGGGTATGGGTGAGAGTGAATAGCAGAAGACATAGTCAGGAATGGCTGGATTCGGGACATATTTTGTAGGTAGTGCTTCTAGATTTGCTGATCAATTAGATATGGGATGTGAGTGAAATACAAAAATAAAAATAAGGATCATTTGCAAGGGTTTTGTCTTGTGCAACTGAAAGAATGGAGTTGGCATATGTTAAGATGCTAAGAAATTACCATACGTCTAGATAAGCTTGCCGCACAAAGTGAATTCAGGCTTCTTCAGTGAAGGTGACCATTTTTCCTTTAACATTTTTAAGCCAGCACAGAGACCCAAAAGCAAACGATGATTATTGAAATCCCTGGTGTCTGTTTTTCCAATTAATATTTAAAAACTTTAGGAAAAAACATGGGCTTGATTATTTTTACTAACCATCATTATTGACAACCTAAAATAATGAAGAAGATGATTATTAGCAGTGTCTACAAAGGGTCAAAGTCCCTGACACTAGCAAGTGTAACTTCAAAGATAAACTAGAAGATGCCTTGGACAGAAAAATAATCAATGCAGGTGCAATAAAGAAATTCATACAAGAATGCTCTCTATGCAAAGCAACCAAGAAAACTCTTGTTCCTTCAGTTTAACATTCTCATTTAAAATATTTGAAAATTCATTTATCAGTCGTCTACCCTACAAATATTTATTGATAACCATAATATGCATTAGGTGTTGTTCAAAGTTCTTATTTAAGGCAGGAATATTGAATTGAATCACATCAAATTGCTGATATTTGACCATTTGTGGTTTACAACAGTGGCCATTTCATATTGTTCAAGACAATATTTTATGAAAAAAATTTTGAGTACAGGTTGCTCTAATCAACATGTCATTTCGTCACATATGCATATGCTAACATTTGAGATTTTGAGGTCCATTCCTCCTGCACTGTTCTAATTATGTGGCTCCTATTTAATAACTTAGTTGTCCTCATTTCTGTTTTTTTATACCTGTCACACCTGCCTATTGTAATTCAAATGTCATTCCCTCTTTTCCTGTCCCCTGTATAAATGGAACACAGCTGTTTCCTGTCACCTGTGTGTACAGTGTCCCTTCATGTACTTGAACCTATCTGTAAGGTCGTATTATGAGGTATTACTAGGCCTGAGGATGTACTTATAACTAAGTACATCACATCTCAGCTGTTTTTGGTATCAGTTTAGAGTATTAAAGACCAGTCTGAGCCAGTTATAGTCTGACTCTGAGTCCCAGCTGTGTGGATCTTGCACGGATATGCTGTCTTGCATGTAACATTTGTGACAACCTTAAGCTGCTGGTAATGGTGTCCCAGCCTTGAGGGCAGGTTTAGCCAAGGCCAGTTTACAGTTATGATCATCATTTGATAATGCTTTTCAATTTCTTATTTCAGAGCTGAATGTCTGTGAACCAAACCAGAACTGTCTCTAGGTACACAGGCAATTTTATTTAAGATTGCAATAAGAAGTAATGTGTTTCTCACTTCCCTTGGATTCACCTGCATTTTTTATTCCAATACAACATATGCTCAGCTCTGTACATCTCAGAAACACAACATCTTATCACTCTGTGGGGAAGTTACTCTTTTCCTATTATGTGGCTTCTCTTGTGCTCTACAACTTCATTTTGCTCATCTTGTTCTAGAAAACAACATTCTCAGAGGCTTTCCTGAGTTAAGTAATACAATTACATTGGAATAGCTGCAGGATGTGTCCAGACTGGAACATGATGCTTGTGCTATGTGAAACAGGGTTGCCGTTATTTTTGCCTGTCTTGCTTAATTAGTACACACACAGCATGACTGGGGTCCAATCCCTACCCTGCTTATTGGGTGTAACACCATGAGGTAGAAAGAGCGTCTGTAGAAATTGAGAAAAGAATTTTTTTTTTGTGGTACATAAACAATTAGATGAACGGAGAGAGAATTATCCAGCACCTGTATTCTCAGAGACTCATCTGATTGCCTTGAAACCCATTATATTGTTTTTCTCCCCCTTCTTTATTGCATTTGGCTACGGGCGCAGCGGCTGTCTCTTACAACATCTATTGTTTGATTGCATCCGTTGCTTTTAAAAATCCAGGTCTGTGAGCCCAGTTCCAACTTCAAATGGAATTGGTGCAAAGGGATGGAGACAGCAGATCCTTGCCAGACATGGAATGATGACTCCATTCCAATCGCATTTCCCTTTAATGAGGATCCTGATGCAGCTCTCATTCCTCTGCAAGTGCCATGCTGCATCCGGGGTAATGGCTGCACTTGATGGATAATTTATGCAAACAGAACACAAACAAGAAGTCATTAAGCCACCCAACGAGGGTCCTTGACTTTTGCAAAACCAAACAGTTATTCTGATCCTGATGAGTTTAATTTTACTTTTGGTTGAGTACCGATGAATATATTATATTTAAAATAAATATAATATTATCAATATTCATGATCAAACTGAATGTCATTTGGTGTTTAGTGTTTTTTTTAAAGAGTGATACACAGAACTTGATTTTCATCGTCACCAAGTATTCATATTTAGATCTTTAATCCTATCTTAAGTCTGTTTCTAATGGATTCCAAACATAGCTAGTGAAAAAAAGGAGGAGGAGGGCAATCTATTATTTGGATACATGTAAACACCTTTACTTTTCATTTGAATAGTTCTTGTTTGGTATTTGCAGCTCTAGAATGTGTGTAAATGTGAATTTGAGAATTTGACATAAAGAAACTATAAAACACTGGACCACATAAAGAATATTGATATTGAATATGATTTGGCTACCTAGTGATAAAAATCCACTTACCAGGAAATTAAAATTTAAAAAAGAACTCTTTAGCATGCATAATGCCTTTGTTGTAACTCAAGGGCCATGTAGATGTACAATGTTTTGATGTCAGTTTACATAATATGTTGTGTTCTCGGTGCTTTCCAGATGCCCAGCAGTTTATTTTAGTAATTTTAATTTTATTACAACAGCATCCAATGATTCGGTTGCTGTACAGCTTCTCCGGGAGCACTCACGTGAAAATCATTAAAGCCTAAATGGTCCCGGCAGGTAATCTCACCATCTTTTCATCTTCCATTCCCTGGAAGGTGGCCCCTGTCGATTGTTTAAAGGAAAAGAAACACTGTTACATGAGGCACAAATAACAATGCTGCATCCCGATCCCTTTCCTGTAGAGAGGAAAATAGGGCGGTTGTCAGTCTGTGGAGTGGAGGCTTATCTCTGGGGGGACCTTGCCTCCCAGTATCAAGAGCCACATGGCACCAGCCTCTGGGGTTGACTGAGGCCCTTTAACCCCAGTCAACCCCAGAGGGGACAGGACCTCCCCACTTGTGATGGACAAGCCTCCCAGACCAGCAGCTGGGGCAGTCAGATCTACTACATCCACCTCCTCTGTCACTTTAGGGTGACATGGGAAATGAGCTGGCAGGTTGGGTCCCGCAGCTTCAGGAGAAGAGATCTCTTGGGGAGATCATTGTGAAGCAAAAAAGAGGGAGACAGGAGGAGGACTGCAGGGAAGAAGGGAAGCGAGCTTTCTGAATTGTCAGGCCCCATACTTTTTCCCCAGGGAAGGGGAAAAGGGAAGGAAGGAACTACAAATACACAGTCAAGAGGAGGAATAGATCCCTAGGAATAGGACTGGGCAGTGGGCAGGACTTCTTGCGGATGATCAAACAGCAATACACCCTTGACAGCTATAGTTGACGTGAATCGATAGACAGCATCACTGGGTCACCTTGGAAGGAATGCTGGTAGCTACACCCTGAATTCTTGGTTGATGCCAACGATTTCCTACTCCTGGCACCCTTATTCCAAAAATATCTTAGAGCCTCTGCCAAAGATATAATACTCAGTTTCCACGTCTAGATTTACTAGTTCTATGGGTATGGAGTTTAGGTGTTTAACAAGTCTCAAAGTGGTTCTGATCTAGACAGCCAGGATCATGTTTTGACAGTCATTGTCTCTGACTCTGAGGTTGGGGGTATTGCAGCTACAGAACTCCCTTCAATCTATAGCTTTGAAGACATTTTCATTTAACTTATGAGTCTCTGAGGACAGCTAATTTTCTTCGGCCTCCCTCTCTCGTAATTTTCCTCTTCTCTCAATGCCTTAAACCTTCATTCAAGAGTTGGAGTGATCTGAATAGGAGATTGTTTTTAGTTTGGCATCCATGCAAAATTCCATCAAGAGTTCTATAGGTAATGTGCCAGTCTGTGCCCCTTGACTGTGAGGCTAGAGGCAAGAGACTCAAGTACAGAGAAAATATTCTTTCCTGTTCCATTTGAGAGAGGGGAGATGTTTTCGTATATTAATAGGAAAATGTTAATGGATTAGGGAGAAAAAACTGGGCCTATCCTTAGGATATGGATATAGCCTAGCCTTTTTTTGTTTTGCACATGTATACATATGTAACAAACCTGCACATTGTGCACATGTACCCTAAAACTTAAAGTATAATAATAATAAAAAAAGAAACCTCATGGTCTGAAATCATGTCTATATTTATCTATTTATCTAGCAATACATTATTTGGTCTGTTACTGCTGCTGTTACAATCATGTGGCTATATTTCCCAGGCTTTCTTGGTAACTGACATATGAGTGGTTTGGTCAATGGAGACACTTACAGAAAACTAGAGGTAGGGGAGCAGGGAGAAGCCTTCATTTTTTCATCGTGGCTATACCTCTTCTATGATTCTAGCTCCCCACGGTTTCTCCCTCCATAGTTCCAACTTTTACCAGAAAGCTGCTGAACTGGTTTAGGGAACATTACCTTCTCCTTGTGTTCTTTCAGTCTAAGAATGACAGCAACTTTCTGCTGTTACTAATCCCTGGGTTGCTTCACTGGTTTTGCTTCTTAGCTCTCCAGTTACGTGTTACAAATTCCCTAATTAATTTCCTCTGCTTAAAATACCTAGAGAGGAGAGGTTTCTGCTTCCTGGCTGGGTCTTGATTGATTCACTGATCACAGGTAGGCACTCCCTTGCATAGAGCTTGATAGCATTTAAGGAAGGTGGGGTGGTGTAGTATAATGGCTCTGGACTCAAAATGCTGGAATTCGAGTTTTGACTACAGGCAAGGAATTTCATTTCTTTGGGCCTCTGTGAACCTCCAATGTGTAGACCCATTCTCGACTTCTCTTTGTCCCCACAATAACTCTCTCACAAAGGGAACAGAATTTAGACTTTAATAGGCTGAATGAGAGCAATAGAAATATCGTGTATGATCTGCCTTGTGATATGGCTTATTATAATTACTCATCATAAATGCTCACTATATATAAATACTCATTGTAAGTACTCATTATAAATATAAGCACCCTTTTATGCTGAGCCCAGGCATAGCTTCACTGACGCTTTTCAACATAATGACCCTGGCAAAGGATAAGATTTGGCAAGCAGGTCGAAACCCATTTTCCACCCATGAGTCCAAGTCTTTATTTTTGTTCGGATTCAAAGACTGAAGCCCAGAGCGACTAAATGCTTATCAGATGCAAGGGAAAATACATTTTCATATCAAAATTATGTTGACATGTCAGCATAGTAACTCTTTTCTTATATATGTGTAAATACACATATATGTATACACACATATATACACATATATGTATGCTTATGTATGCATTTTATATATTGTGTATATGTGATATATTTATATATACATACATGTGTATATACACATACATGTATATATGTATACATACATATTTAAAATTATAGAATTTGTTTCACTTGGGAAGGCAGCTGTGTGTTCATCTAATCCAATACTTTCATTTTATAGGTGTGAAAAATTAACCTCAGTTCCTGAAAATGGGCATGTGTTTAAGTTCTATGGAGAAGTTGAAGGAAAACAATTAAAATTTTTTTTCTTTCATTTTAAGCTACCAGTACATCTTTTTTTTTTTTTGTTGGCAAGTAGCCCACCACCACTAGATGTGCTATAGTTTTTGTACATTTATTTTGACAATTAAAACACTTAGCAACTTTATGTTTCATTTTTGGAATTTGGGGAATGGAAAAGTTATTCTGTCCATTGTCACAGAAAATAGAGGGAACGAGAAACCCATACATGACTTTTAATGTCTCTTAAAATTTGCCATATCTCAAGTCTGGTGAAGTCAGCTTGTCTTAGGTCCCACTGAAGTTCTATCCTTTGCAGTCCTATAGAGGGGTAAGAGAACAAAAGATGGCAGACAAATATAAAACTTCTGGGATTTCCTTTAGCGGTTCATTTTTGGCAGAGATGATGGGATTGTAGAATATGTGAAACTCTGTTTTACTTTATGTAATCTGTCTACCTGATGATTTTTTAAAACGTAAGTGGTATAACAGTGATTGCTGTGGATTTCCCATTCATTGTAAAAATGCAAGTGTTTGAACTAAAGAGCAGAGGAGCCGATTTGTTTGGTACATTTCACAGGGACAGTCCATTCCCCATGTATTTGCTCCAGATGTTGGAGAGCATTAAGGCAGAGCTTTTCAGGAACCCGAGGTTGAGATTTTTCCTTGCAGGTTTGTCCATCCTGTTATTCGTATGCCATAGGTTCTCTCAAATTCACCCTTCTGCTATATCAATTAAAATCTTTTACTTTCTCTTTTTTTTTGGGGGGGGTGGCGGTGGGGGGTTGTTGTTGTTAAACTGTGATTGTCTCTGTCTTGAAGCATTTTCACTTAAATGTTTATTGTTCATGATGCACAGCTCCTGAGCCATACCCACCGGAGGGAGGGAGGAGAAACAGGACATCAATCTCACCAGCTGGGTTTACAGCTTCATTGTCTGGGCTGATTTTATGAGAAGAAAGCGCATGGTGGTGGAAGAGAGAAATTGCTAGGGGGTAAACGTGTCCTTTGAAATGCCACTCTTGGCTTCCTGACAAGAAAGAAAAAGCCTATGGTGGATTCGTTCAAGCATCGTGATGGAAAAGAAGCCAGGGCTGAGTTTTTGGCAGGGAGTTGAATTTTCCCTTCTCACGTAGAGATTAACTTTCATGGAGGGCACCCTCCCTCCCTGTGTGGGAACAGCATTATCTATCTGGTAGGCTAAATAGAGGGTTGGATTGTCTGAAGAGCCTCGGGGGCCTCAGCAGGATCTCATTGGCCAAGCAGCTTGATTTGTCATTAACTCTGCATCCTAATTATCAACCCTAATTCCAAGAGTCCAGTCGGCCCTCCGTTTATTAGTAGTGATCTCAGTCATCAACCAGCATCTTGGGTTTAGATTGCCTGTGTACAAATGTTATTTTTGCTGTCCACCAGCGATGTGAGTTGAGCAAATTTCTCATTATTTAAAATCTCAGTTTCCCTAGCTACAAAATGGGCACAAAACTACAATGTATCTCATAGGATTGTGGGGCTTCAGGAAGATCACTTGTGAACAGAAATTTGCACAGTGTCTGACCCATACTAAATGCTTAGTAAATGTTGACTTTTTTTTTTTTTTAAAGAGATGTTGCCATGCATGAAAAACATCCTATATGGGCCAGACATGGTGGCTCATGCCTGTAATCCCAGCACTTCAGAAGGCCTACGTGGGTGGATCACTTGAGCCTAGCAGCTTGAGACCAGCCTGGGTAACATGGCAAAACCATCTATACCAAAAATAATACAAAAATTAGCTGAGTGTGGTGACACGTGCCTGTAGTCCCAGCTACTCCTGAGGTAGAGCGGGAGGAACACTTGAGCCTGGGAGTTGGATGTTGCAGTGAGCCAAGATCATGTCACTGCGCTCCAGACTGGGCAACAGAGCAAGATTTTGTGACACACACACACATGCATGCACGCACGCATGCACGCACCAAAGACATGTTTAGGCAACTCAAGCCATCTCTTAACCTCTAGGCCTGAAGAATGTTACATGGCAAAGGCAGAAGGGGACTCCCTGGTTGAGTGTTGGAAGTTTGCCTTTCTTTGATTTCCTTCTCATTTCTGTAGGAAGTGTGCACTCCCTGCTCACAATGGTGAGATGCAGCCTGGTGTCTTTTGCTTGGGAGGCACCTTTGGCTCTGGAGGACTGAGTAAGCCAAGGGTGCGACCAAAGTATAAGGAAGGACATTTCTGTCTGTTTAGTGCTGACTCTGATGGGATATTGAGGTGTGAGAGGGGTGAAGGAAACCACGAAGTTTCTGTATTGTCCATCTCAGCTGGGTATCACAGAAAAATAGTAGAGCAGGAGCTCTGTCAGGAGTATCATGAATTCAATGGAACAGCATTTTGGTTTTATATCTTGAAGATAGTATGTAGTTGTAGAATTGTAGATAGGTAACAAGACCACATCTGACCACATGGTGTGGAAAGTTGGTTAATTTCTGATAAATATGGCCTATTAATACCAAACTAGAGAAGTCAGGGCTATGTTCCTACCCACATTTCCACAGTGTTTTTTTAAAAGTACATCTCTTTGAGGGTACACACGTATTTTGCCGAGGGATAAACTGGGGTATGAAGTCTTGCTGGACACATCACATCTTATTCGTTCATTTAGTAAGTAGTTATTGTGCATGTGTTATGTGTCGGGAAGTGTAGTAGGCATTGGGGTATGCAGCAGTAAATCAGACAGATGTGGGCCGTGCCCTCACAGAGCTCCCAGCCTCTCACCTCCTCACAGGCAAGTGTGGTGTGGGAGTTTGTTCACAAGATGGCTGCCATCAATCCCTTCCCTCCCTTTACTCAAATGTCACTGCTTTGACCACCAGAACATGGTGGAAGTGATGTTATACCAGTTCGGGGCCTGGCCTTTAAGGGGACTAATAGGTTCTGCTTTCTTTATTTCCATTTCTCTGGATCTGTGGCTAGTCATTTAAGAAGTCTAACTACCCTGCGACTTCCATGCTGTGAGGAAGCCACTTGAAGAGGATGTGTCAGGGAAGAACTGAAGAATCTAACAGATAGCCAGAAACTATGCCACACACATATGGTTCTGGCAAGGCTATCCCAGTCTTCTCAAGATGTTTGATCTATTCCTTTGTATTCTCACTAATTTCTTGATTCCCCCAGAACCATGAGCATGTTAAAACAGCGGTTGTTTTGGGCCACATATTTTGGGGTGGCTTGTTAGGCAGCTGTTGATTGTTGGAACACTCAGTGTTTGGTCCATCTTTGATTCCCCAGCCAAGTCCAATGATGAGCACATAGTGTGTGCTCAATAAATGTGCTTTGGATTTTAATAAGCTGTGCTTCACTCTTTCCTCACATTTGCACCCTTGCATTTGAGGACCCCCATATTTGTCCTGAAGAAGAGTCAGACCCAAACTTCCCAGAGAAAAAGTGACACAGAGGCAGAAATTAGGGCATAAACTATAAGGTTTAGGCTGATTCCACAGGATCTGATTTCCCCAGACACTCCAAAGATAACCTTGGTCTCTATTCACCTTCCTGCCCACTATGCACCCCTTTCAGAATTTCAAAATTGGCTCAGCCTTTACATGTGGATTCTTGAAGATGCGGATCTTGAAGATGTACCACATGAGGCTGAGGATGCCTTGCCCCTGTGCTAAGGAAGCTCTGTGTCCTATGTCAATGTATTAGTCCGTGGGGAGGCATGCTTAGTTCTTCAAACAACCCTCACAGACCTACTTTTGGCCTTGAACTTGGCTGACTCTGAAACTCTCCAACTCTGACTCTCAGCTTGTCTCTGGTGATGATCTTCATGTTGAGCCAATTGGCTGCTCTGCTCCCTCTGGTTTTTCCAAGTCAACCTTCCTTAGTTCCTGAGATGCCCTCATGTTCTGTGCCAAGACCTGGTGCTCCCATGAAGTCCTCTGTAGCTTCCCAAAGGAATTTTTCTGCATTCAGAAGGAATAAATTCAGTAACATTTTGCTTTGTTTTCCCTCTGCTCCTTCCTCTCCCCACAAGTGGGACTTTTCTGCACTCCCTTCCCCATGGTATAAACAATGAGCTCATGATCACATGTCAGGTGCAACGAATTATTTTGCTTTGCTTGCAAAATTTCTTTTCTTTTCTTTCTTTTTTTTTTTTTTTTTGAGACAGAGTTTTGCTCTTGTCACCCAGGCTGGAGTACAATGGCGTATTGGCTCACTGCAACCTCTGCCTCCCAGGTTCAAGTGATTCTCCTTCCTCAGCCTCCCGAGTAGCTGGGATTACAGGCACATGCCACCATGCCCAGCTAATTTTTATATTTTAGTAGGTTTCACCATGCTAGATCAGAGATGTGGTGGCTCTCCTGAGCTCAGTATTCACATCTCCAGCTGCCTGCTGTACTACCCTCTTGGACCTCCTGTGGACCTCTCAAATCCTACATTAACAAAGAAATGATCTCTCTCCTAGTCAACTAAGATTTATACCTTGGACTGGCCTTTACATATTTTCCTCCCCTTTTTGTCTTTTCACTCTTGTATCTAACCAGCCCTCTGGTCTGCTCATACCTACCTTCTCCATTCCATTGCTACTGCCATTACCTTAGATGGAGGCTTAATCATAAGGTACTTCTCTTGAAATTCCTCTCTCCTCTCCATGCTACCCACCGTGGATTAGCATTAATGGTCAGATTTAGACTCCAGATATGTAGCCACCAATGCCGCTACTGATGGGGAGACCCTTTGGTGACTCTCCACTCTTCATTAAGACAGACAATTCACCAGGATCTTTGTGTGTTCAGCTTCATGTCTCATTCTGCTCTTTACTACAGCAGAGCTGGGCTACTTTGTTTTCAAGCAAGTGCAAGGCTTTTCTGCAGATAGGACTTGTTTGTGAGGTTTCTTTCTCTAGAATTCCTCTCTTTTCTGAGAGACTATTTACTTTCTTTCTTTCTTTCTTTCTTTTTCTTGAGATAGAGTCTTGCTTTGTTGCCCAGGCTGGAGTGCAGTGGTGCTATCTTGCCTCACTGCAAACTCCGCCTCCCTGGTTCAAGTGATTCTCATGCCTCAGCCTCTGGAGGAGCTGGGATTACAGGCACCTGCCACCATACCCTGCTAATTTTTGTATTTTTAATAGAGACGGGGTTTCACCATTTTGCCCAGGCCAGCCTCGAACTCCTGACCTCAAGTGATCCACCTGCCTCGGCCTCCCAAAATGCTAGGATTACAGGCTGAGCCACCGTGCCTGGCCTACAAGCCTATTTACTTTCAAAGACCATCTAAAGTTTACCTCCTCCACCCCACCTCACTTTGTATAAGACCCCTTCCCCAGTCCATCCACGGTAGCCCTTTCTTTGTCTGAGCTCACAAAGCACTTGGTTGTTTTTGATGGCGGTAAACCCTGGGTTCTGCATTACAGATATTTGAGCACATCACTGAGACCTGCTAGACTCTAACCTCACTGAGCATAGAGGTTATGCACACAGGCATAGCTGTCCCAATATTTGGGAGATTCTGCTTACTTGACCTCAGCTGAGCCCAGACTATCTATTGGCCAAGATGGGTCAAACCTATTACAACAGATCTGTCTCTTCTGTGCTTCTCTCTGTCTCCCTTGGAGCCCAGCACTTCCATGCACACTTTGCCTTCAGAGGCACTATGCCTGGCTCCTGAGCTTTCCTTTCTCTTTTGACACCTCCAAACTTACCTGTCCTGCTCTTTTTCCTTACAGTCTCACTCCTTACAGTAACTAACCTTATAAACTAATGTCAGTGAAGGTGATCATAGTAAAAGAATCAGAAAAGATTTACCATTTGTTTGTGGGTTCCTTGACTGCTAAATGGATCAATGGTTTTGTTTTTCCCTCTGACACATCCTAGTTCAGGATCTTCACCAAGATGGCCTATTTGTGTCACTACAACAGGCCTCAGTCTCTTTTCTCCTGTGATTCACTCTCTCAGCCCTGGAATCTTGCGCCTTGCTTCCTGACTAGTGTCAAAACATGGCTGTCATCATTTTTGCTCATTTGGAACCTCTGTGACCCTCCGCCGTCACAGGCTGCATCTCAGACTTCTTGATCTATCTCAAGTCTTCCATATACAGATTCCAGGCTATCCTTGCATTCCTCCTGCTCATAGCTCGCTCCTTGCTTAACTCCTTTGCTTTGGTCAGACTCACTCCCTCATTTATGGTCTCCATCCCTGTGTCTTCCCCTAATAATGCTCAGAGGTTTCTTGTTTTCCTGACTTGGCTTATGTTTCACCTTCACCCTGGGAGGACTCCCCCCGACCCTCTGCTGCCAGCTCCTCTCTGCTCATCTAAAGCCATCCCATTCTTGGTGCAGATTTCCTTTTCTCCTTAAGCAGTCCTGGGTCGTTTCCCCTCAGCTCTCTCTCTGGTCTTTGCATGGCTCTAATCCTCCCCTGCATCACTGTTTGGCAATTAATCATGCACTGGGTTGTGACACTTCTTGTACAGCATTGAGCTGTTATCTCTTGTATATTCTTTCACTTTTCTTGCATTTATGTCTTACCTCTTTGAGTTCCCTGAGATCACAGAGCATCTCTTTGGCATTCTTTTTTATCCTCCTCAGTGCCTTGCTTGCATGTCACAGCTGTCCTATAAATATTTCTATAATATCAAGATTTAACCTTCCTCAGGTGAGCACTACATTTCTTTCATAACAGTCGTCTCTGAGGCTCTAAGCCAAACGTGACTATTGTGGACTTTTTCTGATGAATGGGGAGGCAGCGGAAGGGTATATTTTGGCATGTAGAGGCCTTCAGATGTCCTTTAAGTTGTGTGTTAATAACTGTGACTCACTCATCCTGTGGGCTACCACGCACCAGGCTGTGTGCTGAACCCTCTAATGTAATACTGTTTTAATCCTTACCATAGTCCTATGGGAGTAATTACTATCATGATTCCAATTTTACAGATTAGGAAACTGAGGTACAGAGAACTTTCATCATTTTCCTGAGACCCATAGCCCATATATGTGGTGTGCTGAGACTTTAAATCCTGTGATCTGACTCCAGAGTGTGAAATTTTAGCCACTATTCATAGCACACCTTGACCAATATGCAAAATATCAGTCCTTGTCTGCATACTATTATCCCATTTATAAACGACTTTCATACATAGTGTCTTATTTATCTGACTCCACACTCCTATGAAAAATTGGGCACTCTTAACTTATTCTTTATATTCTATATTTTATTATTTATATTCTAGATATCATTCCTTCCTATAATCTCACACATTTTATGCTGTCGTTAAAATATAATGCAAGTAACACTTAAATGCATTCTCATTGTTAAAAAAAACAATCCAGAGTGCCAAAAAATGCAGGATAAAAAGAAAATTCCACTCTTAACTCACCCCAACCATACGCCCTTCCCTGGAGAGAATTACTGCTGTTTCCATATGATACATAACTATCCCTTCACCCCTATGTGTAAGCATGGACAGGTACGTCACATGCACATATGTATACACAGGTTGAGCATCCCTAATCCAACATCTGAAATCTGAAATGTTCCAAAATCCAAAACATTTTGAGTGCTGACATGAAGTCACAAGTGAAAAATCCCACACCTGACCTTGTGTGGTGAGTCATGTGTTTCCTGCACAAAATTATAAAAAAAAACCTGCATAAAATCACATTCAATCTCTCTGTATAAGGAATATATGAAACATAAATATATTTTATGTTGAGATTTGGGTTCCATTCCCAAGATATCTCATTATGTATTTGGAAACATTCCAGAATATGAAAAAAATCTGAAATTTGAGACACTTCTGGTCCCAAGCATCTTAGATAAAGGATACTCAACCTGTATATATCTATAAATACATACACGTATTCATATATATTTTTCCATAAACATATGGAAATTTACAGTTTTCTACATGGAATTTGCTTTTTCTATAAGTGGGAAAATCTTGTCAGTTTTGGCTCTTTGATTTGCTCTTTTTTCCTTTGCAGTTGTCAGTGTGTCTTGAAAATCTTTCTATGCTTGCACTAATAGATCTCCCTCATGTTTTATCCCAGCGCTAGAGTATTCCCTCTATTGGATGTGCTATGGCTACTTAGTCTTTCCTCTATTTTTGAATATTTAGATTGTCTTACCTGGAACGATAACCTCAGTTTTGAACTAAGAAGGTATAGCTCCATAAGGGAGCAGTGAGCTATGTCATTTGCACAGCTAGTTATTAAGGTGGAGCACTTCCGAGCCAGGTGTCAGGATTCTCCCACCCTGTCCATTTCCCAAAGCTGCCTTACAGCTGAGGAAGGCCGTGGCTGAAGCCACTCTGTGGGACTCCACAAGGAACTTGAGGTCATCTGCAACAATTCCTCTGGCAAAACTAATTGGTGTCAAGATCACACATCAAAAGACTTCTAACCAAATAGCTGCCAGAGATGTATACATAGTTTTATAAAAAAGTGACGGAAGCTTTTCTTCCTGAAATGATGTATTACAAGCACCCATGATTTCTTTTTTTTTTTCTTTTCTTTTTTATTTTTTTGGGATGGAGTCACACTCTGTCACCCAGGCTGGAGTCAGTGGCGCGATCTCGGCTCACTGCAACCTCCACCTGCTGGGTTCAAGTGATTCTCCTGCTTCAGCCTCCCGAGTAGCTGGGACTACAGGTGCACATCACCATGGCTGGCTAATTTTTTTTTGTATTTTTAGTAGAGACAGGGTTTCGCCATATTGGCCAGGCTGGTCTCAAACTCCTGACCTCGTGATCCGCCTACCTTGGCCTCCCAAAGTGGTGGGATTACAGATGTGAGCCACTGCGCCCGGCCCGCATCCATGATTTCTTAAAATGAGGTGATTTTGATTTTGTTTGGGAGTTTGTTTCCTAGGTGAAAATGGGACAACAACACCGAATCCCTTGGGGTTTACACTCTTCTGAAGATCATAGTGGGAATTATCATGCCACGTTAGGATGGTTCCAGAGGATCATCAAAGTCTTTTTCCCCTTGTTTTGGAATGGGAGTATGTTTGCAACAGTGCTTGTTTGAAAGTGTAACACATACATTAACACTAACACAGGTAAAAGGCAATGAGATCATGTAATGATGCATTAAAATCTTCAGAAGATCAAATAAAGGTTCAGCATATCCGTATGATCTGGGGATTGCCAGGAAAGTACCACCTGCTGGAACGTAGTTTGTGGCAGTTCTCGTTGTATAACTACTTGAATGAATGCAAAAGGTCCATTGCATTGTGCAGAAATGCTTTCTCCTTTCCTTTAGGTATGGAGTAAGACTTGGACAGTCAGAGCATAGGTTGTCAACTGTTCCAGATATTAACCAAGGTCAAGTGAAGGTGAGTGTTTGATGGTAGTAGAAGATTTTCCTATTGACCTTAGTTGGTGCATTCTAACCAGAAGGAGAACATTTTGTTGTAGGAAAGGAAAAACATCATTTTCTCTTGTTTCTTTCAAAGTCAAAGATTATTTACATAGACTAAAGTGTTAATTTTCTCAGAAATCAAAGCCACTGGCAGATCGTTAAGTAAAATTCATGTGTGTATGATTAATATTGGATGACCTCTTGCTCTAGTAGAACCTTGCTTTTCAGAAGACATATGGAACTCATTCATGCTTATATTACACATATCTGTTCATATAGATCTTTGACTCTGTGTTCAGTGAAATGTCATCATTTCTTTTACAACAGATCTGGAAGAGAAAATGCTGCTTAGAGCAGAATGTTATGAATGGGAAAGGAAATGAAAGTGTGTGTGAGTGAATTGAGGATCATGACAGTGACCTGTATTTCTACATTGGATAGAAAACTTTTAATAAAAGCTAGAACCCAAGGGGCAAATTTTAGAAATAGGATTTTGCCTTTGATTATACTTCTCTGTGTTTGGACTGCCAATTTGATGTTCTGTTGATGAAAGTTTGCTTTTGCATCAGCATCTAATAGGTGAGATTTATGTCTGTTTAGGAGCTACCAGCTTTGTTAATTCATTGGCTTAACAATGAATTAAGAGAGTCCTTTTACAGATGTTAAAATGGATAGTTTTAGGAAATTAGATAAAAAATACCAAAATTTTCAGAAATTATTTTCATGGTAAGTGCCCGGATTTCAAAAACAAATAAAATTATTCCTACTTTTAGAGAATTCTCTGACTACAAAGAGTATGCAATTACATAATTCAGGCAATGAAGTCTTCTTATTAACTCAAAAAAAACATACTGATATTGGAACAATTAAGCAACCACCGGTAATTAAGTGCCCTGGTAGTTCAGATAGTCATGGCTGCACTGAGGTCTGGGCCTTGGCTGGCAACACTGGGCAGATGGGAAACTGGTGCCTGAGACAAGAAAGTGACCTGGGAAGTGATAACAGTTCTTCTCCTCCTTTTCTTCTTCCTTCTTCCTCTCCCGATGTTTCTTTTGCTAAAATCAATGCCTACCTCTTGGTTTTCACTTTTCTGATCACTCTTTCACAATCTCATTTGCTGGTTCCTTTGCAGGTTTCTGACCTCTAAAAACTCGAGGGCCCCATGGTTCATTCCCAATCAGTATGCATTCCCTAGGTGATATTATCCAGTTACATGGCTTTTATACCATCTGTCTGCTGATGGCTTCCAAATAGATCTTCCAGCTTGAACATCTCCCCTGAACCACAGACCCATATTTCCAGTTGCCTACTTGGTCATTTCAGATGGTCCAGTAAGCATCTCAAACTTGACATTTCCAAACCTGAGCTTCTGATAATCTTTGCTAAACAACTCTACCAGAAACTTCCTCATCTTGGTTAATGCAATCTCTTTCTTTTAAAATCTTGGCACTGTCCTTTTATTAAAGTTTTATTTTTAATGGACAAATAATATTTGTACATATTTATGGAGTACAACATGATGTTATGATACATGTATGCATTGTGGAATGATCAAATCAGGCTAATTAGCATATCTGTCACAAATATTTATTATTTCTTTGTGGTGAGAAGACTTAAAATCCTCTCTTAGTTATTTTGAAATACGCATTATTATTAATTAATTATAACTAAATTGTTAACTGTTAACAGTCATGTGCTATGCAGTAGAAAACCAGAACTTATTCCTCTTATCCAGCTGAAATTTTGTAACCATTGACCAAGATCTTCCCTTTCTGACCCCTCACGTTCATCTCTGGCCTCTGGTAATCACCATTCTACTCTCTACTTCTAGGAGTTCAACATTTGTAGGTTCCACACATAAGTGAGATCATATGGTTTTGGTGTCTCTGTGCCTTTCTTATTTCATTTAATATCGTTAATATCTTCATTTAATATCTTGTTTCATTTAATGTCTTCTAGGTTTACCCATGTTGTCACACATGACAGAATTTTCTGTTTTTCTTTCTTTTTTTCTTTTTTTTTTTAAGGCTGAATAGAAAATCCATTCATCCAAATGGGCACTTAAGTTGTTTCCATATCTTGGCTATAGTGAATAGTGCTGCAATGAACATGGGAGTGCAGACATCTCTTTGACAAACTGATTTCAATTCCTTTGGGTAAATAAATACCCAGTAGTGGGATTGTAGAATCATATGGTAACTCTATTTTTAGTTTTTTGAGGAACGTTCATACAGTTTTCCAAAATGGCTATAGTAATTTACAATACCATCAACAGTGTATAAGGAAGGGTTCCCCATTCTTTGCATCCTTGACAACCCCTTTATTTTTTGATAATAGCCAATCTAAGAGATGTGAGGTGGTATCTCATTGTGATTTTAATTTGCATTTCTCTTATGATTAGAAATGTTGAGCATTTAAAAATTTATCTGTTGGCCATTTATATGTCTTCTTTTGACAAATGTCTGTTCAAGTCCTTTGCCCAATTTTTTTTTTTTTTGAGACGGAGTCTCGCTCTGTGGCCCAGGCGGGAGTGCAGTGGCGCAATCTCGACTCACTGCAAGCTCCGCCTCCCGGGTTCACGCCATTCTCCTGCCTCAGCCTCCCGAGTAGCTAGGACTACAGGCGCCCACCATCACGCCCGGCTAATTTTTTTGTATTTTTAGTAGAGACGGGGTTTCACCGTGTTAGCCAGGATGGTCTCGATCTCCTGACCTCGTGATCCGCCCGCCTCGGCCTCCCAAAGTGCTGGGATTACAAGCGTGAGCCACCGCGCCCAGCCCCTTTGCCCATTTTTTAACTGAGTAATTTGTTTTCTTGTTACTAAATAGTTTGGGTTCCTTGTTTATTGTGGATATTAGAACCAATGTATAATTTGCAAATATTTTCTCAGTCAGTGGGTTGTCTCTTCATTCTATTTATTGTTTCCTTTGCAGTGCAGAAGATTTTTAGTTTGATGCAATCCCATTTGTCTATTTTTGCTTTTATTGCCTGTGCTTTTGGGGTTGTACTCCAGAAATCATTGTCCAGACCAATGTCATAAAACTTTTCCCTTATGTTTTCTTCTAGTAGTTTTATAGTTTCAGGTCTTAATATTTAAGTGTTTAATTTATTTTGAGTTGATTCATGTAAAAAAGGCGAGATAAGAGTTCATTTTTGTTACTCTATATGTCAATATCCAGTTTCCTCAGTACCATTTATTAAAAGACGCAGTCCTTTCCCCATTGTGTGATCTTGGCACCCTTGTCAAATCAATTGTCTAGGGATGTGTTTTATTTTTTTTTTCTGGGCTCTATATCCTGTTCCACTGGTCAGTGTGTCTGTTTTTGTACCATTGCATGTTGTTTTGATTACCATATCTTTGTAATGTATTTTGAAATCTGGTAGTGTAATACCTCTAGCTTTGTTTTAGTCCAGGTTGCTTCAGCTATTAGGGGTGTTTTGTGGGTCCATATGAATTTCAGAATTGCTTTTTCTATTTCTTTGAAGAATGACATTGAAATTTTGATAGGGATTGCATTGAATCTGTAGATTGCTTTGGGTCGTATGAACATTTTAATAATACTAGTTCTTCCAGTTCATGAACACAGATACCTTTCCATTTATTTGTGTCATCTTCAGTTTCTTTCATCAATGTTTTATAGTTTTCGGTATACAGATCTTTCATTTCCTTAGTTAAATTTACTTTTAAATATTTTTTTTCTGGTGCTATTATAAATGGGATTGTCTTCTTAATTTTTTTTTTTTTTTTCTGAGATGGAACCTCACTCTGTCGCCCAGGCTGGAGTGTAGTGGTGCCATCTCAGCTCACTGAAACTTCCACTTTCCGGGTTCAAGCAACTGTCTGCCTCAGCCTCCCGTGTGGCTCAGATTACAGGCACCTGCTACCACGCCCGGCTAATTTCTGTATTTTTAGAAGAGACAGGGTTTCACCATCTTGGCCAGGCTGGTCTTGAACTCCTGACTTCGTGATCCACCCACCTTGGCCTCCCAAAGTGCTGGGATTACATTGTTAGTGTATAGAAATGCTACTGATTTTTGTTAAATTCATTTTGTATCTTGCAACTTTACTGAATTTGTTTGAGTTTTAACGGTTTTTTGGTGGAGTCTTTAGTATTTTCTATATATAAGATCTTGTCGTCAGCAACAGAGACAATTTCACTTTATTCTTTCCTTTTGGATGCCTTTTTATTTATTTCTCTTGCCTAATTGCTCTGGCTAGGACTTCCAGTAGTATGTTGAACAGAAGTTATGGGAGTAGGTATCCTTGTCTTGTTTCTGTTCTTAAAGGAAAAGCTTTCAACTTTTCATGTTGAGTATGATGTTAGCTGTGGCCTTATTATATATGGTCTTTGTTGTGTTTTGAAACATTCCTTCTATAACCACTTTGTTGAGAGTTTTTATAATGAAAGGATGTTGAATGTTATTAAATGCTTTTTTCTGTATCTATTGAAATAATCATATGTTTTTTCTTCATTCTGGCAATAATTTATTGATTTGTGTATGTTGAACCAACCTTGCCTCCCAGGGATAAATCCCACTTGATTATGATGATACCCTTTTAATGTACTGTTGAGTATGGTTTGATAGTATTTTGTTGAGAATTTTTACTCTATGTTTATTAGAGATGTTGGCCTGTAGTTTCCTTTTCTTGTACTGTCTTTGTTTGGCTTTGGTATCAGGGTAACACTGGCTTTATAAAATGAGTTTAGAAGTATTCCCTCCTCTTTAATTTTTCAGAAGAGTTTCAGAAAGATTGGTATTAGTTCTTTAAATGTTTGGTAGAATTTGGCCATGAAGTCATCCAGTCCTGGGCTTTTCTTTGATGACATACTTTTAGTTACTTATTCAATCTATTTACTCATTATTGCTCTGTTCAGATTTCTAGTTTCTTCATGGGTTAGTCTTGATAGATTACATGTTTCTAGGAATTTATCCATTTCTTCTAGGTTGTCCAATTTGTTGGCATGTAATTGTTCATAGTAGTCTCTTATGATCCTTTGTATTTCTGTGTTGTTTCGTTTTTCATTTGTGATTTTATTATTTGTCTTCTCTTTTTTTTCTTAATTAGTGTAGCTAAGCGTTTGTCCATTTTTTTAGCTTTTCAAAAACAAACTTAATTTTGTTTATCTTTTCTATTGTTTTTCTAGTCTCCATTTAATTTATTTCTGCTCTGATCTTTGTTATTCCTTTCCTTCTGCTAACTTTTGGCTTAGTTTGTTCTTTTCTCCTAGTTCCCTCAGGGGTACCATTAGGTTGTTTGTTTGAGATCTTTTTTATCCAGACCATCAACAAACCCTGATGGCTTCTCTTCCTCAACTGCTGCCACCTTGGTCCAAACTACCATCATCTTTTGCCTTCTCACTGGCCCTCTTACCTTTGGCCTTGCCCTTCTGCAGTCTATCCTTACCCAGTAGCCTGTATGATCTTGTTGAAACATGTCATGTGGTTTTTCATCTCTTAAATGACGATAATAAGAGCATTGGGTTAGATCATGGGATTTTCATGTCTATAGGTCAAAATGGTGGAATGTTGCTGAACTTCTTATGGTTCAATCTAATACCTACCTCATGAAGGGTGATAAGGACCTGATGAAGTAGTGCCAGTGCAATGCATTGTGCAGGGGCTGGCCTATAGTAAACTTGAAAAATAGCCATTACTATTGCTTAACAAAGTCCCTGGTGAGTCACACAAGGCCTTCTGAAACTTCGTCCCTGTTTCCTGTCTCCCCTCACATTCCTTTGTGCTTTGTACTTTATATACTGCACTTTGACAATGTAGCCCTTACTGCAGTTTCCTAAACCCATCTGACTTTTTTTTTTTTTGAGATGGAGTTTCACTCTTGTTGCCCAAGCTGGAGGGCAATGGTGTGATCTTGGCTCACTGCAACCTCCACCTCCCAGGTTCAAGCGAATCTCCTGCCTCAGTCTCCCGAGTAGCTGGGATTACATGCACGTGTCACCACGCCTGGCTATTTTTTGTATTTTTAGTAGAAACGGGGTTTCACCATGTTAGCCTGGCTGGTCTCAAACTCCTGACCTCAGGTGATCTGCTCGCCTTGGCCTCCCAAAGTGCTGGGATTACAGGCCTGAGCCACTGTGCCTGGCCACCCATCTGACTCTTTTATGTCCTTTTGCTTTTGATTATATCACTTCCTCTTTCTGGAACCCTCCTCTCTCTAGTCCTTAAAGTTTAGCACCCCACTTCTCTCCCTCCTCTGTGTAGGTATCTTCATTCCTCCCCAGTCTGTCCCACCTTTTTCTGTGTTATTTCTGAATTTTGAACAAACTCATTGTATATATTACAATGATTGATTTACATGTCTGTCTGCCTCTTTACTTGACTCTACTTCCTCAAGTACAAAGGTGGTATTTTATTCATTTTGTCTTCAACATCTTGTACAGTGTGACATAAATAGCTCCCAATAAATATTTGGTGAACGAGTGGGTAAATGAATGAATGGACAAGCTGAGAACATGGACACCCTGTTTTATGATAGCTCTTATATGCCAATGAGTGAGGGTAAGGTAAAGATTAAGAAAACATGCAAACTGCTGAGGCATAATGAACACATTTTAGAAATCAGGTTAAATAGGATGCAGGACTCTAACAGGGCAGGAAGAGAAAGCAGGACTGGGAGGCAGAGATACTGAAATGAATTGTATATGAGAGGATGACTGCCTGCCTTTTGGCCTCTTGGTGGTTCCTGATGGCGTGGCTGGCTTTGGTCCCATGGATGACTGTAGGAAGATGTGTCCTGCCAGAGGGTGAGCTAGCGGGCTGTGGGCTTCACTCTGTTTCTGAGTGATGTGCTACAGAAGCTGTAAGATGGTGAACAGGTTGAAACAGCTGTCTTTTTTAGAGGCCCCAGGCTACACTGGCTTTAGAATAGAATCTCAAATAATTTTTAATTCAAATGAAATAATGGAGGAAAATTCCCCTGTACGATGGAACATTCTGGCCTGGCCTCAAGGCTGGTGGTTTAGGGCTGAGGGTGAATCTGGGAAGGTCCTGCAGGCACTTGTTGAAGTGAGCCCTTCCTCTACAGACCGTTGACCTGGATATGAAAAGTGCTGGTTTGGAAAGAAACTTGTTTGTGTGATAGCTGCATTTCCCTACAGCCCCTGGGAATGAAGTGGAGTGATAGTTATAGGAAAGATAAAGTTAAATGGTGCTAAGATCCTGCTCAGTTAGATTCTTTATCCTGCTATGATGTTTCCCGACAAGAATACATAGGTTTGGATGATAACAGACTTTCTGTCTGGTTATCATCCTGCCTTCTAATGCCTAGTACAGTGCCTGGCAAATGAACAGTGTTCAGTGAATTGTGCTACTAAGGCTGGATCCTTACAACAGAAAAAATGGCCATGGAGTGAGAAATTTAGCAGGTCCAGTTTGCTGGGATTCATTTGGGATAAGGAAACTGAAAGGACAAGATCTCCTGTAATTTTGTTTCATAGCTTAGCTATAGAAGGTAGGACCACCCCAAATTTTCCAGTCTGGTCTGAGTTCTTGGCCCTTAAAATATGTATTATCGCTAGTGAGAGGAAGAGAGTGATTTCATAGTATACTTGCAGTTAAGGGAAATGGTTACAAGCATGGATTTTAGGAGGCAAAATCTCTGCTTACAAATCTTGTCTCTGATACATACTAGCCAAATAATACAGAATTCTTTTGTGTCTCAGCTCCTCGTTTGTAGGATGGGAATAACAGTGGCACCTATGCCCTTAGATTAAATAGGTATGTAAGGTGGTTGGCTTAGTACTTGACAATGAATTAATGTGAACTAATAACATCAGGCTTGATTTCTACAGAACAAAGAAGATGAATTGGTAGTGTAAAACCATGTCCTCTTTGTGCAGGTCGCTGAGAGACCTCAAACCCTAAGAAGGTCAAACCCTAAGAAGAAAATCCTAGTCTGGCTCTCTAAGAATGGAGGCTCCTGATGGGGAGGAGTAAACCAAAAGTCAATGGCTTTTTGTCTGAGACTGACCTGCGGAATAACGTATGTTGGGTAGTGGGAAGACGGCAGAGAGAGTAGTTGGACCTTTCCTTCCCTAGGGACTGCCAGGCTTCGTGAAGATTTGCTGGATCTTCTTTGTGTGCTCATAACAAGGATTTCTTTCTGCATATACAGTACTTTACAGTTTCGTAACGACCCTGTGTGGTGAGCTTCCCAAGTTGCAATGGAGACTTTCAGCTCCCTGTTGCCCAGGGAGGAAGGAGCCTTCTTCTTTCCCAACAGAAAAGGGAGGGCAGGGAGTCCTGTAGGGGCCTGGGAGACACCAAGGGGAGATGCCCTTGGAGTTTAAGTCTGGGGTTCAGATATGGTGTGGAATCTCAAATCCCTGATTACCCCTGGGGTTGTCCACTAGAGGTTCACCCATGCAATGTGCCTGTAGCTAAGATCATTTCCCAGAGGAAAATGAGAGTCTACAAGGAGAAAAAAGTCATGGTCTTCCATATCAATAATGATATCCAGGCTTTGAGTTCTGAAATAAGTTTTCTGGGACTTTAGTCTGATGTCTGTAAATCCCACTCCCCTTTGGATCTGCATATTAACCACTTTTTCTATTGTGGCCCTGATACGGTTTGGCTCTGTGTCCTCACCCAAATCTCATGTTGAATTATGATCTTCCACGTTGGAGGAGGGGTCTGTAGGGAGGTGGTTGGATCTTGGGGACAGATTTCCTACTTGCTTTTCTCATGATAGGGAATGCTCATGAGATCTGGTTGTTTAAAAGTGTGTAGCATCTCCTCCTTTTCTCTCTATCCTCCTCCACCATGATAAGACGTGCTGGCTTCCTCTTCACCTTCCACCATGATTGTAAGTTTCCTGAGCCTGCTCACCTCCCCCAGCCATGCTTCCTAGACAGCCTGCAGAACTGCAAGTCAATTAAACCTCTTTTCTTCATAAATTACCCAGTCTCAGGTAGTTCTTTGTAGCAGTGTGAGAAGGACTAATACAGGCCCACAGGCATAAGGGATACTGAAGAAAGGGGTATGGGAGGATGGGATCTTCTCCAGGCCCACCCAGTCACTGCCCTAAAGGGGCTGGAGTGAGGAGAAGGGCAGCTGAGCCTACACATGTTGAAGGAACCACAGGAAGTGGACACCTGTCAAAAGTTCAAGCATTGGCAATAGCTGGGAAAGGTCTCACTGCTAACTCTCAATCCCCATGAAAAAGAATCGGGGGTATCAATAGGCTCACAAGATATTATTATTTATTGGAGTGACCTTTGTTGCTAAGTAACAGCATGATTTTCAGACTGTATTAAAAAATTATAATTGGCATGAGCTTTAAATAATGTGAGCTGGCATTGGAGACATTAAGCCACGTGGCGGGGATGTAAATTAGCCAGAAAGGTTCACAGGGGGGTCAGTGCAATTGTCAGATAATGCTGAACCAAGTCAAATTAATTTCTAATAATTTGTAGAGGGTAGGCAGCAGAGAAACCACCAAGCTCCTGGAAGCTGTAGGGACCGCAAAGCTCGGGTGTCAGGCTAGAAATATGAGGCCTCACCCATGCCAAAAAGCATTAAAACCAGTAGTTGGAATTCAAGGAATGACCTTATTGAAGTTCGGACTTAATCTCATTCCAAGTCCTATTTTCTTGATTTTGCTTGGCAGAAAATGAAGTAATGACAGAGAGCCAGGGAGAATCTCCTATGCTTGGGCTACCTGCTTAAATGCTGTCCCTGAATTTTCACCTGAGTTAGAACACCAAGTGTCAGCAACAGGTTAAGTGTTGAGCTGATCATTAAGCTAGACCCGATTCCTTCTCAGCAGGCTGAAAATCTAAATAAGCTAGGCAGGCAGAACACCAGGTAAATTAAGATACATCTTATCCTTTCACCCCACTGTGAAATGGAATCTTAATGTACAGAGGCCCTGTGGGGAGAAGAGTAAACTCTGGCTATGGACTTGGAGTGGAGGGGTGAGAGAGGAAGCTGGAGAAGCTGGAATGAGAGATGCTTCCAGTGAGCCTTGCTGCCATTCCCCAGGGTGTAGACATGTGAAGGGCAGAACACATGTCTACTGGTTAATTCTTGTGAACTCCTGAAACTAGGAAAGACAAAGTTGAGATTCTGTGGCTGCACCTCTTTAAGAGGCTTTAGTGTCTTGCCTAGTACTAGGCTGTGCGTGGCACTGGAGGCCAGCCTCTTTGTGGGGCTATTCTGAAATGGTACTGAGAGCAGAGGGAAGGGGTTTGAGTGAAGGCTAATTTTAAGTCTCTTGCTGAACCATTTTAGAAACCTCTGCTCCTTCTGTTTCTTAGGGATGAGCTCTGGGATTGAGGACTCAGGGAAGGAGCTACTATTCTGTCTGTTGTAGACACTATGAATGCTCACCAACGTCTATGCCCCTCTCTTCTTCTTGCGGACAAGGGCAGATGACATTTCGGCATGGAGGAGAGGCATCTAATTCACGCTGGGGAAAGGAGCTACACCGTAGAATGATGTCCTTGCAGTAGGATTTTGAGTATCATGAAAGCCAGTGGGAGACATTATTATTAAGTACTAATAAGTATGGCTGATTTATTATTCTATGACTTTCTCAAATAAGCATGGTCTAGCTCCCCAGCTGATTAAGAAGCCCCAAGTGACTGGGTTTTGTGGTTAGACAAATCTGCACTCACATCCCAGTTTGCCACTTACTTAGCTGTTTGATCTTGGGCAAGCATTATTATACTTAAATTATCTGGGACTTGATGTCTTTTTGGATACGACAGAGATAGTAATAGGCTTTCCCCAGAAGGTTTTGAGGATGAAATGAGATGAGTAGAAAAGCATGTTGCTCAGTGCTTGGCACAGAGTCAGTGCTCAATACATCTTTGGCTGTGTGACACTGAGAGCAGCAAACTTCTTTGTTTTATTTTTGACACGGAGTTTTGTTCTTGTTGTCCAGGCTGGAGTGTAGTGGCGCAATCTCAGCTCACCAAAACCTCTGCCTCCCGGGTTCAAGCGATTCTCCTGCGTCAGCCTCCTGAGTAGCTGGGATTACAGGCACCCATCACCAAACCTGGTTAAGTTTTGTATTTTTAGTAGAGATGGGGTTTCACCATGTTGGCCAGCCTGGTCTCAACCTCCTGGCCTCAAGCGATCTCCCCGCCTCAGCCTCCCAAAGTGTTGAGATTGCAGGCATGAGTCACTGTGCCCGGCCTGATATCACCAGACTTCTTGTTCTGAAGACTTTATGAACAGAACCCCAGATAAGACTTGTTCTTGTGTGCTCCATGGAATTTCTAGATCTTAATTGTTAGTTCAGAATGCCTAGGAAGTGTTTGGGAAATGTTTGTTGGAGTACAGTTCTTTAGAGTCCTAATTAGTCAAGGAGAGATTGTTTCTGGAGGACAGGGGTGTTTGGGAGATGGCCCAGCCCCTCCTCAGAACAAGTGTTGACTTTGGAATCAGACAATCTGGTTCAAGTCCTAGGTCTGTCACTTTCTAGTAGCATGAACTTGTATAGGTGATACACTTTCTCTAAGCCTTGGTCATATTGTCTGTAAAAGGAGGTGATGATTCCTTTGTCACAGGATTGCCATGAAGATACATTATAAAACAAACAACTGACCTTGAGCTGTCCTGAGATTAACCAACACGTAATTTGATATCAATAGAATAGATGATTTTTTTGTTTCCTGTTTTTCCTTGTGTTGAGGATTCCAGAGTTACATAGAGCCAAGGATTTTTAACATTTTATTCTGAAGAATTTCTGAAGAATTTAAGATAATCTGCCAAATATATATATTTTCCAGGTTATAATGATAATATATGCTCTTATAGAATATTTGAAAAAATAAACACACAACACAAAAATAATAAAACATAACCATAAACTATAATTCCGCAACCCAGAAATAATACCCAGTGACGTTCACGTTTCTGTGTCTTTCCTTCCAGCCTTTCTTTCAAGCATATTCAGAATCATACTATGTGTGCAGATTTTTTTAAAAAAACTTAGATTTCCTGAATTTTTATTATATTATGAGCATACTTGTATTATCATTATTCATTAAGAATAGTAATGGTTAGTCATGGCTACACAAATATTCTATTGTTAGTAAGAATGATTGTATATTTAATTGTTCTCCAAATGCTGGGTGTATGGGTTGGTTTTTCATTATAAATAATACTTTGAAGACCTCTGGGTTGGGTGTCTTCCTTTTGCCTCTCTAGATCCATTCCTTACCTTTCTCCATCCCGCTTTCTGCTCCAGGGGGCCCAGAATCTGGTTTTCCTCAATTGTGCTTTTGCCCTCTGACTTACTCTTGGTTTTGGCCCATTTGGGACCCAGGCAATTGGTATATCTATTTTGTCAGCTTGCTGCCTGCTTTGAGAGAAGGTCACAGAACTTCCTAAGATGGCCGCCTTCTTACAGCTCTTTCTCTGTAGATTCTAGCACCTGCTTCCTCTCCATACACTTTCAGACTGTGAATTTAACAGCCACACTGTGAGTTCTGGAGTACCAGTCAATCCCTTGTGTGCTTTTTACACCTGCCCCCGACTTCTGTAAATAATTCCTTATGAAACCTCTTAAAATTATTCCATTTTGAGCTTGCCATCTACTTCCTGCTGGAGCCCTGAATGTGTTTATACATTGTATACACAGTTGTATGTTTGGCAGTCTTTACATATTTGTCTTATCATTCCTTCTATCTAATATTAATACATTTCTACAAGCCAGTTTAAAATAGCTGATCCTTAGTTCTCTCACCTGTAAAGTGACATTAATAATATCTAAACAGTAGCTGGGAGGATAAATGTGATAATGTATGAAAATTCTTTATAACCTGTAAATTGACTTATACATGTAAGACATAGGTTATTACCACCATCTACTTAACCTTGAAGGAGCTGAAAGCCTTTGGTCTGGTTCCAGGATGAAGTTTTGCAATATCAAACCTTGAAATGTTTTCAAAACCCCAAAGTAGCTGTTGCTAACAGGTTTCTTCACCCTGCTACCATAAACTTTACATTCTTGGCTTTACTATTTTTATTTTTTATTTTTTTTTGAGACAAGAGTCTCGCTCTGTCACCCAGGCTGGAGTGCAGTGGCACTTTATCTCGGCTCACTGAAACCTTCGTCTCCCGGGTTCAAGCAAGTCTCCTGCCTCAGCCTCCCGAGTAGCTGGGACTACAGGTGTGCACCACCATGGTATCCAATCTTTTTTTTGGATTTTTAGTACAGGCAGTGTTTTACCATGCTGGCCAAGTTGGTCTCAAACTCCTGACCTCGCGATCCGCCCATCTTGGCCTCCCAAAGTGCTGGGATTACAGGTGTGAGGCTTTACTTTAAGAAGAGGTGATCTTAGGAAACTCTGTGTTGTTCACACACCTGGTAAGCCATTGTTTCTGCATGAAATTTAATAAGGATGTATAGACTAAGGATTCTCTTGGGTGGTATATGCCAATATGTGGTTTGAAGTACTGCTGACCCAGGAGAATTCACTTTTCAAACCAAAGTGAGCAGCCTTTTTTGAGCTCCTGGGCTGATCTAGTCCATTGCATTCAGCGTGGATCTGTTTTTTAAAAAATCCATTCAAGCACATAAGGTAAAATTTGTCTTATTGGCTTTTTGTCTGAAATTTTGGCAGAGCATAGACAGATTTCAGCATTTATTGCTCTTTGAGTGATTTCCAGCTTTGTTCCAGGAAAAATACAATTAATCTTGTGGCAGCCATGATATCAATCCATATGAGGGGCGAGTTGTTTCAGATATCACTGGGATCTCTAACTCCTTTGACTGTGCTCATCTTTTTGGCTGAAGGTGAGTGTAATACACACCAGGGGAAGCCTCTTGCTTCCACTTCTGCAATTGTCTGCAAAGCCCCAAGACTTGCATGGGTGGGGTGGGGGGTCTTGTGCACCCAGCTGTGCTCCATCAGCCCCATGAACACATCTGGGAAAGTAGGTGTGAGAGGCCCCCATGAGTGGATGGGAAGGGGGGTTACAGTGTCATGAGGGAGCAAGAGCAAGATCTGGTTGACTTGCATTTGTCCTGTACACAATGGATGCTGTTTGACTCTGGCTAGGTGAAAGGAGGGGGGTTGTAGTCCTCATATTTGGAGACAGTGCCATTGGCTTCCTTCTTCACACAATCTTTGTTTTCATAGTGGTGTGCTGTAGCATGGAGCTTTATCAGGTCCAGGCCAGCTGTGGGCCCTAGGGCCACTGAATATATTTCTTTTCTTTGCAACAGTTTTGCAGAGCCTAGTATTAGCCCCACTCTGAATCTGGCCCCAGTTGGTTTCATTTCTCCACCTTGATTATCACCCATGCTGATCCTGGGGCCCAGCGTGTTCGAGCCCTCACTCTGTAACCCAACCAAACTGTGATCTTAAACAAGTTGCTTAACGTCTCTGGGTCAGAACTTCCTCGTCTGTATTGGATTAGATCACAATTTCTCAAACTTCTTTCTTCAAACTGCAAGGACACCTCTGACTCCTTCCCACAAGTGCCCTGCTCTCCTGCCAAACTGAATACATTGTGATCTTTTTGTTTCCCAATAAAAACTAATTCATCCCTTGCTAATTTTATCCATTAAAACTGTCCATTTCCTCCCATATCCACAGCTGTTGCCTTGGCCACATTACGTGGGCAGACTCAATAGCCCTAATTGTCTCCTGGTGTCCAAGCTTACTCCCACCCTGGCGTCAGAGTGCTCTTGTCAACTCCTCTCTCTGCATTGCTTACAACCCTTTCATGTTGTTCCCATTGCTCAAGTGATAAAATCTAAAATGTTAAACGATGACCCACTAGGCATTGATCAGCTCTTGTGGTATCACTGCATGTCACTCACTCTTCCCTCATTCTCTGGGAAGGCCACCCTGGCCTCAGTCCAGTAGGACCTTTGTGTAAACTGTTTCTTCTGCCTGGATTATCTTTGCCAGTTAACTGACTTTGCTAATCAATTTCTCCTCATCTTTATAGCTCATGGGTCAGTTTTCCAGATGGGGTCAGATTCCTCTGTGATGGGCTCTGCAGCTGAGTGCCCCTCCCTCACAGCATCATCTCAGGGCGACATCATGTGGGATCTGCCCTACCAGAACGAGGCTGTACCTGCACCAGGCCCAGCATGGTGCCCCCAGCATTTAGCACACGGCCTGGTACATAGTAGTTACCCCATAGATAAACATTAAAGGAAGAAACGAGGGAAGGAGGAAGGGAGATCCAATAGCTCACTTGCTTTGGATAAATTTCCAGTTTCCACTAGAATCTTTTAATCAATGGCTATAATGTGAAATGCCCCATATTCAGGGTACTAGCACTCAGGTTGGAACCCCAGTTGCAGGCAGAGGGAGAGGGATCTGTCTCTCTCTGCTTCCACTGGTACCTTCCTTTTTATTACTGCCATGAGTGGAGGGAGGTGATGCTGGTGCCTGTAGCAGTGTGCATTCTGTTCCTCTGATTGGGCACTGGCAGGGGTCAGGCAGAGCAATAATACAGAGTGCAATTTGACACAAGGATTATTAGTGGTGGCGGCACACATGAACAACGGTGGTAACACGGATAATAGGTTTGCTTTTTTCTCCTGCCGCAGAGAAGCTTAGAAATCATCCAGCCCAGGATGTCTGCAATTTCCTTATTCATCAGCATTTCCTGGGAATTTTGCTGAAATACAGATTCCCAGGTCCAATGCACACATTGATTCAATGAGTCTATGGAAATTCTAATTCAGTAGGCCCATGGAAGGACTTAAACCTCTGTTTTATTAAGTAGGTTAGGAAACACTGACCTAGAGCCCAGTCCCCTTATTTTACTGCATCTTTATTACAGCAGTTTTGAATATCATATAAACATGAACCTACCAATACAGGATTTTTTGTTTTGTTTTGTTTACTCTCATTAAGAAGTCCTAGGCCAGGTTCAGTGGCTCGTGCCAGTAATTCCTGCACTTTGGGAGCCGAAGCAGGAGGATCACTTGAGATCAGGAGTTCAAGACCAGCTTGGGCAACATAGGGAGACCTTGTGTCTACAAATAATTAAAAAAAAATAGCCAGGGTTGGTGACATGTGCCTGTGGTCCCAGCTACTCAGGAGGCTGAGGTGGGAGGACCACTTGACCCCAGAAGGTTGAGGCTGCAGTGAGCCACGGTGGCACCACTGCTGTCCAGCCTAGGTGACAGAGTGTGACCCTATCTCAAAAAAAAAAAAAAAAAAAAAAAAGAAAAAGAAACCTTACATCTTTTTTTTCATATGACATCTAATTTTTTAAAGTGCTCTCACTTCTCTTATCTCATTTGATTCTCATAAAAACCCTTTAAAGTCATTGGGACTACCTCCAGCCACCCTCTTGTAGCTTTTGTGGGCGCTGAGAGGGAAGGCGGCCCAGGGGAACAATTGTGGAGGCTACCGCAACATGTCAGTGGCACCTCTGGTTCCACAGCCTTCACACTTGTTTTCTTCTCTAGGAAATGCTTCTATTTAATTCTAGAATGCCACATACCTTATTTCATACTTTATAATATTTAACTTCTGTATTAAACATCTGCAATTAGCCTTAACAAAAATGATTGATGGCCAGAAATTCTCTTGGGCGCCCCCTTCCTCTGCATGAGGAAGCTCTCTCTCTGTCTTCTTTTTTTTGTCTATTAAACCTTCTGTTCCTTAAAAAAAAAGAATGATTGATGGCCTTTCCTCATTTTTAAAAGGAGTGCTTTACAGATACATGAAGGTAAGAAGCTGTTAGAGGAGCTTTTATGGCAGATGGTTCTTGGCAGCAATTGCTTTGCTTTTATGGCAGTCTGGAAATTTTCCTGGGTAATAACTTTCTTTTCTTTTAACAGGCATAAAACAAAGAGGTTCTAGATAGTTGGATCATTATCAAATGATTTTCCGAAGACAACCGTAAATTGTCAATAGCATTTAGGCAAAAACAAGAGTTGCCCACATCTGGAAATCCAATGCATAAATTTAAAAATTTTCCTCTTTTGTGGTTTATGATACTCAGCTACCCAAACTGTTATTCCTTAAAGAGCAATTAGAGTGGGGAACTGGGAGAAAGAGATTTGGGGAAAGTTATTCATGCAACTTCCCCAAGTGGTAATATTTCTCCTGTGAGCAGAGAAATTTACATTTGGTCTTGCTCTCTGCAAAGCTTCAGTTTTGGCTAAGGAGGCAGAAAATTTAAACTGTGAAAATTAGCACAGAGAGAAATTTGATGGGACTGAAAACAAAACATGCTATTCGTGTCCATTAATTCACTTAACCACTATTTTAAACCTCTGTTATATGATTATATACCAGGTTTTGTGCAAGGCACTGCAGATTAAGGTGCTAAAGAAGCAAATGTGGATCACGGCCTGACAGGAGAATGCCATTGGATAGAAGCCTCGTACTGTGCTGTATAAAGAAATCATCATCCAACTCACAAATGCTGATTTATTGAGTGCTTACTTTATGCCAGGAACTGTGCCTTACACACATTAACTCACTTAACCCTTACGACAACCCTGAGATGTAGACACCTTTATTAATTTCATTTTGTCACTAAGTGAGGCACGCAGAAGTTAAGTAACCTACCCAAGGTCACCCAGATAGTAAGCAGCACCGGGATCGGAATCCGTCAGTCCAGTCTCTCAGACCACGCACTTGTATGGCAGGATTCTCCCTCAACAAATCCTTGCCGCATGAATGAATGGATGAAGTAATTGCAAGTGTGCTGAGACTTTTCAAAGGGGAAGTACAATATGGCAGAGGGGTTTAATCCAGTTAAACCCCTCTCTGAGAAGGTGGCGTTTCTGAGAAGGTGGCGTTTCTGAGAAGGTGGCGTTTCTGAGAAGGTGGCATTTAAGCTGAGTCCCAGGATGGGACCATGGAAGGGAGTGGTAGAGCTTTGCAGAATGTGAAGGTCAGGAAGACAGCAGAGATCTTGAGCCAGCAGGAACCTTAAACCTTAAAGATCATCTAATATGATCTCATTTCATAGATGAGAAGATAGGGGCACAAATGATGGTGCAGAAACCTGGGATGACTGGCTTTAGGAAAGGCCCTCAAGTGGCTAACTATAGTAAAAATGGAGAGATATATTTTTAAAAGCCCATTTACTCCGTTACACCATTAGGCTACAGCAGGGCTTTCTAACCTTTGTCACATCATGGCACACATAAAAAAAGGCACTATTTGGATGGTAAAAGGAGGTTAAAAGGAGACAGCTATTTGTGGCTAGTGATGGCCACAAGGACTCTGGGTGCTCTAGGCCCCACTAGACGGATGCTGGGTACATCTGTGACCATTCCCAGTATGGAAAACCCAGCACAGATATATGTGAATGGCTCCCTGGCACCACACTTCTCTGCTTCCCTCTCCCACTTTGCTGTCCTCCTGCTCTCATCCCTTGCATCTTCAGTGTGTGGGTCCACACAGGCCCAACCTCACGGACACTGGAAAGCCTGGAATCCACACTTGGAAATCTCTTCTCCTCCCCAGCATAGCCTAGTGCTCCACACTGGCCTTTTTTCCTCCAACCCAACAAATGGCCATTCTGTCACCATTAACCTTTTTCTATTGGACAGAAACAACCCAATCACACTCACATTTACTTGTGAACGATTTGCTCTCTATTCTCCTAAGACAATATAAGGGTTTATTTACCTTGTGAAGGAAGGGTTAGTTAACTAAAGGGAGTGAATATTAGAGCCACGGTGATGTTGCCTGGTAAAGAAGGCCTCCCTCCACTAATCCCACAAGGACACCTGGGAAACAAGTCCCTTTTCTCCAGCAATGTTAGAAGTGTACTGTCTCTCCTTTCAGCTATAAAGTGTGATATATTTCCATAAGCCCAGACTAGGTAAACTTTCTTATGTTTTTGTATCTGGGAGCTTATTAGTGGACACTAGGTTCTCTTAATTGCTGGATAGCAGCATAGGGAATGCTTAATGGTACATGGAGAAAAGATGTTGACAAGGTGAAATAGATCTGGCACCTTAGATGTATTTGCATGTAGATGAGAATGTCTGATTGAAGGTGTAGCCTGTTTGTTTTTATTAACAGTTCCAGGATGGGCAGAATCTTAGAGGTTACCTTCTGGTGGGAAGGAGAGAAGAATTGTGTCTAAGAGTCAAGGAAACCTAACTTAAGAACTTCAGAAGCAAGTAGTGAATTCAGTGGTGGACAGGTGGAGATTGCTTGCCTGGCTTATAAATTGTCCTCTGTGTATGTCTGTGTACATTGGTACTGGGCTAGAGGCTCCCACGGCACTCCATCTCCAACCTTTTTGCCTCTCTCAGCTTGATGTGATGGTGCCAATTTCTGACTGATAAAGACATGCCTGACCTTGCCTCTTTCTGTGCTTGGATTCGTCAAGTGGGAGACACACAACTCCTCCTTTTGGAGCATTCTCTGGTCAATTAAATGTTCGGGCGATGGCTACTTGCACGAGTACGATTTATCTTAGCAGTGTGGACCTGGCCAACAGTTATCTCATCAGCAATTTGGGCAGTAAGGCCTTAGGTGGTGGTCAGGGCAGGTTAGCAATTAGTTAAGGATTCAGCCCGACTTCACTTACGTAATGTGGAGCATGAGATGTCTGCTGTGCCTGTCACACCTGAGCAAAGGGTACTGCAGCCTCAGTCACTCACCAAACAAGACTGCAATCTGAGGTTGTTAGTCACATTCTGGAGGCGGACCCCTAGTGGGGGTTTCTTAGCTGTTGCCTGGAAGAAAAGAAGAAATTTGGGCTTCACTTAGCAGATGCCACTGTTCTAGTTTCTAGGGAGTACTACCCAACTGGGACATTCAGATGTATCTTTAGATATATCTTTAACCTATATATATATATTTTTTTTTTGAGGCAGACAGGAGTTTTATTATTAGTCAAATCAGTCTCCCTGAGCTTTTTAAGGACAGACTTTTTAAGGACAACTTGGTGGGTATGGTGCAGGGAAGCCAGTGAGCTGCGAGTGCTGATTGGTCAGGTCAGAGATGAAATCATAGGGAGTTGAAGCAGTCTTATTGTGCTGAGTCAGTTCCTGGGTTGGGGGCACAAGATCGGATGAGCCAGTTTATTGATCTGGGTGTTGCCAGCTGATCCATCAAGTGCACGGTCTACAAAATATCTCAAGGCACTCCTCTTAGGTTTTACTATAATGATTTTATCCCTAGGAGCAATTTGGGGAGGGTCCGAATCAGAATCTTGTAGCCTCCAGCTGCATAACTCCTAAACCATAATTTGAATCTTGTGGCTAATTTGTTAGTCCTACAAAGGCAGTCTAGTTCCCAGGCAAAACAAGGGGTTTGTTTAGGGAAAGGGCTGTTATCATCTTTGTTTCAAACTATGCACTATAAACTAAGTTCCTCCCAAAGTTAGTTTGGTCTATGCCCAGGAAGGAACAAGGACAGCTTGGAGATTAGAAGCCAGTTGGAGCTGGTTAGGTCAGATCTCTTTCATTGTCTCAGTTATAATTTTGCAATGGCAGTTTCAATCCCTCCCTTTGGGTTTTATAACACCTTAATCCTAAGGTGTTGGTTAATGGAGATGGGAAAAAGGTGAGGACCACTCTTCTTCCTGCTGACCCGTGGTGTAGTTGGGGTAGGTGTTGACCCCAAGGCGAGAGGAGTGGAACTGCTTTGCAACTGAACATATTCACGCAGGCCTGGTTGGGATTCCAAGGCTTGCATGACAAAGGCATTAGTATTGTCATCTATAGTTTTAGTACCGCCTTCAAGAGAACAACGTATTATAAGGTAAATAATGAGTACTAAGATAAGGAGTGCAATTCCCACTTTTAAAAGTGAAGATTTGAAAGCATTAGTTTGGGGACTTGTAGTCCACAGAGAATTTAGGATTTAGTCCAAACTGCAGAAAAAAACTGAGAAACAACTAATAATAGGTGTACTATAGTTTTTTTGAAGCGTATTTTTTTGTCTCTCCAGTCCCCATTTTTATTAAGAATAAATCATGATAGGACTGATTTGTTTGCAAAATGAACTTTATTCTTGTTATACTTGGCCTGTTATTTGCATAAAGCACAGCAAGACTAATTATTAAATATTTTTACATAGGTTATTTTTAGTATTGGGTTTGCTGAAACTTTGTTTTATAAGGAATCTCAGACTGTACTTTTTAAAAGCCTTGAAACCCAGTCACAAATTTATCTATGCCTGCAAGTACCTGTGAATTTCTCACCTTGAGGTCCCAAGATAACTTGGGGCTCCTGGGCCTGTCAGAAAGTGACATTCTTTACTTACCACAGGTCAGGAATCCTGTAGAGGGACTGGGTAGACAAGGTATGAGGCCACCTTTCTTGAGAGACTTTTATTGGCTCTATAAGTCAACTTTGATTCCTTAAAGAAAGCATGCCATTTTGGTCAAAGCCTTGGTAAAATAACAAGTTTCTCCAATTGTGTCCTGTTACAAAAAACAGATTCTTATTGCACTATGCTGCCATAAGTCGAGAATACTCACAAATCATTTCTAAATTCTGGAGAAATCAGGTAGAGAGAAAGCAATATGCTTCAAATTTTGTTCCCAGGAGTATACTTTACTCACTTTCTAAAAGTTGTAAATAATTCAAAAGAGTTAAGTTTTCTTGACTCTGGAAACAAGAGGATTATCGATGTTTAACACATCAGCTCTCCATGAGAGTCCTAGAAGTTTGTTTTCTTCCTCTATTCCAATAGCACAATTTTTAAAGATATCAGAGACCTGACTTCAAAGGTAGCTGTCAGAGTCCTATATCTGTTTACAAACTACCTTTTGAAAGGGATCAAAGCAAGACGAATTGTCTATGGATGACAAAAGTCTTAGGACAGCCACTATTAAAGATGACATATACCTAGGCACGTCAGAATTATAGGAATCTTACACAATTTTGTAACACATACTAATAACATATTTATATAAACAGAAGAAAGTTAAACATCATTTTGTATTTAACCTATATGTTCTTATGCAAAGGAATTATCTGTAATGAGACAACATCCCCATCAATCTTAACAAATACCTGTTATCTACCTGGGTGTGTGCATTTAGTCACTACTTTACTGTGTGTCCTTTCAAGTAATACAACGACCTCTAGAGTGGAAGAGTTTTGCTCCCTTCCTTTCTCCCTCCCTCCTTTCCTTCCCTTTCCCTCCTCCCCCTCCTACTCCTCTTTTTCCTCCCTTTCTCTTTTCCTACCTCCCTTCTTTTTTCCCTTTCTTTTTCTTTTTCTTTCTTTCTTTCACCTTTCAATGTATCATAGCATAATCCTTTGTGTTCCGCTGTGTGAGTTTTCTAGCTTAAGAAACTTAGGGACAGTTAATCTTCGTGGTTCCTTGGGAAAGTAACAGCTAGTATCAGCTTTTGCATACAAATGGGAGAAGTAAAGCACTGACAAGGAAATGTCTTCTCCATACTTGATATACATTAGGATGAGGTCTTTCATTTGTTGAATTTTAAAACAAATCTAGTATGGTCACATGTCAGTTAATGACTGGGATATGTTCTGAGAAATGTGTCATTGGACAATGTCATTGTGTGAACATCTTAGATTGTACTTACACAAACTTAGATGGTATAGCCTGCTACACACCTAGGCTATATGATATAGCCTACTGCTTCTAGGCTGCAAACTTGTACAGCATGTTACTGTATGAAATACTGTAGGCAATTGTTATACAATGGTAAGTATTTGTGCATCTAAACATAGAAAAGGTACAGTAAAAATACAGTATTATAATCTTATGGGACCATCATTGTATAATAATCTTATAATGAGATCACCGTTGTATAATAATAGTCTTATACAGTATAATAATCTTAAAAGTGATCTGTTCACTTACAAGATCTGTTCAACAACAGATCACTTATAAGATTGTTATACTGTATTTTTGCTTGTACCTTTTGCATGCGTGGTAGAGATATTGGCTATTTCTGTGTAATAAGACATTCGATAACTCAGGAGCTTAAAACATTTATTATAGTTACAATATAATGTAGTAGTTATTATGTTATTATATATTATTATGTTATTGTTATAGCTCTGGAACCTGGGGGTTGGCTGTAGGCCTGCTGATCTTGGCTGGACTTGGCTGGGTGGCTCTGCTGATCTTGGCTGTATCACATGGTCCCACTAGGCTGGGCATGGCCAGATTTGTTCTGCTCTGTGCATCCTTCATCTTCCTCTTGGGCCAGCAGGTTAGCCTGGGCAAGCTCTTTGCAAGGTGGTAGCAGAGACCCAAGAGGACAAGCAACTTGCAAGGCATTTTAAGTCCCTGGCACACCATACCATCACATCTATTCCACTCTATTGGCCAAAGTGAGTCCCATGCTGAATAAAATGAAGAGTGCAAGGATGGGTCAAGAATTGGAACCTAGAATGCAATGCACCACGTCTAGTGGATGACAGATTCACATAATAATATATATTTTTTCTTGGTGGGAGTGGTAAGGAATGAATATGGAGAGTGCAGGAATTAGGCAAAACAGATGTGATCCCAAGACCAACTTTACAGTTTGTTTTGTGTGCATGTGCATGCACACACACACAATGTTAAATAACAAAGAAATACAATCATTTTTAAAAACCCGGAAAACAAATACTCCTACTGTTATACTGGAATGTGTTTATCCCCCATTCTTCCACATATTGTCTGTGTTTTTATGCTTTAATTCTCATCTTAGCTTATTTACTCAATTAAAAAAGAGATTCAACCATGGAAAACTCCATCACTCATCACTCAGTAAGATTTGCTCTGGGAAGGGGTGCATATAATTTTGCAGACTCATTAACTATTCATTTTTTTAATTGCACATTCTGGATGCTGTTGGTTTATGTAAATGTTTCTTTGGCGTTAAAAGTGACCTTGTTTATTACCTCCTAGCCTAAAAGAAACTACTGCTTATTAAAGAATGAGAAGATAGGTCACCTTTTAAGGTTTGCAGAAAAGGTTGTCACCAGATGAACTGGAAAGGTTTGACTCAATCAATACCAACTTTTGTCCTTTCAAGTCATGGAAGGAACATTTATTATAAAAACTGCAGGAACAGGCCCTTGCCCTAAATAAAATGATGTAAGTATTGGCCTACAGGCAAATTTGGAAAAACAACAACAAAAGTCTACCAAAGGACAGGATTAAGTGAAATTTCTTAAACAGATTTTTAAAACCGTTGTGAACTCCCTTTGTCTGTCTTGAGTAACTGTGTTACTGTTTAATGAGATTATTTTGATGTTTCCACCAGGTTTGAGTGCAATGTATAACAAAGTGTTCTTTCTATTCCCCTTTCCTCCCAAGGAAATGTCTTTCTGTTGGGCTAACAGTTGATAGCTGAATTATTATACCCAATTGTTCTGATTTATATATTCCAGGTCTGCCTGTAGGATTTTATATTCTGCCTGCCTTTGGGCTATGCTACACTGGGGAACCAGATCGACTTCCTTTTTTCTTTTGCCATCTCTAGCAAGTTAGTGGCACTGGCTGTGCTGATTCTCCATCTTTGCCCTCTCAAATGCTGCTCTCTGACTCCTGTCACTGAGATGTAGTAAAATGTTCTCTGTGGTATAAAGAAGGTAGTTCTAGGTTTGGCTCCCATGGGAATAGCCTATGATACTGGGAAAAATGCTTTCATCCTCACAGTCTCAGTTTTCTTATTGCAAAACAAGAGAGTTAGATTAAGTAATCTCTTTCCAGCTCTAACATTCTTGGATTTTAAGTGCCCTCCAGTCTCTGCTGTGACTCGTTGATGCTGATTGACAACCTTAGGGAAGTGAGGAGACTTGCAAATACCCAGAGTTGGCTGGAAGCAGCATAGGGATAGCATGTGCACTCCAGAGTCCAGGGCAGTGCCCATGCTCTCACTCATATCCCTCTTCACAAACTGTTCCCCTTGCTAGACCTTTAGTATACAAAATGTCTGCACTATGCACTTTGGCACATGTACGTAGAGTACAATTTAGTGGGCTCCTTTCTTAACTTCAATTACCATTTTCTGAAGTGTTCATGAGCTCCTGGCAGATAGGACTATGGCTTTTCTTTCTTATTTTCATCTGACAGTAGTTTATTCAACAGCGAATGCCTACTATGTGCTAAGGTACTGCATTGCATGTTGGGGATGGATGCAGTGGTGATTGAGAAAGATAGATGTGAGTTAGGGCAGAAGCTGGAAGTGAGTTTGATTTCCAAGATGGGCAAAACTTTGCCTGGGATCCAGTGTCAGGTTACTTTTGCTCTGGTTTCCTTCTAAGCCAACACATTAGAATAGCAGATATAAAGGAGATGAAGATGCAGGTTGGTGATGAAACTCCCCCAGGTCTCTCATGTAATTATATTGAGATATGTCAGAGGTTTGGTGGTCTTGGCAATCTATGTGGAGGGGGTGCTCTTTGAATTTTATAACTCCTGCTACTTTAACATCTGTAAACTATATATATATATATCTATATCTATCTATCTATCTATCTATCTATATTTATATCTATATCTATCTATCTATATATCTATCTATATATATCTATATATATCTATATCTATCTATCTATATATATATCTATATATATCTATATATATATCTATATATATACACACACATATGTGTGTATATACACATATATGTTATTTGCATGTACATATATATATGTATATATATATCTCAATAATTTTGACACTCATTGAGGCATGTTACTCTAGGTCTAATGCCCAATCCCCATATTCTAGGCCTGGAAAAAAATCTTACTGTATCAGCACTAAGACAATCTCTCTTAGCCTAATTTCAAGACCAAAGGTTTTTAAACTTACATCCTCAAAGAACCTTCGTATAATCTCTTTCCATAGTCCTGGAGCTCACATGCTCTGTGATTGTCTAGTGTTGACTCAGAGTGACCTCAAGGAAAACCAGAACTCCCCAGTTAACCATTTGTTGTTTTTTCCCTCTAGGAGTGGACAAATTCAGATAATTTGTGTGTACTACTTAGTGTTAGGCTGTGAAATTTTTCTATGATTCGGCCATACTCCTTTCTCACAGGAAGAGGAGCTTAATTTCCCTCCTATTAAGGCTGATTTTCTCTGTGTGCTTCTACTTCCCATGTTGATTTATGGAACCTCATAAGGTTTGCTCTCTTGTATTTGTAGTTGAGGTCTTAATAAAAAATTAGATAACATCTGTCTGTCTTATTTTTTAATCTCTAAAATAAAGATAACCATCCCAATGGCATTAGATTCTTGTAAATATTTAGTGATACGATGCCTGTGAGAGAATTTAGCTCTATACAAGAGACTTAATATATGCTCAAGTGTTTGTCCTACCTGATTTAGTTATAAAGATATTAAAAGACATACAAAGATGGAGAAGTCTAATAGTCCCATTCCTTATTATTACTTGTATTTTCATGTTAAAGGCTTAAGTGTTAAGGACTTGGAAGACAAAATTCTTGAGTCCTGTTGCTTACTAACTTGGAAAATTTACTTTTGCTGGTTTCCTCATCTGTAAAATGGCATTGGTACTACTACTGATTCCCATAAAGTTGTTGAGAGGATGCAGTCACTTGTATAAAACACCCAGCACAGCACTAGTGTACAGTGGGCATAAATGTTAGCTACTGTCCTTGTTCCTTTAAAATTTTTGTTCACTTCCATGTGCATGTTTATTTCATTGTGATTTTAATGTCTGTACAATTGTGTATCCTGAGATTTTAATTTAAACAAGTTTGCACAGAAATTTAATTTTAATTAGCTTTAATGGTTTGTAACAATCAATAAAACTGATACACTATCGGCTACTCTTGAATATTTAGATTATTCCTCTATTTTTAGTATATAAATATACCAATAATGAGCAGATTAATACATTTGATTTCATCCCATGTATTGAATGATAGCTTTACAATAAATTCCCAGAAGTGGCTTACTGCATTAAAGGGTATGTATACCTTATAGGTAATTATCTACTGCTATACTGCTTTCCAAATAGCTTGCACCAGTAGACATGGATGTTTCAAAGATTTGGCAACATGGAGAAAGATTTTGGCAATTCAGCCACTAGGTCTGGTCTTTTAAGCAGTCACTTTGAGGACTTAGCAAAGAAATGAAAAAGTGATGTCTGCTTTGTCCCACTCCTTACTGGCTGTTCCCCTACTGTATTTGTCTGTTTTCATGCTGCTGATAAAGACATACCCGAGACTGGGTAATTTATAAAGAAAAAGTGGTTTAATGGACTCGCAGTCCCACGTGGCTGGGGAGGCCTCACAATCATGGTGGAAGGTGAAATGCACATCTTATATGGTGGCAGGCAAGAGAGAATGAGAGCCAAGCAAAAGGGGAAACCTCTTATAAAACCATCAGATTTCGTGAGACTTATTCACTTCCAGGAGAACAGTATAGGGGAAACAGCCCCCAGGATTCAATTATCACCTGCCAGATCCCTCCCACAACACCTGGGAATTATGGGAGCTACAATTCAGGATGAGACTTGGGTGGGGACACAGCCAAACTGTATCACCTACCCAATACCACACTGTGGGAAACAGAGAAGAGGCAGCTGTTGGTGGGCAGCTGCTCTGGCCTGAGGTATTGTCCCATGCTGCCTTCTCCTTGGCTATTCAGTAGTTTCCTCTTACATGCTCACTCTCAACTTATTCCTCAGTATTTTCCCAGGCAGTTCTAAGTTCTTGGAAACCTGTTTTTGGATCCCATGTCCTGGTTTCCTAACCTGACTCTTTATATCACCCTTCCCCTCCTTATCTCCAATCAAATCCTCCCTCACTTGACGCCAGGTGGCTCCTGAAGCCCAGGGTAAACTATCCTCTCGGCTGTGGGGAATTTCCACCAGCCTTCCCGGGGAGTACCTAAGCTCTCGATTTGATGCTGGCATTTTGCACCTGCTCAGCAGGTAATAAAAACAGTCTCCCCTGAGCACAAAGAGCCAACACAAAGAGGGGAACTGAACTGAGAGCTATGAGTGCAGGTCCTAGAATCAGCTTCTTAGATCCCACAGAGTGAAACCTCCATGAAAGAACTGCTATTTCTCTAGAATAGCACCATCTTCTTCAAAAACACCTGCAGAAGAGGAAACCATTTGGAACAATCTATTAAAGTTGAATATACGCATATACTATGACTTAGCAGTTCCATTCCTAGGTGTTAACAGAAAGGAGTTCCTATATCAACTAAAACACATTGTGCTAGAATGTTAATAGCAACACTATTCATAATACCATAAAAATTGGAAAAAGAATATCCATTTAAGGAAAATGGATAAGTAAAGTGGAAAATATTCACAGAAAGGAGTACCATTCAAAAATAAGAATGAACACACCGAAAGTACATGCAACCACATGAATGAACCTTACAACCATAATGATAAATGAAAGAAGCCAATCACACAGGAGCGCACACTGTGTGCATCCATGCAACGTCAGCCCAATGGCTCCTAGTTGGGGGGAGTGGATGGGAGAGAGGATGAGAGGGCTGCTGGCATTCTGACAATGTTCTATTTTTTCATCTGGGTGCTGGATGTAAAGATTCGTTGAGCTGCACATTTACAATTGGTGTACTTCTCTGCAAATGTAATCTACAAAGAATATTCCAGAACTCAGCCTAAGTGATGTTTTATTTAGAGTTTAGGATTTTTTTTTTTTTTTTGGCTCCCTGTGTCAGCGTTGCTTGGCAGTTAAAATGGAAGGAGATGACTAGTAATGGCATCTCTGTCTGTGATTCTTCTGCCTTGGTATTATCTCTTAGTAGGATGCAAGACTGTGTCTTACATACCTCTCTGGCTCTGCTGCTTACCTGAGTGCTTGGCACATATAAACTGATCAGTATGTTTAGATAAACTATTTGCTGAAGAGGGCAAAAGGCCTCTCTAGGATTTAGGTAACTAAGGATTCATCCAAATAATTGTAGCAAAAAAATAAAAAATAAAATATCGGAACTTGCTTAGCAACGTGGTGAGTATTGAGTGGTCCCAGGAGAGTTGTTTCTCTGGAAGAGGACCAGCTGTTTTCACAACAGTCCTAATGAGGATGAGTAAATCCGAAGGGTCAAGTCCTTTGGTCAGGTCTGTCAGGCTGCAAGTGGGGAGAAGACAGAGAGAGGTTTGTGCTTGAGCCCATCAAGCTGCAGTGAAGGGAACTTGGTTTGAAGGTGCTGGGGTGAACCAAGTGGGTGCAGTGCTGGGAGAGTAGGCCACAGCCACCAGTAGGCAGTCTAGATATCAGTTGCTGGGGCCAATCCAAAGTGTGGGAAATAGAAGGTTGAAGCATGGGAGCAGTTGGGGATTGGTGGTTAATGTAAGCAGAGGTCTGCAACCCAGGGAGTCAAATAGCAGGAATATGACAATAAGTAAAATTTTGAAACATGTTTGATTGAAGGATCAAGGCTGGTTTATTAAGCATTTTACTATGTGCAGACATTTTTCTAAGTAATTAAAAATACTAATCTCATTTAATACCCACAACAACCTAATAAGGTAAATATTATTGTACCTGTTCACAGATGAGGAGCTGAGGTTCAGCAAGGTATAATTTATTCAAGATCACGTAGCTTTTCTGACTCAAAAATGTTGTTTCTTAACCACCAGTTTTTTTTCTTCTTCTTTTTCTTTTTTTTTTTTTTTGAGACAGCATCTTGTTTGATCATCCAGGCTAAGTGTAGTGGCATGATCATGGTTCATTACAACCTCAAACTCCTGGGTTCAAGTGGTCTTCCCACCTCAGCCTCTCGAGTAGCTGGGACTATAGGTGGCACCGCCATGCCTGGCTAGCTTTATTATTATTATTATTACTATTATTTAGAGACAGGGTCTCACTATGTTGACCAGGCTGCTCTTAAACTCCTGGGCTCCAGCCATCCTCCTGCCCCAGCCTCTCAAAGTGCTGAGATTAGGCATGAACCTCTGCACCCCATCCAGTTTTATAGCCCAGATTCAAGTGCAGAATTCCAGTTTTTAGATAAAAGTAAGGAGGAAGATCAGGCCTGGGAAGAGGAGCAGGGCCTAGTTTGGTAGGGACTAGAGTACCTGCACAAGTATTCAGGGCAGAGGTGGCAATATAGAGAAAGAAGATGGAACCCTGTGCTGGAAATGCATCAAACATAAAGATGAACTAATAATAATTTTCTGAGCTATTCAGCTGCACCTCTCAAAGCCCGAAAAATTAACTTTCAGGTAAAGGATCAAGTGGCCTTAGCCACAGGGGAAGTGCACTTTGGGATGTGGGAAGGACAAAGGCTGGGCCAGGGCTATTCTGCTTGCCCAGCATCCATTGCCTGTTCTAAAAAGAGCGCCTGAGTTTGCTTTGGGGAACTGCTGCTTCTCCTTTTGAGACAATCTTAGTGAGTCTGTCAATCAAGGTGCCCCACCTTTATGTGGTAAAGGGATGGCTATGTGGCACAACGGAAGCTGACTAAAATCCCGAGTGGTATGACAAAGGCTGAAAAAATAAAGCATTAAACTAGGGAGAAGCAACCTGAAGGCTCCATGCATTTTTCTTACAACCTAGAAACCCAAAAGGGATCTGGCTCCTGTCCTTTCTGAGACTTCGTTCTTTGCCTTGTTCTTGGATTCTGTGAGCTCACCCTCATCCTTCTGAAGATTGCTATATTTTAAAGATAGGTAGAGAAGCTTTCTGTTGCTTACAACCTAAAAACCCTGCCTGATTCAAAGGCAATACATATGAGGATTGTAAAAGGCCCAGACGATGAGTTTCTTTCAAGAAGGGACACTTTCTTCTTTGATTTCAGAGGTCCTAGTTCAATGCCTTCTACATGATAAGTGCTCAGTAAGTGTTGGTTTAATGAACAAATAAATAAATGAATACAAAGAAGACCTTACATCATTCAGCCCACTGAAGTCATGTAGGCATTGCTAAGAACTGGTGGTAAGGCAAATCAATTAGTAAGGCAGCATCTTTAAGCCTTCATGCCAATCATTTTAATTCAGCCAAGAATACTTCCTGTTATGCAAGTAAAACAAAGCACATCTTCATTTTTACTGCAGCCGCCATTTCTCCTGAGAGAAATGGGGTTATTGTAATTCTTAGTTGAAATACATAAGGCTTACTCATCCTGTGCATAAAATTGATAACTTGTACATCTGGGACTGTCTATTTCTTTCCTATTAATCCATTTTAGACTTTATAAGTCAACTGAGCATTCAGCTTTTGAAAAATGATTCTGGAAAATTATTTTGCACAAGTACTAGTAAATACTGGCATGTATTCCTGGCAGGGGATGAAAATATTCCATTTAGACTCTGGTGGCCCCATGAGCAGAAATAGTGGCTGGAGAATTGGTTGGGTTGGACAGCAACAAAGCGTGTGCATGCTGGTCAGTTGTACTTTCCGAGTTCCTTTCTATTTAATGAAGATGATTTATTTTAAAATTTCACAAGGGAGGATCAGGCAGATGAGAGACACATACATACATATCAATAATCAGAATGACTAGTAGCGGGAAAATTGTTAGCTTTATTCCTTGGGTTCATGTATGTGGTCAATTGGAAGATTCTAATGATGTCATTAAGTTTATGTCTGTAGACTATAAGCATGGCCAAGCTGTTAATCTTTATATAAATTGTAAGCAACAGGATATTTTGCAGCTTTTAAATGACATGACTCCTGGCAAGTTTAGCCTATTTAATTCTGCTGTTGGCCATCTCTCTGTGCTGAAGGAATGGAAATAATGGCTTCTTAGAAAATGCCTTTTTGTGGACCCGAGAGATACTAAAATCTTTATAAGCTGACCCAGCACTATTGTTTAGATCAAGGGTGGTGGGTTATTGGATTAGCTGTGGTTGCTACTATAGGCACATCTGACTTTAGAACAGGTCTCTGTCAAAATGGTAAATAGAAGATTAGTAGAATTAATCTGATAATTAGAGCAAAATTTGCAATCTAGTATTTTGTGGCTAAGACTTATTTTAAGATCCAAAACTTGGAAAATTACTGCAGCTTTCCATTTACACTTTTGTTAGTATAAACCTGAACTAATTTAATTACTTCATCTTTGAAGGAATTAATTTATTTTTCATAACTGGCCCCTCCACTAGTCTATTTTAGTTCCTGCCTTGCTGTAATGTAAAGTTAACTAATTTTTTTCTGCCTCTCAAAATTAGTTTGAGAAACTATGGTAACTATATATGGATGCCTAAAGCTGTATGAGAATTGCATGGGGTACAGGTGGAGGGATTATCGTTTTCATCATCACGAATGTGATCCTTATTTGAAATGTATAAAAAGCAAACTTGAAAAATTCACTTTTGGAAAATGAATGCTCTGTTTGGACTGTGCCAGGCCTGGCAGGTGGTAGAAGCCAGTTTTGGATCCAGTGAAGGGAGGTCTCAGGAGGCCTCTAGAGCTGGTGGGCCAGAGAAGGGCTGAATCCAGGGTGGACTTAGAGGCAGTGGCTGTGGCAGAGCCTGGGGCCTGGTGATGCAGACAGATCTGACTTATTCCCTGAAACCAACTGTATTAGCCTCAAAATCTGGGTAGTCAGGCCAATGCCAAAGGATCAATTGATTTTTTAGCTTGGGTCCAGCGAATACAAGTCTGATTTGTCAGCCAAGAAGAACAAAAACACAAAAAAGAGTAACAGGAGGTAAATCTTGGGAAGAATTTTGGAATCAGCAAGTCAGAAGCCAGGCAGAGAAGCTGGGCCCCAAATGAGGCAAGAGTTTGAGGTCAGAGTCTTGCCATGGGTTGAATTGTGCCCCTCAAAAGACATAGTCCCAAACCCCAGGAACTGTGAATGTGGCCTTATTTGGAAATAGGGTTTTTGTGATGTTATCAAGTTAAGATGAGGGCATTAGGGTGTGTCTTAAGCCAAGATGACTAGTGTCCTTATAAGAAGAGGAAAATGTCGCGTGAAGACAAGCAGACAGAGGGAATGCCATGTAAGGACAGAGGCAGAGACTGGGGCGATGCAGCTGCAAGCCAAAGAATGGCCAGGGTTGGCTGGGGGGGTGTGGCTCACGCCTGCAATCCCAGCACTTTGGGAGGCCGAGGCAGGCAGATCACTTGAGGTCAGGAGTCCAAGACCAGCCTGACTAACGTGGTGAAACCCCGTGTCTACTAAAAATACAAAAACTAGCCAGGCGTGGTGGGGGCCTGTAATCCCAGGTACTCGGGAGGCTGAGACACGAGAATGGCTTGAACCCAGGAGGCAGAGGTTGCAGTGAGCTGAGATCATGCCACTGTACTCCTGCCTGACAGCAAGACTCTGTCTCAAAAAAAAAAAAAAAGCCCATGGTCTACCTCCCAACCACCAGAGGCTAGGAAGAGGCAAGGAACGATTCAACCCAGAGCCTCAGTGGGAGCACGGCACCACTGACACCTTGATTTTGGACTTCTGGCCTCCAGAATTGTGAGACAATCAATTTGTTGTTTTAAGCCAACCAGTTTGTAGTACTTTGCTATGCAGCCCTAGGAAACTAAGGCAAGTCTCATTGTATGTTTCCCACTGTGCTGGCTGAAACCATGGGTCGATCCAATTCCTTGAATGGTGGCAAATTGGGGCCCCCAATAGAAGTGGGAAATGGGAAGAGGGTGAGGACCAAGGCAGTTCTTGTCTACATTAGCTGATCATAAACCTGAGGGCTGACCGATCTTTCCTCTGCCCATGTCATCAGCATCTTGGGTGGGCAAACACTCCTATGCTCAAAGTATGAACAGGAGGAGCACAATGTAAAAAATGGTTGTATACCTCACTCTATTTCTCCATTTTTGCATTCTTACGTTAATCATCTTATGTAATCCATATAGTAGAGCAAAGAGGCAGAGAGGTCCATGTTGGCAGAAGCACAATAGAATTTTCTTAGAAATCAACCGCAAGTCTTCAGGGAGTGCTCATGGTACAGAGAGATGCTGACACTAGTTATCTTGGCTTAAGACCTACTCTAATGTCCTCATCATAACTTAATTACATCACAAAGACTCTGTTTCCAAATAAGGCTACATTCACAGGTACCGACCGGGATTTGGAACTATGACATACCTTTTGAAGGGCACAAGTCAACCCATAACGAGACCCAAGAATCCATTCTTGGTTGTCTGCATTGAGTTGGTGAATGCAGGGATAGAAGCTGCCTGAGCACCATGCGGTTAGAAGTGGTGGGGATGGTGGTAAACTGGAAAGCAATCTGATATGGCATTTTTCTTCAAATGCCACTGCCCCCTTTCCCTGCTGCCCCCAATACCAGCAGGCTGAATTCTGTCCAAGCACCAGTGTCCCGATGCAGATATGCTAGGAAGATCCGGAACTGGAATCATCTCTTGGTTCCTAAACTGGCATCCGCTGTAGCACCGCGGGAAACTGCGTGCTCTGTCTCCTCGCAGAGGCTTTTACCTTGGGCTGTGCTGATCTGAGCGCCAGAGCCAGCCTTGAACTGACCAGGGGCTGACATACTGCCAGCTAGGTCACCCAAGAGGTCTGTCTTCCATCCTGGGCCACAGTCTCTGGGATGCCTTCTTCCTCCTCAAAGGCCCTGGGATGCCACCTGCTTGCCTCTCCCTACCACCACTTGCTTTTCCTTCTGGCACTCTCATTTTCCCAGACCGGCTGCAAAGTGGATGAGAACACCAGGCTTCTCAACTTTGTGCTGTTTCTCAAGCTTTTTCTCCACATCTAACCTCCACCCCCAGCTACAGGAAGTTTCTTTTTCTCTCTAATTTTTTTTTCTTGCTAACCATCACAGGGGAAACAGACAAGGTTACAAAGTAAAACTCATGAACAAAGTTACAGAAGCTCACAAAGGCTGCAGGGATAAAAATTATTTCTTTTGGTCTTTTCCCATTTTAATTCTCTGTGACTGCAGTTCCTGACTTTCTAGACAGCTCTATAGGATGATTTGTGTCAAGTATTGTCTGTTTATCCTTGAGAGAGGGGCTTACTAATTCACCCCCCAACTTTGTTTTGAATGAAGGAAAGACTAAATGATATAATCTTCATTTGTTTGTCAAAATATTGCAGACCCATTAGCACTGTTACTACTGAGTATCAATCCAGCATTAAATAATAAAAATAACCTTTTCAAAGTGCCGGGACTCTGTATAACTTCACTGCGGACACAAGAGAATGTCCTTTTTTTTCAAAGGAAGTAAAGGTCAAAGGTATCACGAACATGGTATGACAAAGGGGCAACTATTATATGATTCCCCTTATATGAGGTACCAAAATAGTTAGATTCATATAGACAGCAGAACAGTGGTTACCAGGGACTGGAAGGGAAGAAGGAATGGGAGTTTTTTTTTTCTTTTGAGATGGAGTTTCACTTTTGTTGTTGCCCAGGCTGGAGTCCAATGGCATGATCTCTGTTCACTGCAACCTCTGCCTCCTGGGTTCGAGCAATTCTCCTGCCTCAGCCTCCTGAGTAGCTGGAATTACAGGCAGCCACCACCACACCAGCCTAATATTTGTATTTTTGGTAGAGGCGGGGTTTCACCATGTTGGCCAGGCTCGTTTCGAACTCCTGACCTCAAATGATCCACCTGCCTCGGCCTTCCAAAATGCTGGGATTACAGATGTGTGCTACCGCGCCCGGCTGGGAGTTATTGTTTGATGGGTACAGAGATTCTGTTTGGGAAATGAAAAAGTTCTGGAGATGGATGGTGGTGATGGTTGCACAATAATTGTAAATGTACTGAATGCTACAGGACCGTATTCTTAAAAGTGGTTAAAGTGTTAAATTTGATGTTATACATATTTTAACACACACACACACACACACACACACACACACACACACACACACACACACACTGAGAAATGCATGGCCAAAAGTAAGGGTAAAAAGCAGATGAGTGTAAGGTGCCCGGAGTAGGTGTTGCAAGCCACCACTCGTTTGGTTGTCTTCCTTTCTCACGGAGGTCATCTTAAAAACAGATGACTCTGAGGTAATGTGGCTTGGTGAAAGTGATATTCCACAGACCTTTTAGCAAGAGTTCTGGAGCTGCGAATCTGCGCCATGAAATCTGTGGGCTTCTCATATTAAAAGGAAAAAAAGGTAACACAACACCACTCACCAAATAATGTAAAACGAACATTCTTGTTTTCTCTGGCTTCTCACAGCTGGCCAAAAAAAAAAAAAAAAAAAAAAAAAAAAAAAAAAAAAAAAAAAAAAGATTCTTTATTTGAAATGCAAGTACAAGAAAACAGGGAGTATTTTTGAGTCCCTTTTGAAATTTTCTTTTGAAACCAGCATTTTCTTGGAGAGATTTATTAAATTCTTAGAAACTGCCAAGCAGCTTTTTTCTCATATGATAGAATTTGCCTCAATAAAGATTCTTAAATACATGGGCTTTCAAGAATTATAGGTGATTAAAAAAAAGAATATACTTTCTGCCATTAGCATTGAGGTCCATGTCACGTGAGAGTACTTTCTGAGAATATTAACATTATAATATCATCCTGAAATTTTTCATTAAGAAAAAGTCATTCTTCATATACCTACAGCAATTAATTATTAAACACTACAATAAGCTGTTCCAATCTTATTTAAACAAGCACTGAAAATACCAGCCTAATGTTAACCTATTCTGGAAAGAGCTCCCCAGGATTTCAGAGAATGTTCGGCTTCTTTAGAATCACGTTTTAAAGAGGGTTTTAGAGTCAGACAAAATTGGTTTATAACCTTGTCCTATGACTTTTTGGCTTATATGACCTTGGACAAGTCACTTAATTTTCCTGAACCCCAGGTTTCTAATATGTAAAATGGGACTGATGATAGTTCATATCCAGCAGATTGGTAAGATAATTAAATGAGATAATAAGACACTTTGGAGGGGAAGGAAGAGCTGGGGAATCTATTATTGCTCCCTTTGGCTTTTTCATTTGTGTTCATTTTCTGGGTCATATATTGTATTTCCTACTAGGCTTTGCCTGAATACAAAATTGGTTTTATGAAAATCACTGTGAGAACGTATGAAAAATACTTAATATGGTACTTGGCACACACAAGGGCATCAGTGGTGGTAGATTTGTTCATTCACAACCAATTCATCCATTCATCCATCCATTTAATCATTTATTTAAACAAATATTTATTGAAAACCCCATCTATGCCAGGGGTTCTTCTAGCAGCTATAAATGAGATAGACAAAGGTTTTGTCCTCATCGAGTTCACAGTCTAGTTGTGGAAAAGAGACAATAAAGAGAGAAACATAAACAATTCTGCAAGTTATTCGATGCCAGAAAGCACATAATCTTGGCAGTTGGCTAGAAGGTGATGCAGGTAGAGGCCAGGCTTGCTCTTTGGCAGTTATTCAGTGTGGTTAGGGAATTCTTCCCTGAGAATTTGATATCTGAGTAAACACCAGAGCAAGGAGAAGTTAGGCCTGTGAAGATGTTGGAGAATGGTGTCCAGGTACTTGAAAATCCATTTGGAAATCTAGAATTCAGGGAAGACATTGATGAACTAAAGCTGTGGCAAATTCTGCCCATTTCTTCTTTAGGCTCTGGGGCCCCAGGCCTGACTTCAAAGACTTCAGATGCTGGGTGCTGGCTGTGTGCTCACCACCTCCTAAGGACCTGCCAGGTTGCTAGCTCCTGGCTCAGCTCTTGCACCAACGGAAGCAGGCTCTATGCAGCAGCCACTTTCTGGGCCTCAGGCATGCATCTGTGAGTTTTGGGAGGTATGCAGATAAGGCCCTTGAAATAACACAAAATGATACTGTGGTTGATGTGAGCAGAGAGAATCCTGCTTTTTAAAAAATATTTCTGTCTAGGCGTGGTAGCTGCAGTCTACAACCTCAGCACTTTGGGAGGCTGAAGCAGGAGGATCCCCTGAGCCCAGGAGTTTGAGACCAGACTAGGCAACTTAGTAAGATCTCATCTCTACAAAAAATTTGAAAATTAGCTGAGCATGGTGGCATGCACCTGAGGTCCTAGCTACTAGGGAGGTTGAGGCTACCGTGAGCTATAATCATGCCACTGCACTCCAGCCTGGGTGACAGAGAGAGACGCCATCTCTGGAAAAACAACTCATAATTCTTCCTAGCCACACAGGACATTGGGGCTCTGTTGCACTGGAGACAACACTAAGGGGAGGGACCAAAATCAGTGAATGAGCAGACAACCTTGACAAAACCAAGGGCTAAGGCAGAATGGGAGGATTTGTGCCGCAGGTCAGAAATGGAAAAAATAAGCAACAGTGGAGATCCAAAGGTGGGGTGAAGGGAGGTTAAGGGGCTGGATGAATTCTCTGAGACACATTAGCAGCCACACATCCTCTAAATAGGGTGTCTGCTGCCTTGGTCTTGGGTCTGAAAGTTGCTGGTTCTGTCACTGAAGGGAGCTGTTTGTGAGGGAAGCCTTGGGTCTGCAGCAGAATACACTCTGAATCATCACAAGGAAGAGAATAAGGTGAGATTGTTTAGTTGTTGGGTGTGTGAGGGCTCTGGGAGATGGTCCAAGGAAATCAGAGAGTATTAGCTCAATGTGTATGATTTGCTCCAGATTATCTTAGGCATTGTGGGTGACACATTTTCGGGCACTCTGTAGTATTAAACCGCATAATTTCAGATATGTTCAGATATGTGGTCTAAGCAGTGCTTGAAATCCCCCTCTAGAGGGATTCTAGACTATGTTCCACTACTTTATTGTAATGTAAACCATGGAGGTATTACCTGGGCCCTCAGAAATGACTTCTTCCTCTGTAAGTAATGAATAATCCCACTCTGATAATGTGTATGTAGGTGCCTTATAAACCAGTGAAAGCTGTACAAATACGAGACTTGGTTGCAATGAAAAGAAGAGTGAAAACACCATGGAAATAGTGGATGGTTGTAGATGGTACAGCATGAATGTGGCTACCAGGGCATGAAACCCTTCCAGGGCAGAGTCTCATTGATGGCAGGACCTTGACGAGGCACCGTCTTCCATATTCAGAAGTTTAAAGTCTTCAGATTTGGAGATACTCAGATTGATTTTTGTCAGTTAGTTCAGAATGATCAATCCCTAGAGGACTGACCCAGGATACTCAAACTCAAAACAGACTGATGTACACCAGATCACCAATGGTTTATTCAAATGCTTTCCAGTATTAACATTCTAAGGTGGTTTATTTTTTTTGGATTTTGTGATAATCTTTATCCTGTGATTTAACGCATTTCACTGGTAGCCTTAGTTTGGATTAAAGCATGTAACTCAACTTTTGTATCTTTTAGGCTTGGAACTAAAGCTCAACTCCAAAGATTGTGGAGCAAAGAGACAAACGTAGGTTAAATAACTCTCACATGTTACATAAGATTTCAGGGAAGTGGAATAGAGAACAGGATGGAGACCTCCCGAGTGCTTGGTTTTACCATTTCTTGGGGGAGACCTGGTATAAGAAACTAATTTTAGACCTCTTTTTACTAGTCATTGTTCTCCCATTAAGTGGCTTCAGAAAATGCCCTTACACAGCCTTGATTCAGACTTTTACAAGGTGTTGGTACATTTTTTCAGAATACAATTGGAGGAATAAATTTGGCTTGCCTGTAATATTATGGGCAAGAGTCTAATACTAATACTAATATTAGACTCTTGGCATACTGATTTGTATAAGCTCCCCCATCTACCCTGGTTGCCATTTGGATGCCTACCTGACCACCACTTTCACATTTCTCCATGGATCAGGTGGGAAATATAAAATCTAAAATATTTACCAATTACCTCTTTACTGTGGAAAATGTGCATAGGATTCCTCAGAGAAAAAGAAATGAACTACTAAAATGTTAAAAACATGAAACTAGATTTTCTTTAGTTTGCCCCAGGAAACACGAGGGACTCCTTCATGAGCTAATTTAATAATATGCCAGCGGTCTGCATCTATGTGTATATTCAGAAACTCAATACACTTTCAGAGGGAGGCTCCAGCTGAATTGGTTTTTGATAAGACATTTTAAGGGAATATTGGGGGCCAGGCAAGTGACCGTCACCAATCTTTTCAAATCAAGAAGGTTATTCCCATTGATGTTTGAAGGATCAGGTTGGAAATCTCAGTCTACCCTACATGGCTTTGATGACCGGCCAGCGCTGTGTTTCCTCCACACTGTGACCAAAATTCAAATTAATAACAATTATATCGTATAGCACTAGTAATCTGTAATAGTCTACAAAAAATTCCTTGAAGAGTCTGGGAAGTAAAAATGATCGTTACCCTCTGTTCACAGATGGGGAAACTCAGAAAGTTTCAGTCAGAAAAAGAGCTAGACTAAGACCCAGGCTATCTGATTATGGACTTTGTATATATATATATATATATATATTTGAGACAAAGTCTTGCTCTGTGACCCAGGCTGGAGTGCAGTGGTGTGATCTCAGCTCACTGCAACCTCTGTCTCCCAGATTTCAAGTGATTCTCCTGCCTCAGCCTCCCAAGTAGCTGGGATTATAGGCACACACCACCATGCCCAGCTAAGTTTTGTATTTTTAGTAGAGACGGGGTTTCACCATGTTGGCCAGGCTGGTCCCAAACTCCTGACCTCAAGTGATACACCAGCCTCAGTCTCCCAAAGTGCTGGGATTATAGGCGTGAGCCACCATGCACGGACTGCACTTTGTATTTTTATTTATTTATTTTTTTGGGATGGAGTCTTGCTCTGTCTCCCAGGCTGGAGTGCAGTGGTATGATCTCAGCTCACTGCAACCTCCGCCTCCCGGGTTCAAGCGATTCTCCTGCCTCAGCCTCCCAAGTAGCTGGGATTACAGGCGCACGCCACCATGCCCAGCTAACTTTTTGTATTTTTAAGTAGAGAAGGGGTTTCACCATGTTGGCCAGGCTGGTCTCGAACTCCTGACCTCAGGTGATCCAACTGCCTCGGCCTCCCAAAGTTCTGGGATTACAGGTGTAAGCCACCATGCCCGGCCCACTTTGTATTCTTAATCGCATTTTATCTGTTGGGGGCCAGATGAAAACACTCTTTAGGTAAATTTACTTAAAGGAAATCTAATCCAAATTCACAGAAAATATATTATTTACTTTACAAAACAATTCACAACAAAATTCTTTAAACGATTAGGATCTCCAGTGTACTTAAAATGTGGTCTAATTTACAAGCCACTATTCATATCACTTTAGGAACACAACTCCAGCATGAAGATTCACTCACACAGGAGGGCTGAAGGTGAGGGAAGGGAGCCATTTTTGTTTGCAATATCAAAACACTAGTAGATCTCAAAATAACTTTTGGGTGGCACCATTTGACCAATACCCTTGTGAGGGTGTGGTCTATGTTCAAGACAAAAAATATTTAATTATCCAGATGCTCAGAACTTAAATACTCCAGGGAGTTGTTTATCTCGTTTTAGGAATGATGAGAAACTTCAGTAGGGATTTCAGCCTTCGTATTGTCATTGTTGCTAAAGCTACCTTTTGAGTGCTGATGAAAGAAAGTATTTCAATTGCTTAAGTTGGATCGGATCAGAGAAGATGTTTAAGAAATCAGGCAAAATCATTCTATCAACAGGATTAGTCCAGAGGTTGATGACTAAAGAAAACAGAAAAACTAAAAGGAAAGGCCAAAAGAACTTTCATTAGAGTAAGCCCATCTTATTAAACACTCAACCCTGTGGTCTTGCTGACACCGTCACATCACTGAAATTGGCCGTTGATAGGGTGTGATTAAAGCTATGTCAATACAATAGCAAAATACTAGGTTGAAAAGTGGAAGATTCAATTAATAAACTGTTTTGTTTTTCTCCCAGAAGATGCTGAACAACTGGTTTTGTGACATTTTCCTCATTCAGCTGAGCCAACCAGTTGGTCTGGTATCTCAGGGATATGGTCTATGAAGTCTTTTTGAAGGCTGCTTCTCTTTGCTTTTAAGTGTTCATTTGTAGATTTCTTTTCTTTTATCTTGGATTCTACAACAATGCCTAGGACTTTTGAAACCGTCATACAAAGGTTTCTATGGATTTCAGGGCAGCTTAATTGAATGTACCCCAAGTATCTTGAGTTAACTAACTTTATTCAGTGATTATCACAAATTCTTCATTTCCCAATTTTTGCTTAAACTGATCTCATCTGTGCATTCAAGGATCAATGTGGGTGGGAAATCCAATTACATCAATATTTTATTTTCAGAAAAATAGCAAGCAGGAGGGTCCACTGAGACCCATTACATTTTCAGAGTTCAGCACAATTGAGTGCTATTAAATAAATCATTGGCATATGATCACCTGCCATTTATTTTAGTGTGAAATGATCTGTTACAGTAGATAGAAACTATTCTATACCATCGACAAACAGATAGTTCATAGCCTTAAATTAGTTAGCCTATTTTTGTAACGAATAGAGACTTAATTTGAGTTTTCTCATCCTGGGAACATGAAACAAAATTATATCATACAGTGAGTAATGGTTTGAAAAATTTTAATTTAGTTTGGCACCGTGGGTTCTTCTAATTATTGCTGACTCTTCACACAGCAGAGACAGTGACCCTAAGCCCGGGGGCAAAACAGCTGCTTTTCACCTGCAGACTCATTATCGAACTAATTATTCTTCAAATAATTTTATAATATTCATGCTGAACCTAATTCTGAACCTATAAATACAGGTTTAAGTCGTTTATAGTATGTGCTCCTGCTCATTCCTGTACCCCAACCCCATACTGCATGGTAGAGAAATTGCCTGTTCCAACTACTCAGAGGGACATTTTTTATGTTTTCTATCTTGGATAAGAATTAGTGATCTGCACTCGTGTTTCCAAGGCCAGTGTGGCCCAGCTTTGCTTGTGGCCAAAAGACTGTAGATTAAAATCTTGAATCAGTTGTCAACATTTGGAAATTGGAAATTCTGCACAAGAATCCGGATTCCTGACTTTGCTTGGAAATTGGACTACTGGCAACATGAAAACCCTTCTCCCAGGAGATAATTAGCTAGAGCTAAGTGACAAGCGTCTCCTTCAGAAGGAACATGTACTTGCCACATTTCCAGAGCCAACATGGAAGCTCAGTGTCAGTTGCTGATCGTTAATTTATACCTTTCTCCATTCATTTTATTTCCTGCTTGCTTCTAAGATTGTTTAAGAATTTCATGGGCTCTAGGCATTCTTACTTTAAAAGGTCCTGCTTCATATCATATGAAATATATTTAATCTACATCCCACATTAAATATGGAATTTCTTTTTTGGTCATAAATGGTTTAGTAAGGATTGTATAATTTTATTTTTGAAAATAATTTCCATTTTTTCATTTTTTTAATATTATGGAATACATATATATATATATACACATACACATATACATATATATATATTTTCAGTTTTCAGGCGATTATCACAGGCCATGGAAAAGCCCAGGCTGGGCATGGTGGCATGTGCTTGTAAACTCAGCTACTTGGGATGCTGAGGCGGGGAAAATTGCTTGAGCTCAGGAGTTAGAATTCAGCCTGGGCAATAGAGTGAGACCCTGTCTCAAAAAAAAAAAAGAAAATAAAAGTACATAGGCCTGAGATACTGTGGCTGTAATGCTGTAATGCTTAAGGAATCAAATGATCCCCTGGATCCCCATCGGCATTTGAAGTTCTGACCCTTAGCTAGGTTCAAATTGGCATTTTAGAGAGCTTGTAGGAGACTGGGCAGTGTCCCAAGGAATAAATAAGGCAGAAGTCCACTGACTCACAGACCTGGGGTGGAAGGAAGGGTGTAACTTCCCTGATCTTTTTGAGTTTTTGAGATTTGAGGTTTCTTTAAATGACAGCCTTGGGTCTTACTTGTCTTGCACAGTGCTTCCTAGCTTGGAGTGGGGTAGGGCTGAGGGGTGGTGAAGGGATGGTTTTGGGTATTAGAGACGTTTTAAGACCTTGTTGTTTCTGGGTACATTCCCTTTTTTTTTTTTGATACGGAGTCTCACTCTGTTGCCCAGGCTGGAGTGCAGCGGGGTGATCTTGGCTCACTGCAACCTCTGCCTTCCAGGTTGAAGCGATTCTTGTGCCTCAGCCTCCCGAGCAGTTGGGATTACAGGCATGTGCCACCACACCTGGCTAATTTTTGAAAATTTTAGTAGAGACGGGGTTTCACCATGTTGGCCAGGCTGATCTTGAATTACTGACCTTAGGTGATCTGCCTGCCTCGGCCTCCCAAAGTGCTGGGATTACAGGTGCGGGCCACTGTGCTTGGCCTACATTCACTTTTGAAAGTATCATCTACATGTCCGGTCACACACCGCATAATAACATTTCAGTCAATGATGGTGGACCTATAAGATTACATAATACAGTATTTTTACTGTGCTTTTTCTATATTTAGATATGTTTAGATACACAAATACATTGTGTTACAATTGTCTACAAGCAAACTTGTTCAACCCATGGCCCACGGGCCACATGTGGCCCAGAAAGGCTTTGAATCCAGCCCAACACAAGTTCTTAAGTGTTCTTAAAACATTATGAGATTTTTTTGTGTGATTTTTTTTTTTTTTCAGCTCATTGGCTATCATTAGCGTTAGTGTATTTTATATGTGACCCAAGACAATTCTTCTTCTTCCAATGTGGCCCAGGGAAGCTGAACGATTGGACACCCCTGGTCTACAGTATTCAGCACAGTGACATGCTGTGCAGGTTTGTAGCCTAGGTACCATGGCCTATACCCTAGAATGTAGGTGTGCCATTAGTACACTCCATGATGTTCACATGATGATGAAATTTCCTAACAATGCTTTTCTTAGAATGTATTTCTGTCATTAAGCAGCACATGACTGTAATTTAATTTATTTTTAGTTGCAGTTGACTAGTTTACTAAATTTTACAGTGTAGACTTTTAATTGAACCATACATTAATTTTAGATTTCACAGATTTCTTTTTTTTCTTATTTTTTTTTGTGTTTTTTCTTTTGTATTTTGGGGCCAATGCATTTCTTTTATTCAGTGCCCCAACTCTTTAATTTGTCCTCAGCACTGTCTTAGGCATGAGGCCTGTTCCTTTGCTGACTTACAGGCACAGCACCTCCTCTGTAAACAGGCCTATGGTATCTCAGAGGTCTGTAAGATTTCTGTGTAGATGGACGATGCTTCACTCTGAGTTTATGTGGCTTAGCTTCTCCTCCCCAGGTTTAGCAGAAGATGTATATGCGTAGGGAGAGCTGCTTTTTAATTTAGCTCTTTTGAAAGGTCCTTGAGGCCCAAGTCCATAATGGCATTGTAGGCCCCTTGATGGGACAAAGGGGAAACTCAGTGCAAGGCAAACAACCTCCCGGCATGTGACATTCCTTCCATCACTGTTTATCCCAGGGCCTTACACAGCACCGTTTCAGGTGGAACCACCTGGGAGCTGTTACAAAGGCAGATTCCTGGCTCTACTCCATTCTTACTGAAGCCTTAAGCCAGAAAGTGTTTCAGGATGCCTTTTAACTTGATGATAAACAACAGCAACAAAAAACAGAAGCCCTTTATTTTCTCTAATCTCTAATTGAAATATTAGCAGTTATGATAATAGGCAACAAGCCACAGTGGTATTAGTAATGCCTGTGACTTGTCACCCATGGAAATCATAGATAGTTTCATATCACATTATGGTGTTTGTGGGTATCTTGAAATGTCTTCGCTGCTCATTATCACCTCAAAGTCATTGATAGTTATTAGACTAACTAGATCTTACTATTTAATGTAGTAATAAAGAAGCTTGTATATTATATAACTTGTTTCTTTAATATTTGGATAACTGCATTCCAATATTGGTTTTCTTTATTAGTCTCTGTGTTTTATTTTAGATGCTTAACAACATTATTCTGAGAAGGTGCCCATAGGCTTTCTGAGACTGCCCCCAGGATCGATGCCACTGTAAGGTCAGGAAGCCTGGACTGGAGCTGAGACCGACTGATTAGCAGATTCACTTTCTGTGATCAGGAGAAATAAAAGCCAGCCTAGGGGTTGGAGGTGGTTAGAACAAAAGCCCCTGTGTGAGAAAGTACCTGGGATTTTAAGAATAGAAAGAGGCTGATGAGTTTTGAGAGTAGAGAGTATGGGAAAAGTGAACGTAGATGGGTCAGTGAGTGGACAGGGGCCAGGGCAGGACTGTGAATTGCACTTTGTGTGACTGAAGGCAGTTGGAGAGTTTCAGCAGGGAAGAGATATGATGGTGGCTTATAGAGTAGACAGTAGAGTAGAAAGTGGATTTAAGGGAAGGTATTTTTTGTTTTTTTGTTTTGTTTTGTTTTTGAGACAGAGTCTCACTCTGTCACCCGGGCTGGAGTGTGGTGGTGCAACCTCAGCTCACTGCAATCTCTGCCTCCTGGGTTCAAGTGATTTTCCTGCCTCAGCCTCCTGAGTAGCTGAGATTACAGGCACCTGCCACCACACCCGGCTAATTTTTGTATTTTTAGTAGAGATGGGGTTTTGCCATGTTGGCCAGGCTGATCTCGAACTCCTGACCACAGGTGACTAGCTTGCCTTGGCCTCCCAAAGTGCTGGGATTACAGGCATGAGCCACTATGCCTGGCCTAGGGGAAGGTTTTTAAGTACAAAAACCTCCTCAAAATTCTAGGCATAAGTGGAAATATAAAAGATAACAATGATATTAGAATATAGTATCAAAATATATTCTTTAATTGTTATATAAAAACATATCTACTTTCTTAACATTGACAAGATCTAAATTTTATATGTGGGTATACACACACGCACACACCAATTTCCATGGTGTGGCAAGAATTGACAAAGATTCTTTGCTTGGCCAAACTTTAGTCAGGCTTCTGAATCTTCTCCCAGGCCCATCTGTGTACTTCCTTGTAAAATCCAGTTTTAGGAAAGAGCCCTGCTAAGTCAGTCTAGCAAAACCTTTCTCATCTTTGATATCTGATCATCCTTAATATCTGATCAGTTTCCTAATCCTCTACCATCCCCAAGGTGATGTTTAATCACCCTGGCCTGTCTTCAGCAAGAATCCTGTTAGGCTGGCTTAGTCAGAATCTCTCTTAACCCTAAGGTTTCTTCTTAGAAGGAGTCCACTGACTTCCATACTACTCCTTGGCTATAAATTTCTGCTTGCCAAAGCCGTATTCAGAGTTGAGCCCAGTCTTTCTCTCCCACTGCAAGATCCATTGCAGTGGTCCTCATACCTATCTCGCTGGTTCTGAATAAAGTCTTCCTTACTGGGCTTCAACAATATTATTAAATAATTTTTTTCCTTGATGGAATAGAAGCAGAAAATAGAAGAATAGAGTTGGAAGACTCACTTCAGAACTTACTACAAAGCTACAGTAGTCAAGACTGTGTTACTGGCATAAAGATAGACATACAGATCAATGAATATAATTTATGGTCCAGGAATAAACTCTTTCATTTATCATCAACTGATTTTCAACAATGGTGGCAAAGCAAATCAATGGGGAAGGAATAGTCATCTCAACAAATGGATAACTGGAAGTCTACATATAAGAGAATGAAATTGGACCCCTTCCTAATATCACAACAAACATTAATTAAAAATGGATCACTGACCTAAATAGAAGAGCTAAGACTATAAAACTCTTAGTGTAAAGAATAGGAGTAAGTCTTAATAATCTTGGGTTAGGCAATTATTTCTTAGATATGACACAAAAAGAGCAAGTTAAAAAAAGAAAAAATAATACTATCAAAATTAAAAACTTTTATACTTCAAATGTCACTATCAAGAAAGTGAAAAGACAACCTGCAGAATGGGAGAAAATATTTTCTTTACTTTTTTTTTTTTTTTTTTTTTTGAGACGGAGTTTCACTCATTTTGCCCAGGCTGGAGTGCAGTGGTTCCATCTTGGCTCACTGCAACCACTGCCTCCCAGGTTTAAGTGATTCTCCTGCCTCAGCTTCCCGAGTAGCTGGAATTACAGGCCCCCACCATCACTCCCGGGTAATTTTGTATTTTTAGTAGAGAGGGGGTTTCACTATCTTGACCAGGCTGGTCTCAAACTCCTGATCTCAGGTGATCTGCCCACCTCGGCCTCCCAAAGTGCTGGAATTACATGTGTGAGCCACTACACCTGGCAGAGAACATATTTTCAAATTATACATCTGATAGGAAATGAGCATCTAGAATATAGAAAAACTCTTACAACTCAAAAATATGAACAACCCAATTATAAAATGGGCAAGGGATTTGAACAGATATTTCTCCAAAGAAGCTATGCAAATGACCAATAAGAACAAAAGATGTTCCACATCATTAAAATTAGGAAAATGCAAATCAAAATCATGATGCAATACTACTTTATACCCACTAGGATGGCTATAATCAAAATACAGATAATAGTAAGTATCAGTGAGAATGTGGAGAAATTAGAACTGTTTGTCACACGTTGCTGGTTGGGAATGTAAAATGGTGCAGCCACTTTGCAAAAACGTTTGATCAGTTCCTCACAATGTTAAACATAGATGTGCCATATGACCCAGGAATTCCACTCTATGTATCAACCCAAGATAAATGAAAACATATGTCTACACAAAAATTTGTATTACAGAGATGTTCATAGCAGGGTTATTCACAATAGCTCCAAAGTGGAAACAACCTAAATGCCCATCAACTTGTAAATAGATAAACAAGATGTGGCACATCCATACAATAGAATGCCATTGGATAATGAGAAGGGAATAAAGTACTGATGCATGCTGCAAATTGGATGAACCTCAAAAATAGTAGGCTGTCAAAGAGTCCAGTCACAAAAGACCACATATTATATGATTCTATATGTAGGCAAAGATAGGAAGTAGATGAGTGGTTATCTTGGACTTGGCCTTTGGGGGATAGTTATGGAGATGGAGAAAATGAATGGATTTGGGCCACTACATTACTATGTTTAGTTAGTAAAGGTGCTAAGACTTGCTGATCGAGTGGATGGGGGATATGGGTGAAAGAGAGGGCTTAAAGGTGAAGCAAGTCTAGTTCTCCTCACAGTCCCCTCCTGCTCTGCACATTCATCATGCTGCAGTTGGGTGGCCAATGAATTCATCCAACTGGGTTACCTGGACTCTAGCTAGCTGGCTCTGGCATGAGGAATTTATGAGATCAAACTGCATTTATAGGCATGATGCTTGATGTAGTATTTACCTTGCTAGAAAACAAAGGGAGGTGTCCAGCATTCAGTGAGAATGATGTCTCTGAATTTTTTCTTCAATTCTGGAAAAGTTGGCTATTTGCAGGGCTCTTGAAGAGTAATAACCACTTTAGTCCCAAATGTTCGTATATAGGTCAAAATCATCTTTCTTCCTTATAAGCATTTCCTCTGAGTGTTGAGGGTCTGCTTTCAAGTTTAAAGCAGCTTTTTAGTGGTATCATCTCTTTTAAAACAGGATCAGAAGGTAAATGTTCTGGAGAGACTAAAATCACCTGGGTAACCATTATAAAAGACACACTCACATTTAAAGACCACAGTGCTACTGAGATATGAAATTTCAGTGTAAATTCAGCCCAAGCTGAGAGCATTTATTTTTTTCCCCTGGTTTTTCTGATGAGAAGCGAGAACAGATATTTGGAGAGGAGGAAATTTCATATCCAAAGGGTTTTGTTTTCATCAGAATCCAGCTTGAACATGATTAACAAGAAACTTGTGAAATACATAGCCACTGTGAAAGAAGATGCTGGTCTTGCTAAAGGTGACAAATTGCCATCCAGCATTCTGGTTTTATTTAAGAAAACTTATGGGCACTGTGCATAGCCAAGGAAGCTAGGGACAGAAGAAACTACAGGTTCATACAAGAGAAAGTAAAGCTGCCTGTGCTACTGAAAGGTTTTTTTGTTTGTTTATTTTTTGTTTTTTGTTTTTTTGTTTTAACTCTCAAGGTTGTTTTAACTCTCAAGCCACTGACAAAGCATGAGAATAAAATTCCTTTGAAGATGGACTGTCACCTAGACAGGATACACTATTTAAATCAGTGATCTTCACCTCTTCAGACTCATATGAGGATAGGTCAGAAAGAAGGATAGGCACAATCTCCCTTATAGACCAGGATGCCCAGCTACTTAATCAACTAAAGGTTGTGTAGCTTAATGCTTATGAATACTAGCTCTTTGTCCAGACTGCCTAAGTTCAGATCCCAAATTCTTTAATTGTATATATGTCATAAGGCAAATTACATAACTATTTTGCAGTACAGATTGCATATTTTACAGTGCAGATGGTAGTACCTAATTCATAGGGTTGTTTGAGGATCAAATGAACTTATTTGTAAGAAATGCATAGAACAGTGCCTTGGCACATAGCATGTGCTCAATAAATATTAGTATCATTTACTGAGGTCCTATTATGTGCCAGGGAAGATACTAGATGCTAAGGATACAGTAGTAAGCAAGATAGGAAAGATCCCTGTACTTACAGAGCTTATGGTACACTGGAGTCTTATTCACATGGTTAGCCTCATGACACATGGGGTCCAAAGATAAGAGAGTCTGTTCTAGAACTGTGCCAACCTCCACATCCCCTGTGGTGACAGGGAATTTATTCATGACAAAGATGTGGAGTATGAATGCATGCACATAAAAGTCAAAATGTGATTCTCAAATGTGGGCAGAATTGCGGCTGCCCAAATGAATCACTGTTAGTGATGGGAGTCATTTGGGGCGGAAATAAGCCTGTAAATCATTAGCTCACACTTGAGGAGGTGCTGAGTGTGTCAACATCTTTGTTCCTGGCTTGGGAGTGGCTATCTGAGGAAAAGGAAGAAGTGAGTTGAGAAGCAGGTTTTCCAGAGGGAATTACAGCTGCGATGGCATTGATTTATCTACCTCCTCTTGGTTTCATTGTTTTTCTTTTTTAACCCTAATTGGGATGCATTAGTATTTTGTTATGAAAGGGGATTGGTGTTAGCAAGAAGGAAGTTTAATGATATGGAAAACCAGGAGGACCTAAGTCTACTCCTCTGAAGAGCTGAGTTACTATGAATGGTGAAGTATCACCATCACCACCCTCCTGATAAGAAGTCTGCAGTGATAGTTTCTAGGATATTGACCAACAGCCTTCTGCTGGAGGGACTTAAAGCCCACTCAGTAGAAAAAATAATTATTTTCTGTTGTTCACTAGGCTCCATGTATATTGTTCATCAAAAACTGGTATGATTACTTTCTTTGGGATAATATTCCATATTTTCATGCCTCTGTTATACATGGGGGAAGAATGGAAAGACTGCAAATCTTAGAATTCTTTTATTGAGATTCTACAGGCTACAACCTGCTATCTTCTGCCAGTCCTCATCATTGAGTGAATTACCTATGATCATTCTTATCTCCTTAAGGAACTAGAATCTGCCTTGAGAGTAGTAATCAAAACAAACAAACAAACAAACAAGCAAACAAAAAAAGCCCCTAAAATGAGCCCATGCCTCGATGGGATATGTGTTCATTCTGAAATAGCTCGATGTGTGTGTATATGGGAGTCTCCATATTCTTTCTTTAGCTACTGAATATTCATCTTTCAGTGACCTCAATTTATCTGATTACATAATAGGAAGAAGAAAATTATCTTATTAAGTTCAGTAGTCAGGAAACTGCAAAGTTTAATTCTTACTCACTAAATGACCTTAGATTATATCACCTTCTGAGACTCAGTGTCCTCATCTGAAAAATAGGGATTCTAATACCTAACTCATAGGGTTTTTATGAGAATCATGAGAAGTGTTTAAAATTACACAGTAAACTTTGAAGGACCACACAAATGTAGGGGATGATTATCGTATATCCCTCACAAGTGCACATTTCTCTTCCTCCCAGCACAGTGAGTTGCTGGCCCTCAGGGGCCAGAGGCTGGTAGGTTGAATTGAATTATTAGTATAATCTGGCTCTGGTAAATTTTTTTTGTTCTTTTCTCTATCTTGTCTCTTGTAGAGCTACCATTTACTACCTTGTGGCCCAAGTGATCCATCTAAATTACAAATTATAAATGTGACCATGCTATTTTACTGATTTAAAAAGTCAGGAAACAACAGATGCTAGAGAGGATGTGGAGAAATAGGAATGCTTTTACACTGTTGGTGGGAGTGTAAATTAATTCAACCATTGTGGAAGACAGTGTGGCAATTCCTAAAGGATCTAGACCCAGAAATACCATTTGACCCAGCAGTTCCATTATTGGGTATATACCCAAAGGATTATAAAACATTCTACTATAAAGACACATGCACACATATGTTTATTGCAGCACTGTTCACAATAGCAAAGACTTGGAACCAACCCAAATGCCTATCAATGATAGACTGGATAAAGAAAATGTGGCACATATACACCATGGAACACTATGCAGCCATAAAAAAGGATGAGTTCATGTCCTTTGCAGGGACATGGATGAAGCTGGAAGCCATCATTCTCAGCAAACTAACACAGGAACAGAAAACCAAACACTGCGTGTTCTCACTCATAAGTGGGAGTTGAACAATGAGATCACATGGACAGAGGGAGGGGAATATCACACACTGGGGCCTGTTGGGGGCTGCAGGGCTAGGGGAGGGACAGCATTAGGGGAAATACCTAATGTAGATGACAGGTTGATGGGTGCAGCAAACCATCGTGGAACGTGTATACCTATGTAACAAACCTGCACATTCTGTACATGTATCTCAGAACTTAAAGTATAATTTAAAAAAATCATTATTTACTCCTAATTGCACACTGAAGAGAGTTCAAGCCCATTACCCGCTTATATTCCTGACCCCCTTTCTTCTCCTCTGGCCTCATGCTCTGTGGTCTAGTAGTACTGCCCTGTTTCCTGCCTTTGTCTGCCCCATCATTCCCCACCTGGACACCAACCCAGGAAACACAAGGCATTCAATTTGATACTTTGGTGCAGTTACTCATGCTGCTTCCTCTATTTGAAAAGCCCTTCCAGTATCCTTTCTTCTGGTTAACTCTCAGCCCAAAAAGTTCAGCTCAACCATAGTCTTCCCTTAGAAGCCTTCCATGACCACCAGATTCAGCTAATGGGCTAGTCTCAGTGTTTATAGAGCCCCTAGCCATGGTCTTTTTGTCATGGTTTCAAGAACTCATCTTGAAATGATCTCTTTACTAGATTCAGACCACCTCAGAAGTAGATATGATGTCTTATGCATCTCACCAGTGGATAACATGATGCTTGGCATATGGTAAATGCTCAAGAAAAAATAAACTGAATTACTGCAAACCCTTCATATCAATTAGTGTACAACCAAAAGAAAAAGCAGAAACCACTCAATATTGAAAATAGAGGAATTTAATACCAAGACTTTAATTGCACAAATAATGGAAGAGATGAGAAGCCAAACATGGAACAATGAGGCAAATCAGGAAGAAGCAACAGCAGGAAATTCAACCAACCTTGGGAGGAGGTAGAGTTGCCAGAGCTACAGGGCTGAGGCTGCTTAGTGGAAGCTGGAACCAAGGAGGGTCTAACTGCAGACAGCTGGAACCTCCACTGTGAAAGATGATGCCCAAGCAAGAGAGACGGATAGAGAAATGCCATGGTTCTCCCTGCTGTCTGCTGTACATTCTCCTGCTCATTGCTCCTATTGGTGGAAACCAGCCTGGAAGTCAGCTAGGCTGACTAATGCAGCCTGTGGCAAGCAGTTCCCTGTGATGTAGAACTGAGCAGTGGAAGGGTGGTGAAGGGTCTGAGGGCAAACAGGTGGACTCATTGGGGTCCCCTCATTCTGAAAATAAGAGAGATAGGAAGGAAAGCTACCTAAAGTGGCATGTGTAATCATTTCTTCCTTCAATCAGTATTTACTTAGTGCAGGTATTCATGACAGTGTTTTTGTCTGTGACATCCAGATAAGATGATGGGGACTTGCAGATCACATCTCCGTGAATATCACGAACGCACCCAGGAATATTAGCCACTACAAGTGCACATATCTTCTCATTCCCCACACGAGAAGGACATTAGGATTCACAGGTGTGAGAACTGGCATTGTTGTGGGACAAAGAACAGAGAAATCACCTATGACAGAGACAAGTTTCATAACCAACCCAACTGTCCAAGTTTACCATCGTCACTTAGAGGCTGAGAACTGCAAGGCATGGTTAGAAGATTCTCCATGTATAAATGGGCCATGTGATGTCTACAAATTAGGGCAAAACATTGAAGGAAGATTGTAGAGACTTTATGTGAGAAGGACTTATCTCAATTATTTAGGTATTGATAGTGGCAGTACCCTGCCTGGAGCAGCCACTGCAGGGATGCCAACTGCAGTGGGGGAGGCGCAGCCAGGGCCGTGCACTCCATGGAGCTGGCAGGAGCTGGGAACAGGTGGGAGCCCCACCCTCAACCGAGTTGATGGGGTGAGAGCCCCATGCTCCCGGGCACAGATGCAGTCACCCAGCAATGGCTCTGGACTTGGGTATCTCTACCCTCTTGGGGGCCCCAGGAAGCCCCTTGCCCCCACAGGCTTGAAAGTGCCTGATCCCGCTCCCTGGCCTCTCCCTGCTCCTGGTGCCCTCTCTGGAGAGGAGCAAAGATGTGGCCGAGCCTGGGTGCTATTGCAATCCAGCTGGGTGTGCATGTGCTCAGGGTGGTGCTGACACCTCAGCCCCCTGGTGCCTTGGTACCCTCCAGACTTTGGGCACTGACAAGCACAGGAGGGAGCCCAAATGGGGACTGAGAGTGGCTCAGGGCATGTCTGTAGGTACCTGTCGGCAAGAACAGCCTGGGCGCTATGGATGGAATGTTGATGGCAGGAGGCAGAGAGTTTCCTGCGTGGAAAGGGGTGAGTCCCTGGTGAAACCCCACCATAAGCCTGGGGGCTGCGCTGCCAGTTCTGGTTGAAGTCTGCGGCTGGAAGTGAAAACTTACGGTGCTATTTTTGGGCCCACCCATGGACCAATCAGCATGCACTTCCTGCCTTCTGAGTCCATAAAAACCCCAGACTTAGCCAGACTGGAACAGACGTGGGCACTATCAGCCGCAGGCAGGAGCTACCCACTTTGGGTCTCCTCGACTCTTTGGGACAACTTGCCTGTGGAAAGGAGCTACCCACTGTGGGTGTCCTCTCTGCTGAGAACTGGACACTCATTGGGATGACCTGCCTGTGGAAAGGAGCTACCCACTTCTGGTCTCCTGAATGCTGTTCTGTTGCTCAATGAAGCTCTTCTCTGCCTTGCTCACCCTCCAGTTGTCTGCATACCTCATTCTTCCTGGATGAGGGACAAGAACTCAGGATCTGCTGAATGGTGGGACTGAAAGAGCTGTAATGCAAACAGGGCTGAAACATGCCCCTTGCTCACCATGTTGCAGGTGATGAGAAGTCTCGAAGAGAGAGGGAAAGAAGAGCTGCAGCCCCAGACCTAGGAGCTCCCTGAGCTGGGGCTATGACACCCTCTTTGGGGATCTATGGCTTCTGGTGTCTCCAGGCTTCTGGGTGCCACCATGTTCCCTGGTGCCTGCAGTGGAAGCCACTTGCAGTATACATGATCCAACCACAGCCTCACAAAGATCTGGCGCCTATGCCAGCACCTGGAGCTGACCACCCTGCCACAGCCAGAATGCCTGGCACTAGGTGGTTTCATAAATATTTGTTGGCTGACTCACTGCTTTCCTGTTTGCATTAATTCAGAATGAAATATGAGAAAGATAAAGAAGTGACTGACCTTCCTAGCAAACACTTCCCTGGGAAACTGTTGTCTAGGCCTTCTTCCACTCCACCAAGCTGGGCCAAGCTCGGCCACATCTTTGATCCTCTCCAGAGAGGGCACCAGGAGCAGGGAGAGGCCGGAGAGTGGAATCAGGCACTTTCAAGCTTGTGGGGGCAGGGGGCTTCCTGGGGCCCCCAAGAGGGTAGAGATACCCAAGTCCAGACCCTGTGCTCACTCACACATCCTTCACTACTCTACACCTGGCTTGCCCATGGCAGATGTGGGATCTGGGCCGGTAGCAGGAGCTGAGCACAGCCTGCTGGACTGAGTGGGCAGAACAAGCCCAGTGGGCCTGAGCAAAACGCATGCAAAGGCACCACCTGTCACAGAGGTTTTGAGGTGGAAAAGTGACACTCCCAAGGATCCTGTGACAGTATTTCAGCTTAAAAGATTCGTTTTTATGGAGTTCTATTATTTGGACAATTGCCTTAAATATGAATTTCAACTTCTTTGTATAGACATAACCTACATCATACTGCAAGAGATAAAAAATTTTATAGGGAAAAAATGTTACACAGACCTCATGTTCCATGAATGGTTCAACTTACACAAATGTAGTACATTATTCTTGTGATTCTAATGTGGCTTAGCACAATTTTTTGAACATTATGACTAGCATAGCAAGCTTTTAAAAAATATAAAATAATTTCTTAAGCATTGGGGTATCCATCTATTTTTGTCTAATCTTGGCTATACAAATGCCACAATAATTGTTTTAAAACATTGAAAATGTTTAAAATTATTGAATCATGAACAATACACATCTGTATTCAGAATTGCTGCTTATATTTTTAAAGTTTGGCGAAGAGAAAGTATAAAAGTAATAGAATCTTGTTTACATTGATGATTATTTAATCATGGGGATGCTGAGCACATAAAATATTTCTTATTGTTAAAATCCCTACATGACATTTAAAAATACATGGATTCAAGGTGCTTTATTTTATCTTCAGCATACCACTTATCAGAACTTAATATTTTTATTTGTATTTTTTTTACATGTTTATTGCTGATATGGTTTGGCTCTGTGTCCCCACCCAAATCTCTTGTTGAATTGTAATTCCCAATGTTAGGGGCAGGGACCTTGGTGGGAGGTGATTGGATCATGGGGGTGGATTTCGCCCTTGCTGTTCTCATGATAGTGAGTGAATTCTCACAAAATCTGATGGTTTAAAAGTGTGTAGCACTCCCCTCTTCACTCTGTCTTTCTCCTGCTGACATGTGAAGACGTGCTTGCTTCCCCTTCATCCTTCTGCCATGACTATAAGTTTTCTGAGGGCTTACAGCAATACTTCCTGTAAAGCCTGTGGAACTGTGAGTCGATTAAGCCTCTTTTCTTCATAAATTACCCAGTCTCAGGTAGTTCTTTATAGCAATGTGAGAACGGATTTATATAATTGTCATTCTGCACTCCTGTGGGGGGAGGTGTCCTTCTCTCTTGTTTTCTGCTCTGTCCTTGGTGCCTAGAACAGTCCCAGGCACACAGAGGTGACTTCATAAATATTTGTTGGCTGACTCACTGCTCTCCTTTTTGCATTAATTCAGAATGAAATATGAGAAAGATAAAGAAGTGACTGACCTTCCTAGCAAACTCTTCCCTGGGAAACTGTTGTCTAGGCCTTCTTCCACTCCACCAAGCCGGGCCAAGCTCTGAATACCCACTTACGGGTGCAGACACTAAAAGAAGAGAAAGCCTGTTAATTGCAAACTGTTTTTCAGTGTTGCTGAAAGGTCACCATTATCAATTATGACATATTTGAAGAGAAGGAAGTCCTGTCTATATGGCAATATATTCCATGGTGTCTAATTTGTTTGCTGTAATAAGGCCAGGCCCAGTTATTGATGAATCAATCATCCGTGTCTTGTATGCTGATGACACCACCTAAGTCTCTCTCTCAGGATAATGGTGTTGCATACGGAGCTTGGTGCTGGGCTGTATATTATTAAACTCCATAAACATGTTGAACATTAATTGCAACTGCTGTGCAAGAAAACATTTTTTTCCTTTTTGTGGTGGAGAGTTAAGTAATTTATACAGGATAACTAAAGCCTGTCTTTAGGCAGTGGTGAAATGCTGTTAAATCAATCCATATGGCCGGTCTCCGCAAGAGAATCAATTGTATGACCTGCATGGGTGAATGACATAGGGCATCTCAGCCGTGCTGAGTTCTTTCTTGCTGTAAACGGACTAGCCCTTGAGGTGTTATCTCCACATATTTCATGAGGAAAGAAGTAGCAAAAATTACAGGGTCAACTTAAACGAAAAATAAATGCTCATCTCAGTTAATTCAAGTGAACAGGAATTTTCCTTGATTTTCTTTTCGGTGTGTGTTCTGCCTTCAGTATCTAAATAATGATCTTAATGCTTCATTTCACTTTTCTGGCACAAATAGCTTAGTTCAGGGGAATAAACATCTTCTGATAAAGGCAGGAGGTGAGGCCTGAGGCCAGGCCTGGGACAAGGGCCTTGAGCTTTTAGTTCCCTGGAAAAGCAGCATGTAAGTTTGGTGCTACCTTTTGATTACTTTCTTTCTGCATGTTAGGGCTTTGCTTCAACTCTTTTATTTTCATTGTAGTCTTTCAACTAATTTATTAGTTTTAAAAGTGTTTTAAAGGGCAACTTTGAAGAATGCCATCAGAGAAAGCAAACTGCTTTCTCACTCCTCTGTCCTCCTAACCTCCCAGCTTTGCTGCTGGCTTGGTTTGATTTAATGTATTAGGGAATAATAATACTCCCCTAATTATAAGGACTCACCTGCATTTTCTAAGAAAAATATGCTTCTTAATTGGTAAATTCGGAGTTAGTTTTCCCTATGCATCCACAAATGGCATTTACATAGAGTTGTAGACTAAGGAATAATTTAAGTCACATAGATTTATAAAAATTTAGCGACTCTCAGTTTTCAACAGAAGCCTGGTTAGATTGTATCTTGGATTTTCTTTATTGGAGAATGAAGAAAATAAATCTTATAAAATGCAGGGCAGGTCAAGGCACGTGCATTAGTTTTTTACTCCTTGATTTTCCATTGGGAAGCATGAATTGGAAAGCCAGGATGAACTGTTTTGACTGTGATTTGTAGATTATATATATATGTATAGGTTTTCTCTGAATTTCTTCATGCAACCCTTATTCTGATAGTATTACTTCTTCTTTGAATAGGCGTGTGTGGGTGGAGAAGATTCCCTTCCATCAGGTATTAGTCCCTTTTCATACTGCAGTGAAGAAATACCAAGATTGTGTAATTTATAAAGAAAAAAAGGTTTAATTGAGTCACAGTTACACCTGGCTGGGGAGGCCTCACAATCATGGTGGAAGGTGAAGGAGGAGCAAAGGCATGTCTTACATGGTGGCAGGCAAGAGAGCATGTGCAGGGGAGCTGTTCTTTATAAAACCATCAGATATCATGACACTTATCACTATCATGAGAACAGCACAGGAAAAACCCACCCCATGATCCAATTACCTCCCACTGGGTCCCTCCCATGATACATGGGGATTATGGGAGCTATGATTCAAGATGAGATTTGGGTGGGGACACAGCCAAACCATATCACACTATTTTATTGGATTTTGATGGTGTAGACAACTGCATTAAGCATAGCACATAGAAGTGGTCATGTGGTGGGGACCAGATTAATCTTAGTGCCCCATCCCCTTGGTTGTAGTGATCAGCCCAGGGATGGATTTGAGACTCACACCAAGTCAATGAGAATTTTTCCATGGAATTTTTTGTATGGACATATGTTTCTTTGTTTGCTACCTGAGATGTTATAAGTCTGGATTGTCTAATAGGGCATTCCCTAGCACCCTCTCAGACTATCCTTACTCATGGAGGGAATGTTGTAAGAGGGAGAGAATGACGGCAACACACCAACAGAAGCAGTAGGCAGGAGAGAAAGAAAGAATGAGAGAGAGATAGCAAGAGTGAGAGCACACACAAGTGAGAGGGAACTATGGAAAGTGTTTAAGTGCCCATATTCCATGCTTTCTTGAAGCCAGCTCCTCTGAACGCCCGTGTTTAAAGTGCTCATTACATTTTAGAGGTTTTGAGTTAGTTTTCTGTCATGTTCAAGTACAGGTTCAAAGTAATATATATCTCAAGTGTGTGTGTATATATACATATATATCTCAAGTGTATATATGTATGTGTGTGTGTATATATATATATAGCACTAATATTAAGCACTAATCACTGCCTTATTTGCCTAGGAAGTACCAACAAGCCTCAGATTTTTGGGAGACCCAGGGTTTCAGAGAAAATATAGAATGGCCTTGGGGTTTAACCTGCCTGAAGAGGAAGTGGCAAGAAGTTGCATTTACACATCAACCTTAGGCACAAGTAATTTTTCATCCTAACCAACACCCTAACATTCTTCTGTAATGCTCTCAAGCTTTTAAGACGTGACTTTTTTTTTCCTTCAGTTCCTTTTATGTTTCTAGATGCAGCTGTCAACAGTCACTTCTTTATTTTCTTGCTTCTATTTCTTAGTTTTGTTTCCCATCTTTTGAGATATACATGCAAGAATGGTAATTATTACCAAGCCATGTTGACTATTACCTTTGAGCAGGGGAAAATATGCCTCCCCTAATTCTCTAGGAATGCAGAGAACTAAGAAGCCATGATCCTTTGATAATTTGGTGATCAGAGTCTTTGCTTTGTTCCCCTGATCTTGGACTTCTACAGATTTATGACTACATGTTGTAAAGATTAGTTGCCTTCTTTGCAGAAGACTCAGGATCTGATGTCAGGTTTGTCATGTGGCCTTGAAAATGTGAATCAAGGTTGAGAAGATTCAAAGGTTGAGGGAAGCTTCTACCCCTAGGAATTGCCTCTTATCTTTCAGATGGTGCAAGATTTTGCTCTGCTGTGTGCTGGTTCATTTTTTAGATATGTGACCGTTTTTGATAGCTATTGAAAAGTAATGCAGAAGAGAGAGCCCTTTGAGGAGATTTAAGGTCTCCCATTTGCCACCCATATTGCCAAGAGTACAGCTTCATTATGATGTTTACTGGGGAGGGAGATGGCAGAGAGTGGAATGAGTATTGGATGTCAAGTTGGAGAGCCTGGGATGGGAGTCTCAGCTTTGCTCTAACTAGCTCTGAGGCAGTGGGCATGTTACTTATGTTTTGGAAACCTCAGATCAAGCATCTGTGAAATGAAGGAGATGGTAGTACTTGCTTCATGGACTTGTTGTAAGATACAAAATAAAAATGAGATAATAAATATGAAAGTACTTTGTGTATGGAAGAGAGTGGCTGAAACATAAGGCAGTGTTCTTGTTAAGATGCCATACATTAAATAGGCGTAACACATTCCAGAAGCATAACACAAAATAAAAATCAACTCTGCCTGGCGGAAGTTTGTTTCTTTGGAACAAAATATTTTTATTAGGATCTAGTAGTTTGAGGAGGTAAAAGATTCTGTGTTCATAATCTTTGTGTAGCTTTAAAATGAAAAACTCTTTGTCTATACTGGGGGACAGGTAAAGTCTGTGAATTGAGCCAGCATGTGCATACACTGTGAGTGAGGAGATTGTTCTGCTTAAAAACTGCTAATATGTATTTACTGGTTTGGTGCATTCAGAATTGTTTATTCAGATTGTATAATTTCATAAAGCTCAATATTGATGTGTAGACACAGGCAGTTCTGTTGGTTATTTTGGCTGTGCTTTAATGTTTTCCCAAGAGAGAAATTGGGATCCGGGTTTTCCTCGTTGCAGCATGTGCAACTCTACACCATGCACACACATGCGCACGCTTCCCACCCACCCACAGAGATTGCCAAATCACTGCAGTATTGAGGCTTCTGTGATATTAATCAGGAGCGTTGTGAATCATCTAAGAATCTGCAAGCCGTGGAGACTGACTTTGCCTGGGCATGAAGACTGCCACTCCCCTTGGTCATTAGGTCAGATGGTATAGGCGCTATATCTTGCCATCCCCAAACCCCCAGGGACCATGAAGCCAGGAAAGGGATGCAATGTTCAAATTCAAAACTTTACAAGGGGATGCTGTCTCTCATAGCCCTCCTGGATGGTCACAGAACAGCTTGATTGCATGGGCACATGATGAAAGGCTCACTGTGATACACTAGGGTTCTCTGCCTCTTTTCATGGGTGATTTTGAAAAATAGCTCCAGAACAGCTAATTACAAAATAAATAAAAAGAAGTCTCTCTGCCCAGAAGAGTTCTGAAAACAAAAATAATGTCCTTTTTTTTTTTTTTTTTTTTTTTTTTTTTACACAGCATCCTTTCCAGATAAGCCCAAGGCCAAGAAATAACTCCCTGAGAGCAGGTTAGAAGGGGAAATCTGTGGACATTTTAGAAATAGAGTTTGCCAATTTATTCACATGTATAAAAGATGATTCTATCAATACAGGGAGGCCTGGACTTTCATTAAGAAGAAGAGAATGCAGAAGGGTTTTAACTAGCCAGTTACTGAGAAATCTGTAGAATTATTTGGCAAAAATAAACACATAAATAGCAGGGTAGGCAACAGTGAGTAATTAAATGTGCACTGTAATACAAGACTTCTTTAAGAACTTCCTGGATAAAGGAAAACAGCAAACCAAATGTATAATCCACTAGCTAGGTCCGGTTAAGAAGGAATCAGCAAGAGAATCCCATGGAAGGCAGATGCTAGTGTTGCAAATTATTTTGTTTTCTAAGCATCTATTCCCCATTAACGCCACCCAGACTTAAAACACAGGCTTGGCCAGGCACAGTGGGTCACACGTGTAATCCCAGTACTTTAGGAGGCAGAGGCAGGTGGATCACGAGGTTAGGAGTTCGAGACCAGCCTGACCAGCATGGTGAAACCCCATCTCTATTAAAAAAATACAAAAATTAGCTGGCTGTGGTGGTGCGCGCCTGTAATTTCAGCTACTTGGGAGGCTGAGGCAGGAGAATTGCTTGAACCTGGGAGGCGGAGGTTGCAGTGAGCCGAGATCACGCCACTGCACTCCAGCCTGGGCAACAGAGTGAGACTCCATCTCAAAACAAACAAAGAAACAAACAAACAAAAAACACAGGCTTATCAGCTCCTTGCGGGGGGGAAAGGGAAGAAAGGAGAAGCTACAGGGAGAAGAGCTATAGAGAGTGGCAGTAAAAAAAGAGGATGAAAGAAGAAAAGGGAAATCCTGGGGAGAAGGTTGGAGAGGGAGTGACAGAGAGAAATGCAGGAGCCTAAGGGAGCAAGATGGGGCACTATGAGGGGAATTGCCCCAGGGAAAGCCTGTGTCTCAGCCCAAGATGTGAGTGAGACCTTCCCTTTGGGGGCTGCAATTGGTTGTGAATTTGATGTCTAAGTAGGTTTAGCATGCTTTCTTCCAGAGCGTGTCTTCCTCTGAAGTTTCCTACCAGAGCCCCAGTCTCAGGCAGAAACATGTGAACTTCCCTCCAATATCTGTCTTGTGCTCCTGCAGGATGCTTTTGCTCTGGGAGAATCTCCATTCTGATGGTTGGAGATGGCGAGGCTCCAATGGGCAGAGCTTCCTGTGGCTTTTGGTCTGTCCTGGGTGAGTTTCTTCTGATCGTTTTCTATGCACAATGAAAGTGAGAACTCTCGATGACAGGTCTGAGACCAGCAGAAACCTGGAGTAGAAGCAGATACACAATTTTAATCATGAAGATCTTGCTATATTAAAGCACACTGGAGACAGGGCACCTCAAGTGCAGGTTGTAGTCTGTTTCCTCATCTGTCTCACAGAATAAAGTAGACTAGGTGAGATAAATGTTCTCAAAAGTGCTTTAAAAGGGTGGGATACTTAAGAAAGACAAGTGACTATTATTGCTATTTTGTATCAGAAGATGTGCTTCTATTTTCACCTGGTTTAAACCAGGGCATGCTTCTTCTGATGTGATTATCTGACATTTGGGCCCAATAAACAGGTTTCTATAAACCATTCACAGAAAATATGGAAACTCCTCTTCTTCTTGCTCTCCACTTTGTTAACATGGGATACTAGGACTCAGAAATGGACATCTGTGTTCGTGTAGTCCTAATGGAAGAAACTGGGTTTCAAGTGCAGGAACTGAGGGCCCGAGAGGTTAGGTGATTTGCCAAGTCAAGCCTTTTCCCTGCCAAGTGCCCGCTATAGGATACCACTGTGCTGCTCCAGAGTGGTGCTCAGGTGCCTAAGACTCTGTGCTTTGCAGGTTCACTCCCTGCACCCCATCTCTGCTCTGGCCTGGTGTCCCGGATGGGACACAAATGAGCTGACCATTACGAACCACTTAGCACTGAGAGGAAAAGCTGCAAAACACAGGCATGTAAGGGATTTGGGAAAATGAGTTAAACCAAATTCTACATGAATCCCAGGAATGAAAGTCTGGCTAAAAGGCTGGTTTTGAGGTCATTGACAGTCTTCACAAGCAGGTGACTGGGTCAGTCCAGCGTGATGATAGTGCTGGGTGGCCAGTTTTGTGTGTGTGGGAGCAGGAAAGTTCCTAAATGACATGGAACCAGGAATCTGGAGGAATGTTCCCTGAGAAGGTGGAAAACCTGGAAAGAAGCCTAACCAACAGTGAATCAAGCCTGGACCTCTTTGCACCAGTGGTGGCAGTCTCGAGCCCCAACAGCATTCAAAATTCCAGGTATAGAGTGCAAGGAAGGCACTTGCGGAAACCAACGACCTTTGGAGTTTTCTCCCTCTGTAGGTTCTCCAGCACCTTCCCTACATGCATAAGCTTCTGGAGGTGCTCAATGTCCACATGGTGGCCAGCTAGATTAGCAACAAACAACTCCTCTTTACCTGGCCTAACCAGCATTCTCTGTTGCAGATGTAGCTTTTCTCCAGGCAGAACCACAGTTTTAGGTGAGTGAGAAAGAACACTTCTCACCACTCTCATTTAAAGAGTCTTGTGAAATTAGAGATAAGAAAAGAGGTTACTTTACAGAAACCATCACAGTGTTTTCTTGGCAGATTGCATATTGAGACAGGAATTCCCACACAATCACAATCTTTTGAGTATCACTGTAGATCACTCACTGTCACCAACCTGGGAAAAGGAGGTTTTCTTATTCACCTGCTGCATCCTGTGTGCTACATTCCCCTTTCTCTTCTCCTGTCAAGCTATGTAGAGGAATCTATACTTGCTACCAGCCTTCTTGGTCTATGGAACACTGGCCAGCAACCAAATATGATCAGTTCCGTTTCTGTGGGCCATGAAATCTGGACCCCTGGCATCTCCTCTGGCCTCAGGTCCACAGACTGGCCTTTACCAGTGCTCTATTCAGGTGCTTCCCCCAGTGATGGAGTCTGTGTTGCTTCCTTCTCAGCATGTTCTTAAAGACCATGCTCCTCATGGTTCATCTGCGAGCACTTCTGCCATTCCCCTATATACCCAGCTTCCTTCTTCTTGAAGAGCAAATTAAAGTTAGTTATTGTCCCCAGAAACAAAAGAAAGCCCTCTTGCTTCTTTGGTGGTTCCCCCATCCCAGGGTGTGTTTATATGCAGCCAGACTTTTAGAACATGAGAAAGGTCTGTCCTAACAATCCCATAACTACTCATGGCCAGGCTGATTGCTGGAGAGGGAAGCCTAGGACCCATGCTCTTCTGTGTGCAGTCTCACCCTGGGTGTATGCATTCTTCTCCCTTTCATTTTGAGTGGGTATTTTGCCCAGAACTCTGTCTTGGGGGTTTCTTGTCCTCACTTCTTCATAATTAAGTAAGGCCCTTCCTTATTCATCCCTTTTGATATGGTTTGGCTGTGTCCCCACTCAAATCTCATCTTGAAATGTAGCTCCTATAATTCCCATGTGTTGTGGGAGGGACCCAGTGGGAGGGACCCAGTGGGAGGTAAATGAATCATGGGGGCAGGTCTTTCCCATGCTGTTCTCATGATAGTGAATAAGTCTCATGGGATCTGATGGTTTTATAAAGGGGTGTTTCCCTGCACAAGTTCTCTCTTGCCTGCCACCATCTAAGACGTCCCTTTGCTCTACCTTCATCTTCTGCCATGATTGTGAGGGCTTCCCAGCCAGGTGGAACCGTGAGCCAATGAAATCTCTTTCCTTTGTAAATTACCTGGTCTGTGACATGTCTTTATCAGCAGCATGAAAACAGACTAATACACCTTTTGATGAAATAAGAGCAAATCTGGCCATGTGCAGTGGTTCACGCCTGTAATCCCAGCACTGTGGGAGGCCGAGGTGGGTGGGTCATCTGAGGTCAGGAGTTTGAGACCAGCCTGGCCAACATGGTGAAACCCTGTCTCTACTAAAAATACAAAAATTAGCTGGTCATAGTGGTGCATGCCTGTAATCCCATCTACTCAGGAGCTGAGGCAGGAGAATTGCTTGAATCTGGGAGGTGGAGGTTGCAGTGAGCTGAGATTGCACCAATGTACTCCAGCCTGGGTGACAGAGCGAGACTCCATCTCAAAAAAAAAAAAAAAAAAAAAAAAAAAGTAAAAATCTCTGAAACATGAGGTTGGCTCCTTTAGGTGGCCCAGACACATTCTAAGACCTAATTCCTTTTCAAGTTTACTGTCCTTTACAGACTGGGGAGTTTTAGGTAAAGAAAGGTCAGGAGGACAGAAGACTATTTAATTAATGCATTACGTGGAAACCACTGCAGGTATTTTAAGTAAAAGGACATTTAATAGAAGGAATAAGGTGGTTATAAAATCCACTGAGCAGGTACCACTAGGCTACATTTTCTGGAATGATTTCCAGAAAAATATGGAGGTGACCCTCCAGAGGACCACCTCTGTAGCTACCACTGTTCATATATTCAAGAGTACATCCCATCAAGAAGCTGCCATCACCGCTACTGCTGTGTAACTGCCCAGGAAGCTGGAGGAGGGACCCTGCACACTTGCAGAAAAGTCTCATGTTTCCCGGACTGTGCTGGTTGGGGACAGCAGCCAAGAGGAGCAGGCAGGTGGTCACTGCCTCACTCCTGCCTTTGAAATCTTACAGGAATGCATCCAGGCTTCAGGTAGAGCCCCCGACTTCAGGAGAGTCTGGGAAGCATAGCTTTTGGTTCTCAACTTCTCTAACTGAAAGGATGGTAGCACAGAGGTTTAAGGACCTAATTCACAGCATCCACCTCAACTGTTGATGGCTTTTATGCATCTGCTGCATTAATTTTCAGAGTTACAATATCATTATAGGAAAATATATTGTAGAAACAGACCTTGGAAATTACATATGTGGTATCTCATTTTACAGGTGTACAAACTGAGGTGCAGAGAAGTGAAGTGACTCCTCTAAAAGCCACAATGCTCATTGTCGGTAGAGACGGCAATAATGCTGGCCTCTTGGCTCTAGATTATTTCCAATTCAGCACTTTTCACTTAGGAGTCCCTGGGCTTGCAGGAAGGCACACAGGGTTGTGTTAAGAGTACAGGGAATCAGGCCGGGTGTGGTGGCTCATGCCTATAATCCCAGCACTTTGGGAGGCCTAGGCAGGCAGACCATTTGAGGCTAGGAGTTCGAGACCAGCCTGGCCAACATGGCGAAATCCCGTCTCTACTAAAAATACAAAAATCTGCTAGGCGTGGTGGCGCATGCCTGTAGTCCCAGCTACTTGGGAGGCTGAAGCATGAGAATTACTTGAACCTGGGAGGTGGAGTTTACAGTGAGCTGAGATTGTACTGCTGCACTTCAGCCTGGGCGATAGAGCAAGACTCTGTCTCAAAAAAAAAAAAAAAAGAAAAAAAAAGAAAAGGAATCAGAGCAAACTAAGATTAATACAGAATTAATTTTACTTGTAATTTTAATTATGGGGGAAATGGTGTTGTTTGCTTTAAACCAAAGCGCTATGTTAGTGTGCACACATTTGTGTTATAAACATGGCATTTCCTGCAAGGGTGAGACAGGCCAGGTTTCAGGACCTGCTTCCAGGGCCTACTCACTCCCTTGTGCTGTTGGGGACCATTCTGGGAAAGAGCTTGAGAAGCTTGGCGGCACCCCATGCTGCTTTCTTGTTTCAGATATTGTCACAATATACTTTTGTTGAGTGCCATGTAAAAGTTTCATTTTCACTCAAATGCCACTTGTTCTGTGAAGTCTTCTCTTATGCTCCCATTGTAATTAATTGCTCCTTTCTCTGCACTTCCAACGCCCCATATTTATTGCTGGATTATAGGACAAATTATGGTGTGCCTTGTTTTATGGTAAACTCCACATGTTCCTATCTCTTTTATAACGATGTGAGGGCATCATGGTCAGGGACTGGGTGTAATTTATTCTGAATCCCAGCACCTAGCACAGCACCTTTTCTTTTCTTTTCTTTTCTTTTTTTGAGATGGAGTCTTGCTCTGTTGCCCAGGCTGGAGTACAGTGGTGCCATCTCAGCTCATGGCAAGCTCCGCCTCCTGGGTTCATGCCATTCTCCTGCCTCAGCCTCCCGAGTAGTAGCTGGGACTACAGGCGCCCGCCACCACGCCCGGCTAATTTTTTGTATTTTTAGTAGAGACGGGGTTTCACCGTGTTAGCCAGGATGGTCTCGATCTCCTGACCTCGTGATCTGCCCGCCTCAGCCTCCCAAAGTGCTGGGATTACAGGCATGAGCCACCGCACCCAGCCAGCACCTTTTCATTTGGAATGGAGTGGTGGTGGGTATGGGAATGTTTCCTCTCATTCTTTCCTCCTCTTTGGGTAGCATAGGATGGGACTTCCCTGTTCCTTGTGGCAGGGCCATGTGCTTTGGTCTAGCTGATGAAATGGGGTTGACATGGGTCACTTCTAGGCTGAAGCAGTGAAAAGATCTTGTATGACCCTCCAGCGTTTTCTCCTCTGCTTTGATGACTGTGGAGGTCTTATATTGAGATGACAAAGCCACAAGAAGAAAATAGGGTGGCTTCTCTGGAGAGTTACTCCAACCAGGAGAGGAGTTTGCCTAAGGGGAAATAAACATTTTCTGTTTTCAGCCATAGAGCCTCTAGGGTTTGTTTTCCCAGCCTGGGCTAGCCTTTCTTGACTCAGACAAGTGGCCTATAGTTCATGGAATTGCATAAACAGCCCAGATACCTATAGATGTATTTCCTACAATCATACAATTTATTTGCAACTTTCCTCTTCCTCCTTGATATAACCTCTCTTAGACTTTGGGAATTCTGAATGAGAAAGGATAACATGTTGTTAAACTCTACAGGGGCCATGGAAATAACTGGGCAGAAGTTGTCACCCAATTCAATTATGCCATTACCCAGCCTAGGAAGGACTGAGGCCATTTGGAAAGCAATGAATGTCCCCAGCAGATGGGAAGGTACCATATCTCACCCAGGAGTTACTGTACCTTTGACATGTGAGGGAAATTTACAACCCCAGTGGCTCACCTTCTCCACCTTGGCACCTGCCAATTTTACTTAGTTGTCTGTAGGGAGCACAGGAAGACATGGGTTGACTCAATGGCTTTTCACTCTCTGTGCACAAATTTTACTTTGTTTATGTGTGATTGGTAGCTTTCTGCATTTATTATAGATGTGCATTTATTTTTTATACACACGTTGTCATCACATATATGCAACATTTGGAGATTATTTCTGGGAACTTCAGAAAAAAATTCAGAAGACAATAGGTGTTTCAAACTGGTCTTATGTTTTGCTGGTTTAGTCTCAGAATATTTTGCCATTATTGACAGAAAATTTTATTCCGGCTCCACCTCAGGCAAGATAGTTCTCCTCTCTGCACAATCCATTTCCCTCTCTGAAAAGTGAGGCTAAAATTTACTCTTCAGGTTGTGTGGATATTGGAGAAAATGTTTGTAAAGGATCCAGCTCATTACTTGGCAGTTTGTAGGTATTTTATAACAATAATTGGGTAATACGTATGTGTTATATTCAGATAGAACATCGCTGTTTGAAAATTATTTATTTTTGAATTTCAGTTGACACTCACCATGGCTCTTTGAGGTAGGTTTTATTACCTTTATTATGTAGCAGAAGAAAGTGAGGCTTAGAGAGGGCACAGTGAGTTGTGCAAGGTCACAGACTAAAAAGTGGGAGGCCTACAATCGAATCTGACTTGTGCTGGTGCTGTAGCTGGGAGGTGCCTTGAAGCAGTGATTAACAGCAGAGCAGAGAAGAAAACAGCCTGGGGTCGTTAGTACAGTGCCTGGAAGAAAGTGGGGCTTCAACAAATGGTTATGATTATTGTGTGATAGGTACTGGTAACCATGAACTATGTCACCTAGTTCATCTATTTCAAAGTAATTCATCATCAGGGACCCTTTGGCCTCATCCAAGTAGCTTCTACAAATAAAGCTAATATGTTATTCAGACCATGCTATGTAAACCACTGTGAATAATCAAAGCATTTGAACAAAAGAGGAACAAATTATTAAAAATTATTGGGTGGTCCAAAAGTAACCACGGTTTTTGCCTTTCAAAGTAGTGGCAAAAACTGCAATTACTTTTGCACCAACTTAATAGTTTGTATATAGTCATCCACTGGTCAGAAAGCCATTCTCTGTACATTAAAATGTTAGAAATAAAATATGGCCCTTCTCTGGGGTACAATAAAAGAACCAGAGGTTTGTACCTTAAAAGAAGTTACCATGTATCACATCTCACATGCCTCTGTTCCTCCCAGATGCCAGACAGCCAAGATGCTGGCTTAGTTCAGGATGGAGAATAATTGTGCATGTCAATATTTATCCTATCCCAACACTCAAATTAGCTTCTCTATAATCAAGCTGGAAAACACACCTCCCCCCTTGTAACCTGCTCTTCTACATGCAGCATTCTTCTGATACAGTTACTCATTTCAATTAATCTGAAAACAGAGGGGGTTGAGCTGCCCATCCATTTGGCAAGGGGTTTGGGAATAGGATCAAAGTTGGTTTTATTTCAATAGCGTCCCTGGTGAGCTGTTAATTACTTGGGTTTCAAATCTGATGGCATTTGAAATAGAATATTGAATTACACCTGTGTTTGGGGGTCAGTTTATCTTCTGATATGAAGGTAGATTTGTGGCAGGAAGGAACAGGAGGAAATGAAGTTAGTTTTCTTCCTGTGTTTGATGGGGGAAGGTCTTTGTTGCTGCAATATTCCTCAGGGCTTTGCATACTGGTTTAAACCAATAGAGAAAATTATGTTTCAGGAACTCTGAGCAAGAGCAGACCTCCAATTATCCCTCAAACAGATTAAAAAATGTAATCTTAGATTTGTTAATATGAAATATCACTTGCATACTTACATAATTTTAATTTTTTTTGGTTTTGAGTACTTAAGGTGAATTGAAAACCAGTTTGGTGGAAAACTGAAAGTGGAATTAATGTTTCTGGCTTTAGTGTTCTAATATTTGTGTAGAACATTTAGATTCTAAATTTACTGAAAAATAAACATTTTGTCTGTTTGCAAATTTACACTTGTCAGAGAAGATATCTTATTTTGGAATATTTCTCTTGTTCACTAATCTCCAAACATGCTCACCTCTTTTCTGTTCCTCAGACTCCCCAAGCTCTTCCCTGCCTTGAGGTGCTTGCTCTCTGCCCCATCTGTCATTTCCTAGCTCTGTGTTTTACTGTTTAGGCTTTCACTCCAATTTCACTTCCTCCCAGAGGCTTTCTTTCCCACTGACTGTCTCATCACTCTATGTATTCCTTCAAAGCACTGATCACAATTTGCATGTATTTAATTCATTTATTTGTCACAATATGTGGTGTGTCTTGCCCATGCGAGCAGACAGGGGCTTAGGCTATCTCCCATACTCCTGTATCTTCAGTACTTAGCCTGGTTCCTGGTATGTTGTAAGCATGTGGTATTTCTTTGGTGAATGAACAAACACATGGAATGAACACGAACCATGGACAAACCTTGTCTTTTCATAGTGCACAGACCAAACCATTTGGATAGTATGATATTCAGGTTCAGTCCTTATGATTTAAAATATAATTTTATAAAGCTGGACAGTAACTGAAAACCTGTTGCAAACCTGAAACCATTTTGGCTAGAGAAAACTTTGACAACACTGTGTATTTGGGAGTGGAGCTATTTATACAGCAAGGACTGCTGTAGCTTCTCTCTTGGTTTCCCTTTAGACTCTATGGTTGTTTCTCCATCTGTGGGTCTTTCCTCTTGTCTCCCCCTCTCCCCCCTTTTTTTTACATTCTGCTTTTTGACTTTATTTCTACCTTACAAAAACTGCTGACGATTTTCTCATGGGTTAGCTAAGAAATAAATACAAGCTATCTTTCTTTTTATCAAATTCATAATAGCTATTACTGGTAGAACTGATGGCAACAAAATAAAACTGACAATGACTAAAACAACTCATGGTAGAATTTGTTATTAGCTAAAAGATGGCAAAATTAAATCTTCTTGATAAAATTTAGACATGCAAAATTTGATTTAGGAAAATTGAACTTTCTCAAAGTAAAGAAAACTCAAAATGGCAGAAGCTGTCACTTAAAATTCGATCTGGCTAAAAAAAAACCTGATTTTCAAAATACTTTTATAAAATTTCTAAGGAAAAGGTTTGATGCTGACCAAATAATATCAAAGAAGTGAAAATGACGACAAGATAAAAGCATTTACCTTATTTAATCAAGAGAAGGTGAGGCTGGAGGAAACTCAATGAATAAATCTGAAAGTACGGGAACGGCTATTGTGCTGAAGAATGGATCGTGTTCTCCTTTTCCACTGACAAAAAGAAAGGTCTGGGAACACAGAAGGGAGCTTAGGAAGAACTTCTCATCCACAGGGGGCTGGGAGGCCCTGAAATACATTAAGACAATTTGGGGAGTGAGGGATTACAAAAGTGTGTATGTGGTGGGGGGAGCCCTCTCTGAAGTTCCTGAAAGAAAATGTAGTAGGAAGCTATCATTCTGAGGTGGTTTAAGTGCATTCCTTTCTGACTGAAGATACAAAGATGAATGAGGAGTTTTCACCCTCTCAAGGACTCTTTTAGACTCATATTTCTATGACTCTATGACATTTTAAAATTCTGTTTTGCTCTTTGGTAAGAAAGTGAAATTGTGCTGTTTGGAAAAGGGAATGACAAAGCTTTGTTGAGAAGTTGCTTTATATTTTAGTATTAAAATTTTAGTGTTGTTTAAATGGTTTAAAGATTGTTGTGTTCCTTCGACTTAGGTTTCATAAGTCTAATATTTTTTAGGAATTAGTTTTGTATGTGTGCAATTCTGTGAATAAAATGGTCACTGTGATGACTCCTAAGGATGATGGGTTTAAATTTGGAATAACAGAAATATTCACTCCAAAGGAGGAAACATCTAAAGGTTGAGGAGGTAAAAAATGATCCTTTGTGATAGCAAAAATGTAATTTCAATCTTTTGGAGAAATAATATACAGATTGTATAAATGAAGAATCTTTGATGATAGCTTCATATATGTACATATGAAAAATGCAGGCAATCATGTAACTGATTGTGATTTCTAGGTCTACAAGTCTGTAATAAAGGGTTGCACCAAACAGGTGGGATGGGAGACTGAATGAAAAGATAGGTCCCCTGGATCATCCCAGAGGACAGGAAGTGACTCTGATCAAAACAGGACAAGGTTACCATGAATAGAACCAAGATGGCAACCATCAGTAACAGGCAGAGAAAGCTCTCCCTCTGATGACTGGGAGAGTAACTCTGCTTTCTCTGCTCCTCTAGCATGTGGGCATCACGGGGGAGGCAGTAATTGTGAAGAAGAGACCATAGTATTCAGGAAGAAAGAAGCAAAGATATCTAGTATGCAGAAGGAGACTGAACTAAAGAGGAACTGAAAGAAAATTCTAGGCTGTTTCCCAGTAATTACGTTCAATGAAATCCTGGGAAATGCTAAGAGACCAAATATAGCAGTGAGTGCACCCTAAGCTAACTCCTCAGAAAAGTAGTAATAAACCATCAGTGGTTGTGGAGGAGGTTAATGCATTTTGCAGACCCAAGTGCCAGGAATTCAAAGGTACTGTTGGCCATCTCTTCAGCCTAATGTTAGGTACAGATCATATAGCATATTTTGTTAATATAACTTTGTGGTAAGAATATTTGTCTTGTATTTCAAATACTCCAGGAGTGCAGGAGAATGGAATATATGCCATCTGCCAACATAACACGAAACAAAATACCTGGATGAAATCATGAAGTCTTGCACATGTATGTTATGACACCAGGAAGGCAATGCATATTTTTCTCTTTTCTTAGCTTAGAAAATAGTCACATATCCAGTTTTTAAAAATATCAACTTTCATGGGGATGATACCAATAGATAAGGAAATCTACAAGGGCTGGATTAAGTTATCAATGCCTTTTGCTAAGGATTAGAAATTACTAAAAGAACTATGTGAATACACACAGATACACACATAAATATGCACACACACATGCATATACTTGTTTTTTTCCATGTGCTCCTATTGAATTTCCTATGGTGATTAGTAATAAAGTTGAGTGTTTATTTTTGTTTTTTAAAATAAAGTGTGTTTATTATTTATTATTAAAGTGTATGTAATTAAAATTATTATTTTATTTTTAAAGGCATATCTGAGTATTTTATACTTTTTATTTAACAATCTTGTGATTTAGATCTCAAGGCTACATCCATAACTCTCATCTATCTAGTGAAGGATACCCTTATTTTAGGCAAAGTACCGAGGAGGGACAGTCTTAGAAGCCCAGATTTCTAAATTGATGGTTTATGACAGGGCATCTCTTTTCCATAGTACGCTGAATAATTAGTGTTTGATATAGAAGAAAAACACAGAGAATTGACCTAAAACAAGATGCTTTAGTTCTGTATATTTTTATATGAATTATGGGCCTAAGAGAAGCCTGTATCTTCAAGCCAGTTTTGAACGTTAGGAATGTGGGCTGTTAAAAGGTTAGTTTATTACAGACAGACATGAATTTCTAAGCGATTTGCATTGGTCAGATGAAGTTGTTTTATCTGCACTTCTTGCTGAATAGACTTAAAAAGTCTTCTTATGTAAATTGTTTAAAGATAGGTTTTTTTGCATGTGAAAAAGTGTTGACAAGTAAATCTAATATCGACAGCATTATAGCTTATGAATATTTATGACAACTAAGTACCCTTATATGGATTTCCTGTTGTCTCCTGCAGCACTCTCCTCTCCAAGAAATTTCAGCATGGAGAGAAAGAAAGTTTTACCACCAATTTGTGCCTGAAACACAAGATGAACAGACGTCTTCTGCATTAAAAAAGGACATAGGCATGCATTAAATCCCTTATGTCTTACTTTTTAATGATGCAATTGTGAATTATGTTCTTGTTGCATTTGTAATTAGAGGCTGCAGCAGATGGTGAAGACTTATTTTAAAGTGATGTGTCTATTAAAATAAGCCACACAGCCAAATGATTGTTCACTGTAACAGCATCTTTACACCCCTGAAACACTCTGATTCTTTGTTGATGTGCGGTTGATTACCACAGCTGATTACATATGTGCACATATTTGCTCAAAAATGTATCAGGGATATTTGATATGTGCAATACTTTATTTTAAAGTGTGTGTTATCACAATTATAGATAATGAAGCTTTCAATGAATTATTCAGTTACACCATCTACAAAGGGAATGCACTGATTTCCCTTTTCAATAAAATTAGGCATGAATCTTTCTAAACTATTGAGGCCGATCCTCCCCACACAGTGGGAGAAGCATTGAACGGAGAATAGGGAATTTCTGAGTATTGAAAGATTCTCTTATCTAAAATCTTGTAAAGAGCAGGTTTTGTGGGGTGAATTCAGTCTATGAATAGTGATGGTTTCTCCAGCTAAATGTGGGGATGGAGGGAGAGAGGCATTGAGGAAGGGCCACGTAAAAATATAGTAGAGTAAGTAGTGAAATTGATGGCAGGTATTGGACTAGGTTAATCTGTGATAACACACAATACCTAAATCTCAGTGGCTTATAAAGATCTACTTCTCTCTCTGACTACATGTCTAGCATGGTTTATAAAAGGGACTCTGCATCATAGTCCATAAGGGACCAGGCTGATGGAGACTACATCTCCACACAGCCTTCTGCAATCCCTTTGCCAATAGGAAAAGGATGTGGTAGCTTATATACTAGCTTTTAAACTTCTTTCTGGAAGAGTCACATGACATGTGATGAAACCTAACATTAAGAAGGCAGAGAAGGCCGGGTGCAATGGCTCATGCCTGTAATCCCAGCACTTTGGGAGGCCGAAGTGGGCAGATCACGAGGTTAGGGGATCGAGACCATCCTGGCTAACACAGTGAAACCCCATCTCTACTGAAAATCCAAAAAAATTAGCCAGGCGTGGTGGTGAGTGCCTGTAGTCCCAGCTACTCGGGAGGCTGAGCAAGGAGAATGGCGTGAACCCGGGAGGCAGAGCTTGCAGTAAGCATTGATTGCGTCACTGTACTACAGCCTGGGGGACAGAGCGAGACTGTCTCAAAAAAAAAAAAAAAAAAAAAAAAAAAAAAGACAGAGAAGTATAACACTACTCTATGCTTGGACAAATTTAGTGAACAACTGTTATGACCAATTCAGAGTGTGATTTGCTGCCAGGCTGCGTGCTCTTTTTCTACCATCTACTCTGACTGTTCTATTTCTAATGTTGTGGTCTTGAAATAACACCAGATTGACTCTTTTATGTTTAGCAAAGTATGTAAAGACTTTTAGAAAAAGGTGCAAGTTACCTGGAGGGGCAGAGAAGTCCTCAGTTTAACATTTCCCAAACTGTGTTATTTTAAGAGGTGTTAATGCAGAACAAAGAATTCCATGGTCAACTGAACCTGGGAATCTTCAGGTAAGCAAAGTTATACAAATGTCTTTACTTCTTGGGGCCTTTAATATGTTAATGTAGATATTCATAAGGCCACTGTGTGCAGGATTTCTCAATTCCACAGCATCCCTTTTTCAGGGAGTTTCTTATGGAACCCTATTCTGTGGGAACATGCTTTGGCAATGCTGCTCAGGTCTCTCGAATTGGTGCCTGATGGTAGGTTTGGACATCATTTTGGCTTCTGGGTTGGTGAATACATTGAGGTGCTGGGAGGATGTTGCATCTGGAGAGAGTCTGGAAGTTCCCCGCCACCACCCATCATAGCTTGCCTTATACATCTCCACCCAGGTAAATAGTGTCAGAATTGGACTGAATTATTGGATACTCAATTGGTGTCTGTAGAATCTGAGAATTAGTTATTAATTTTGGAAAATGCTGCAGAATTGGTTTTGTTTATCATCTGGAAGGTATAGAGAGCTTCCATGGCTATACCCTCTTCCCCAACCCTTACCCTCTCCCTATCTGGAAAGGTAGGAACATGATTTTGATGGAGAAGGGGCAGAGAAGTTTTGTGATAGGTAAATGCATATGTTCTTTGAAGACTGGGCAAGGCTGACAGTTCTAGGGTTGAGAATGCTCTGTGCCATGATTCCATTCCCAAGAGACTGTTAAAATACTTATCTGATATTAAATAATTTGTATGTATAAAACACTTAGAACCAGGCACATGGTAAGCACTATGTGTTTGTTATTAATATTATTACTGGGCTACTAAACTGATAGCAATAATAAAAATAGCCAATAGTTTTGAATACATTATAGGTTCTAAACACTGTGCTAGGTTTATGGATGATCTCATTTGGTCCTTAAAACACCCTATAAGAAGTAGCTACTCTTATTATGCTCATTTTATAGATAAGGATGCTTAGATTAAGATAAGTTAACATATTTGTCCAAGGTCACATAGCTAACAAGAAGCAAAGGTAAGATTAGATGAACCCAGGCAAGTTTACTACATTCTTAACCATTCTGCCACTTTAACAGTTATTCCTTACACTTGCTAGTGTTTTATGGCCCTTAAAGCACATTTGTGTAGGTTGTGCCACGGTTCTCCACAGCAACACTCAAATGACATGTTCATTTTTAGGGATAAAAAATGAGTCTGAAAGAATTTGTTGAATCCTCTATTAAGAACAGGAATTTTAGCACTTTTCTATATATCTTTTTCTATGATATATCTTATTCCTTTTCATTTTATTTTTCTCTAGCTCTTTCCATTTTATTTGATTTTCTTCTCACTTATTCCTCCATCCTGTAATTTGAATTTGCAGCCTGTGAAGAACCAAAAAACAGTTTCTTAGGATAGTCATAAAAATGTCGAGAGAAGTATTAATATAAACTGTAAATAATGTATCTGATGACTTGAGCCCAAAATATGTTAATGAAAATGCCACTGGATTTTATTTAATTTAATGAAATCTTCACTCAATGTGGTCTGTGTGTCAGGTCTTTGGGGAAGTCAAAGTATGTCCAAAACAGATACACAAACACACCCCCCGCAATGCTGACAGAAGATTGAAAGATCCGGGCTACACAAACCCTCTGAGATGAGCATGGTGGCAGGCTTGAACAGCCATGGTCTCTGTGCTTTGGTCTCCTCTGTTCTCCTTTAAAACTTCCCCTTCATCACACTTTATTCGAAAAATAAAAACAGAGGGGAAGATGGGGCTATAGGGACAAGGAACTGGAAAAGGGGAACCAGGAAAGCTCTGGAAAAGTGTGAAAAGAAAGGGTGATTAACCTGCATGAACATGGTTCACTGAGTGGAATTTTAGCTGTCTTTCAGCTACACAGGCCAAGTGCTAGGCATGCTGGGGGAACCGCAGGAAGCCATGTGGGAATGACACTACCACACTCTCCACGTAGATGAAGGGTATCTTGAGTGTAATGGTGAGCAGCTGTCTCTTTACTCAAATGACAACATGAAAGGGAGAGGCCTGGAATTTCAGCATTTGCCACCAACGTTTAATGCAAGGTTAAGTGGCAGCTGTTCCTGGTCCTGGGTCAGGAAATGTGTGTGAGGGGCAGGGCAGCACCAGTGAGCATAGCAAAGCTGGGACCTTCAGGAAATCCAAGAACCCAAATGCCTGAAGGTTCTGGGTCTTCAGAGGTCTGTCCTTTTACTGAAATAATAAAGTGTTTTCTTTTTTTTTTTGTAATAGACGGAATGACCTAAATGTTGAAAAATTATTTAAGAAATGTTGTATAAAGGATCACAGCAGTCAGATGATTTTGATGAAGTGTTTTATTCGAGTTGATCAGTGTTTGTAAAAAATGGATTTTCAATGCCTAAGTTAGCATGCATGCATTCTCCAGGTAGTTTCCTAGTCCAGGAGACGCTTGGTGGAAGTGGCCAGCTCTCCAGAAGTTTGTGAGGGCTCCCGGAGGGGTCCACAGGTGGGTTCGCTTATAATGTCAGTGTTTAGAATAACAATAAATCTGCCTGTGTTCTTCGCAGAAATGAGTAACTTCAGATATGAAAATAAACTCAGGCCTTTGTAAATAGAAGTAGCCAAACCATTAATCTAATGAGAATATCAGGGAAGTGGCTGAGGTAGCCTTTAAACAGCCTTTGTGGTGTAAGTCAGGGGCCGTTGTATTTTCCCGAGAGATGATGAGCCAAGATGGCTTCTCAGCTAATAAGAAGGCAACAGGATATAGCTGAATATATATGTGGAGTCCGGGACCTTTATTTCAATTCTGGCTTTGCCAATAGCACCGTGTCACCTTGTGAAAATTGCTGATTATCTCTGATTTTGGTAACTCATCTGGAAAATGTGGAAGTTGGTGGGATGATCTCCAAGGTCCTGCCTAGCTTTAAAATTCTATGATGCTAGGAATATGGTTTGCCCATCAGTGAAAAGTCACTGAGCCGACCTTGGAAATTGCTTCATGCCAATTAATCTCTTTCCTCCCTTTAGTGGCAAATGATCAGAAAATGGTTTCATCTTATAAATCATGAGTGTTTCCTTAGAACTCCTCCTCCACTGCCGTATAAAAACCAGTGGCCAAAATCTGCTTGTGTCTGAGATAAATGTTAATAAACAGACATTACGAGTACTTCCATGAAGTTAACTCTTGAGATTGAGCTTGCTCAGGAGCACAAAAAGGAGGTGGTTCTGAGAAAATTTTTACTTTTGTGGTGCTTTTTAAAGCAGTCCTGCTGGGAAATCACTTTGATCAGCACACATACACACAGAAAAGATCATTTTTGGCTATTCTTACATTGTAAAGCCCCCAGTGGTGCTCTGGCATTTGTGAGAATGAGAGTTGTTCGCTGGGCACAGCCTGTGTCTGAATTACCTTTGCTGTCTTTGTCCCTTCAGTCCCTCCCTCTTGCTTACTTCCCATTCACTGAAGCTCTGAACTTGATTCTGGTTGTCCCCTCGGCATGCTCTGCTCCACTGTCTGACTGGTCCCAAACCTCGTTTTGGGTTTGTTTTGATGGGGTGCCAGGGATTTATTCCAAAAGATGCACACACTTTCATATTTTTCTTCTGCAGCAAAGAGTTCAGGTCAGAGACATAGAATAAACAGATCTACAAATGCATCTCTCAGTAATCTCAGATTCTTATTTATCATTTGACCAGGCTTATTTTCTAGATGACCGTAGAAAAATTATAGGAACTAAAAAATTTCTTTGCTCTACTAGTGATCAGATGTTCTTGGTTTTTCCAAATTCTCAATATAATTTATTCTTATCTAAAAAGGTGATAATTTGATAGTGTAAAAATAAAGAGTACTTAATTTTATATCATTGAGATACTTTTCTAACGATTCCTTTTATGTCAGTTTACACATAGGAAAAATTCCTTCATCAGACTGTGCCACTGAATTCTGGTTTCAGAAATTGGAGTCCCAGTGACTATAGACCTATGTCCAATAGCACAGAAAGAATATTCAAGCTGAGTTAAAAAAAAATCAAGAAGTATTGTGGTATAACAACATGGTTTATGTATCTTCATCAGAACCAAACCAAGAACAACAAAATCTCGTTAACTTAGGTTCTCTCCTCACATTGGATAAGTGGCTGAAATTAGATGATGAGTTTGATTGTTTGTTGGGCTTGATACTAATTGGATTAGCTTGTTTCTGTGTGTCCTTGATCTACCCATTTAGGCCCAGACACACAGCCAGGGTATTTATGGGTTTCCAGTGAACTAACAGGCAGAGCTCAGTGCTGAAGACAGAAGACGATTAGATGACAGCGAAGAGATGGGATTTTCCTTGGAGGGGTGTGTGTGGGGTACCCCATCACGAGGCATACAATAATCACTAAGGAAGACACAGTAAAACAACAGAGCCCTGCCCAGAGTCAGACAAATGAGCAGCTGCTCAGGAGAGTTGGTTAGAGTTACTTTAGCAGTGTGATAGAGATTTCTGGAAAGCCTTCTTCCATCTTCCACTCAAGCAGCCTTTAGAGGAAGAAAGGCTATAAGCAGAGCCATAGAGATAGATTCAGGGAGAGAAGGAGGAAGCCCAGGCAGGAGCAGCCAGTTTGGGGTGGGTAGGTGGAGAATATGAACTTGGATTCTGAAGGAGGTGAGGGCATTCAGGAAGGTTCAGAAGGTCAGAGGAAGGTGATGAAATCCTATGAAGGAGACATCTTAAGGAGCTGAAATTTAAAATGAAGTTAAGGACTGGTTAAATAACCATCCTGGCTGAAGAGATGAAGGAAAATTTCAGAAGATGGGCAAGATATTTCCTAGCCCCAAGGAAAATCAATGTATTAGTCCATTCTGACACTGCTAATAAAGACATACCCAAGGCTGGGTAGTTTATAAAGGAAAGAGGTTTAATTGGCTCACAGTTCAGCATGGCTGGGGAGGCCTTGGGAAACTTACAATCGTGGTAGAAGGGGAAGTGAACGAACACACCCTTCTTCACATGGCAGCAGGGAGAAGAAGAATGAGACCTAAGCTAAGGGGGAAGCCCCTTATAAAACTATCAGATCTCATGAGAACTCACTATCAGAAGAACAGTGTGGGGGAAATTGCCCCCGTGATTCAATTATATCCACCCGGTCCTGCCCTTGACATGTGGGGATTATTACAATTCAAGATGAGATTTTGGATGGGAACACAGTCAAACCAGATCAGTTAACAAACCTGAACACTGGACTCACATTGATTCTTTTCCTTTTGCTTGCTCCTAGGTATGGTTTTTAGTGTACAGTCTTACTTTGTGATACTAAAAATCTAATTCCCCTCTTTTTTTTCTCCCTTCCATTATGAAACCCTACTTATGGATTAGAACTAGCAGCTAGAGGTCGATCCCCACAAGGCAGATTTTTATTTTGGTGGCAGGTCAGAAGTAGGGTATTGGGTTCTCCCCTGCCCTTTCATCTCCCAGTGAGGACTATCAGACATCAGCAGACAGATCAGCCTGGAGTTAGCTGCCAGTTCCCAGGGCACATCTGCCTGTGCTGGCTTGTTTGAGGTGACTTCCTTTGAGGGCAACAAACCAATTCTCATACCTGAACCAAGTCATCTAAGCCTCCCAGAAAGGGTGTGTTTCACTTGTACTGACACAGGGAATATGATTCTTGTTCTTTTGAGTAAACAGTTCTATACAGTAGAGGGTGGGGCCAGATTAGAAAACAAAAGCCTAGAATTATATTGTTTCTCTAGCACCAACCTCCCTGGGGTGAGCTCACTGCTCAGAATGACACTCTTCTAGTCTGACCCACCTTTTTTGATATATAGGGTGGCGTTTAATGTCCTCTGCTCTGTTGCAGCTGGAATTCACCTCTTTTGCATGCCAGTTATAATCAGACAGAGTCCCTTTAAGATCCCCAGATAAAATATGTGTAGATATGTCAGTTGTTAACCTGCATTCGATTGATGCACAATTTTCATTTCTATTTAGACATGTTTGCTTGAGAAATACTGATAATACCAACACGTATTCTTTAATGCTATTGGAGCTAGTGGCAAAGTACCCTATTTTCTACTTTATAGTTAGTTTTAAAATTCAAACTATAAATGTGAATTACTTTTCTGTCTGATTCCTCTGGTGTAGGTTATTGTTATGCTAATTCAGGTGTATGTCTTCCCAGACCTTCTAAGTATATAAATCTTGTGTTCTTTTGAACAAATTGGGTGGTTAATCCTTTAATCAGTTATTGAGAGATTGCTACAAGCACAGAGAGAAAGCTGGACTTCTAAGCTTAACCATTTGAAGGTCGACATTGTTATGCGTTTGGTGTTTCTCCTTTGTTTTTTTTTCTTCTATTAAATGGGAAAGTTAGGCTAATCCTACAGGAAGCACTTTCCTTGAAAGTGGAAAGATGGAACCCTGGGAAGAGAAGGAGTTCTAGTGATCTAAACCATAGGTAATGCTGCTTATGGGAGCAGTCTCTTGCTCTCCTTCTTTCTGTCCCTCTCCTCCTACATCACCTTTTACATGTGTTAAAATCCTTAGCCAAATTAAATTTAACAGAGTTCAATTGAGCAAAGAACAATTCGTGAATCCAGCAGTCTCCTGAGCCAGAGTAGGCTCAGAAAGATTCCATGCCAGGCACGTGGTGGAAGAAGATTTATGGACAAAAAAGGAAAGTGATGTACAGAAAATGGAAGTGAGGTACAGAAACAGCTGGATTGGTTTCAGCTCAGTGTTTGCCTTATTTGAACAGAGTTTCAACAGTTGGCCTCCTATGATTGACCAAATCTCGGTGAGTGGCACAAGAGTAGGTTACAGTCTGTTTACACTTCCATTTAGGTTATAGTTCATGATGTACAGAGAAACCTTTAGGCCAAACTTAAAATACCTAAGGAGGCAGCTTTAGGTTAAACTTGATTTAACACATATTTTCTGAGAACAAAGATCTGTCTCCAGCAGGCTGGCTGTATTTGTCATTTAGATGATCTGTTTTCTTACAGTGTTTATATGGATTCTGTAGATAACCTTTTGTTAGCATAAATAGATAGGTCGTTTTCCCTTGATCTGTCCCTGAAAATATCAGTTGAGACTCCATCAATTGCTCAAATACTCAGGTGAAATTCAAACACATTACCATCCATTGGCAGTGTCTGACTGTTATCGAGGGAGGAGGTTTAAGTTCATGTAAATGGTTAATGCTGACAGTAGAAGTATAGTGAAACTTTTCACCCTCAGATCATCTTTGTGTAGGGAGGCCCTGGCTGGAACTCTGTCCTACTTGGGTTGATGATGGTCTCTTGTCCTACTTTATTTCTACAGAAACATGTTCTGAATCTATTTATATTTACAAGGACTGGGTCCATGTTTCTGCAACTCCAGCTGACCGAGGGCACATCATTTTATAGCTCCCCTTCTCCCCAGGTTTCAATCCACAGAGCCTGGGAAGAGCCTTTTTAGGGGTGCTTGTCCAGTGGAAATGGACAAGCTCCATGTGGAACTGGCATCACGATGGTGCAGTTGCTAGTGTCCACTTGGAAAATGAAAACAAGACGCTGAAATTGGAGGAAATGATAGACATTGAGTTTCTGACTTGGAAGGAGAAAAAATTATTTGTAAACCTTCTCCCATAGGATAAAGATTCAAATCAGAATCAGAAGTGCCAATGGGAGTCACAGACAAATGACATTTAAATCTTTGTGACTCTGAGGATTTTAAATTTTTCTTCTTTTTTAAAAGTTGCTATCTAAGATCTGTTTAAAATCTAAAGTGACTCACCTCATGTTCTTCCAGTGGCTCCTGTGTCTAACATGGGGCCGGCTGGTGTGATCACAACTTTTCCTTTGTAGGACTTATGTTGAATAGATACAGGTGTTTATAGAATTCTGTGCTGGGCTGCACAAACTTATAACTGAGGAAGATTGCATAGGTAACAAATATAGAGGTTCCTCATATTGAAAATTAAATCAATTTATTTAGAAATACAGGCCTATAATGATGATGATAATCATAGTTACCAACTTGTGAGCATTCACAATGTTTACTACTGCAAATGGGACATTACTGCGTGCTGTTTTGTAAGGGAGAACACTGCAGTTCCAATTAGTTAAGTGAGCTAGTAATAATAGAGTGGAGGTTTAAACTTAGATCTATTGGCCACAGTAATTGTTTCAGGGATAATCATATGCTGAAAGCCAGGCCAATGGAAGATTTTAGAAGTAATTGGAAAGAGATGCTCTCTTGGGAATCCCAAAAAGTGGACGTAAGCCTGAAGCTTCTGTGATAATGTCCTAACGGGAACTTGTTTAAGAATGAAGCCAAAGCAGAAGAAAGCAAAAGAAAAGGAAAAAACGAGATCTCTGAGGACATGATTTCAGCATGTGGATACAGCTACGCCTGAAGCCAGCTGCTTCTGGAATATTTAGTTACATGAAACAATATATTCCTTTTTTTTTGGTTTAAGCCTGTTTGAGAGTTTTCTGTCTTAAAACTGAAAAAAGAAAGGGCCTTGACTATTCTGTCTTTTTTGCCAAAGTTTCTGAGTTCCCAGGAGATTTCTTATATCCCCCGACCCCTTTTGTTTTTGAGACCAGAGTTCCACTTTTGTTCCCCAGGCTGGAGTGCAATGGGGTGATCTCGGCTCACTGCAACCTGCGCCTCCTGGGTTCAAGCAATTCTCCTGTCCCAACCTTCTGAGTAGCTGGGATTACAGGCATCCACCTGTAATCCAGCCTGGCTAATTTTTGTATTTTTAGTACAGACGGGGTTTCACCATGTTGGCCTCTGGTAATCCACCTGCCTTGGCCTCCCAAAGTGCTGGGAATACAGGCATGAGCCACCGTGCCCGGCCTTCTACCCTTTTCTCACACCTGAAACCACAAACAGTATTGCACCATCACAATGAATGGTGGTTGCTTTTTGAAACACATCAGTCCTTCACTAGACTGAAAAATTCTGCAGAGCAGGGATAATGCCTTTCTTTCAGTGTGCGTGTGTGTGTGTCTGTGTAATTACTACCTATAGACCCAAACTGACTCCAAATATGCAAAGTAATCTTCAGATTTACACAAGAAATTCTTTAGGTAGCATTATGCATCAAGAAGATGGTTCTCCAACCTCTCCCCAGTATATAAATAGGGCCTTGCTTTTCAAACTTTGGCATGCAAACAAATCCTCTGAAGGTCTTGTCAAAATGTAGATTCTTTTTCAGAAGGTGTGGGGTAGGGCCAGACTTTCTCATTCCTAAGAAGCTGCTTACTACTTTGAGTAGCAAAATATTGGGTATGTGTCACCAGTCCTCTTCAGGAAGATGTCAGGTCAGAACATATAAGAACATTCTCATAAATCTTTGACTTGTTAGGTGGTGAAGATGTATTTTTAAGGGCTGATCTCGATTAGATTAACTTAATATAACTTGAGGTGCACAGAGCTGTTATTTTCTTAATCAATTAATGAGCGTTGAACCAATGAATGTTGACACACTTCCCAAGTGATCAATGCATGATGTTACAAAGTCATGCATAAGTGAAAGATCCAAATGTAAATTTATTGGTATAGTTTTGGATTATTCATTGTAACTAGATATTAAGAAACCACCACTTGCAGAGTTTTGATGTTGCATCACAGACTGTGCATGCAGTCTGCAGTGTTGCATCCACAATTAATTGAAAAGGCTAGTAAAGTACTTTTCCCTTTTCACACAAAACATCTGGATGAGGCTGGATTTTCTTCATATATGTTAATGAAATTGATACATCACAACTGATCGCATGCAGAAGCAGATATAAGAATCCAGCAGATACTATTAAGGTAGACAATAAAGAGGTTTGAAAAAAATGTACAACAATGCCACTCTTCTTAATAAATGATTTATTTATTTTTGGAATTTTTGGAAATTTTACACTCTCACTGCCCACAGTATTCTTTTTGTACAGTATGTGTAAAAATCTAGTGTAAAATTATTTTTGGAATTATTTATTTAGTTTTGGAAAGTATAGTTATTTTTCATAAAAAGATGTCCTATAAACATAATGGACTTATCTTTCTTTAAATGAGCTTGTTTATATTTATACATAAAAGTTTTTACAGTTTTAAATTCAAATATGGTAAATATTGACATATATAATCTACATAAACAAATACTCTATGGGATCCTCAATAATTTTAAGAGTATAAATTGATCCTGAGACTAAAACTTTTGAGAGCTACTACTTAAGAGCAATTCATGTCTTCAGTTTCTATCCCAATTCTGCCATACAAATATCTGAAGTTGCTTGAGCATTAACTAAATTCCAGGTGCTTAATTGTTGCTAACCCTGGGAGGGAGGTATAATTATTACTCTCATTTACAGTCAAGGAAATTGAGGTTTACGGAGGTTTAAAAACTTGCCCAACATCTCATAGCTAGGAAGTAGTAACGATTTGAACTTAGGTGCCTGACTCCAGAAGTCCCACTCTTAACAACCTTACAACCCAGCTCAGCTGAAAAGAAAGATTTAAAAAGGAAAAGAATAGAAGGTTTTTTTTTTTAAACTATACTACACTCTTCTTAGATAGCAGTGATGTCATAGGTTTATTAAAAAAAATACTTTTGTTGTTGTTTTGGTTATACTCCTATAACTGCTCCTGTAAGGAGGACCACTTTAGTTCATCTCTGTGAGCTGAATGACTTCTCCACTCCTGGCTGCAGCCTGGGAGACAAAGTCCCAGACGTGCCTTTGTCCTTAGACCACAGGGACAGATTGGCTTTTTTCCCTGATTGCCCAGCAGCTTTTCTCTCTGGCCCTTTTTTTCAGCACAGTTTCTGTGTCTCTTCCAAATGTGTATTTCCCACTTCTCCAGTGGATGCTTGGCTCTCAGCCCGCAGCTGAGCCTGAATAAGCACGTGGGGCACAGGGACCCCATCAAGTACACACGTGGCAACAAAGCCACCCACTGGGCTCCTGATAGGGTGAATCGCACAGCTCAGGGACTTTCTCAGGAGATGTTCTCTTCTGGTCCTTCCAGAGCCATAGTCATGCCCATGTGGGCTCAGGAAACAGGAGCCCTCTGGGTCATGTGATAATTGGTGATCACCTTGTCATCACTAGCTCATGATGTAAAGATGAAGTCTAGAGATGCCTTGACTGGAGGGTTTCAGTTTGTGTAATAGCAAGTGGCATTTCAAGGCACACCATTTGGAAAATTCTCCCATGATATAAACACTGTAAATATTTATTTAAGCTCCCCCAACCTCCCACTGCCATTTCAGAAGCAAATTATTCAAGAGGCTAGATTTTTACACATAGTGTACATAAAGAATACTGTGGGCAGTGAGAGTGTAAACATCCCAGCCATGCAATCTAACTCTTAGTAGAAATTACTTTCCTTGGGACCTAGATGGCATTTCAGATTAGAAATGGTGATTTATGGTGCTTAACCAATTTGCCCAAAGGCATACAGTTAGTAAATGACTTTGGAATCAGATAGAACTTGGATTAAATTCCATTCTTGTTAGTTATCTGTGCAGTTTCTGCATGTTGCTTAATGTTGCTGAGTCTTGATTTCTTTCTTTCTTTTTGTTTCTGAGACAGAGTCTCACTGTGTTGCCAGGCTGGAGTGCAGTGGAATGATCTCGGCTCACTGCAACCTCCACCTCCTGGTTCAAGCAATTCTTCCACCTCAGCCTCCCGAGTAGCTGGGACTACAGGCATATGCCACCATGCCCAGCTAATTTTTGTATTTTTAGTAGAGATGGGGTTTCACCACGTTGGCCAGGATGGTCTCGATCTCTTGACCTCGTGATCCACCAGCCTCGGCCCCCTAAAGGGCTAGGATTACAGGCATGAGCCACCACGCCAAGCGTTGATTTCTTTATCTATAAAATAGAGATCGAAATGCTGTGATGATTAAATAAAATAAGGAATATCAAGTTCTGAGCACAGTCTGGTGCATAACATGTGCTCGATAAATTTTCCATGATGATCATTGTCCTGTTATCTATTTTATTATTTTACAACTCTTATCTGTTCTCATGATGATTCCTCCACCTACTGGGACCATGAACAGTAAGCTGTCTGTGTTCAGTCAATACCTAGCTCAATGCTTAGTATTTGGGGTCCTTAATAACTATTTGAATGAATGAACAAAAGAATGAACAAATGATAAGATTATGACAAGAGATTTTTATTGATAAGTGAATTTCTAAATGGAAATGCTGGGAAATCTTGTTGAAATTATCTGAGGCTCAGAAATGACTGGTAGTGTGAACAGCGAGGAACTAGGTGAAAGAATGTCTTTGGGTGGGAAGAAATCCAGAACGCAGAGCCTCTGGCTCACTCATGTGGGCATCCATGTACAAGTGTTTCTGTCTCTGACTGATGACAAACCTTTCCTGGAGGGCTATTAAAATGCTTCTATTCTTAGGTAACTTTTGAACTAGGTATTTTGCAGGGAAATGGGAAGTTTCTTTGACCTTTGAAAATCTGCCCCTAATTCAGTTTCTCTGGTTAGGAAATGATTCCTCTGGATTAACTAGTATTTAGGGTAGTATAACTACAGTTAAAAAACAAAGACCCAAATGTGCATTTCTTGCTCTTTAACCACATTGGGAGGGAAAATATGTATTAATACATGGGATGGCTATCTTCCATTAAATAATTCAGGGAATTCAGGTTAAGAGAGGTTTGCCAGATCACCTGGGGATTATCTCCCAGTCAGCTGAATGGGGAAAGGAACATGAGCTGCATGGAAGGTTTCTTAACAGCAGCACTTATCACTCTTGTCTATATTTTATTGGCCAGAACTCAGTCACATGACCACACCAGACTGCAAGGGGATCTGGGAAATGTCATGTCCGGTTGGCACTTTCTAGTAACAATGTGCAATATATGAAGAGGAACATAAATATTTTGTGAACCATGAACTGTCTTTGCCATACTTTCAAGGAGACCTCTGGGAAGGATGATTTACTGTAAATTAGTTTGTCCCTGCCAGAGAAAGGAGATCTTTAACAGGAAGGTTTTATCCTAGAAAAGGTTGGGGTAAAAGGTTCAGGGACATCAAAGCTGAGCAGTGCAGTCCAGCTGCGGGAAAGAGAGCTGGGACAAGCCTATGTCCTACGGTCCTGGACTCCTCAATGTGAGAAGTAGTGCTTCAGGACAGGACAGGAGAAATACAAGATAGAGACATAAAGTCATCTAATTCACACTTTGCCAAGGATAAGAAATGGCTGCCCTCCAAGGAGCAAAATGGTGCTTGTGGGCGGCCTTTGCAATAAAGTACTTACAAGCCATTTGGGGGCTCTGCTCAGGTGTCTCAAGCTGTGGGGAAAGAATAAGGACATGTTTCCCCCATACTACTTTTACCCCTTCAAGAAGAAGAGGCAGGCTCATTATGTCTCTAGGTGGATTTTATAGTTCTGGATTTGAGCCTAAAAGTTGCATGTGGTTTTCAAATACTTATTTTATCACACTCCATGATTACCTCCATTATGTGTGGCTAACATTGAGTCTTTTCAGATTTAGTAGGGATATAAAAGGTTTAAATAAGACCAATATCAGATGTGTCTGGGATTCCATTTCTTGCATGCGCACTGTAAATAAACGCTAATGAAAAATATTTGAGTTCCAAATTCTGCCACCCCAAATCCTACAAATATGCACATTAAAGCCCCATAATCCCATAAAAGCCTTTTTACTTGTAAATAACACTATCTTGTTTTCCATCTCAAATTTCTTCTCCTGTAATTACACAATATTTGGTTTCCCCTTTTTAGGCAATTCAAATTAAAACTTATTTCATTTCATAATTACAAACATTCATTTTGAGTAAAGACTAATCTGACGGGAATTTGGTTCCAGTGATATTGTAACCCAGACTTATAATAGCAAAGCAATCCATCTCCTGACTAATGTCTTGGAATCTTTTACAACTCTACCCCGGCTAAACATTTGCCTTTGGAAAGTTTTATCCTTTTCCTTGAAATAATAATGCTTTATTAAGAGCACAGTGTGATTTGAGTTTTTTAAAAATAATGATTTAAATCAAAGACTTCAAGATATAAAGAATTTAAAGGGTGAGCCATTCTACCCTCTTAGTTTTGGGTTATTTTATAACTCCCATGAGCTTTAGAGTGGAACGTTGCTTAGAAAAATGTTCATTATTAAGTTAGGTTTCAACTGTTTCCTGAAAAAAGGAGAAAGAAAATATTCTTTGTCTGGGTATCATAATAGGTGATAATTTTGAAATACTAGATAAAGTATATGTTATTGCTATTCCGAGTATAGATAGAGTAGAATAAGATCATGGCTGACTGATCATTTAGGCATAGAGAGTTAATATCTAGGAAAACACAGTGTTCATTAAAATGAGAGAAAAACATCACATGGAGTGTTTGCAGAGTGATCATTGCTTATCTATTAATGTATAAAAACCACTCCAAAACATGGTGGTTTAAAACGATGCATTACGTTGATTACAATGATTCATTCCTCTCCTGTGTCCTGGGGGTTGATGAACTCAGCTGGGTGGTTCTTGCTTATTGGGGTACCTCATGTGGTTGCAGTCAGATAGTTGCTGATGCGGAGACATCTGAAGCTTCTATTCCTTGTATGTCCAGCTTTGAGGCTGGAACACCTGCAGGCTGTTGGATCTTTCTCTCTCCAATGGTCTCAATGTGTGGCTAGCTTGGTCTTGTGCACAGCATGGGGGTGTCTCATGTTGTGAAGAAGTGGAAGTAGTAGTCCGTTTTCTCATATGGCAGCTTGTTTCCCTCCTGAGGAAATGCTATAAGAGACCAAGGTAGGGGCTGCAAGGCTTTTGTGAGCCTGGCTTTGGAATTCCTGGAGGATCACTTCTGCTTCATTCTGTCCGTTGTGAGTGAGTCATGGGGCCAGTCCAAGTTCAATGGGAGGGGATTATCTACAGTCATGAGTAGAGGAATGCGTAGGTCATTGGAGGGCCACTTTGGAGACTGCTGACCACAATCATCAAGCAGTTGGTTCGTTTGCCTACTCAGATCATTTTAATGGGTGAAATGATCGCACTAAATCACAGATGTTTGTATTCAGAAGGATTTGAAGTTTGCAGGAGCAAAGGGAGCAGAGAAAGTTTCTTTGTTAGGTCTACCTCACAACTGTTTGAATAACCTGCAAGTGTGAGTGTGTGTGTGTGTGCATGTGTGTGTGTCTGTGTCTGTTTGGTGGAATTTTTGATTACTCTGACTATAGTTGTACAATTGACCCCTGAACAATGTGGGTTTAGGGAAACTGATCCCCTCACAGTTGAAAGCCCGCATATAACTTTGACTCTCCCTAAAATTAACCACCAATAGCTTGTTGACCAGAAGTCTTACTGATAACATAAACAGTCGATTAACATGTAAATAGACTGGTATGTACATTTGTCTTATGCATTCATGACATACCTAACCTTTTCTAGGCTCTGTGGTTCATCTTTGAGTTTTTTCAAATTGTTGCAAATCTTTAAAAATTTTTCCAAAATATTTATTTTAAAAAAATCTGTAGATAAATTGTCCCACACAGTTCATACTCATGTGGTTCAAGGGTCAACTATAGTTTGATTCAGAAGGAGAGAAATATTAAGTGCTTCCATTGTTCCAGGTTTTGTGCTACATACTTGAAGCATTTCATATAATTAGTGGTAGTTTAGTGGTCATGTTCAAATCCTTGGTAGCTTTGAAATTCACGAGGGCAAGTTACTTAACTTCAGTGGGCCTCTATTTTATCATGTGTAACATGTTCGTGGGGCTTTTGTTCATGGAGAGGAGCACTCAGTTCCTTTTGCACTTTCTCAGTATCCAATTTATTAGCATTATGAATGTACTAATCAATGAGTATTTTAAAAAATATAAAAGCTTAACATTCCTCTAACTCTTCATATACTATTTATACAACAAATAAATTAAAAGTGATGAATTTAACAAATTACATTTTCCCAAACATGTAAATAATTACCGGTTAAATCTAAGATTTCTAAATATTAATTAAAATTATAAGTCTAACATCATATTCTTGTAAATGTTTTAAACACTTTAGAAAGCAGACAACACTCATACAATATTAATGTGTTTATAGTACTAATCAAGAATCTTACATGAAAACCTGGTATAAAAATGGTAATATATCTATTTGTTTCTTCATTATCTCTGTTCTAATTTGGTTTGCTTTTCACCTGGTAGATTGATTTGGTACATTTACTCATCTGGAGATTTAGATGACCTTCCCAGACCTATTGATGTCATGGATACAGGTTAACATTTTTGTTCCCCGTCCCTTCCCTCAATCAGAGCTCCTAAATCCCTACTGTTATGATCTGAATGTATACCCCCAAAAAACATGTGTTGGAATTTAATGGTGAATGTTGACAGTAGTAAGAGATGGAGTCTTTGGGAGATGGTTAAGTCATGAGGGTGAAGCTGTTATTAAAGGGCTCGAGGGAATGAGCCCTTTAATAATACTCTTTTGTCATGTGCGGACACCTAAATGGTGCCATTTATTAGAAATAGGTCTTCACCAGACACCAAATTTGCTAGCACCTTGATCTTGGACTTGCCAGCTTCCAGAACCATGAGAAATAAATTTTTAGTGTTTATAAATGACCCAATCTGTGGCATTTCGTTATAACAGCACAAATCAACTAAGATACCTACCCTTTATTTTTCTTCATATCATTTTTTTCAGCTAATATGTGTATTTCATTAATTTTAGTGTCTGTATATCCATGCAAGAATATAAGATCTATGTGGACAGATTTTTTTTGTCTGTTTTGTTCACTGCTGTGTTCTCAATGTCCAGAACAGCACCTAGAGCACAGAAGTTGGTCACAATACATATTAAATAAACAGATGATGAACTTTGGACTATGATATAAATTAGCCTATGTGAGTCAGATATTTCCTCTGTAGAGATTCCCAAGTGAGCAGGCTCTGATCTAAGTCAGGCGTTATCCATTACATGGTAAATTGTTCAAATTATTGCTTTTGCTTGAGGTTGTAATTTTTGTGTTTTGTTTTTCTTTTTTTGAGACAGAGTCTTGCTCTGTTTCCTAGGCTGGAGTGCAGTGGCGCAATCTCGGCTCACAGCAAACTCTGCCTCCCAGGTTCAAGCAATACTTCTGCCTCAGCCTCCTGAGTAGCTGGGACTACAGGCATGTGCCACCATGCTCAGCTAATTTTTGTATTTTTAGTAGACACGGGGTGTCACCATATTGGCCAGGCTGGTCTTGAGCTCCTGACCTCATGATCCGCCCACCTCAGCCTCCCAAAGTGCTGAGATTACAGGCATGAGCCACCTCGCCCTGCCAGGTAGTAGTTTTTATTCCTCTTGATCAAGAACTTCTCCTGGATCACACTGATTTATATACTTTATTTATAGAAACTAATATAAGTCCATTTTAGAGCTGCTTGCTTTGAACTGGGGCCTAGACTATGTTAGACACATCTAAAATTTTGAGTCACTTTGGTGCCTTGCATTGACAAATTTCTTATTGGCTATGAAGACCTGTAGTATTGAAACCTATATTAAAATGTTGAAGAATTAAATGGGGTAATCCACATAAGGTAAATGGAACAGCACCTGACAGATATTAAAATCTCAATATTATTATTCTTACCAATATTGCTGTTTTCAACTGTCCTTGCTACAAGGCCATTTGTTTTCTCTATTGGTATTTCTGAGGAATTCCAGTCCAGTCTGAATGATAAGATATGTTAAAAGTTATACATTGAAATAGTTACTTGACAGCAAACCTGTCCATTATATATTACACCTATAGAACCAAATGCTATATCTCTCACAATGAGCTAATAAGCAAATATAGGAAAATAAATAACTCCTAGAGTAGTAAAGAATTATCTGCTCTCAACTTCCCCTTCCTTTTTACACAGATCCTTGGTCTACAGATTGTATGACTACAAATATATACGAAGCTAATATTTGTTGATCACATCTTATGTGCAGTGAATTTTGCTATTTTTTATTTATTACAACCAATAGCCAACTGAGATATGAGCTTGTTCTTAAAGATAGGCGTTTTTTTGCATGCATTTTATGGATATGGGAACTAAGGCCTAGGTTGGGCACGGTGGCTCACACCTGTAATCCCAGCACTTTGGCAGGCCAAGGCGGGTGAATCATTTGAGGTCAGGAGTTCAAGACCAGCCTGGCCAACATGGTGAACCCCATCTCTGCTAAAAAATACAAAAAATTAGCAGGGCGTGGTGGTGCATGCTTGTAATCCCAGCTACTAGGGAGGCTGAGGCAGGAGAATCGCTTGAACCTGGGAGGCCGGAGGTTGCAGTGAGCCGAGATGGTGCCACTGAACTCCAGCCTGGGTGACAGTGCTAGACTCCATTTCAAAAAAAAAAAAAAAAGAAAGAAAAAAAGAAAAAGGTGAAAAAACCATCTTAAAGTCACACAGCTAAAAAGCATCAGAATAAGAGTTAGAACTTAGAACTCACATAGGACTCATACAAGACCAACTGGATTTTTTCCATTAGACCTTGTTTCGAGGGAAGGGCAGTGCTTCTGTAGAACATATGTTGCTGTTGTTATGGCTTTGACTGTTCAATTGTTTTTTCAATCCACCCAATATGAGTTTATCATTTAGCCTCTACTCAATTTTTATTAAGTAAATTTTCCAAATGAAAACTTGAATCCACTATGGCCAGATACCTGTTGCCAAATATATGAATATAAATGGCATTTATTTGTTGAATACAATGTAAAATTATTTAAATGTAATAATGGTTTGTTATGCTAACATATAATTATGCTAGTACTTCAAGAAGATAAAGTCCTAGAAATGGAATCACAAGTATACACATTTTAAAATTAAATGGATATTGTAAAATTACCCTCCATAATAACTGTAATAATTTACCCCTCAAAATGCTTTTGCTTGTATAGATGTTTCCAACTTTTAAGTTTTGAACTGCTATTCTAGACAAGTACTACTTTAATATGTATTAATTTGTTAGCAATATTGTGTCTTTTTGTTTGCTTATTAGCTATATAATTTCATGTGTTCTATGAACTCTTGTTCATTTTTTTGCTCATTTTAATGTTGAGGGTTTTTTCTTATTCATTTGTAGGAGATTTTCTTATACTTGAGATTAACCCTGACCTTTGTATGTGTTACAAATTATTTTTTCACATATTCTATCATTTATCTTTCAACTTTGACTACAAAATCCATTTTTCTGACAAAATTATTTCTAAAATTTTAATTATTTACATAAGTATAATTATATAAATTATATCTATTATATTTATATACTTTATATAAATTATATCTATTATATTTATATACTTTATATAAATTATATCTATTATATTTATATACTTTATATAAATTATATCTATTATATTTATATACTTTATATAAATTATATCTATTATATTTATATACTTTATATAAATTATATCTATTATATTTATATACTTTATATAAATTATATCTATTATATTTATATACTTTATATAAATATATAATTATATTTATATACTTTATATAAATATAATTATAAATATATTTATATACTTTATATAAATATAATTATAAATATATTTATATACTTTATATAAATATAATTATAAATATATTTATATACTTTATATAAATATAATTATAAATATATTTATATACTTTATAATTATATGTTATATTTATAATTATATTTATATAATTCATAATTATATACATTATGTTTATAGTTATATAATTTATAATTATATACATTATATTTATATTTATATAATTTATAATTATATAAATTATATAAATTATATAAATTATCTTTAATTTATATTATATAATCTTTATATTTATATAATTTATAATTATATAAATTATATACATTACTTATGTAAATATAACATAATTTGTTATATTTATATTTATGTTGCTATATTTATGTAATTTATATAATTATAAATTTACTTATGAAAATAATTATAACAATATAATTTGTTATGAATGCTGGTCTGATAACAGTATTAAATAAACATCTGTTTAATGAATGAGCCAATATTCACAGAACTATCTTCAGGGAAAAAATACCTAATTCAGTATATGAGAGAGCTAACCATGGAAGACATAACAATATAATTTTTAATTGGCCAAGAGTATAAAAATATACCTTAAACAACATAATTTTTGGAGAAATGGGCTGCAAATTAGAATGAAGATGGAAATATTTTAGACTGTCATAGCAAAATATGCTCAGGTTCACGAGTTGATACATATAAGGAGAAAAAATAGAGTACTAAGGAAAATTATCCCTTAGTAGCTCAAAAAAAAAAAAAACCCATTTCAGGAAAGGACTCTTGGGGCTAGACACAGTGGCTCATGCCTGTAATTCCAGCACTTTGGGAGGCTGAGGCAGGCGAATCACCTCAGGTCAGGAGTTGAAGACAAGCTTGGCCAACATAGTGAAACCCAACCTCTACGAAAAATACAAAAAATTAGCTGGGTGTGGTGGCACGTGCTGGTAGTCCCAGCTACTCAGGAGGCCGAGGCACGAGAATTGCTTGAACCCAGGAGGTGGAGGTTGCTGTGAGCTGAGATCACACTACTGCACTCCAGCCTGGGTGGCAGAGTGAGAGAAAGAAAGGAAGGAAAGAAAGGAAAGAGAGAAAAAGAAAGAGAAAGAAAGAAAAGAAAGAAAGAAAAGGAAAGGAAGGTAAGGAAGAAGGAGAAGAGGAAGGAAAGAAAGAACTCTTTTCTGTTACCAAAAACCCACAGGACAATCGCTGTTGACATGCGCATGTATCCCTTGCCTTTCATTTGTCACCATTGGCCTGCAAGGGTATTTACTAAGCAGTTTGACTGAGATAGCAGCAGTGGGGCAATGAAAAATGTTTTGTCTCTACTACTTATTATCTGTGTAGACTTGAGTGGTTTACTTCATTCCTCAGTCTCAGTTTCCCCCTCTGTCAAATGGGAATGAGAATTTCGATGGGATGTCTCATGGGATGGTTGTGAAGATTAATGTGAGCCAGGATATGTGACACCATTTTAAAATCCATACATTCCTATAAATCATAAGTTGTTTGTGATGACAATCCATTCATAACATCATTTTCAAATAATGGACAAATTAATCGATTCAGTTATCTTTTACTGAGATGAAGCATGGGAAGAAAATACATGGGTTCTGCTTTAATAGGCCTTAAAAATCTAATAATTACAATTAGCGTTTATATAGCATCATAGAATTCACAAAGTGCTTTCATCCTCTGTATCATTCATTCATTCGTTCAACCATGGAACTACAATGGTGTTAAATTAGAGCCCCTGACCTTGTGGTTAGGGAAAAACCAATACATAGGAGAGTAAATAAAATACTTAAAAGTTATAATACTTCTGATGAAGGAATTAAGCATAGGGTAGAATGGTAAACCATAGGTATGAGTGCAGAGGGTGAATTTTAGGAGAATGATTGGAGAGTGTCTGAGGCAGTCATAGTCAAGTGGAGACCTAAAAAGATCAAGAGGGCTTGGCTATGTACAGAATTGGGAAGAGTGTTCCAAGCAGAAGAATCAAGTGGCTAAGTGGTCCTGCAGCAGAACAGAGTAGAAAGCACTAGGCTCAAACCCAGGGAGGAGACACAGAACCGGGCTGGTTGACAGAGGGCTGGCGAGGCCACATTAAGGAGTCTGGATTTTATTCTAAGTACAATGCCAACCCGCTGGAGGCTTGTAAACCAGGTAATTTCTAAATGATGAGAAGATCACTTTACTGCTTTGAGGAGAATGGATTGAAAGGGATAAGAATGGAAATGAGGAAACCACTAAAGAGGCTGTTGCATTAATCAGGAGAGAGAAAGAGAATCTTTATTTAATTATGACCAGTGGAATTTGTTAGATATGAGAGCAGACACATAAACTCTACTGACCTAACTCCATCTCATCCCTGGGGTGTCAGGGGTTCAGAGGAGGAGATATTATTTCATCTAGTTCCAGGATGGCAGTACTCTTTTTTGTCAGCAGTTTTGAGAGTTGAATTAAAATGATCATGGGAATTAAGCAGTTGTTTTACATATTTACTTTAACCGATCTGTCACGGATTTATCCATGTCAAACATCTACAGTTTAGGATTCTGATATGGCTTGGCTCTGTGTCCCCACCCAAATCTCAAGTTGAATTGTAATCCCCATTTGTTGAAGGAGGGGCCAGGTGGGAGGTGATTGGATCATGGGGGTGGATTTCCCCCATGCTTTTCTCACGAGATCTGATGGTTTAAAAGTGTGGCACGTCCCCCCTTGTGCTCTCTCTCTCTCTCTCTCTCTCTCTCTCTCTCTCTCAATCTCTCTCTCTCCTGCCACCATGTAAGACATGTTTGTTTCCCCTTCACCTTCTGCCATGATTGTAAGTTTCCTGAGGACTCCCCAACCTTGCAGAACTGTGAGTCAATTAAACCTTCTTTGTTTATAAATTACCCAGTCTCAGGTAGGTCTTTATAGCAGTGTGAGAACGTACTAATACAGACTCCGTGTTAGTTTGCTATGGCTACCAAAACAAAGTACCACATACTGGGTGGCTTAAACAACAATAATTTATTTTCTCACAATTCTGGAGGCTGGAAGTCTAAGATCAAGGTGTCATTAGGGTTTTTTCTGAAACTCCTTCTCTGGCTTGTAGACACCATCTTCTTCTCCTTGTGTTCTCACACGATCTTCTTTCCATGTGTGTCTGCTCTAATCTCTTCTTAAAAGGATATCCATCATATTGGACCAATGCCCCTCTTAACCACCTCATTTTAGCTTACCTTAACAACCTCTCTCTCTCTCTTTTTTTTTTTTTTTTGAGATGGAGTTTTGCTCTTCTTGCCCAGGCTGGAGTGCAGTGATGTGATCTCGGCTCACTGCAACCTCTGCCTCCTGGGTACAAGCAATTCTCCTGCCTCAGCTTCCTGAGTAGCTGGGATTACAGGCGCCTGCCACCAAGCCTGACTAATTTTTTTTGTATTTTAGTAGAGATGGGGGGTTTCACCATGTTGAGCAGGCTGGTCTCAAACTCCTGATCTCAGCCTCGGCCTCCCAAATTGCTGGGATTACAGGCATGAGCCACCGCGCTCAGTCTTTTTTTATTTGTTTGTTTTGAGACAGAGTCTCCCTCTGTCGCCCAGGCTGGAATGTAGTGGTGTGATCTCAGCTCACTGCAACCTCTGCCTCCCGGGTTCAAGCGACACTCCTGCCTTAGCCTCCTGAGTAGCTGGGACTACAGGCATGTGCCACCACGCCTGGCTAAATTTTTGTGTTTTCAGTAGAGGTGGAGTTTCACCGTGTTAGCCGGGATGGTCTCAATCTCCTGACCTCATGATCCACCTGCCTCTGCCTCCCAAAGTGCTGGGATTACAGGCGTGAGCCACCCTGCCTGGCCTTTTTTTTTTTGTATTTTGTTTTTGAGACAGTCTTGCTCTGTCACCCAGGCTGGAGTGCACTGGCGTGATCTCAGCTCACTGCAGCGTCCACCTCCTGGGTTCAAGTGATTCTCCTGTCTCAGCCTCCTGAGTAGCTGGGATTACAGGTGTGCACGACCACACATGGCTAATTTTTGTGTTTTTAGTAGAGATGGGATTTTGCTATGTTGGCCAGGCTGGTCTCAACCTCCTGACCTCAGGTGATCCTCCTGCCTCGGCCTCCCAAAGTTCTGGGATTACAGGCGTGATCTACTGTGCCCAGCCTTAGACTACCTTTATTTACCTCCGAATACATTCTGAGGTACTAGTGGTTAGGGGTAAACATGTACATTTTGGGGAGATGCGATTCCTTCTGTAACAGATTTTAAGAGGAAATCTGTTTTTGGGGAATCAAGTCTGATAATAGAAGTCAGAATACAGTTAACCTATTTCTGGCATTTGCTGAAATAGTTACATTTCTCCTAAGTCTTCAAGAAAAAGATGTCGTTTTCTTTCATAATTAGTACCAACTGTGATGACTTACATGCCTCCTCAAGGGATTGTTCAGCACATTCGCTAAACCTTTGTTAGACTACCAGGCTACCTCTTGTTAATATTCATGTGATTTGTGCTCTCTTTAAGAGTAATACATTAACTTCTCTTCAGCTAGGTAAACTTTGGGGGGGAAATGTGATAAGAACAAACAAGAGCTGGTGTTGATGCACTTTGCAATTATGTGCTTTCTCCATTTTCTCTCCGGTATATAGTTAAAAGAGTCAATTTTTTTCATGCACATTTTGTAGCCATGATGCTTAGAGGCACCACCTTCTCTATTGAAGCAACCATGGGTGAAGCCACAAGTTGTTTAGGAGATATTAGCACTTCTCTCCCTGGACACAGCCTGAGCCCATGAAAAGAAGACGCTGCGGTCAACGAGAGGAGAGGCCCAGGTCGGTGAAGCTCGGAAGTCTCTCTTTGGGCATTGTGTGGATCCACGCTCACTCAACGGTTCGCAGTTTTGGCTTTTCTTTCCTTTGGTGAGGAGAGAGATTTGTTGCTAAATGGAATTCAGTTGGCTATTGATATTCACGTCTCATGAAAATTTTGGAGGCGCTAGTTACAAAACTTTGAGACTAACAAGGTACATGAGTGTTTACCAGCCCATGAGTAATGTGGAGTCGCCACCCTTGAAAAAGCTTTCTGTTCCCCACATGAATGATCATGATCAGAACCAGGAATGACTATTGGCATCTTCAGGAATCAAAGTTTGAAGCCAGAGAGTTTTTCTGGAAATTGGTGTTGGGCTACAACATGTGGTGTTGGGGGGAGATCCTTAAATGAGCAGGGCCTTGGTATTCCACCAGAGAACTTTCACTGGGTTATTTAGGAAGTTGCTGGGGCCTTTGGCTTCTACCACACTAGATGAAGCAGAAGGATAACTGGCTTTGGACTCAGGTGCTGGCTGGACCACTACTAATTGTGTGACCTCCCTGAGCCTCAGTTTTCATACTTGAAAATAGGGATAACTCATAAATGGCTTGGGTCATAGAAGAAGCTTAGTAAATACTTGGAGACTGAATGACCATTTCCTTCCTTACCTCAGTTCATCCTCCCTCCATCCTGCTTTCTTCGAGTTCTTTGTCTCTGTCTTTATCAGAAGCACTTCTTAGAGATGATTTCTTTAGATTTTAATATATCTTCACATGGATTTAGCATACTGCCGTCCATCTTAGGGCTATCTTTAATCTGTGTCCTTCACTATGAAGAGAAAATTATATGTCCTCTTAAAGGGTTTTGAAGCATTATTATTTAGGAAATAGGTGGAAAGGCATTGGTAATACCGCCCAAAGTATGGAACAAGAGAATGATTACAGGGGTAACTGCTTTGATAGCCTCAAAACTGTTGAGCTTCCATATCATACCTATTAGTCTTCATGTCCCTATTGTCTATACCATCACTCAGCCAACAGAAATAATATGTTCTTTCAGACAAAAACTAATTCAAGGCTGGCTTCGCTACTTCAAACTGTGTGAACTTGGGTAAGTCTCTTGGCTTCTCTGAACCTCAGCTTTTTCATCTGTAAAATAGGAATAATATATAAATGACAACATTGAAGAGGTATTAGAAGCTTAAATACAAAGAATACATTTAGAGCACTTAGCACAGTTGTGGTTACATGTAAGTGCTCAATGAATGGTGTTATTTTTCTTGTTATTAATATTGATTCTAATGTATTTTTAAAAAGCCCCTAAGAAAATGTCTAGAATAGTGTATGCTCAGTATGTAGTAATAATGGTTATTTTGATTATTTTTATTGTCACAAGAAACCTTTAAAACTAACATAAATATTCTTCCCAGTGCCATACCTATGAAGGGGCCTAACTAAACCAGGCCCTAAGCTGCTGAGACCCAACAAAGCTGAGCCTGTAACCCACAGCCTCAATGCCAGCAGTTGTCTTGGACTTTCTTATTTTCATGCTTCCTTTTGCTCTTCTATATCTGCTGTGTTCCTTGGCTTCTGGCTTCTGATTTCTCAGCCTGGCCTTGCACTCCTAGCTCCATACATGTCCCTAGCGATCATCGATCAGGTGGCCAGCCTGATCCTTCTGTTTTAACTTGGGGACTGTGTACATGGCTTACCTTATCTTCTGACTCCTACAAACTTCTGCCTTTCCTCTGGCCTCTGCTGGGCTCTGGGATCCCCAACAAGGGCTTAGACAAAATCTAGCCATGATCTGGGTTTGGTCATTAGAAAGTCCTTGATCAATCAAATTGTTTTAAAATTTATTACTTCCAGATATTTATTTGGTACCGAATTCCATCTTGGATACTTAATTCTACTTTTTAGATGATCTCCCTTCATTTCTGCTGATTTATTTGGCTTGTAAGAGGATTCTAGGATCATTCATCTTGTCCTCATTGTGAGAAAGCTGCTAGCTATCTGTTGCTCATAGTATTAGCAATATTTTGTTGATTCTGACTCTGTCACTCTCTGGCACATAATTTTACAAAGATTGCTTTACAGGGTGTCTTAGTCCATTTTGTGTTGCTGTAACAGAATACCACAGACTTGGTAATTTATAAAGAAGAAATTGTATTTCTCATAGTTCCAAAGGCTAAGAAGTCCAAAATCAAGGTGCTGGCCTCTGGTAAGGGCCTTTTTGTTGTGTCATCCCATGGAGGAAGACAGAAGGGCAAAAGAGCATGTGAGAGAGCAAGAGAGAGCTGAATCCACTTTTATCAGGAGCCCACTCCTGAGAGAATTAACCTACTTCTGTGATAATAATGTTACTCCATTCATGAAGGCTCTGCCCCTTAAAGGTTCTGCCTCTCAACACTATTGATTAGGGATTAAGTTTCCAACACATGTACTTTGGGGGACACATTCAAAGCACTAGAGGGCCTGGTCTAATGATTAGGAGGATCATTGACCAATGGGTAGAACAGACTGAAACACTTTTGGGAAAACTGCCCTGGGTCTATGCCAAAATGTCTAGAGAGAGAGACCAAAGATCTTGCCAAAGCCCTTAGTCCCGCTGCTGGCCCATGAATTCTGCTAGTTAAAAGGTTCAGCCAGCTTTAATTAAAAGCTTGATTCTGCAGTTAGCTGCTTGATATCTATATTATTCCTTACCCATTTGAATTCTGCAGACTTCCATAAGCTATTACCAAGGGCTATTTAATACAGGTTGAGTATCCCTTATCTGAAATGCTTGGGAGCAGAAGTGTTTCCATTTTGATATATATTTTTTTGGCTTTTGAAATATTTGCATTATACTTATTGGTTGAGCATCCCTAATCTAAAAATCCTAAATACGCCAATGAGCATTTTTTTAAGCATCATGTTGGTGATCAGAATGTTTTGAGTTTTGGAGCATTTGGATTTCTAATTTTCAGATTATGAATACTCAACCTGAATATACATTTCAGCAAATCCTTGTCAAAATAAGCCCAATAAATAAATAAATATGCCAGCTTAGCTCTCTAAACTGTGATCTTCCTCTCATGCAGAGGCTTCCTGATAACAATTAGTAAACTATGGTCATGCTGTGTGTGCCTCTTGGGATCTAAATAGATTTTCATTCCATGCAGAAAAGTGGACAAGTCGAATGCTTAAAAGAAAATACATACCCACACTCCAATAAAAACAACACAACATTTATTTCAGGGTCATTTCATCAGGCAAAAAGGCTGCCTTTTAGCTGCTTCGATGCTTTCTGAAACCTTTCAAGCTAGGAGGAGAGTGATTCTGGTTTGTGTGGCTAAAACACTAGAGAGGATGATTGGTTTCATTAGTCAGAGAGGAGTGATAATATGCTGCAATACTTCTCCAGTTATTGGACACTTTATGTTAATAACTCATGATGGCTTGAGTGTTTAGGTGTATATTTCAAACTCAGTATAAAATACCATGCCATTAAGAATTTAAACCCATTTTAATTTAATTATGGTCAAGAGCTGGTTCAAGCAATCTCGTGTTTTTGTTGGCTAGTTTTAATATTGCAAATTTCAAATATAAAGATTTATTTTCTTTTACTCTTTGCTCTTTTTAGTCTGGATTGTTAAAAACCTTAATCATTTAAAAGAACACAGATTTGGAAAATGAAGTGCAATTGAAGTTATGGAAAATTGTATTTTTCTTCAATACTATTTTGTTTTCCATTTTGAAATGTGCCAAATTTTTCCTGCCCATAATAGATTGATTACTCACATGTTCTTTTTACCTTCTTTTTGTCCTTAAATGACTTTTCCATTCTTTGAGCAGCTACACTGTTGTCACATAATTTTTCTGCCATGGCCTAAAGTGAAAAAAAACCCCTACCAGTTGAAAATATATCAAAGTGATTATCATTTAATTACCATCCAAGTCAACTTGGGATATGACAAATTGAGATGATTTCCTGGGTCCTGACTTCTGGGGCCTCCTGTGTGGTGTCTTGGCCTGGCTACTGTACGGGGGCTGCCAGGGGAAGAGTTAGCACAGGACAACTGGTAGTAAATAATATCTGGGCTCATGTATAAACTGAATCACAAAAGACTACCTTATCCTATGGTTCTACCTTGTCTTATGGTTCCAGAATCCTTCTACACACTCTTCATGCTAACTCATTTTGGTGTCCTTTGATAATCAATTTAACTAGACCTAGCTTATATAAAAATATTTTTTAAAATAAAATGAGTGTCAGGAGTTTGAGACCAGCCTGACCAACATGGTGAAATCCCGTCTCTACTAAAAATACAAAAATTAGCAGGTTGTGGTTGCGCATAATCCCAGCTACTCAGGAGGCTGGGGCAGGAGAATCGTTTGAACCTGGGAGACGGAGGTTGCAGTGAGCAGAGACCACACCACCGCACTCCACCCTGGGCAACAGAGCAACACTCTGTCTCAAAAATAAAATAAAATAAAATAAAATGAGGGTGAGAAGTGAGTTCCTGCTGAGAGATTTCCCTTGAATCTGAACACCCCGAATCTGTTGACCCTGACTCTTCAGCTTCTAGGGATGAACTTGGTTATCAAAGGCATTTGGGGAACTGATGAATGGTATACATTTAATGCCTATGTATAGCTTATATTCCTGATGGCAACTTTTTAGGGCCAATCCTCAGTTCTCTACTATCTCCAGCCATGGGGACCTTGTGATCTCCAAATGCAGTAGGCAACAGGCTCCCTAAATATAAATCTTGGGTCTTTGAGTTCTCTGTAACTTTCCATTGGTAGCAAACAGTGAAATGATGGATCCCCAGGTGGGGCAGTGTGTCCATATAGTTTTGTATTATAATGTTTAATTTTGAAAGTATATAATATTTAATTTGGAAAAAGTACAAGTATGTCAGTCTGGTTTTCTTATATAAACTACAAAATGAGAAAGATAATTGGTTGGTTGGGATATGAAGACAAAAAAATTATAAGGATTTAGATACAGGTTTAGGGAGAGAGCAGAATTACCTTCTTAATTAGCTTATGAATTAGCTTCATAATTATATAATATGTGTCCATTGTATATATATGTGTGGGTGTGTATATATATATGTATATAAATAAAATGTATAGAGGTCATTTTACCTTCCAGTTTTTTTAGTTAGCCAATTATAAATATTTTTCCATGTGGTTTCAAAAGCCTTCATGCTTTATATGTCTAATAGATGAGAGCTATCCCATTGTGTTGCTATAGGATAATTCTCTTAAACCTTATGCCCTGTTGAATTTTTGGTGTGAGATTTTTGAGTAAAGGGTAATAGACAGTGTGACCACTCTTGCTTTAATTGCCTTATTGTGACCAAAAAGCTGGCCCAAATTTACATGACAATCAGCATAGGGAAGTGAACCAATTTTCAATTCAACTTTACCATCACATTCCCTTCCAGAAGCCACTTTCAAAATATTACCTCCCACATTGCACACTCCCCTTACCACAAACACCCACAGCCATTTCCTGAGGCTTGTCTCTATAGGACACCAAAACATTTAAGGGGAAAGTAAAATGCTCCAAATGCTTCCCAGATGTCTGAATGTGTGGCATAATTTGGCATCAAAATGATTGGAGTTTTCATTTTCCAACTAGAGGGTTGGTAACATGCAAACACAACCTTAATATAGTAAGTAAGTTTCTTTTGTTTTTCTCAAATAGACAAATTCATAAAGTATTTAATGAACACAAACTATGTGCCAGGTACAGTAGAGGGGAATAGAAAGCTTTAATAAGTATGGAGCCCATGATGAAGTATATGCTGTTCTGAGAAGTATGCATATTGCATGGATGGGGCAAATATAGCAAGTATTCATACTGTTAAGCAAGGAGATTGTATTTATTACACACCTCTTTAAATTTATAAATTCAGTATATTACGTTCTGGACAATGTGTCAATTAGCTATCAACATATTTTTCACATGTTAGAGGACAGAAAATGGAGAAAAGGAAAGAGGAAGTCCAAGCTTGTGAGTAGAGGGCAAGAAAGAAATGTACTGCTCTCTTCCCAGTGGCTCATCTTCCACCCTCCAAGCTCTAAGAATGTTGAGTTGTCCTGCTGGTGTGGACTCATCTCAAGGAGATACAAAAAAAAAAAAAAAAGATTGTTCTCATCAACTCCCCTAGTCAGGATTATCTTTCTGAGGTCTGATTGTTCCAATCACAATCTTGGTGGAAGAGGCAGGCTTAGAATCAATCTATCAAATCCAGTGTTACTCTGATCAAAGCATTTCTTTGCTAGAGAATACCCATGTCTGCACTTCTAACACATGCTTTAGGTAGGTGGTTAATTGGAAAAGTCTAGAGCACTGGTTCCTGACCTTTTTGGCACCAGGGACTGGTTTTGTGGAAGACACTTTTTCCATGGACTGGGGTCGGGGGACATGGTTTTGGGATGAAACTGTTCCACCTCAGATCATCAGGCATTAGTTAGATTCTCATAAGAAGCACATAACCTAGATCCCTCGCATGCAGAGTTCACAATAGGATTTGCACTTCTATGAGAATCTAATGGCACTGCTGATCTGACAGGAGGCAGAGCTCAGGCAGTAATGCTTGCTCAGCTGCTGCTCACCTCCTGTTGTGTGTCCAGTTCCTAACAGGCCAGGGACCCATATTGGTCTGCGGCTTGGGGGTTGGTGACCCCTGGTCTAGAGGGAATAATCTGACTTGACTATAGGACCTCCAAGTGACGAGAGGCTTTAAGCTTAAGCAGTCTATCACACTCCTTTTCAGGGTGAAAAATCAGAGACTCAAAGGAAGAAAGTGACTGGTTCAAGGTGACACAGCTCATTGATGTCAGGGTGACAAACAGACAACACAGTCCTTCCATCTCTTGGTCTCCTAGATGCTTGTTTTCTTTTCCACCATCCAATGCTCCATGTTCATTCCATAGTGAGGAAGAGGCATGAAGGGGAAGAAGTGAATGATTATATGAAGCTAATTTTACTTATTAAGCAACTACTATTTCCCAGATTCCACTTCTGTGGTAGATTGCAAAGATGGCCCCAGTTCTTTACCCCATCCTGTATCCATATGATTTACTATGTAACTTTGTGGCTTCCACTATCAAGAGGCAGTATCCATGGCCAACCCCTTGAATTTAGGCTAGCCTTGAGACTGGCTTTGACTCTTAGAGGTTACCAAAGTCTCACTCTGCCAGTTCTGAGCCTAAGCCTCAAGAGGCTTACATGCTTCTACTCTCTTTTGGAAATGTGTCAGCATCTTGAGATTAACCCCGGGCAACAACATAGCCCAGCCTTCATTGTCATCCCAGATTGCAGCTATCCTAGACCAGCCACTCCCCAGCCCACCTGCCACCTGGCTGCAGACTTATGAGTGAGTCCAGAAGTCAGCCATGTCTGCCCTAGGTCAGCTAAACCAACCAGCTGGGCAGTAACAAATGCATGTTTACTCTTTTTATCTGATGAGTTTTGGAGTGGTTTTTTACTCAAAAATAACAACAGATATGGCTATAATGGTGTCTAGTCATGTGATCCTGATTGTGCTACATATTCCCCAAGTCCCTGCATTCTGAATGGCAGAAAAAGTGTCTGGCCCACCTTTATCCTGGCTCAGCTGGATTTATGCTGACCCCAGGGAAACCTTTCAAGAACTGTGGCACCAACATGGGTATTGTCCTGGTGTGGCATCCCTCAGAGATAGGCTCCTAGGAGGATGCAGTTAGCAGCAATGAAGGCTATAATGAAGCCAGGGGTCATGCAGCTTCTGATGCTCTGGTTCACTGAATCTTTGCTTACGGGATCCCCCATGAACATCAAAGGTCTGTCCTACTTAATGCTTACATGCAGCCTGCTGTGGACTGAATTGTATCCCTTGACACCCTCAATTATATATTGAAGCCCTAATCCCAAATGTGATGGTATTTGGACATGGGCCTCTGGGAGGTAATTAGCTTTAGGTGAGGTCATGAACGTGGGGCCCTCATGGTGGAATTAGTGCCCATAAAAGAAGAGACAGCAGAAAGCTTGCTGTCTTTCTCTTCCATATGAGGACAGAGTGAGAAGGTGGCCCTTGGCAAGCCAAGAAGAGAGCCCTCCCCAGGATCTGACCATGCTGGCACCCTGATCCCATACTTCCAGTCTCCAGAACTGTGAGAAAATCAACATCTTTTGCTAAAGTCACCAGTCTATGGCATTTTGTTATGGCAGCCCAAGCAAACCAATACACAGCTGTTTCTAGTTAGGCAGATGTTTGGCATTGCTTCAGGGGAAAATAATTTGAATGGGTAAATGCATTTGTCACCCCAGATGTTTTGACAATGTGAAGAGTTAGCCAATATGTGCTGTGGCTGTCCCAGGGAGTAGTTTCTGGGCAAAGGGAGAAATTTCAGGAGGGGCCAGAAGAAGCTTCTTTCTCTTCTGTGCCGGGGAAGTACATGTTTCTTTTTGGAAAGAGGGTAATAGAACTCTACATGCAAGTCATTGGCCCATGGAGATTTGTGAAAAGCATATAATTCCCTTCTTTTAGCTGTAAACAGTCTATAATAAGCAACTCCCCCTGCTAGTATGCAATTGTCTTCCTTCTTTCAGACACTGGTAGCCACTGTTGAATTTATGATTCAAAATTGCAGTAAGTAAAGTCTTCACAAAGTCAAATGAGTGAGAAGCAGAATGCAAAAAGATGAAAAGTATGACTAGGACTTGTGCCAAGCAGAATTTCCAGTACCCACTCAACTGGCAGGTCTTAAGGCATAAATATTAGGCATGGACAATTGTGCCCCCACTGAGACTTCCTCCATTTCCTGTAAACCAATAATTCTGTTAATTCTAAATTTGTCACGTGTGACTTGGAGAGTCAGGTTTTCTGACCACACAACTGCAGGTTGAGCAGACTTTTTCTACACGTGCCAGTTAACAAATATTTTCAGCTTTCCTAGCTATGTATGTGATAACAGCTCAATTCTGCAGTCATCCCATGAAAGCAGCCACACACAATGCTTGGATGAATGAGTATGGCCATGTTCCTAAAACACACCTTAAAGAGGTGACAGGCTAGATTTTGCCTGTGGGCTGTATTTTGCCAAGGCCTGCTCTACTGGGTTAAATGAATCAATGGCCACAAGGTGCTTTAAGCAGTGCCTGTAATATGGTGATCTCTTCTGAAGTGTTGGCTATTGGTTTTCCTTGCCTGTCATGAAGCAAGACAGCAGGGACTATGCGCTAAGAAAAATGGGCTAGGAGGTGGTAAATTTAAGACTCAGTCAAATAAAAACAAGAATAGGGGTGAATTTGGTAGAGGTACGCGGAGCCCCAGTACTTGGTAGAGAATTAATTTAAACAATGTAATTCTCTTGTGGTGCCAGGAAATTAACATGTCATGTCCCATCATGAAATAGGCTATCCTCCCTTTCTCTTCCATGTTAGCTTTATGAACTAACAGTCTATAGATATTCTGCATGCATAAGCTCCCTTGATACCCTGTACCCCACTGTATCCATAAGAATTATGAGGCCATCGTTGTGACAAGACAAAGCAAACAGAGCTTTAAATCTCAAGGCATGTCATCTTGCATGATTCAGATTGTGTCTACACTAATGTTGTGTCCAAAATTCTTACATGATTTACAAATCTTTTCACTCAATTCTGATTGCATTGGCTCAGTTCTGGATGCATTGCTATATTAGTTTTTTGCAGGTGCGTGAAAACATTTAGCATGATTAATTGTTTCTCCAAGAGCCAAAAGGTAAATGATGAAAGAATTGGATAGAAAACATGTTAACAAGATATTTTATATTAGCTCCAAGGAGCTAGATCAATTACTATGACGTGTTACATGTTCAGAAGTCAGGAAATTCTAAATTATGGCTCCCAGTATGAACATAACTCAGCCCCTTTGCACATGCAATATTTTATATGACTGTATATGGTGTTAACTTTAATGCTTTAACATCTATGCTTAATGTGGCAACTATAAATTTGAATTTCTTGACTTCAGAGGTTATAACATTTAACCATACAGCTGCATTGACATACTTACTGCATTCAAATATTTCTTGGGATAATAGTTTGAAAAATAAATCCCTTATATGTATGAACCTGGTCTTTTTAATTAACGTGAAGAAATAAAAAGAGTGTGGTCTTGTCAATGTTTAGCTCTGTGGCCCTCTCTAGATCATTTGAACTAAGTGGATTGTGACTGAACAACTTTCACTTCCTGGTGGTTTCTACACCAAATCATATCTTGAGGAAGATGGATTTTCTGAACTTTGTTGTGTTATTTATTTTAGGAGGTTTGATCATCCCTAGAGATGATGTGAAAAATATGAGACATGTGCAGAGCTTAATTCCGGGTTGCATTATTTACATTGTAGTAACTGTGAATAGAATCCTCTTCATTTTAAAATCTAACAAGAGAGTCAGATAGGAGATTTATAATTTAAAAAATTCTGCATGGCTGAGGTATAACAATTTTTTTCCCATTAAGAAAACTGATATTGTGGCTAAGTGTGGTGGCTCACACCTATAATTCCACCACTTTGGGAGGCTGAGATGAAGGATCCCTTGAGCCCAGGAGTTTGAGAACAGCCTGGGCAACATGGTGAGACCTTGTCTTTATTTCTCTCTCTCTCTCTTTAAAGAAACTGGTATCAGGGGCACTTGTTTCTTCTAGATACATTTCTTTGCTACCATGTGCACATTGTCTCATGCAAAGAACTTTCTCTAGTTTTAGGAAAATCTATCTCCCTTTTCCTCATTCCCATACTATTTAGGGATACAACTTCCTCTGGTTTAAGCAAATAGGTTGTGAGACCCCTGTCCTGACCACTGTTGGCAAGAAGCTGGAAGAGCCAGGAGGGAGTCTGTACTCTTAAACCACTTTGCTATTATAACTAGTCCCAAGTTCCTTGTTCTTGAGCCAGGTACTCACCCCCCTCCACAGAAACCTACATGTAGGTACAGTCAGTATGGATCTTATTTCATAAGCTCAGGTGTGCAGGAAATGTTGCTTTTCTTTATTTTCTTTAAACTGATTTAATTTTAACTCCTGGCACCCATCCTACCAGGCTGTATTATATGCTGCTCACAAGAGCCATATTTTAAGTATAAAGATATAGAACAGTTGAAAGTAAAATAATGAAAGATGATATTGACATAGTTTGAATATATGTCCCCACCAAATCTTATGTTGAGTTGTGATTCCCAGTGTTGGAGGTGGGGCTTGATGGGAGGTGTTGGGGTCATGGGGTCAGATCCTTCATGGCTTGCCTTGGTGCTGCTCTCATGAGATCTGGTTGTTTAAGTGTGTGGCACCTTTTCCCCACTCTCTTGCTCCTGCTCTCACCATGTGAAGAGGCTGCTCTTGCTTCACCTTCTGCCATGAGTGAAAGCTCCCTAAGGCCCCCCAGAAGGTGAGCAGAGCAGATGCCAACACCATGCTTCCTGTACAGCCTATAGAACCATGAGCCAATTAAACCTCTTTTCTTTTCTTTTTTTCTTTCTTTCTTTTTCTTTTCTTTTCTTTTCTTTTTTTTTTTTTTTTTTTTTTTTTGAGACAAGAGTCTTGCTCTGTTGCCCAGACTGGAGTGCGACGGTGCTATCTCGGTTCACTGCAAACTTTGCCTCCTGGGTTTCCTGCCTCAGCCTCCTAAGTAGCTGGGATTACAGGCACATGCCACCACACCCAGCTAATTTTTGTATTTTTAGTAGAGATGGGGTCTCACCATGTTGGGCAGGCTACTTTCAAACTCTGACCTCAGGTGATCCACCAGCCTTGGTGTCCCAAAGTGCTGGGATTACAGGCATGTACCACTGTGCCCGGCCAACGTCTTTTCTTTATAACTTACCCAGTCTCAGATATTTCTTTATAGCAACACAAGAATGACCCAATACATATATACTATACACACACTAACCAAAAGTAAATCTATACTAATATCAGACAAAGTAGATGTTAAGAAAAAAGTATTACTGGAGGTAAGTGAGGACATTTATTGTTTAAGGGACTAATTTAAAAAATATGATAATACTAGAGAGATCATGGCAGGTGGGAGGCAGGATTGGATTGCAGCTACAACTCGGATGGACAGAGAAGCGTGTGGAGGCTTGCATTGTGAATTTTAGCTCCAGATTGACTGCAAGAAAAAACCAGCAATCCAGAGAGGACCCACAGACCCTCTGAAGGAAGCAGACTGCTCCTGCAGGACCCAGGAGACACCTCAAATACTGTGTAGGTATCCACGGCTGAGAGACCCATGGACGATTTACATCACAGGACTCTGTGTAGACAACCCCCAGTACCAGCCCGAAGCTAGGTAGACTTGCTGGGTGGCTAGACCCAGAGGAGAGACATCAATCACTGCAGTTTGGGTCACAGGAAGCCACATCCTTAGGAAAAGGGAGAGAGTACTGTATCAAGGGAATACCCCATGGGACAAAATAATCTGAACAACAGCCTCAGCCCTAGACCTTCCCTCTGATAGAGCCTACCCAAATGAGAAGGATCCAGAAAACCAACTCTGGTGATATGAAAAAACAAGGCTCTTTAATGCCTCCCAAAAATCACACTAGTTCACCAGCAATGGATCTAAACCAAGAAGAAGTCCCTGATTTACCTGAAAAAGAATTCAGGAGATTAGTTATTAAGCTTATCAGGGAGGCACCAGAGAAAGGTGAAGCCCAATGGAAGGAAATCCAAAAAATGATACAAGTGAAGGGAGAAATATTCAAGGAAATAGACAGCATAAAGAAAAAACAATAAAAATTCAGGAAACATTGGACACACTTATAGAAATATAAAATGCTCTGGAAAGTCTCAGCAATAGAATTGAACAAGGAGAGGAAAGAAATTTGGAGCTCAAAGACAAGGTCTTCGAATTAACTCAATCCAACAAAGACAAAGAAAAAAGATTAAGAAAATATGAACAAAGCCTCCAAGAAGTCTGGAATTATGTTAAATGACCAAACCTAAGAATAATCGGTGTTCCTGAGGAAAAGAAAAATCTAAAAGTTTGGAAAACATATTTGGGGGAATAATCGAGGAGAATTCTCCCAGCCTTGCTAGAGACCTAGACATCCAAATATAAGAAGCACAAAGAATAAGTGGGAAGTTCATCACAAAAATATCATCACCTAGGCATATTGTCATCAGGTTATCTAAAGTTAAGATGAAGGAAAGACTCTTAAGAGCTGTGAGACAGAAGCACCAAGTAACTTATAAAGGAAAACCTATCAGATTAACAGCAGATTTCTCAGCAGAAACCCTACAAGCTAGAAGGGATTGGGGCTCTATTTTCAGCCTCCTCAAACAAAACAATTATCAGCTAAGAACTTTCTATCCAGTGAAACTAAGCATCATATATGAAGGAAAGATACAATTTTTTTCAGACGAACAAATGCTGGGAGAATTTGCCACTACCAAGCCACCACTATAAGAACTGCTAATAGGAGCTCTAAATCTTGAAGCAAATCCTGGAAACACATCAAAACAGAACCTCTTTAATGCATAAATCACACAGGAGCTCTAAAACAAAAATACAAGTTAAAAAGCCAAACAAAAAACAAGGCACACAGGCAACAAATAGCATGATGAATGCAATGATACCTCACATCTCAATACTAATGTTGAATGTAAATGGCCTAAATGCTCCACTTAAAAGATATAGAACTGCAAAATGGATAAGAACTCACCAACCAACTACCTGCTGCCTTCAGGAGACTCACCTAACACGTAAGGACTCACATAAACTGAAAGTAAAGGGGTGGAAAAAGATATTTCATGCAAATGGACACCAAAGCAGCAGGGGTAGCTATTCTTATATCAGGCAAAACAAACTTCAAAGCAACAACAGTTAAAAGAGACAAAGAGGGACATTATATAATGGTAAAAGGCCTTGTCCAACAGGAAAAATATCACAATCCTAAACATACACGTGCCTAACACTGGATCTCCCAAATTTATAAAGCAATTACTAATAGACCGAAGAAATGAGATAGACAGCAACACAATAATAGTGGGGGACTTCAATACTCCACTGACAGCGCTAGACAGGTCATCAAGACAAAGTCAACAAAGAAACAATGGATTTAACCTAACTTTGGAACAAATTTACTTAACAGATATATACAGAACATTGCATCCAACAAACACAAAATATACATTCTATTCAACAGTGCATGGAATGTTCTCCAAGACAGACCATATGATAGGCCATAAAACGAGCCTCAATAAATTTAAGAAAACTGAAATTATATCAAGCACACTCTTAAACCACAGTGGAATAAAACTGGAAATTAACTCCAAAAGGAACATTCAAAACCATGCAAATACAAGGAAATTAAATAACCTGCTCCTGAATGAGCATTGGGTCAAAAACAAAATCAAGATGGAAATTAAAAAATTATTCAAGCTGAATGACAATAATGACACAACCTATCAAAACCTTTGGGATACAGCAAAGGCAGTGCTAAGAAGACAGTTCATAGCCCTAAATGCCTACATCAAAAAGACTGAACGAACACAAACTGACATTCTAAGGTCACACCTCAAGGAATTAGAGAAACAAGAACAAACCAAACCCAAATCCAGCAGAAGAAAGGAAATAACCAAGATCAGAGCAGAACCTAATGAAATTGAAACAAAAAAATACAAAAGATAAATGAAACTAAAAACTAGTTCTTTGAAAAGATAAATAAAATTGACAGACCATTAGCAAGACTAACCAAGAAAAGGAGTAAGAAAATCCAAATAACCTCATTAAGAAATGAAACAGGAGATATTACAACTGACACCACTGAAATACAAAAGATCATCCTACTGCTAAAGGCTACTAAGAACACCTTTATGCACATAAACTAGAAAACCTAGAAGAGATGGATAAATTCCTGGAAAAATAAAACCCTCCTAGCTTAAATCAGGAATAATTAGATACCGTAAATGAACCAATAACAAGCATATAGATTTAAATGGTAGTTAAAAAATTACCAACAAAGATGTCCAGGACCAGATTCACAGCAGAATTCTACCAGACATTCAAAGAAGAATTGGTACCAATCTTTTTGACACTATTCCACAAGATAGATAAGGAAGGAACCCTCCCTAATTCATTCTATGAAGCCAGCATCACCCTAATACCAAAACCGGGAAAGGACATAACAAAAAAAGAAAACTACAGACTGATATCCTTGATGAACATACATGCTAAAATCCTTAACAAAATACTAGCTAACTGAATCCAACAACATATCAAAAAGATAATCTACCATGATCAAGTGGGTTTCATACCAGGGATGCAGGGATGGTTTAACATATGCAAGTCAATAAATGTGATACACCACACAAACAGAATTAAAAACAGAAATCACATGATCATCTCAATAGATGGAGAAAAAGCATTTGACAAAATCCAGCATCCCTTTATGACTAAAACTCTCAGCAAAATCAGCATACAAGGGACATAACTTGTGGATAAAGAAACTGTGGTATATTTATATGATGGAATACTACTCAGCCATGAAAAGGAATAAATTAATGGCATTTGCAGCATTCTGGATGAGATTGGAGACTGCTATTCTAAGTGAAGTAAATCAGGAATGGAAAACCAAACATCATATGTTCTCACTGATATGTGGGAGCTAAGCTATGAGGACGCAAAGGCCTAAGAATGATACAATGGACTTCAGGAACTTGCGGGGAAAGGTAGGAGGGGAGTGAGGGATAAAAGACTACAAGTATGGTTCAGTGTATGCTTCTCAATTGATGGGTGCACCAAAATCTCACAAATCACCACTGAAGAACTTATGTAACCAAATACCACCTGTACCCCAATAACTTATGGAAAAAATAAAAGTAAAAAATATGATAATACCAAATTTTTATGACCCTAATAATAAAACTCAAAATATATAAAGCAAAATCCAGCTGAAGTAAAAGGAGATGTTGACAAATCCACAATTATAATTGGATTTGTTAGAATAAATAGCCAAAACTATTAGAATAAGTAATTATTCTAATACAACATTAATTGTAATTAATAATAACAATAAGTTGTTACAATATATTGTACAATAAGTTGTACAATAAGTTGTAATTAATAATTACAATAAGTAATTCTAATAATAAGTAATTATTCTAATACAACTTATTCTAATACAATTGTGGTTAGAATTCCGACACAACTGTTAGAATCTGTAGACAAACAATACATAAGGATATAGAAGAGTTTATCATTGTCTCCCAACTTAATTGGCACGTATAAAATTCTTCACTCAGCAATTGTGTAAGATAAATTACTTTCAAGTACCCACAGAACATTTATTTATCAAATATTGACCACATGCTGGGTAATACAGTAAGTCTCAACAAATGTGTAAAGATTAAAATTGTGCATAGTATATTCTCCAGTCACAGTGAAGTCAAGCTAGAAATAAATGCAAAATGATAACTAGAAAACCCTCAAATGTTTGGAAATTAAGCAATACACTTTCAAGTAAATCTATGGGTCAAAGAAGAAATCACAATAAAAATTAAATACACTTTTTTCACTGAATGATAATGAAAACACAACATAGCAAAACTTCTGGGATAAAGCTAAACAAGTGATTTGAGGGAAATATATGGCTTTAAATGAACATGTATAAAAGAGGAAAGGCTGAAAATCAAAGGCGTTATCTTACATTTCAGGAAGTTAAAAACAGAAGAGAAAATTAAAAGCTAGGAAAATGGAAGGAAATGATAAAGATAAAAAACAATGAGCTACAAAACAAAAATACAATAAAGAGAATCAACAAACCAAAAGTTGTTTTTTTTAATTATACTAATGAAATTGAGAAAACCCTAGAAAACTAATAAAGCAAACAAACACAAATGGCCAATATCAAGAATGAAGAAAGAAATTATCATAGAGATCCTATAGATATTAAATATATAATAGAGAATTATGAACAAATAACCCCATAAATCAAAAAAATTGACAAGATGAACAAATTCCTAAAAAAAATTTAACAAAGCTGAAAGAAAAAAATAGACAATCTGAATTTTCTAGTTTAATTTAAAAAATGTGTGATGAAAATTCCCCGAAGACAATGATGGACTCAGGTGACCTCAGGAGTAACTTTTTCTAAATATCTAAGAAAGAATTCACACCAACTTCTCACACACTCTTCTAGAGGATAGTAAAGGAGACATCACTTCCCAACTTGTTTTATGAAGATGAAGATGGCATAATTTATATGCCAAAACTTGATAAATGTATTATTAAAAAACTCAAAGTCACAGAACAGCGTTTTAAATGAACATAGATGCAAAAATCCTAAATAAAATACTAAGTAGTAATGCAGTACAATTTATATATATATATATATATATATATATATATATATATATATGCTGTGCATACAAACACACACACGCACAGCACTATTACCACCAAGTTGAATTTATTCTGAGAATATAAGGCTAACTTAACATTAGAAAATTAATCAATGTGATTCATAATAGAATAAAAGGAAAAAGAGCTTATATCAACTTCATACAAGTCAATACTCATTCACGATTAAAAAATACTTTTAGCCAACTAGAAACTGAGGGAAATTTCGCAATCTAAAAGGTATCTATAGAAAATCTAGAGCAACATCATATTTAATCATAAAATATTAAATGCTTTCCTCTGAGGTAGGGAATGAAATAGGTTGATTACTATTACTTTTCCTATTTAACATTGTACTGAAGAGCCTAGCCAGTGGAATAAGGAAAGGAATGAAATAAAAGATATATGGATTGGAATGGAAGATATTAATATATTTTCTTTGATGAAAATATTCAGTTTGTAGAATATTTGAAATAAATATTATCACTCAGAGAATTTTGCAAAGTCATTGAATGTAAGGTCAGTAATCAAAGTGTTTCCTATATCTAGCAAGGGATATTAAGAAATCGCTTTAAAATGATACCATTTTCACATGAAAACTATTAAATATCGAAAAATAAACTTAATGCAAGATATGTATAACCCCAAAAAAGAAGACTAAAGATGATTATTAAAAGAAATTATAGAAGACCTAAATAATGGAGGAATATACCATGTTCACGTATTGAAAGGCTTAAAATTATAACAATTTCAATTGATTTATAGATCAATGCAATCTCAATGAAAAACCTCAGCAGGTTTTTCTTTTCATGGAAATTGACAAGCTGTGTCTAAAATTTATATAGAAATTCAGACACAAGAATAAGATCAATCTTGAAGAATAACAAAGCTAATAGATTTACAATAACAGATATCAGATTTTAATATAAAGCAAAATGAATTAAAATGTGATAATAGTGGCACAAGCATAAAGCAGTAGAACAGAATAAGGTGTACAAATGTAGACTCTCACATTTGTGGTCACCTGATTTATAATACAGGTGTCAGTGCATTGCAGTGGTGAAAGGAATGCCCTTTTAATAAACGTGTTCACTTCTAACCAACAAGGGAAAAAAATAAATCTTTTCCCGTATTTCACACCCCATACAAAATGTCAGATTCAGAGGGAACAGTAACCTAAACATAAAAGCTAAGACAATGAAGCTGCTAGAAGATAACATTTGAGAATGTCTTTGTAATCTTAGGGTAGGCAAAATTTCCTAAACAGAACACAAAAAGCACTAACCATAAAATGTAAGATTTATAAATTGCGCTACATTAAAATTAAGAGCTTCTGCTCATCAAAAACTCTAGTAAGGAAGTAAAAAGGCAAGCCACAGGATAGATATATTTGCAATACAAATAACCAAGAAAGGATTCATGTTCAGATTTAAAAACAACAGAAAAACAACTCTTGCCTTAGCCTGCTTGGGTTGCCATCACAATATACCATAGACTGCATGGCCTAAATAACAGAAATTTATTTTCTCATGGTTTTGGGGGCTGGGAAGTCCAAAATCAAGGTTCTGGTGGGGTTTGACTCATGGTAAGGTCTTTCTTCCTGGCTTGCAGATGGTGGCCTTCTTGTATTCTCACATGGGAGAGAGAGAGAGAGAGAGAGAGAGAGAGAGAGAAGAAGGAGGAGGAGGAGGAGACGGAGGGGGAGGGAGGAGGAGGCGGAGGGGGAGGGGGGAGGAGGAATAGGAGGGGGAGGAAAGAAGAAAGGAAGAAGAAGAGGAGAGGAGGAGAGGAGAAGAGGAGAAGAAGGAGAAGAATGAGAAGAAGAAGGAAAAGGAGAGATATCATCTGAATTGCTCTCTGCCCCAGGAATCAATCTTTGCTAACTTGAGGGCATTCACACACCTGTTGAGCATGTATATTTAGAGAGAAAATTCCTATGGTGCTCCCCCAGAGCATTCCTATTTCCCAATTTTTCCTAGCCTGGTTTGTTTAACTCTTTCTTGAGTTTTGTGAGATACTACTTCTTCCTTTATGAACATTCCCTTTCTGCTACTCATAACCAAAACAACCTAAAGAGAAAAGCAAAAATTTCTACTAGTAAAGGCTTTTTAAAAATCTATTATGTTTAAAACACCCAGGGGGCTATCACAGGAATTTATGCAATGATATTCTTTGTCAGATATGTTTTCATGTTAGCACCTGCTTTTTGTACAAAAAAGGCAGATACTAGTTTTTAATTCAAATTGAAGATACTCTGAATACCACATTTGTATCTACATGTTATAGAAAAGGCAACAGAAAATTGCTTTGAATAATGGGAAATACCTCTGTATCTGAATAATTTAGATACTGAACCTATTTTCATTTGCATTTTACACATTTATACCAGCCATCCCACAAAATACTGAACAAGTGGAAGAATCAATATCTGAATTTAATTTTGCAAAGAAATTTAAAAGCTGGTAGAAATAGAGGATTAGAAGAAGGATCTTATTTCATCTCATCTCATGCAATGTTATATCATCAAATCAAATCTGAGATTAGAGTGTGATCTGTTGTTTTCTTTTAAGAAACTTATTTTAAAAGTACTATATATATTTACATTTATTTTAAGATATCTTTGGGAGGCAGAGGCGGGCGGATCACAAGGTCAGGAGATCGAGACCATCCTGGTTAACACGGTGAAACCCCGTCTCTACTAAAAATACAAAAAATTAGCTGGGTGTGGTGGCAGGTGCCTGTAGTCCCAGCTACTCGGGAGGCAGAGGCAGGAGAATGGCGTGTGAACCCGGGAGGCAGAGCTTGCAGTGAGCCGAGATCGCGCCACTGAACTCCAGCCTGGGTGACGGAGCAAGACTCCATCTCAAAAAAAAAAAAAAAAACCACACAAAAAAAGATATATTTGATAAGACTGGAGTTATGATTATTATATTAGGTTTTTATTCCTGATACTTAGTGTACATACATGTTTTGTTTTCACTTTTCCTAGTAATGCAAATTAAAGATTTTATTTTCTATTGTCCTTTTAATTTATTAATCTGGTTGTTGATGGTCTATCTTTCGTTCTCTTTCTATTGTCATTCACCTAGATTGGAGAATCTTTAATTTTAATTCTTGTCTCTTTTGAATATATATTATTTTCTTCACTACTTCCATGTTTTTGATAACACTCATCTTGAAATCTTTAGATCATTTTTCTGTGACTCTTGGTTTTAAGAGATTTCTCAGTTTCAAAAGCTTCTTTATAATTGTATTATTTTCTCTAATATGCAATTGTTAACAACCATAAAATAGAAGTAGGATCAAGCATCTCTCTTCTGCGTTCCTGGATTTACATAGCTTCCACTGGGGCTTTAAGAGCTTCTGCCTTCAATGACATAGGTGAATATCAATCCTTTATTAACATATACATTTGAAGGAAATGTGGCTGCTTCTGCTTTTTCCTTTGGTTGGGAAGACAATTTTTAAATAATATTTAATAATGTAATCGATTAAAATCAAACCCTCCATTCGTTGAGTGCTTTACTGGGCATGAAGCATTGTGTAAGCTTTTTACATATGTGATCTGAGTTAATCTCAGGACAATGCTAGGATGTAAAGTTCTAATTCCACACCTCAGAGGGTTGCTTAAAGAAACTGAACCCTGCAGAGGTTGCCAGTGAATAAATGTCACAGGGCTGGAGAGTGATAGAAAAAAAATAACATTCAAATTGAAATAAAATATAGGTCTATGTAATCCCAAAATCTAAGCTCTTTCCACTCAGGTAAATATTTCTGAAAAGTTTGAAAATATTAACTTAAAGGATAACAGATCTATGAAGATGTATTAAAGAACTTGAAGTGTTTAGGGGATATATGTGTGCCAGGACCATACTAGGTACTCCTTGTTTGCTTTAGAATGGATGATTGATGAAGTTATTAATAAATCAATGATTTAGAAGATAAATTGTTTCGTGGCATCTTTTTTTTGAACCAGGAGACTAACCAGGTTGGCCTCTTTCTCTGATGCCCTTTGCATGTTTGTGTATTTGGTGCTGCAGAGATGTTTCAGTCAAGTGAGGAAATTTATGGCTTGTGTAGGTGACTGTGAGTTGATTAAAGAAACATTGTATGGCTTTTCCCCATGTGTCTTGCTTTGGCTCTCACACCACCCGAGCTAATGGCCAGGGCACCTGCAGTCTGTAGGCTCAGCAATTGCTTTTCGGGCTGACAGCAGCTGTCAGCTGAGGGCCTAGGGGATTTCTCATCACAAAGTGATCAGATGATCTCATCACAAAGAGGAGGTTGGAACTTTGTCCACTTCCTGGGCAAAGAAGAGCTCTCTTCTGGTTAGGATGTAATCAGGCACCCTCTTCTAATCAAATTGCACATGGGTGCTTCTAGTTACTTTGAGCTGGTATCTTTGCATCCATCAGCAGATTGACTGGAGAGAGGCTCAAGGGGAGGGGACCTGTGTTTCCGTTGAAGACAGCAGAATTGTCTTCTATGAGGCATTGAAACAGTTTTCATTTTTATTTTTTAGGCCAAATCACAAGATTCTGCAGCATGGGGAAGGCTGCAGAAGTCAGGAAGGAGGCCTATGAATACGTAGGTGTCAGAGCAAGTATTGTAGGTCAGATAGGCATGTTCTTGTTTTCAGGGGAGCAGACAGAAACAATACGTGCACATGTATTCTGTCCTCCCAGCCAACTCCCTGCAAGAATGAAAGCCTGGCTCTCTTCCTGTATTAACCTTTCTGTTCTGTGTTCATTGGTATTCGGATAAATGATATTTATACAACACCTACAAGAAGCCAATCCCTGTGCTAGATGACACTGTAGAAAATATGAGAGAAGAAAAATTCTGGAATTTAACGGAATGTATAGGCAGAAGATTTTTATATGGATAAGACTTATATGACCACATGAGATGGCATGAAATTAAAAGATTAATGATGATACATGCAGCCAGTGACACCAGTGGACTGCAAGCTTCATGAGGGCAGCTGCTTTGGGTCTTCACTAGCGTATCCCCAGCACCTAGAAAAGTGTAGGACTCACAAATTTGCTGAATGAGTGAGTGAATGATCAGAACATAGGGGAAGGTGAAGCAATACGTATTACAGCTAAAAGATTAAGCTATGAGATTTCAATTATGGGCCTGCCCCTCACTGCCGAACATTGGGATGGTTTTTTTAATCTCTCCAAATCTCAATGTCCTTATCTGCAAAATGGAATTTACATGAGCACCTAATTCATAGCATTGTTATGAAAATGAAATGAGATCACATAAAAAAGGAGATAAGCACATCTTGAGGTTTATATTAAAGGGTCAATACATTTTAGTTATTTTTTGTATTAATGGCTAGAGTGTCAGTGGAGTTGATTTTACATGGAGAAGAAATCAATAGATTAAGGCAAGACTTGCAATCTACTGGCAGCTCTGACATTCGCAAGATGGAAAATTTGGAGCAAGTCAATTCCTTTCTCCAGATCTCCAATTCCTCATTTAGAGAAGGAGGTGGCTGGAGAAGGTGGTCTCTAAGATTGCATTAGACTTTTTCAGTTTGGAGTGGGGTTGCAAAATCAAACGCCTGCAGAAACCTGGCAGGTAATAGTAACATGTCAAGTGAGCTATGTGTAAGAAAAACTTGATCTCAGCATCAGGGACAATTGAAAGGAGTGGAGACTTGGTAAACTGAGCACTGCTGCTGAATGCTGCCATGGGGAAATGCGTGCTCGGCAGTACCATATATTCTGAATTTTTTCAGAGAAGCTGGGAATTCACATTTTCCATGAATTCTTGCAATTTTTGAGAGCTAGGAATGAATTCAGGTTTTTTCAATTTGTTTTAAATATTGTTTGGGCCACTACTTGTGAGCCAAACAAAATACGTCCATGGCCCACTGTGGTTTGATGCTTCCTTTTGGGTCCAGGAAGTTAAGAAGCCAGGGTCTGTAAAACGAGAGTCCTCAGGGCAAGTCTCAACAAAAGCAAAATCACTTGCTGACTTTGGGCTATGGTGGCTTAGCCTCCGCTTTGCTTATAAAGGTTTCTAGGGATGGGTGATCCCATGCCTACCAGTACAGGAACTTATCTGCAGGTAGTGAGAGGACTGAAACTCAATCCTGTTCCTGATTGGGTTAGAAATACTGAGGTTTTTACTTTGTCTAATATTTTTAGCCACCTTTGGGCTATTTGAGTTGCTTAAGGGTGTTGAGAATGGCATAGGACTCCTAAGAGGGAACTAAAGTTGATACACACCCATGTGCCAATTTTCATGTGTATGTTTAAACTAGCTTTAAATAGGGGATTATCAATCTGGGAAAGGGGATGACCTCTCAGAGTTTCGAGATTAGGATAAGATGTAGTAGGAAGAAGCCTCCATGCCCAGGTGTTTTTGCTATGCTTTTTGTAGGATGAAAGCAGGAGACATGGGATTTAACCACATTGTCCAGAATCACAATTTCTGAGTTTGAGGTCTTGGGAAAGACAGAAAATCCCACCAAATCTATCAGTGTAGCTTGGGCCAATCAATGATTGTGTGAGACCCAGGCTGCTGGTCCAGTAAGAATGCCCTTCTGGATGGGTGGCAGTCAATTTCTACAGATGGAAAATTCATCTTAATTCAACCAACTGATTTCATGTAGGCATCAGCAGGAATCAAACTGAGCATGATATGGTCTTTAGATCATCTAGCAGCTGACCAGAACAATTGATTTTTTTGTAACTGCAGCTTTTCATTTGGCATCATAAAGATGCAACCTAAATAAAGCATTAGCCTCTAGAATGTGTTTAAATTGAGTTTCTGGATACTTTGGCATGTATCCAGTTTTAAATAAGTTCTGATCTAACTCTAATCTCTAATCAAAAGATCCTAGTGTATGGAACATTCCCGTTAATAATGATATCTTAGACATCCATTAAGTCTGGACATTAATTTTATGGAAATTCTCCAATACATCTCCATTAGGATTTTTTTTCTGGGGAAAATTAGTAATAAAAGCTTTTAATAAATGTCATAAATATCTATGTTCAATCACACTATTACCCAAATTAAAGCCAGACCAAAATAGAAAATAGTTACCTCTGCTAAAAGTCATGACCTTCAGAAGACATTCTGAAGAAAGAAATTATGTGCTCTTTTATTACTCAAAATGCATTTGTTACAAAGAATAATTAGCTAGTGGGAGCAAATTGCTACTTATTTGACTACCGCATGAATTCCCTAGTTTTGCATTGCATGCCTAGCAGCTCATGTAATAAACCCTATGGTCCATCCAAGTTGTAAAAACAGGCATAGCAGCCAGGAAAGTCAAGGTTTGAGTCCTGCACTCTTTTTTGACTAGATCTGAGATTCTGAGCAAGTTATTTACATTTCTCGAACCTTGCTTTCACCATCTTTAAAAGGGGTCCTACCAAGTAGGAGTATGATACATTATGAATGGGGAACATCTGATACTGCTCTTGACGCATGGGTGGTGCTAGTTAAGTACAAGCCATTATTGTTAATATCCAGCATTGAGAGGGAGTTAGGTGTACAGGTTTTCAGAGGGTGGGAAAGAAGGATCATGAGGAGTGAGTGCTGGCTTTTATTCTCATTGCTATGGCTGAGTAAATACAGACACTTTCCTGCCCTTCTTGGGGCCTTTCTTCTATTCTTGGTAACCAATGAGCTAGAAGTGACAGATGGAAAGATACGTGCATGTTCTCTAGTCCTTTTCTTTCACACCTAAATCTATGGGGTATGGTACGGTTACGGCCAATATTTGCCCCATTTGACCTGGCCTCTATAACCACAATAAAGCAAATCCAGTTCTTAAGAAATGTGGGTGGTAGAAACTTACTGGAAACGTGGAAAGACGGGACACAGAACCGGATCCACTGGCTTCCCAGCTGCCAGATGGGTGTTGCCTTGCTTTTGGCCTTTGTTATTTGGCCAACACCTTGTACTTTTCAAGCTTCAGGCATCTGGCCTGAGACTCCTTTGTTTCTTGACCTTTTGGCCACCACCTGAGGTCCTTATAAGTAGATAGCTATAATTTGGAAACATATTAGAAGTCATCTAGTTAGGGGATTTTCAAACTGTTGTTTAAAGACAGCAGGACTCTTTCTTTAAACCGAATCTTACAAGGAAATATAAATGAATAAAAGAGATAAAAACTATAATTGCTCTGGTTTTAAGCAAGAGTGGATGGAGTAGAGTTTTTCCCATTGATCCTCCTCATTCCAGCCCCCTGCTATTTCCAGGAATAGTAGTTAGAAAACCATAGATTCTAGTTTGATCTTCCCTGAAAATAAGTTCTGAGAGGATAATTGATCTGCTCAAGGTCACATAGTTAATTAATGGAATGATGAGTCTAGGGCACAGGTGTTCTTACTTGAGGGTGATCACACTATTTGCAGCTCTGGTGTTGGACTATAACATCAGAAATTCCTCTCCCCTTTATACCCTGTGCCCCCGCCTACCACATCCCTGATATAATCTCAAGTCAATGTTTCTGAATGCAACAGAATGTCTGGTTCACACACATAAATACATGTGTGGGGAATGGATGCTAATATTAACAATGGCATTACATAGAATGAGTAACGTAGGTTTTTATTGAAAGGACCCATTATTTCTGAGGACTCTAACCACTCCAGTTCTGTCTGCATCCAACCCAGGATTAAAAAAACATTTTTAGTTTTTTTGACTATCTAAGACCCCTCTATCCTTCCTCTGATTCCTGCTTGCTTTTATGTCTGACTTAAATGTAGCTTAAATTTCTTAAGAACTGGGAAAGCGCTGTCTCTTGCCTGACTCTCAGATTGTAGGATCAACTGGCTCGTGGGTGGGTGGGCCCAGCTCAGGCAGATTTTAACTGAACTCCATCTTTCCGTGTTGCAATGTAAAATCAACAGACTCCACCGACAAACAAGATCAGATTGAGTCTATTACAAAGGAGAAAACTGTAGAAAATTTGGAACATAAAGCTAAGCAAGTAGAAAAAAATAAAAATTACCCATAATTTACCATAATGCAATAGTTTAAACATTTTGGCATGCTTCTTCTCTTTTCTGTTTCTTCCTTTTTTTTTCTTTTAAATATAGACTTAATTTATCTTAAGTATTCCATGATTAACAATGTGTTTTTCATTCTTTTTTCCTTTTACAAACAATGTTGTTACACCCTTGTACCTAAGTTTTCCTGTGTCCTTTTGATATACTCTAATAAGTTGGCTAAATGGGTTATTGGAAATGTGCAGTTTTAAGGGTTTTGATATATGTTGCCTGCTCCCCAATTTCAATCTTTCTTTTGAGCTTAGGTATGGCTTATTTAATTTTTTTCTACTAGGCTCTATTTTTAGTCTGTTACTAAAGCTCTAAGCAATCTTTCTGTCTTATAACACATTCCAGTTCTGATCACTGCTAACAAAAAAGTCAAGAGACATTGTTTCCATATGATCATAAAGATGTCTTTCACAGGTGGACAGTGAAAAAACTAAAACAATTTTAGTTATAAAGTGCTCAGGCCACTTGCATCATTCTTGTTGTTCTATTTTTGTTTTTAGTGTTGTTGTGGGTTGCACTTACTGAGCACTTGCTTTGTGAGCCAGGCCCTGTGCTGAATACTTGACCCTCATTATTTCATTTAATCCTCAAAGTAATGAACATTCCTCAATTGACATAGAAAGAAACTGAGGTCCAGTAAGACTGCACCTTGTCAAACGGTACACAGCTGATTTGGTCAGCAGAATAGCAGCCCCTAAAGATGTCCATGTCCTGACTGCTGGAACCTGTGAATGGATAAAATAGATTTAGCAGATTTGACTACATTAAGTGTCTTGAGATGTGGTGATTATCCTGGATTATCTGGGTGGGGCCCTGATGTAAACCACTAAGGGCCTTATAAATAAAAGAGGGAGGTGGGAGGGTAAGAGGAAGAGAAGGAGACATGAGGATGGAAGCAGAGTGATGTGATTGCTGAAAGGGGGACATGAGCCAGGGGACACAGGTGACCTCCAGGAGCTGGAAAAGGCAAGGACACTGATTTCTCCTCTGGCACTTCCAGAAGGAGAAGTTAAACAACGTTCCTAGGATCATATAATTAGTACAACTGTCATCCAGATGACCCCAAGCCTATACCCTTTTTATTTTCTATACAATGCCTTCGTGACGGTTTCAACTATTTATGGAGAAACATGAATGACTTTAGCCAAAGCTGCTGCTTCAAACAAACCTCCAAACTCTTTGAGGGAAACTGGTTTGGATAGAAAGACTTTGCTACTCACCCCTGTAAAAGCTCATCTATTCCTTAGAAACGTATTTGACTGTCAACCAGAGTGGGTGTACAACTGTCAAGCTAGCTTTCTGAAATGACAAGTGTATAAGATTGGCATTCCGTGTCGTCTTGACTGATTTTAATTATTCTTTGGGTTGGAGTGAACACAACTTTTGTTCTAAAGTTGATAATGATAGCCTTCTATTGCCCCTTTTATTTCCTTGAGGGATATATCTACATTTTAAAATTCCATTACATACACGTCTGTGGTTACTCTCTTAGTTTTCTAAATGTAATTATCCAGCTAGGCTAAATTATGGAAAAGAAATTATAAAAATCTTTTCCTGCCAACAATCTGAATCTGGCCAGCACATTCCTGGTGGTTCAAATGTTGGGTATAGTTTTTTTTATTCTTTCTACTTCTCCGCTGCTGCCCCCAGACCCTTTTAAATTCCAACATACTTTATAGTGGGACTGATATTTCTTAAGGTGTTTCCTTGAGCACTGCACTATTGCCAAATACATATTTGTACATATTTTGTAGGAATAGGTATATTATAACTTTCATATTAATTTTGAGTTATTGTTCCATAGGAAACAAAAATACACATGGTAGCTTTTATACATTATGAGATATTCATAGAATGAAGTCATATTTAAAATCACAAGTGGAATTTGGAATGTGGTATTAACACTATGTAATAATTAATCTATTTTTAGTGAGAATAAAAATAATTGCAACAATTCTTAACAAAATTGGCATAAGCTAAAAGGGGTTTAGGTAGAACCATGGCAATTTAAAAATAAGAGATTCTAAATTGTTTTTAGTTATTTAGTTGTGCTTGGTCACAGACCCTATAAAGTGCTAACTTCTTCCTCACACATCATTGACGGGAGGGTGAACTGTTGTAGCATTCCTGGAGGGTGAGAGGACAATGGCGTAATGTGTATAAACTTAAATGTGTGATTGCTTTACACCCTAGAAATTTTACTCCTGGGTAGACACCTTAGAAACTCTTGTAGAAGTCCTCAAGAGATAGATACAAATTAGGATGCGCCCTGCTTACTGTTTATGGTAGCAAAAGTTGGGAGTAACCTGGGACTCCATCCCTAGAGGAATGGCTTTTTCAAATCTGTTCTGTTTTTTAGATGGAATGCAATAGTCAGAAGCAATGTGCTGTGTTTCCCTATAGCAATGTGGAAGTCTTACAAATAAGTTGGGCTGCAAAAGTAAGCATTGCCTTAGGAAGCACGTGGTCTAAAGCAGTGGTCCTCAGTCTTTTTGTCACCAGGGACTGGTTTCGTGGAAGACAATTTTTCCATGGATGGTGGGTGGGTTGGGAGGGTGGGGTTGGAGATGGTTTCAGCATGAAACTGTTCCACCTCAGATCATCAGGCATTAGATTCTCATAAGGAGTGTGCAACCTGGATCCCTCACATGCACAGTTCACAATAGGGCTCACACTCCTATGAGAATATAATGCTACCACTGATCTGACAGGAGGTACAGCTCAGGCTGTAATGCTTGCCTGCCTGCCCCTCACCTCCTGCTGTGCTACCCAATTCCTAACTGGCTACAGATTGGCCTGTAGCCTTGGGGTTGGGACACCTGGTCTAAAGGAAGAAACCCACAGTAATAAGAAAAAGTCTTCATCATTCACTCACTCTTTACAAAGAGGCAACTGCTGGAGCTGGCTGGCCTGGCTTGGAATCCCAAATCTGATTTAACCTCTTTATGTTTCTGTGGCTTCAACTGTAGAATGGGCCTAATACTAGTACAGAGCTCCTAGGGCTTATTGAGGCTTAAATGAGCTAATATCTATAAAGTACTTACAACAGTGTCTGGCCCATCATAAATACCATATTAACACACAATTATTCGCCTAGTCAATGAATGTTTATTAATTATTAAATATCAAATGCGCAAGATATAAAGTGCTTATGTCATCCAATCAGAAAAGGAGGAGCCAGAAAAGCTGAGAATTCAATATGCAGCTGTAACTAGGATCACATGGTATGATTCTGGACCTTGAGAATGTCAATAAATAGCAGGGTATTCAAGCAAACTTGTTAGTAATTTTCCTTTGATTGTGTAAATTTAATATTGAGTGGAATACACAACTCTGAATTGAATCTTACTAGCTGGCTATAGTGTATGACAAAATATTTCCTTGAATTTCAGAAATAATCGCAGCTGCCCATTTCTGCATTCTGGCTGCATTCACACACCTGGCTCTCTGAAGTCAAAGCTTGTTTGTCACCATGACTTTGCTCCCAGGTGCCTTGTACCTTAAAAAGGCATGCAAACCGAAGCAGGAAAGTGGAGCGAATAAGGGAAGGGCCTGGAAAAACTGGAAGTAAGAACTGTAACCTTGGACTCTTTTCATACCCCAAAAAAGGTTTTATGGATGTTGATCAGTTGTAGGCCAAGAAGGTGGAAATCATTTCCGCCTGAGTGCTGAGAGCCACAGAGGCATCTTCGCCCTGCATTTTCTCTCAACTTGTTCTCTTTTCTAAGCTTGGCAAGAAAGGTTCACTCAGTCCTACCCAACTCATGGTGGAGTATGGTATCCTGTACAAACAAACTGTAGCAGTCACTGGGCCTCTATTCAAATTGCACCGGGTCCTTTTATTTCCTCCCTGGTTCTTAGGGGTGGCTCACCCTAAAACATCATTGGGTGGTAGCTTGGCCCCATTCCAACCAAGTCACAACAATGAGGTGTTTACTGATCTTTGGGATTTTTTTTTTCTTAACCCTAAATCATTTCTTCTCAAACTTGGTGGCACATTAGAATGATCCAAGGGGCTTTAAAAAGTACTGATGCCTTTCTAGGGGTCTCACATTGGGAGTTTCAAAGGTCTTCTGGTGATTCTAACATGTAGTAAAGTGTGAGAACTTCTGCCTTAACCCATGAAACCGCGTGGGCTTCTTGGGGGCCATGTGCACCCTTGGATCTAGGTTGATGAGTGTGAGCATGCAGTGTAGAGAAATATCCTCCAAGAGCCTCACGTTACCCATCTGAGAGCTGCTAGAAACTTTTGCAGTTTTTCCAAGGTCAGTGTTCCCATCACTGAGCACTGAGGTGACGAAGGCTGAATTGAGATACAAATAAAAGCAGCTCAAATTGAATCCTAAGAATGGCTGGTTGGTTCATAATGACCTGATTTCTTCTTTTCACTAAACTTTGTTCAGAAAAACTCTTAAGGAGGTTTTACCTGAAAGGGAGACATATTCTTTTGCTTTCTGTTATCGGATAAAAATTACAATGGGTGTAAAATTATAAATAAGTAAAAACATATATGTGTATGTATATATATGTGTATATAATATGAACATACATACATACGCGCATGCACACACACACACACACACACATGCACACACACATACACACACACACACCCTAAATGGAGACCAGGCGACAATGTCTGAAATGGGTGGGGGCCAAGTGTATTTCTATTTACTACTTGTACATATTTTCAAGAAAGAAATGAAAAACAAAAGAGGGTATTTCAGGATCATTTGTTGTGGAAGTGGTTAAAAACCCTCCGGGTGATCCTCGTAGTTTCTGATGAACTGTTACAGGCAGTTCAGTTTATGTACATTTCATTTAGCAAATTGCCTGCCTTTTATCGTTTTTATTTTCCTGATTTTGTGTATTCAAATACTACTCCATCTGCCAAAGGTCACAGATCCACCCAGGCACCAGCAAGACTTCCCCTTGAGGAATGGAGTTATTGATGCCCTCAGCAGGGGGTTTCCTGCCCCTGATGCTGCAAAGTTAATTACTGGAACTAACACCATCTCTAGTCTGTCATTCTGCAAGCCATGCATACGGCTGCAACTTCCAAAAATTGTTTTTGGGCTTCTTAGGATACTGATAACCCTGTGTGGCATATAGTATCATTATATTCTAAGCATACACCCCAGGAGATCCACAGATGTGTGGTGGAGAGGCTTGTGCCTCAGCATGTGCTGTTTAAATAATTTTCAGTGTTATCCAGAATCCTATCTTACAGATACTTACCAGAATGTGAAACCAATTAACCATTACGGACTGTGAATTTTAGCATGACTAAATAGATCTGCATTGGCAAGACAAGCTTTCCAATATTTGAGAAAAATATCGGAGTACACGCTCTGATATGAGCTGATACATTATTTGGGAAGTGGGACTTACTCTGTGAAACCAGGAAGGCTCCATATAATATGAAATGCATATTCTTCCCACTTTTACAAGCTTATTTCCTCTTGAATATTATTTCTATACTTTTGGTAACTTTCAAATGGTAAATGGTAGTCCCCGTGATCCATGCATAGACAATTGAGAGATCGAATAGAGCACATCATCTAATGGCTTAATTCTATTTTTAATAAAGTAAATTGTTAAAATAGACCAACCAACATCTGTTATTTTCAACACACATCAATTTTGTGTTTAAACTAGAATAGCATTTGGAGCAAGGTTTCATATAATTATAGAGCTGGAAAATACTTGAGATGTTACTATGTCTGACCATGATTAATCTCTTTAAAAATCTGCCTCAGCAATGAACTCTGTGGGCCTCTGCATGAATGGAACAACCTGGTGGAAGCTCTCTATTCCAGAGTCAGCTCTACATCCATCCTGTGTCACCTGCTCATATATATGTCTTTTTTTTTTTCTTTTCTTCCAAGTCAATACCTTTTACTTGTTTTCTGGGTCATTTTCCTAGAGCTTCAGCTTTATGGATTGAGTACTTTTCAATAGTTTCCAGCCTGGGGCCTCCTTTTCTGGCTTGTCAGCTAATTACTTACCCTTGGAGTTAATTATTTCCTTCGTGGTAAGAAAAAAAACTGCAGCCTCTGACTGTTGTCTGCTTGGAGCTGTCTGGTTGTAACAGCTAGACCATAGAGTTCTATAGGACATAAACAATTTCACAGAATGTCAATATTAGACAATACCTGTCTCCAATCATGGATGGAGCAAGACAAAAACAAAACAACTCTAAACATGTCTGAACAGAGTCAAAGACAAGAACATGTCCAGACCAAAATGGCCAAACATTTCCATTTCTGGGCTAATATGAGTGATTGCTGCTTCTTTACCAATTATAGCTTTAGCCTCACTGTTCCTCCTATTAGAAAAAAAATTATTAAGATATCCAATGATAGAATTGCCCTGCTTTCTTTTTTCTTTTTCTTTCTTTCTTTTCTTTTTTCTTTTTTTTTTTTTTTTTGAGACAGAGTCTTGCTCTGTCGCCAGGCTGTAGTGCAGTGGCGCATTCTCGGCTCACTGCAACCTCCGACTCCCTGGTTCAAGTGATTCTCCTCCCTCAGCCTCCTGAGTAGCTGGCATTACAGGCACGTGCCATCACACCCAGCTAATTTTTGTATTTTTAGTAGAGACAGGGTTTCACCATGTTGGCCAGGCTCTTCTCAATCTCCTGACCTCATGATCTGCCTGCCTCGGCCTCCCAAAGTGCTGGGATTACAGGCATGAAACGCTGTGCCCGGCCAGAATTGCCCTGATTTCTGATGGTACCCTATGTGAAACAAAACTGCTTTCTTGAGCCTTCCTTTAAGTTACCTAACAAGCCAAATCCTAACACAAGTCCATTCTAAAACCCTCTAACGAAGATGCCCATTTCATGGTTCTCCATAATGTGGTGGGTCCTTCAATGTAATGAGCCAATAAGCCTGATTTGGTTGAATATAGGTGTGTGTCTGGTGCTGTTGGGCTGGAGGACATTAGCAATGGGGACCTATTCTCTGTGAAATAGTCGTTCAATGACAACAACACTTCTTGACATAATCTGCAGTCTCTCAAATATCTAATACCAGCCTCCTAAGCAGTCCCACCAGGAACAGATCTGTCCTATGAGCAGACTTGGACCATCTAACCCAATTTCTTCAATTTTCAAATGAAACAAAACCAAACGCAAGCATTTTTCCTCTCTGAGGCCATCAGGTAGTTAGTGGCAAAGCGGTGATTAGCACCCAATCATCTGACGCCTGCTGTAGTGCTTTTTCTGCTCTACCGTGCTGACTATTTAAAGAAGTACAACTCCCAAAGTATAATACACCTTTGAGCACTAAATTCAATTTACTATCCATCTCTCCTTAATTGAGTTTGGTTTCCATTCTCTCCTTAGAAAACACTTTAACCTTCAAATATTGGGCTCTGTCCAAGGCAGGGCTACCCACACGTTACTTTGAGCTTTGATTTTAAAAGCTCCTATGGGTACTTTCGGTAGGGGCATTAATCTCTTAGGTGTAAGAATCTTATGTAGCATTAACTCTGGTCCAAGCTGATGTTTTCTTTTCTGTTCAGAATTGGCAGTGAGTTCTGCAGTGTAGCTAACCAATGAGAGTTTTTATTTTATTATTATTATTTTTAATCTCTCACCTTCCATAGTTAAGAGAGAGAAAGCTTCAGACACACACACACAAAGTGAAACAAAATACAAAAATTCTACCACCTGGCCTTCCTGTGTTAAGAAATGGTTACTAGTGAGACTGGATTCTCCCAGGCAATATTATTCACTCCAACCATTTTACTTCTCTTCTTTGTTAATCTCTAAGTTTTCTACCTTTAAAAAATAATTATTTACACTGTAGTTTTACCCTCGGGATTTATATCAGAGACACACTGCTTTTTGAAAGGACTTTCTTAAAAAATACACTTTTGAAGAGACAGAATAGTTTCTTGAAATCACAAAAATAATATTGAGGTGTTTTTAAGTAAGAAAGAAAATGGAACTTTGCTATAGAGTAAACCTGTATTTATTATTTTTATACTGCATGCATTTTCATGTCTTTTGAAAGAGGGTAGGTACATATTGATATCCTATTTTTCCATTTAACAATATATAATAAATATAGCTTCATATTTTTACATGGATTGCATTGTAAATAATTTCAAGGAAGCAGAATATTATGTTAATGTGTCATAAACCTGTTTTGGACATTTGGTTGTTTCTAGTTTTTGAGTTTTTTGTTTGTTTGCCTTGGCAGTATAGAAAAGGCTATAGTAAATATCTTTGTGTAGATAGCCATTTGCTTCTTCTGAATTCTTTTATGTTAATTCTCAGAATTTGGATAATAGTGTTGCTGTTTAGAGACCAGGGACATCTCTATGGCTCTCATTATAGATTGGCCTATTGCTCACCAAAAGGTTGTAGGCTTCCAGCAGTCCTTGCATTACTGAAACCTCATCAAAATTGCATATTATCACTAAAAATATTTGCTCCTTGATTTTGAAACTGTAAGATCACACCTCTACTTTATTTTATTTTGCATTTCTTTTCCATTAAAAGGGAAAATTATCTTTTATCATCTGTTTACTTTTTTTTTGCAATGGCAATTTCAAGTTCTCAGGCTGACCTAAGGTAAATAGAAGGCTGTTTATCTTTTGCTGCATCTCGAGTTGTACACTCTTTAAAGTATTCAAATTCCCACCCTGGAAAAGAGCCAGGCTTCTTTGGAATTTGGGAAACATTTGAGGACAGAAGAGCATGGATCTTGTAGTCTTTATCTAGTAAAGAAATGAGACCCTTTAATCTGCTTCTTTGCACCCAGAATTACATTTTTAGATCGGTTCTGCTCTCCTGGCTTTTGTGGGCATTTTAACTTTAATTCTATAATAATTTTCATTCTTTCTGGTTTTCTTTAGCTGTAATATTTATATTGGGCACTTACCTTCTCTTCATAAGTTGGGAGTAGTATATATGTAGTATGGCAGATTTTATTTTTTTTCTTTTTATTTAAAAGTAGGTCAAGAGAAAAATTTTCTTTCTCCAAAGGCAGTGGGAGTAGAAGTGTCACTTGCTTGTGAGAAGCCTACATTATATGTTTTCTACATGTTTAGCAGTATTTCCTTTTAGTTGAGAAATGCATAATGGTTCTTTCCTTAAAAAAATTAACAATTTCCAAAATGATAATACTCCTTGGATAATCTTCATGCTTTCTAAGTTAAAGTTAAGATTATGGGGACAATGGGATAAACTATTTATAGATAATACTGGATGTCCCCCAAAATTTGGAAACCCCATCACTATAACTCTGCTCTATTTATGCGTAGTCTTTTAACCAGATATGTAAAAGCATGCAACTTTATTTTTATGATGAGCCTCACCTTGCTCTAAACTCCTCAGTTCTGTTTATGGTGGAATGGGGGAGGGGCTTGATTGCATCAATTAAAGATGATTCAGTCAGTGGCATTTCTATTAGTCTCTTTCAAATCGTCATTTGAAAGCTCAGCCCCCCAATCAAAGCAGGTTTTCTTCCTTTGAAGAGATCTCCTCTATTCTTCCTTCTTCCTAATTGCACATAGTGTAAGAGGAAGTCTGTATAAGCTATGGAGGGTGGGGATTGGGTAATAGGCGTTGGTGGGTCCTTGCTGGATTCCTCTGAGAGATTCACTGGCATCTGGTGCTACGGCCCACTGAGTGTAGCTGGGCTCACCTGGTTTGAGGGAATCATGTTGGCTGCTTTTGCTAAAGACCACGGTCCATGCCTTGGCTGACCTACAACCTCAATAATCCTATGAAAGCCCATTGGTTCCCATAGCACTCCTTGCTGAGAGGGCTTGCTGAAATTTCTGAGCTCCCAGATGCCACACTTGGCCACAAAGATCTGCCTGGATACCTCATCCATTTGGCTGTATGTCCAAATTTTATCTTCTCAAGGAAGCTAATGCTTTCTATAACATGCACCTTGAAAAGCAAGAGGCAGGTATCCTCCTCTTTGGGGATCACCCAGATCAGTCTGGGAGCTCCCACCACTTCCTTCTCAAGCCTGGGGGTTTATGCTCTCCCCTTCTTTCGGCAGTAATAATGGGATAGTTTTTTTATTTTTATTTTTTTTTGGTGGGGGCAGGAATCAGATTACTGAAAAGGAAAATATATCAGAAGACATATCCAAAATGTCATTCCCATTTTGAGTTTCGGAATAAGAGGTGAAAAGAAGACCCAGGTGAGGTTGGAATGGATGGGAGAAATGAAGAGGTGAATTCCTTGATATACATTTTGGAGAAAACAAACTGCTTATCATATTTAAAAAGATGCTTGAAGGCTGCTTTTATAGCTGTCTCTAGGGCTGCTTTAAGTGGTTGACACACACACATACATGGCACACATATATGCACATGTATTAACACATACACACATGGTGTTTGCCATTACTAATAACTAGGAGGGCATGGCCACTCTACTTTTATAACCAGGGAGATAATCATTGTTCTTTTTAAAAATCAGAATTTTGCAGCCAATTACACATTTTCCCTATGTCTCAAGTCCAGTTAATAAACTGATTTCTCCATTCTCTCCTTGTTTGCTTGTAATTTAAAAAGCAATTGCTTGACATATTTGGACTGATTACTGAATGATAGTGGTAGAATATTTATTACTTACAGGATACTTCCTATGTAGCAGGTAGTTCTAAACCCTGCAACTTATTAATTCATTGAATCCTCCTAACAACCCTATGGGGTAGGTACTAATCAGTGGCCAGAGATGATTCTGAGTGGTAGTCATCCAGTCCTTCAGAAACTCTGTGAGTCTGGCAGAGGTTAAGAACCTGGAGTGGTTTCTGGGGTGGTGGGCTGTAGACCCTCTAGCTGGCTTCCCCTTGGCCTGTGCCAGAATGCGTACGAGTGGCGCAAGGCAGAGTTGATGCCATCCTGAACTGTGTCCCATCTCTGCCCATGCATAAACTTTTCTGCTGTAGTGAATGCTCCTTTTGATGAGTAATACAGGAATCTTGTTGAAATGACAGGTATTTGGGATTGTTACTTTTGCTCATGGCAAATTCCTAAGAGGACCATGCCTGATTTGGAAGGGATATGGGGGAACAGGTCATGTATCAAGAAGTCCATCATGATGATACCAAATATATTAGTCTCTTCTTGCACTGCTATACAGAAATACCTGAGATTGAGTAATTTATATAGAAAAGAGGTTTAATTGGCTCACAGTTCTGCAGGCTATACAGGAAGCATGGCTGGCAGAGGGGGCAGGGTCTCAGGAAACTTTCAATAATGGCAGAAGGTGAACGGGAAACCAGGCACATCTTGCAGGCTTGTCTTACATGGCTGGAGCGGGAGGAAGAAGAGAGGAGGGGGTGGTGCTACACACTTTTAAACAATTAGATAGCCCACTCACTATAATGAGAACAGCACCAAAGGGGAAATTCATCCACGTGATCCAATCACTTCCCACCAAGCCTTACTCCAACACTGGGGATTACAATTTGACATGAGATTTGGGTGGGGATCCAGACCCAAACCATATCACCGTATTAGACCCACTCTGCATTCTGCAGCTCTTTATCCTTTCATACTAAAGTCTCAGGATGACCAAAACATTTCTTCTTGGTTCTCACTCAGATGGGCTTCTTCCCAACTTAAAATATAAACTACTCTTCAGGAAGCACTGTGGCTTACTAAATAAACAGTGAGTGATCCTCAGTGCTCATCACAGTGCTGGGCACTTGGTCAATGCTCAAAAACATGCTGAATAAATGAATGCAAAAAAGTCTTTCCTCCTCCCACACCTGCCCGCCAGAGAACAACCCCCCTTTGACTATAATTTTCCTTTACCTACCCAAATCTTATAAAATGGCCCCACCCATATCTCCCTTCGCTGACTCTCTATTCGGACTCAGCCCGCCTGCACCCAGGTGAAATAAACAGCCTTGTTGCACACACACACACACACACACACAAAGAATTCATTGCTCTTAGCTTTTGCACTGTTTCCTTTTGTAGACCTTCCTACATAAGTATTTGTGTATATGTCTGTATTTCCTGAATGAATAACTCCAAGTTTCTTGAGGATAGGGGCCTGTCCCTTATTAATTTCTCTAAGTCCAACACATTGTACAGTGCCAAGCGCAGAGTGGAGGTACTCAGTATAAGTCTGTTGAAATTCAGTGAAATGAAGGCAGAGTGATCTGATACTTTGGCTGGCTTTCAGAAAAATCATCTAGCATAGGAATAGAAAAACTAGAAATGAAGGGAGCCAGGGCTACACTCCCCAAGAGTGATAAATTGAGAAATAAGTTTTAAGCCTGGGAGTGCATTTTGAAGCAAATTGGCAAGAGATATGGGCCATAAGCACATTTCTCAAGGTCTGTGTCATTCCTTGGTGGAATTTTCGGAGGCAGACCTAGCCTGGAATGGTCTTCTCCTTTCCTGACCTCCTGTGTCTCCCATTAACTTCTTTAGTTTGTTATTGGTTTATTGTCCTGTGCTATTAACTGTATCCTCAATGTTTATGTTTTATCTTTACAGCTTGATTGAGAGCTATTTAAGGGTGATTCCTTCTTGGGCTTTCTTATGTCTCCCTTTTATCAGGTTCTGGGAGCCTCTTCCCCTCTTTCCAACATCTCTCTCTCTTTACAGCAGGCCTTGGGAAACTCCCTGTCCTCCAAAAGCCTCTTTCCCACCATTCTGCTTGAGGTTTCTGGCTCCAGTCTTGTAACTCTCTGATTTCTTTCTGCCTTTTCTGCTTTTGCAGAGAAATTTTGGTTCAATCCCTTGCTTCCTTCTGGTTTGCAGCTTTGCCTTCAATGAAATCCTTTGGATTCCTTGTGCTTAAAACTCTGGTTGCAGGCCAGTCATTCCTCTCTCTCATTTCTCCATCCAGTCTGACTCTAGGCTTTTCCCCAGGTTCTTGGCCATGGGCCCTGGCTTGTCTTGGAGGAGAGTTTGCCCAAAGTGAAGCACTGAGTAAATATTTGATACCTGATGACACATGCTTTCCATGATTCTTTCTCCCATTAAAAGAGCTGTTGTTATTAGTTTTTTAATCCGAGGAATTTTATCTTTATCTTGAAAATATATATAAATGTTTATTAGGTTATTTAATTTCATCTAGATCTTAGGAAAGCATGGATTACTAAAATTCATATGTGGTGTAATATTTTGCCGCCTCCTTGTGAAGCATGACTTGGAAAAAGAAATACATAGTTAGTTGGCTGACCCTGGTTGCTATCTTGGGCAAATCATTTACCTCTCTGAACTTGGCTCTTTTCTGTAAAATGAAAACAGAAACGGAGGTCATAGATATGGCATAGAAGTTTGGTGAGGCCCAGTTGTGTTAACATTTGTGAAAGAATTTGTAAACATTAAAGTTTAAAGTTTATTTGTTATGCATATATAAACATTATTATTCTTATATGTGATTAAAACTGTAGCCAAGCACTCTAAAAGTTTTCCTCCTACCCAAGAGATATCAAAATGGAATGCTGTGTTTTATTACAACTGGCTAAAACAACTAAAGAACTTTGAATGTGAGTGACTCCCTTACATCAGTCCTTACTGAAAACTTTCTTTACCTACACACAATAGGACGTGTTGGAACACTCATGGACACTGCACAGCTCTATTGGCTCGTTCCACACTGTGCAGAGAGCAAGTTTGACATAACCACTATCAACTCATTTGTGAATACAGGTTGAATATCCCAAATGTAAAAATGAAAAACTAAAATGCTCAAAAATCCAAAATGTTTTGAGCACTAACATCATGCTCAAGGGATATGCTCATTGGAACATTTAGGATTTTAGATTTTTGGATTTAGGTTGCTCAATCAGCAAGTCTAATGCAAATATTCCAAAATCTAAAAGGATCCAAAATCTGAAACACTTCTGATTGCAAGCATTTTGGATATAGAATAGTCAACCTTAAAATTCCCAACTTTTACCTTTAACCTAGTTCAGTACATTTCTTCATTGGAATATATTCTCTTGCCTGGCAACCAAATAAACTTGTACATTCTTTTTTTAAAAATGTATTTATTGGCCAGGCTCAGTGGCTCATGCCTATAATCCCAGCACTTTGGGAGGCTGAGGTGGGCAGATCACTTGAGGTCAGGAGTTTGAGACCAGCCTGGCCAGCATGGTGAAAACCCGTCTCTACTAAAGAAACACAAAAAATTAGCTGGGCATGGTGATGCGTGCCTATAATCCCAGCTACTCGGGAGGCTGAGGCAGGAGAATTGCTTGAACTCAGGAGGCGGAGCTTGCGTGAGCTGAGATCGCGCCACTGCATTCCAGCCTGGGCAACAGAGCGAGACTCTGTCACAGACACACACACACAGACACACACACACACAGACACACACACAAAGTATTTATTATTGCTGGGAGCGGTGGCTCACGCCTGTAATCCCAGCACTTTGGGAGGCCGAGGTGGGTGGATCATGAGGTCAGGAGATTGAGACCATCCTGGCTAACACGGTGAAACCCCATCTCTACTAAAAATACAAAAAAAATAGCCAGGTGTGGTGGCGTGCGCCTGTAGTCCCAGCTACTCGGGAGGCTGAGGCAGGAGAATGGTGGGAACCCGGGAGGCAGAGCTTGTGGTGAGCCGAGATTGAGCCACTGCACTCCAGCCTGGGTGACAGAGCGAGACTCTGTCTCAAAAAAAAAAAAAAAAGTATTTATTATTATTATTTAAGTCCAGTGAACTTTATTATTTGACAGCATTATCTGCTGTCCCAACCTCACCTCTTCCTGTATTAGTCATGAGTTTTCTTCTTGCTCCATCTAATTAAGTGTTGGGAACACATCTACCAACCTCAAGTCCCACCTCCTCCATGATTCTTCTCTGATTCATGTCCAGAGATTTCTCCCTTTGCTGAATTTCTTTCATGGTAAAGAACATTTGCCGTCTTTTGGCCTCCCTTCTTGCATTCCTCCCTCCTGATAGCACCTCAGTGCCTTTGGGGGAATTACTCAGTGGGTGGAGTTGCAGAGAAATGATAAACCCAGAGGCTCTGCCCTCCTACGTGAGAGGCTGAGAAATCCATACAGTTCTTTTCCATTAGATCCTTCCTATTATTGCCCCAGTATGGTCAAAGGGACCAGCCCACTGGACTCTTTCTACTGAGACTTTGAATCTTGAGTAGAATCTTGGAAGACACGAAGAACTGTTAATTCATTTTGAGGCTTCATGCCTCTTCAGCCTTCTTTTCTATCCCATGATACTCCATGTGCTTACACTAAGTTTCTTTTCTACTTCAGTCACTGTTTCATGCAACAAACATAACCCTAAATGATGCATTATTTATTTCATTTAATTAAACCTGCCATCTAATGCTACACATTAAAATTTAAGCATTTCCTGAGTACTTGTCTTGTCAGCTAGATTCTTTAACTAGATTATTGTATTAGCCTATTATCCTATGAGTCAACTAGATTCTTTGCTCCATGAGGTCAGAAACCATATCTTATTTTTCTCTGGATGCCTCTCCCTGTCAGTGTCCTAGGATGCATTTTATTACAAATAGCTAAAACACTTAAGAACTATAAACCTGAGTGACTCCCTGACACCACTCCTTACTGAACCTAACTGAAAATTTTCTTTACCTACAAACAATAGGATATGTTGGAACACCTACATACAGTGCACGGATCTATCAGCTTATTCCACACTGTCCAAAGAGCTAAGACTCTATGAACTTTTGTTGATTAGTAGATAATAGACAGCTGGAGCTTCTTAATACCAGACTTACGCACCTAACCTTTTGGGGAAATGTGCTCCAAAGGTCTGTGGCAAGGACTCTGGATCCACTGTTGCATGTTTGAGCGCCTCTGGACAAGTCTTTAGAACTTTTCCTTTAATTTGCCTTTGCTTCCTTCAAGGGGAAAATGAGATGAATAAATGACCTCCATCAGCTAACCACACAGGAGTGGTTTGATGCATAATCCAATGTGCCAAACACGGCTGTGCTTTGAGCTTCTTAGAAGTATCTACTATATAAATACTATATGGGTATAACCAGAAAGATTTAGTTTTGAAAATAAAATGTACCCTTCCTGCTCCTCATAACCCTTTGTTAAGGCATGTGCCTATTAATCTTCCCCAGGGATATGTATATTTCAATAGGAAGAGTGAAGCTGGAGTTTGGCACATCCCTATTTCTTCTCTCCCTCTTCCTTTCTGTTTTGCACACTGCATCTGCCATCACAACGCACTGACACATTACATGGTTAGGTCTGTTTATCTACTCAAGATATCTTTATTGGACACCTACTCTGTGAGGTGCTGGAACAGGCTCTGAGAACATGACGTATAAAAATACTGTGCTTGGGCTGGGCGCGGTGGCTCACACCTGTAATCTCAGCACTTTGGGAGGCCAAGGAGGGTGGGTCATCTGAGGTCAGGAGTTTGAGACCAGCCAGGCCAACATGGTGAAACCCTGTCTTTACTAAAAATACAAAAACTTAGCTGGGAGTGGTGATGTATGCCTGTAATTCCAATTACTCAGGAGGCTGAGGCGGGAGAATTGCTTGAACCTGGGAGGCAGAGTTTGCAGTGAGCCGAGACCACACCACTGCCCTCTAGCCTGGGCGAAAGAGTGAGAGAGACTGTCTCAAAAAACAAAAAACAAAAACAAATAAAAAAAACTGTCCTTTGTCACTAGGTAAGACAGAGATGCATGCATCCCTTCATTCATTTGTTCAACAAATATTTATGGAGTTGACTATGTGCCAGACACTCTTCTGGGTTCCAGGATATGGTAGTGAATAATGCAAACTCCCCTTTGAATTCTCTAGGACACATGCTACAATAGAGGCACATGCAAGTTTCAGTGAGAATGATCTCCCAAGGGAGGCCTCCTGGGACTGAGTCTCAAGGGCATACATGGCAGGAATTAATAGAACGGAAGAGGACACAGATGAACTTGTGTGGAGTTCCATATCATTATAGAAGAGCACAGAAATGTGAAGATGGAACAGATCAAGGACCAGGAGCCAGTGGCAGAAGGGATTCCTTATTTTATGAATATAAAACCAGTCCCTGATAACATGAAAAAAAAAATTTAACTGTTTGAAGCTTCCTCCTCCAAATTCGACCCACCGATGATGGGTCTGAAAAATTTTACCTGCTTGGTTTGCAAGAGGCATTTGATGTTTATTATTCAATCTTTCTATGGAGCAACCATTGCAGGATTGGAACTTCTTTGCATTAAAAGCAGCAGTTGCATAGCATGGTATTCCTGAATTTCTCTCATAGGTAGAGGATGTTTTTATTATTTTAAGATGCAAGCCAAGTATTATCAGAAGGCATAGGCACTTGGGAGTTACCAAAATTTCAGATGATTCACAAGCTGGCAGTGACAGACGGTGACATCTTGATTTAACACTCCCCTGGTGAAGAGGGAAACAGCAATTTTTAAAACTGCATCCATGACTGTGTTTGGGTCACTTTTGAACCATTTGTATGTAATTCAGGATTTACTGGATTTTTTTGAACATTCAAATGTAATTCCAGGCTTAACAAGTTGCTCTGCAAACTATCAAATATTTATATTGTTTTTTTCCAAATGTATTTATTATTTACTGTACAGTCTATGAAATATTTACACTGATTTTTAAAGAAAAGATATACATTATTTACATTGCCTTGAAATTTCTCCTGATGCAGGTAAAATGACACAGCACAGAAGGCTGAAAGACTCCCAGGGATGCCTCTCAGGTTTGTCAGTAAACGCACGGAGGCTCTGTCCCTCAGGAAAACACCTGACAGTGGAGTTATGTAATTAAAACAAGGTGGGGATCACCCAGGTTTCCTTGGAGTCCCTACTTCCTCATAGTTCTTGGGTCTCCAATGGCAAGAGGGAAAGTTGGAACGGTTCCTACCAGCTTCTCTCTTTATTCTCCCAGGTTTCCAGGTGCCTTTCCTTACAGGATGGGCAGCACCTTGATTTTCTCTCTGGGACCCAGAATATCCCCAGCTGCAGAAGGAATGATTCTTTTCCAGGAAAATAGAGTTGAGGTTCCCCAGATTGAACTGACTGTCAAACTTAACTGGCAATATTATTAATAACATGTATTCTCAGCCTCTATCTTATCCCAGGAGATTCTGAGTATGTCAGTTTGGGATGCTGCCTGGTAATCTATAGTCTTAAAAATGTGCCTGTATGGGAGGATTGCGTGAGGCCAGGAGTTTGAGATCAGCCTGAGCAACATAGTGAGACCCTGTATATACAAAAAAATATTAAAAAATAGCCAGGTAGGCTAGGCGCAGTGGCTCATGCCTGTAATCCCAGCACTTTGGGAGGCCGAGGTGGGTGGATCACGAGGTCCGGAGATTGAGACCATCTTTGCCAACCTGGTGAAACCCTGTCTCTACTAAAAATACAAAAATTACCTGGGTGTGGTGGCATGCGCCTGTAGTTCCAGCTACTAGGGAGGCTGAGGCGGGAGAATTGCTTGAATCCGGGAGGCAGAGGTTGCAGTGAGCCGAGATCACCCCACTGCACTCTAGCCTCGCGACAGAGTGAGACTCCGTATTAATAAAATAAAATAAAAATAAAAATAAAAATTAAAAATATAATAAAATAGCCAGGTACAGTTGTGTGCACCTGTAGTCCCGGCTACTCTGGAGGCTGAGGGGGGAGGAGCACTTGAGCCTGGGAATTGGAGAGTCCAGTGAACCATGATTGTGCCATTGCACTCCAGTCTGGGCAACAGAGTGAGACCCTGTCTCCAAAAAGAGAAGCGTGCCTATCGATTCTGATTGTCTAGTAAGTGTGGGAACCTTTGGAGGAGAACCTTATTTATGTGTGTTTTCTTTTAATTTGAAACATACTTAGATGATTCTCAGTCTCCTCTCATCTGGCTGTCCACCCTCTCTTACCTTGTTTGTAGATGTCTGAAATCACCCTACTAAGTCTTGGTGAATGACTCATCCCCACTCAGGACTGGTGTGGGATATTGGTATGGGACATTAGCACATGGTCCTTTTCTTAGGCAGATGCCCTCTTGACGAATTGATCTCATAAAATGATGCCTTGACATTCTTATCTTTGCAACCACTACTGAACTTTCTTTCCTGATAGTAACGTCTTCAGTCCATGCTTCCCTGAGTCACATGACCTACTTCAGCTTTGTTTACAGCTCTACCATAGCTGGTTTTGGGGATTTGCCATTAGATACTCTTAGAATCTGTCTTGAAAGAAACCTGAATATAGGACTTAGGATCCTACTTAAGTATGCATTTTTTTAATTTAATTTAATTTATTATTATTATTATTATTATTATTTGCTATTTAGCTTAACACATTTCCACCTTAGTGACTAGAAACTGGTTTCTGGGAGCATTTTTGGTTTTGGATCTCAGTTGCAATGTTGAAATTTGTAGGTTGGCCTAAGTCAAGTAGAAGATACTGTGTATCTAGGCCTGTGATTAGTGCTGTGGGGTAGAAAGAAGAGGAAGACTTTGCTCCTTCTCCATAAAATTTTTACATTCTGGTCAAGAGGATAAAACCAATGTATACATGTTAGTTAGGATAGGCTGCAGTAACAAACAACTTTGCTTTCTAGTCTCAGAAACTTTAAAAACAGGATTTATTTCTTATTAAATTACAAATCAAGCAAGAATTATCAGGGAGATTCTGCTTATTTTTGTCTTGTGTGGTTTGTTTTTAAATCACTCTATTGAAGTATAATTTACACACAATGAACTGGATTTATTTTAAGAGTACAATCCAATGAGTTATGACGTGTCACCATAATCTATACATAGATCATTTCCATCACCCAAAAAATTCTCCTGGTATCCTTTCACAGGATGCCACCATCCTCTGCCCTATGCAACCACTGATACAGCACTGCAGATTTCTGTCACCATAGATTAGTTTTATCTGTTCCACAATTTCATAGAAATGCAATCATACAGAACATACTTTTTTCTGTCTAGCTTCTTTCAGTTAACATGCTTTTGTGATTCATCCATGTTAGTGTGTGTATCAGTAGCTCATTCATTTTATTGTTGGAGTAGTATAGATTCTGCTTATCACAGTCACTTAGGATCCAGACTGATAGGGGCCTTGTCTCAACAAATGCTTCCAGGATTGATGACTGACGCTGGGGAAAGGACTCTAGAGGGTCTCTCACCAGCAATTAAATGGCGTAGCCTGAAAGTGATATGTCACTTCTGACTACAACTCATTGGCCAGAACTACTCCTGTGGGCTTCCCCCACCCCAAATAGCAGGAAGGGTGGAAAAGGACAATTCCCTTGTGTGCCTAAAAGGAGGAGAACAGAGTATTGTCATTTACCATAGTATGAAGAGGATACAGATTAACCCTTGAACAATGTGGGAGTTAAGGGTGCTGAACCCCCATGCAGTGAAAAAATCTGTATAAAACTTTTGACTTGGCCGGGTGCAATGGCTCACACCTGTAATCCCAGCATTTTGGGAGGCCGAGGTGAGTGGGTCACCTGAGGTCAGGAGTTCGAGACCAGCCTGGCCAACATTGTGAAACCCTGTCTTTACTAAAAATACAAAAATCAGCCAGTGTGGTGGCATGCGCCTGTAATCCCAGCTACTTGGGAGGCTGAGGCAGGAAAATCGGCTTGAACCCAGGAGGCGGAGGTTGCAGTGAGCCGAGATCGTGCCACTGCACTTCAGCCTGGGTGACAAAGCGAGACTCTATCTCGAAAAAAAAAGAAAAGAAAAGAAAAGAAAACTTTTGACTCCCCTAAACTTAACCAATAGCTCACTGTTAATCAGAAGCCTTACCTATAACATAAACAGTCAATTAACACATTTTTTATGTTAGATGTATTATATGCTCTGTCCTTATAATACAGCAAGCTAGAGATAAAGAAATGTTATTAAGAAAATCATAAAGAAGAGAAAATATATTTACTATTCATTAAGTGGAAGTGGGTTATCAAAAAGGTATTCATCCTTTTCATCTTCACACTGAGTAGGCAGAGGAAGAGGAAGAAGAGAAGAGGAAGGGTTGGTCTTTCTGTCTCAGGGTTGGCAGAGGAGGAAGAAAATCCAGGTGTAAGTGTACCCATAAGTTCAACTCCTTGTTGTTCATGGGTCACCTATATATATATAATCAAGTGCTGAGTGCAACTCATGCAGTACACGCAGTGAAGAGAGAAAGTACCTGCGAAAGGTATAGGGTAAACCTTTGTAGGTGGGTGCAAGAGACTAGGGAGAATAACAGCAGCCACAATATCTTTGGTCATGAAGTGTACGCTATGTAACACCAGGAAAGGGGCTAAAAAATTAAATCACTGTCCAATTTAATCACGATGACAACCATTTGAGATAGATACTATTTTTATTAATATCTACATTTTATAGATAAGGATATTGAGGTTTAGAGAATGTTAAATACATTTTCCAAGATCTCAGAGCTAATAAATGGTGCAGCCGGGATTTGAACTGAGAGAGTCGTAGTTTAGAGGATGGAGAAAATTCGAGTAAAAGCAAGAAAATGGAAATGAGCCTGGTGTATTTGTGGCACGAGGAAGAGACCACCCTGCCACAAACAGCAGGGTGGTCTGCAATTAGTAGAGGACCAAAGTTAGCTTTATTTCCAATTCTACATACAGTACAAGGAAATCTTCAAGACTTTTTGGGAAATAAGAGTATCTGTGGTCTTAAAAGAAGTAAAATAAGATTGCTGCCTTTGGTAAATAACTTTGACTTTTGGGGATTTGACCTTTAGTTTTTAACATGCTTTAAGACATTGCTGACCTATGGGATTATGCATAATTTACTCCTATCATCAGTTTATAAACCTCCCTTTCCCTTGCCAAATCTTGATGGGAATGAGCATGACTAAAACTGATGTATATGGAAATTTGGATTTGTGATTCTTTTCAGGAATAACATCATAGAGCTTATTTGTGAATGGAAACAAATTTGAGTGATGGACACATATGGTAATTTGGAATAGTGAAAACAGCCATGTCCATCAGTTTTTGAAATATTTACAGGGGATGATATCTGTTGATATGGTTCTAAATTGGAATCCCTGTTGACTCAATGTGTGGTGAGTTACTCAGCCCTGAATTATTGGGCACCTGAATTATTGGCTGTTTCTTTATTGGCTATTTCTTGTTATACAGAGAGGGAGAAAATTGAGGAAAGGATAAGCATGATTCAGATAAAAGGGTAACACCAAAGAGCAAAACTCTCAGAAAGAGACAAAAAATTACCCCAGCAAGAACAAACAACAAATGATTCTGAAAATTTACCTCTTGCAAAATATGGTTATCAAAGGGATAGTGAAAGGGATACTTTCACATTAATCATTTGTAGTACCTAACACTCATTTAATTCTTATTATATGTTAGTAGCTTGGCTAAGCATCTTTCAAGGCATTTTCTTATTTAATTGTCACACCTCTTTGAGGTGGGCAGTATTGTACCCATTGTACAGATGAGGAAATTAGGGCTTCTAAGGAAAAGTAACTTGTTCAAGGTAACAGAACAAAAACATGATTAGGCTAATGCTGTATGTCTCAGTTTTTCCCCTTAATTGATATTTGAAGATACAGTCATCATAAGGACTTGAAGCCTTTAAAGATAATTTACTTATTCATCCCATATTTACTAAGCTCCTGGTATACACCAGAGGCTATACAGGGCTTCAGAATATGTAGATGAATAAGACATAGTCCTTGACTTGGGGACTTATTCAACCCATATATGCTAAACTAGTATATACCAGAGGCTATACAGGGCTTCAGAGTGTGTAGATGAATAAGACATAGTCCTTGACTTTGGGGACTTATTCAAACCATATTTCCTAAACTCCTAGTATATACCAGAGGCTATATAGGGCTTCAGAGTGTGTAGATGAATAAGACACACTCCTTGACTTGGGAGACCTCACAGTGTTTCGAGGAAACATACAATTTAATAGGCAGTAGTAAGGAATTCATCTCACTGGAATGAGAAGCCCATGTGCAAGATATTATGGGAGCAAAGAGAAGCAAAGGAAGTCTTCGGGGAGGATGGTTATTACAGGATCCAGTGTTAGCCAGGGGATGGCAGTGGGGGAGATTCTAGACAGATGGCAGAACCTAAGCAAAGGTCCAGAAGTGAAAACAGCCTGGGATATGTGGGGTCTCTGAAAAGTTTACACAAATGGTCAAGGAGTGACAAGAAACAGTTAGAGTTGAACCCAGGTCACAGACACCACTCATGTACCCGGTTAAAGCCCTTGGTGCTTACCCTGTGGGTGAGGGAGACTCTGAGGGATTTTAAACAGGTGTAAATGTCAGAGTGAGCTTCTCAGTGCTCAAGGTCAAAGGCTATGGCATTTGAGTTGATGAAGGACAATATTTGGAATTTCCTGATTGCTGTCTTCAACAATCTGTCCTTTTTCATGTTCTATGATGTTTGAATAATATCAGTATTGGCATTCCCCTCCTTTCTTATTTAAAACCGGGATGTATGTCATCTTCCTTTTGTGTTTTCTTACCATAACTCATGAGAACAGGCCTGTGGGAAAACACTGCATTTGGTTTTCGAGTAGCATCCCGGTTCAGGAGAGTGAGTGAAACAGTTGTGGAGCAGGACAAGGGAGAACAGCTTGGTTGTGGTCATGCCATTATCACCAGCAATCCCTGCCTTTTAGTGACTGCAAGGTGCCCATTGTCTATTGGCACAATGAAATTCAACAGATGATTAACAAAGAATCTACGATAAGGGGCCATTTCAAAAACCAGAATACATTCTACAAAGAGACACATATATGTTGTAATAGAAAATAAGTGTGGTGACACTTTCTATCAGGACTCAAGGGCTACAGGGTATAGCATGTCCAAGAAAAAGGGAAACCACTGATATGTTTAACAGCATTATCTAAAGCAGGGCTCCATATATTTTTCATGAGACAACATAACTTTTAATTCCTAAGTGTGCTTTTTTTCCTCTCATACAAGTATAATAAGAGGTTTAGTGAGTTTGCAAAAAAAAAAAAAAAAAAAAAAAAAATCATCATCCCACATTTGGTTCCACAGGGTCATAGCTAACTGTCTCTGGAAACTTGACCCTGAATGAGTTTAGGATAATCAACTACAAATTTGCCAGAATGTAGAGCCTCATACAATAAAAATGTATTACTACAGCAAAGCTGTCCAGAAAAAGTAAATTCAACAAAACAGGAAGAAATATACTGATGAGAATTGTGGGCACTTCAGATTTTTAACTGAAAAGAAATCCCAATGCAAATACTATAATGTTGAGATGAAATTTTATTTTTCAAACACAAAACTTTACAATGGCAAAAGTAATCGTTTAGTCAATCAATGAATACAAGATTTTGTAAATGATTATGAAACAGTTTTTTGTTTTGTGCATGGAAAGTGTGTGTATGTGTGCACGTGCACAAACACACAAAAAGCACTCCTCTTCCTTTTGCTTCATACAAAGTCTGTTGTTCTGATAATCATGCGATGTGCGATTTACAGAGCACACGCCTGTCCTATTGTCCTTGAATGCTGAGTTGGTCCAAATTTTCCTGGGTGCAGTGGTCATGAGCAGGGAAACTCAGAAGCTGCCTGCTGAAAAGCTGGACTGCTCAGGGTATGAGAGGCTGCCTGGCTGAGCGACAGGTTCACATTTTAAGGCCATGAATCCACTGCTCTGAGTTAGGAGTCGTGAAATTGTTGATAGCAAATCACCGCCATGGCCACATAATTCTTGAGGAGGCCTAAACTTGTGCTGCCACGGCACTGGTGCCATATGTTTCTTCCTGCTCTGCTGCCTTGGAATATATAGAGAGTTCAAGGGCAATTGTATCATTTAATCAAACTGCAGCATTAATGACTATCAGAGGCAAAATGAAACCAACAAAAATGAAAACATTATATATACATACACATATATATGTGTGTATATATATTTTATAGTGAAAATATCTTACAGAAAGTCAAGAAATGTATAAAGTAAGTTCATCTATACTGTAAAATCAACCATTCATATTTTATAGAGAGCTATGTTTATGGAACACATTATCTGACCTAGTAGGTTTATGTTTCTGACCAATTTTGCTCTTTACAAATATTGTCACATTACTGCATAGATTTGGGGGTTGAAAAGGACTTAGATGATGCCTTTTACCAAAAGAATGAGTTCGAACAAATTGCTTCATCTTTTTAGGCCCCATAGTTTTCCCATAGGAAAAACTGAAAAAATAAAAAAGCAGTTTCCTATAGCTGTGAAGATGAAATGAAATAATGCACTTCTATAGCCTAGTAGGTGGCAGAGACTGAGGGATGAATTGGTATTGCTATATGCATTGATATTGTTATAAATCCATACTAATTAGTTATGAATAACACCTGGCTTCCAAATGTTTTATTTTTATTTATTTATTTTTTTTTGAGACAGAGTCTCACTGTTGCCCAGGCTGGAGTGCAGTGGCGTGATCTTGGCTCAGTGCAACCTCTGCCTCCCAGGTTCAAGTGATTCTCCTTCCTCAGTCTCCTGAGCATCTGGGATTATAGGCACCTGCCACCACACCCAGCTAATTTTTGTATTTTTAGTAGAGATGGGGTTTCACCATGTTGGCCAGGCTGGTCTCGAACTCCTGACCTCAGGTGATCCACCCCCGCTTGGCCTCCCAAAGTGCTGGGATTACAGGCGTGAGCCACCACGCCCAGCCCCAAATGCTTTAAATGATCACAAAAGAAAGTAACCAATTGTGGATCCTTTTATAATTATGAAGTCAATCATTTTGACCAACTAATTAGGAAATGAGAATTCATCTAATTCTAGAATGTACTTCCTCCACTAAACTGTAAACTCCCTGAGAGCTCTTAGCTCACCTCTAAACTCTCAAAGCCTAATACCACCAGTTCACTAACTAAATAAAAATCTATTGAATTATCCATATTTACTTTCTCGACCATTCTTCTTTTAGATAAGAATAGGTGTTTCTTACAGCTTTATAGGGGCTTTTTAAGTATTAAGAATATTAACTAACCTGTTTGACTGGCATATTGTTGCAAATGCTTCTTCATTTTTTTGTCTTTTTATAATATTTAGAAAATCACTTCTCAACTAGATACAAATTAAAATTTCCTTTACAGTTTCTTTTGGTTTTCTTTTCTTTTTATTTTCTGATATGGGATCTTTCCGTTTCTCAGGCTGTTCTCAAACCTCTGGGTTCAAACAGTCCTCCCTGCTCAGCCTCCCAAGTAGTTGGGAATACAGGCACACAAACACAAGACTGTGCCTGGCTTTTTTTTTTCCACATTTATCTCTTTTATTGGTTTGGAATTTATTTTAATACAATGTAAAAAATCTAACCTGACTTTTAAAAATTTTTTTAGCAAAATTTATTGGCCAACTTATTATTTACTGTTAGTTTGTGATTCTTCTTTGAATATACACACACACTCTTACATACACACGTTTATTAAATGCTAATAAATACATAGTTTTATCTATATATGTATACATATGTATGTGAATATATATATATATATATATGTATTTTCTCACACTAACTGGTTTTATTTTATCTTTTTCAAAGTACTAATAACTGTACCCAAAGAAAGACAAAGAAAAATAAGTCTTCTTCAATTTTATACCATTCTTCCACCCAAGAAAGACGTATCATTAACACTTTCTTCTACGTACCTCCAGAAATATGCCCTGCCTATACAAATATTTGTTGTATGTGTGTCTGTGTGTATGTATGGTGAATATCTTTTTTTTTTTACACAAGTGGAAAAATCGTCTATATACTATTTGACACTTTGTTTTGTTTTTTTCCTTTACCAAGTACCTTGGAAGTTGTTTTCAAAAAAGCTCTATCTCATTTTTTACATAATTCTATAGTATTCCATTGTGTGAATATTGCAAAAGTTATCTAATCAGTTCCCTTTTGGTGGCCTTATTTACTTTACTTTTGCTATTACAAGCTACATTTCTGGTATTTTTATTTGGGATGTTTCTTTTGTTTATATTTTTTACCTCTTACTATTTAGCTTATGTTGTTTTTAATTTCATTTTTATGTTTTTATTGTTTAAAAATATTTTATAACTTGTTTTTTATCATCTTTAAATATTCCTTTTTATCTCTAATATAAGAGGAAATTAATATTTATGATTCTTCCTATCTTTCTTGTGCTGTTTATATTATTTCAATTTCTCTAGGAGTTATTTTGTACTTAAACATATTACACTGAAGCCTGAGATTCATCTGCTTTAAACTGTATCTTTTGACCCCCAGCTTGGAAAGAAGAGGAGATTACCTTATTTACTCTATTCTCTTACCTCCTTTCTTTACCTCTCAACATTTTTAGGTATAATATTTCTTCATTGCTTTGGTCTATAAAACTCATATCCTCTTCTCACAGTTATTTAGCCTGAATCCTATATTTAAATTTATATAATGTTCACAACCAGTCTTTTCATTATGGCTTCTCCATTCATGTCTTGATTGTCTGAGGTTTATTTACAAGTCGTTTCCCCAAGCAGTGTCCATGAAAACTATATTACCTGAAATTTGGAATATATGAGGATATATATCTTTGGCCTTTCTAGTTGCAAGTATATAATTATATACTTTTTTAAGACCACACTTTTATTCCCCTAGAACTTTGTAGAAAGTGTAGCAGTTTCTAGCATTGAATGTGGCTTGTAGGAAGGCTGAGGCTAAGCTGATGATTTTTTACTCTCATAGTTGACTTGGTGTTCTTGACATCATGCCCACGAGAGTCTGGTAACTTAAACAGGGAAAGTCTGCATTTTTCAGTCAGTGTTATCCCTCTTTGGAATATGATATGGTCTTTTAATCTATACATTTTGGTCCTGTTTTATTTAAGGAATATTTTTTTTTATCTTTTTGGGAAAAAAAGTTTTATTTCCAGATTTTGTAGTGTCTTTAAACACCAATTATGTATATGTTGGATCTTTGTTTGTCTTCCAAATGTGCCATTTTCTGTCTGATGCTATTTTAATAATCTCCATGTTTTTCATTTCTTCTTGCTTGACTTTCATCATTGATTATTCTTGACATTCTTACTCATTTTAGGAGCATTCCTTGAAAGTTTGAAGAAATTTGCCTCAAGCTTTATTTGACTTCAGCAGTCACTGCATTTTGGTGTCTATCTTTGAGCACTAGGTAAATCTACAAAGGAGGAAAAAAAAAACACCTGAAATGTTTGGCTCCATTATTTCCTCCATCCAGTTTATTCTTTTACAAATGCCTCTGCTTTCTCTGTAGAAGTAGCAAGTAATTCTATGTGCTAAATTTCAGTGAAAGTGTTAAATATCTATTTCATGCAAACTGGCTAAGTAATGTTCATGAGTGATTCCTTATTCTGCACTCCAGGATACAGAATATTTCTGCTCATTTAATATTCATAAAAGGACCATTAGTACATTCTCTATAACCTACATAATTAAACAGTGATTAAAAAGGACCAATTTAATAGTGCAGGTTCTCATTTACTCTTCAATAGATAACATGAAGGGAGGTAAACCCCCTCTTGCCACTGCTCTTATAAGTCATTTACTAGAACTTATAAAAGCCAAAATTCCTTCCAAGTAGTTATATTCAGTGTTTCCTGTGCTTGTATATACCTAACAATTGAAAGACAACCTCCACATTAAAAAAATGGTGGTTTCTTTTTTTTAGGTTTTTAGAAATTAATATTCTCAAAGAATGTTTAAGTTTGTTAAGGTGGCACATTGTATATGTAGCTTTTGATTTTAAAGGTGTTAATTCGATTATCAGCCTATATTTTTCATTATTAGATGGATCTATCAACAAATTATTATTGGATAACCACTTTGTAGAAGATATTGCATCCTGCACTGGACTAAAAATGGTGTTTTCAAAACATATCTCTATCACTGAAAGAGGTCATCAGCTTATTTTTAAACAATTGATTGAATTGGCTATTTGGCTGACCTGATTTAGTCAATAAGGCATGAGAAAAGGCAAGCAATGGCCTGAATGAATTTGACATACAGGGGCACACAAAAGCCTCCCTTTGGCTGTAGACAGGTTTTGCTATTTCTTGGATTGTTCACTTTTTGTTTGAGTTAATTTTGAAACTAAGCTTCTGTCCTTCCTTTATCACTCCCTCTCTCCTTCTTCCTCCTTTTTTATGTAGCTTCCTGTGTCACTCTGGCTTGTGCTGTTAATGATGTTTTTGCATCAGTAAAATACATAAAAACTGTAGTTCAATATGATTGATGATCCTACCAGCTGAAAAATACTAATGCAGGTGGGTTTTTAAATATTTAATGAGTTATAATCTTAATCTGGTGTTTCTCTGCCAAACCTCATGCCTTTCAGGTATATTTTATCAAGTTACTCTTAATGAGGAGCCAGAAATTAGATAGCCATACAACTCATGTACCTTTGAATATATTTTGGCTTGTGTTTGGCTGAAATCCATGAAGGTGGTTTGATATTGCCTAATTCTGGAGACATCTGTGTCTGATAAAGCACTCTGGTCAGTGTTAAGGTATTTTTTCAACATATGGCCTTTGGCCCAAAGTTCTCAGGTTTATAGCAGGGCTGCTGGTGGAGTCAAACCCTCAGGGACACTCTGAGTGACTCACCTGTATTTAGCAGTAGTAATATTTTAGAGTATGTAAAAATCTACAAGGGTGTCTGTCAATGGAAGGCCCTTCTTGCGATTCAGGATGAGATCTGTTTTAATAAAACCAAATTTTTGAATATGACCTAATCATGAATATAGACTGAATATAGCCTCCCCATATTGAGTCTTCTGAATCATTTTGAAGAAGGTGCTTATAAAGATACAAATCCATTTGATCCATAAATAAACATAAGATTAACAATGAAACCAAGCAATATTAAAGGTAACAGAAATTGCTTTCATTCATATATTTTCCCCTTGCTAGATCATTTATTTATCCTTGTATTCTTTCTCTTTCTTCCATCAAATACCTTTTTTATAAGCCTATTTTCAATCAGTCAATAAATAAGTAAAACTTATTGATATGGGTCAGCTGTGTCCCCACCCAAATCTCATCTTGAATTGTAGCTCCCATAATCCGCACATGTTGTGGGTGGGACCCAGTGGGAGGTAATTGAATCCTGGGGGTGGGTTTTTCCTGTGCTGTTCTCATGATAGTGAATGAGTCTCATGAGATCTGATGGTTTTATAAAGGGCAGTTCTGCAACACACTCTCTTGCCTGCCACCATGTAAGACGTGCCTTTGCTCCTTGTCCGCCTTCCACCATGATTGTGAGGCCTCCACAGCCATGTGGAACTGTGAGTCCATTAAACATCTTTTTCTTTATAAATTACCCAGTCTCAGTTATGTCTTTATTAGCAGCATGAGAACAGACTAATACATCTATTTACAACAGAATATGAACTCAAACTGGTGTGCTATTGTTCTCTTTTTACACTGTAAAAGAAATTTTGACATCAGCAAGTAGCATTTATTTATTTTGTAACAAAGGATCCCTCTCCTGATTCCTGCAGTTACTCCACTTCTGCAGGTCTGCCTCCGACAATATGTGTGGCAGAGATTGTATCCTCTCACATGTGTGCAGTGATTGTATTCTCTCACATCAGCAAACACTTCCTGCATGTTTACTATGTAACAGGCACTATAATAACTGTTTTGTATAGATTTTTCCATTAGATCTTAGCAACTGTGTGAGGTATGGGTACTATTATTGACCCATTTTATTGATGAGGAAATGGAGACACAGAGAGTTTAGGTAACTTGTCCTAAGTCACACAGATAGTGAGTGGTAGAGATGAGATTGAACCTGAGCAGTCTAATATAAGAGCCCACATTCTTAACTACCACCACTTTCCTCCCACTACAAATCCACCACAAATTAACAGTGGCCCCTATGTACTTCCTAGAAAGGAGGAGGGAAATTTGAGAAAAATGACAGAGTCTGAAGGTCAGAGTGGAAAGACCTCAAAGTTTATTGAATCCAGCCCCTCTTTGCTATAACTAAAGCAAAAGAGGAATAGGGATACTCATTTATCTGTTCGCATCCACCTAGCCGTCATGGGTGGCTGCATACTAGATCTGTTTCTGCAAGTCTCTTTCTGGTATACGACTTATAGGGATGAAGGCCCATTAAAGATTCATGTTCTATAGACAAATTTCCCTGCAGTCCTTTATTTAATTTCACCCGGTGTATCTAGGGAATTGACGAATGTCACTGTAAACACAGAAGGTTCAGGACTCCAATTGTGGGAAAGAAAAAAATCATTATTGATGAGAAGTTGGAAGAACTGAGCCTCAAATTGCATAGTAACACCCCAGTGTTTTCAACTTCCTTACGTCAACTAAATTTGTGATATTATTTATATTTAAAGCCTTCCTTGGTGAGGATGCAGATTTCCTGGGTTGAGGTATAGAGGCAGTTAATATCCAAGATGCCAGGATACGGCCACCAATGTGAATGCAGCTTTTCAGTGGAGCCCCTGAGCCATGCCTCTTCTCTGAGATCTCTAGTATTGCAAAGATGTGGGCTTCCTTTTTTTTCTTTCCTCCCCAAAGACTCTTATGATGGGCACTTTTAATTAGGACACTTCTGTTGCACAAACGGGATCTACATCTGACAGCTTCCTTCTCAACACATGTTTTCCCTCTCATTCATCCATCTTACTTGTCAGCCTCCTTTTTCCTCTGTGACTGTGTTTGAAATGCTGTCCCACACATCCTTCCATTATAGAAAGGAAATCTGACACCTGGGGAGGCAGTATTTCCTTTTACTCTCTAACGGCAGAGGGCATGCTGGCTATTTCTCAAAATAGCACAGTCAGCAGTATTGAGGAACATTAGTGCTTTGTAGAGGAAACCAATGAATATTTTTTTTCTGATGAGATGCAAATTGTACATTCTATATCTCCCATCAGTGAGAACATCATTTTGCCTTGTATAGTTATGCAAGCACCTTCACATCAATTAAGGGGCTGTGATGACACTGCTTTGACATCCCATTAGCCCTTGCCTTTAGTTATGTGTCTATTAGAAGCAGAAATAAAAAGTGATATTGCCAGTCAGAGGTGGAACTTGAAATATCCTGGTGTTCCAAGGCAGATAAAACATCATGAATCTAAGGTGTTTTGCTTGCTCCCTGATTGTTTGTCTTTGCAGCTAATATTGGGCTAAATTTTGAGTTCTGTGAGGGCAGGGACAATATCTTAGCTCTTACTGAGACACCGCGGTGCCTAGGGCAACATCTTGCTTATAACAGAATCAGAAATTATAGACTGTTCAATTGTGTCTTCATGTGTACCTTGAATATTTAATGAGTGGTCATGACATGCGGGCCCTGTGCTAGGTGCTCTTCTAACTGAGAAGGACTTTGGGGTTTAATTAACATAATTCTTCATCGTGGAGTCCTTCGTTCATCAAAAATTTATGGAGTGCTTACTAAGTGCAGAGATAAAAATGACATGGTTTCTGGGTTCAAGAGGATTCTAGTCTAGTGGAAGACCCTGAGCTCCAGAAACGTCAAGTGCCATGCCTAAAGCTACACACACCATTACTACAGAGGTACCAGACTTGGATCTCTTTACTCAAATACTTGATACTCATTTGAATCTTAGCATTCTAGAAATGTAGGGCTACAGGGTCATGCCACTCATTTGGAATTCAAATTCTTCAGCAACAGCTGTCAAATTGAATGTCCGTGGTATATTGGACAAGGGCTAGAGTGGCTCAAAAATGCCTGCTTATAAACATTTATCAGATGAATTGCTCTGAATTTTCTACTTACCAAAGATAATTGAATTTATTTTAGTGTGGCTTAAATATAGTAGACATCTTCAATAATGACAGAAACAGATGGTTTATATGGTGTAATTTCAGAGCTATGGAAAGGTCCTCTGAGTCTTTTAAAAAAACAACTCCTTTCCCAGTATCCCAGTGTGCCTAAAATTTGACCACTACTATGTTGTTTTGATTGTCTCTTTGAGGAGGCTGAGCTGAAGATAAATTTTAATGTAGGGGGAGTAGGTAGAGAAAGTGTAGGACACTTAGAACATAGTAGGCACTCAGTAATTGTTGCCCAAGTAATTGAATATTTTAAATATAAATCAAGGTACAAAGTGCTATAAAACAGGGAAAGAATTCTTACTGCAGAGGGGGGAAGTTTCATAAAAATGTGACACTTCAAGCATTGATGCATGGGTTGAGTATTAACAGGCAGAAACTAAGGTGGAAGAGCTTTCTAAAGAGAGGAAATGTTGCAAGCTTGGGTGAACTAGTGTAAAAGCAAGACATAATTTACATAAAGCAATGGTTCTCAAAGTGCGGTCCAAGGATTTCAGGGGTTCTCCACAACATTTTCAGGGCATCCACGAGATAAAAATAAACTCTTTTTATAATAATACTAAGACGTTATCTGCCTTTTCACTTTCGTATTCTCATAAGCCTACAGTGGAGCTTTCTGGAGGCTCCGAGATGTGTGATAGTGCCAGAGCCTGAATGGAGAAGCATTTAGGAGAATCTAGCTGTCGTCTGTTAAGCCAGACAGCAGAGAAATTTGCAGAGATATAAAACTACTGTTTTCACTCAATATTCTGTTTTATTTCATAAAGAATGGTTATTTTTCATCTTATTTATATCAATATATAATGGATTTTTCTTCTTTTTAAATTAATGCTTCAATATTTAAAAAATTTCAGTTTAATTTCTAATGGGAGTAAATACTGATAGACATAACCCACTCAACCATGAACTGTGGGGAGGGAGTGCTGGCTATTTGTCAAAATAGCATATTTGGCAGTATTGAAAACACTGTGCTTTGTAAAGGAGAGGAAGAATTTGTGGTCCTCAATAGTATTTTTCACAGCTTGGTTTTATACATTTTAGGGAGACATGAGACATCAATCAATATACATAAAATGTATATTAATTTTGTCTGGACAGGTGGAGCAACTTGAAGCCTTGAAGCGGGGAGGGGGCTTCCAGGTCATAGGTAGATAAGAAGCAAATGGTTGCATTCTTTTTAGTTTCTGATTAGCTTTTCCAAAGGAGGCAATCAGATATGCATTATTCTTAGTGAGCAGAAGGATGACTTTGAGTTCTGTTTGTTCTTGTCCACAAGGAAATTCCCTGTGAGGGGGTTTGTAGCTTTTTTTTTTTTAATCTTAGTAGCTATCTTTTCAAGGAATAGAATGGGAGGCAAGTTTGCCCTAAGCAGTTCCCAGCTTGACTTTTCCCTTTAGCTTAGTGATTTTGGGGTCCCAAGATTTATTTTCATTTCACAGGTATATGATGTCAGTCACGATACACCAGGGAAGGCAGGTTACGGTCTTGATTGCCACTAACAGAGTGTTGGTTCCATTCTGTAAGCAAAGAGGAGCCATTGGAGGTTTGCGGGGAGAGATCACCACAATCAGAGTTGTGAGTTGGAAGAAACTCTGGCAAGAGCGTGAAGGATGGGTTAGAGTAGAGAAGGGATTAAAGACCAGAAATGCCACATACAGGGCTCTGACAGTGTCCCGCTGAGAAGGATTGAGGGAATGAAGACCTGACCTAAGGCAGCAGCAGTGGGAATGTAAAGAAGGTAAGGGACTCTTTAAGGTATTAGTGAGCTTGACGATTGCTTGAATATAAGGCAGAAGGAAGAATCAACGGTGACTCCAAATTTGCTTGCTATATCAACACAATTATCACACACATTATTTGAGTGCTTACTAAATGCAAAGCCTGGGCCAGGTGTTATTAAAATGCCAGACTGCTTCATTTCAGATACTGGCTTCAGTGGTTCCCATCTATGCTGGGCAAGTCACTTAGCTCTTCATGCCTCACTTTCCTCATCCGTAAAATGGCAAGAACATTAGTACCTACTTTATTAGGTGGATGTGAAGTGAATTATCACTAATAAAGTGCTTGAAAAGGTGCCTGGCTCACAGCCAACCCTTAATAAATGTTTGTTCAGGAAAAGATGGTGTGTAGGAGATATGAGGATGCAGAAACCGAGAGTCATAGGTGTCTTGCTCCTATATGGAAGTGCAGGAAGGTCAATCACATTTATTGAATCATTAAAAATGAAAGGGTTCTTATATACCCAATCTCTAGTTCCCATACTTACATCTTTCATATAGAGGATAGGGTTGGAGACATTGGCTGTTAGAAATCTTCGTAAATTTTTGGCTGGGTGCGGTGGCTCACTCCTGTAATTCCAGCACTTTGGGAGGCTGAGGAGGTGGATCACTTGAGGTCAGGAGTTTGAGACCAACCTGGCCAACATGATGAAATCCTTTCTCTACTAAAAATAGAAAAATTGGTCAGGCATGGGGGTGCATGCCTGTAATCCCAGCTACTCAGGAGGCTGAGGCAGGAGGATCGCTTGAACCCAGGAGGCAGAGGTGCAGTAAGCCAAGATCATGCCATTGCACTCCAGCCTGGGCGACAGAGCAAATTCCATTTAAAAAAAAAAAAGAAAGAAAAGAAAGCTTCAATAATTTTTTCAGAAGAATTTTTCTTTTGTTGATTTAAATGTTAGCCAGGTGCTTTACTTAATCAAGGACTTCAAAGAGCAGAGCAGAGTGACCACCTGTGGGTTGGGGATGTGGGAGACCATGGGAAAGTGGTAGGAAGTAGAGAAGGTTGTGATTAGTGGCTTATGCAAAATGGCCTTCTGTTTTCTCCTTAAATTCATGTGAATTTTGCATTTTATTCTGTAATATATCTGAGTTTATTTTGATACATAAAGGTCTTTTAAATTACTTACTATCTAGGAAAAACAATGCTTCAGAAAGAGGCTCCATGTTTATGGAGTACCTCCAGCTCTCTGCTGCATATTCCCAGCGGTCCTCTGGTTTGAGCAGTACTGATTTAACCCAATTATACAGCCCCAGTAGGAGAAAAAAAAATACTTTAAAAATCAACTCAGTTGATGCTTTAGTTCTTTGCAGGAGAAACAATGAATCATAAAGATTAATTGTGTCTTTTCTTGTGAGTTTAATAAATAATATCAGTTTACAGGAAGGATGAAAAGTTGATATATGTAATTAATGCTGAACAAAAATGCTATAAAGATTTGTACAAAATGCTGTCTTTTTAAATATATGGAGGGGTGCTTTTATTTTAAAATTCATGAAGTCTTGAGTAAGCTCAGCAACATTTTCCTGCAAAGGTAATTGAAGAACCCTTCACACAGCCATCCACCCAAAAAGAAAAGGGATAAAGAAGTTCTACAAATAAACTAAGCGTTTTGGATTGCATTAGGTCCTAGGGAAAGGAATTTAACTTGGATTTCAATTATAAATAAATTTTGGAAAGTTTGCTTGAATGAGTTCTTGCTAGTATGAAGGGAGAGAATGCACCAATATAACAGACAGATCAGGTGGTCACCATCTTGATTTTGTGGTTAACCTCGGCGTTCCCAGTGGTGAACAAGTTGGCACTGTGTGCACCCTGTTGGGATGCAATATTAAGTAAGAAGCATTGCCTGTCAGTTATTCTTAGAAAACATTTTTAACTGAATCTAATCACAGTGTCAGGTCTGACTTCTAGTTTCCAGTATATATGGGAAATGGGAGAACAATTTAAATGACACCATAAGAAGACAAGCAGACAAATCCAGAATGTGGAACACTCTGGAGGACAATTGAATTACTTCAAGATTTCAGTACAAAGTAATAAAAATAATAATAACAATAATAATAATGTGTTTGTGTATGTGTTGGGGCTTCCAGAATCTTTTTTTTTTTTTTTTTAATTGAGATGAAGTCTCGCTCTGTCGCCCAGGTTGGAGTGCAGTGGCATGATCTTAGCTCACTGCAAGCTCCACCTCCCAGGTTCAAGTGATTCTCATGCCATGCCTCAACCTCTGGAGCAGTAACCTCTGGGATTACGGGTGCCCACCACCACAACCAGCTAATTTTTGCTTTTTAGTAGAGATGGGATTTCACCATGTTGGCCAGGCTGGTCTTGAACTCCTGACCTCAAGTGATCCATCCACCTCAGCCTCCCAAGGGTCCAGAATCTGGATTAGATGCTACTTTGAAAGTAAAAAGAGACTTAAATATCAGTTGGTGCGATCTGAATGTGGTTTAGATATTGGAGGAGAGTAGAATATTATTGCTAGTTTCTTAAGCTGGCTTATGGTACTGGGGTTCTGTAGAGCAGACACCTTATTTTTAGATGTGTGCTGAAATATTTAAAGGAGAAAGCAAGTGACTGATGTCACTTACTTTCAAATGATTTAGCAATAAAACTAGAGAGATAAAGAAATGAGAAACACACACACATGGATCAGAGAGAGAGATCTGGTTGCTTATGGCACAATTTTCAATTTTTCTGTAAATTTGGATTTTCTTAAATAATTAAAAGCTGGTAAAATTTTGCTGTAGAAAAAACTTATATATATTCATTTATTCAAACATTCACTGTCTATAATTTGCACAACCATCACATGCCAAGTACTATGTTAAATGTTAGGGAGACAGTGGTGAGAACAATAGACAGGGCCCTTTTGCTGTTGTGAAATTTTAATTTGAGACAGAACACTACTAAACAGTGAGACATGCAAATAAGTGAATAGTCATGTATTGCAATATGTTATTAAAAAAACAAGAATAAATTTCATGAGAGCGAGTGACAGAGGAGACATAATTGGGATGAGGGTAGAGTGAGTGCCTGGGATGATCTTTCCAGAAAAGCAGCTTCTTTCCAAGAGGTTCCTTGGGACCCTTCAGTCCCCAGCAATGTCTCTGTCCCACAGCCTCCTGGGTCTTCACACTGTTCCTTCAGCACTTCTTCGGGCAGCAGTTCCCTTCCTGTGCATTTAATCTTGGCATCTCAGTTGGATGGTATGCTCCCTTGAAGGTGAATCTTTGATCTATTCATCTCTACATTCCTCAAAGCCCCATGTCACACAGGAGTTTGATATTTACTAAATAACTATATTTGTGCAGTTCTTTGTACCTTTGAGATTCCTTTTCTATGAATGAACTCATTTGATGTGAACTTTAAAATGGCCTTGTGATAGTTCGTTTTATGAATCCTCTTGGCTAGGTTAGGGTACCTGGCTGTTTGGTCCAACACTGGTCTAACTGTTGCTTGGAGGTATTTGTGGATGCGATTAATTTTACAATGAATTGACTTTAAGTAAAGCCAATTACCATCCATAATGTGGGTTGGTTCTTATCTAATCAGTTGAAGGCCTTAAGATGAAGATTTTTAAAAAAGAAGCAATTCTGCCTCAAGATTGCCACCTGGAAACCCTGCTTGACTTCCCAGTCTACTCCTGCCCTATGGAATTCAGACAGTAACACCAATTCTTACTGGAATGTCCAGCCTGCTGACCTTACAAACAGATGTTGGACTTGCCGTTCCCCATGACTATGTGAACTTATCCTTAAAATAAATATCTCTCTCTCTGTCTGTCTGTCTCTGTGTGTGTGTGTGTTTATATATATTTGTATATACACACACATACTATTACTTCTAGTGGTTCTATTTTGCTAAAGAACTTTGGCTAGTACAAGCCCTGGGAGATAAGGACAGTTACTTTTCCCACTTTACAGATATCTAAAGAGAGGCATGGAGCGGTTACACAGTTAATCCAAGGTTCCACACTGAGTTTGTGAGACCTGAAGGAAGCAAGTTCCTTCTAACTCAGTTTTTAAAATGGAGGCAGCTGCTTGATAAAATATCCATCTGATAGCTGAGAGAGCTTGAATGTCTGAGAGTGACAGTTTAACAACATTTTCTCTCTTTGGCACTATACTGGGTCTGGATGTTAATCTGGGTGACCCTGAAGGGTTTCCAGGATCCACACACATATTTAACAATCACTGTTTAGATGGGCTTTCTTCAAAGGATAGATAAGCCTTCAGCTGAGCGAAACAATCACCTCACTGTAAATGCGTATGGGGACATGAAACCATCAGCAAGATGAAAGATTTTTATCCTTTGCAGTCTGTAATGAAAGCCTGAAAAGGATTTCTCTTGAGAGATTCCCTTTTTGATGGATTTTCTTTGTTTACAATGAACCTGGGACTTAAATATTGTAGGCTATTCTTGCTTGACCGAATAACTGAACCACAATATCTGGAACAATAACTTGGGTGTTATTTGAAGTATAGTGGCCCGAATCTTGATTCAGTTCATACTAGGTGGAAAATTAAACAAGAAACAATTACAGTCTACTGGCTCCCTATACAGTGGGCTCCCGAATCTCACAGGCAAGTGAGAGGGTATGCTCCTCCAAGCCTCTGGGTGGGACAGTCCTGTGTACGTGGTTTGGAGAAAGGTCTGATCTTCTCCTTATCAGGATTACATTTCTCTTTGATGCCTGGACTAAGCTGTTTCCTCTTGCCAAGAGGTTAGGAACCTGCAACCCAAGGGTAAATGTAGGCTTAACTGCCTTCCTTCTCTGCTCATCTATTGGAAAATCAAGGGAGTCTAAACTTTTCTATGGAGTCTGCTACCCACAAGATTGCTGGGCTCCCATGCATGGCATGGCCATGGTATTGGGCCCTGGCACTCCACTTTCCCAAAGTGTGTGTTGTCTTGTACGAGCTCCTTTACATTCTTTGCCTTATTTTGCTTAGCTGTGCAATGGGAATAACACTTGTTTCACAGGATTCTTTTTTTTTGAGATGGAGTCTCGCTCTGTCACCCAGGCTGGAGTGCAGTGGCGCAATTTCGGCCCACTGCAAGCTCCACCTCCCCAGTTCACACCATTCTCCTGCCTCAGCCTCCTGAGTAGCTGGGACTATAGGCGCCTGCCACCACGCCCGACTAATTTTTTTTGTATTATTTTTAGTAGAGACAGGGTTTCACTGTGTTAGCCAGGATGGTCTCCATCTCCTGACCTCATGATCCGCCCACCTCAGCCTCCCACTTCACAGAATTCTTAAGAGGATGAAAGGACACCAAATAACATTAATCAAATAATATTAATCAGCAACATTTACTGAACACCAAGCTTGGAACAGCACTGAGCCAATCATTTCACATTTTTTATCCTGCCTGAAAGTCTCAGCAATTGCACACAGGCAGGTGCAATTGGTCCTGTTTTAAAGATGAGGCAATGGCAGCTAGGCAGGTTCAGGGCCTTTCCAGTGTTCCCTTATTGAGTCATTGGCAAGCCATATAATACTACACTCCGTGACTCAGGAACCCACCAGGGGTGCTCAGGACAAGTTGTTTTTCTCCTCCTTGGTGTAGTTTCTTGCCCCCTTTTCTTCCTGCTCCTCTTGAGGCCTCTTAAATGGAATCCCCAACAGAAGTAGTATAAGGGGTACAGTGTTTCTGCTCTAGCTGATGGGGTCTCCCTGAAGTGAGACTAAAAACTTAGGATCTTTCCATGCCAGAAATGGGGGAGGGTATATCTAATGCAAAGAGAAATAAAGTCATTTCATTCTCTAAGTGCCACTGTGTTCTATGTTCCCAAGAAATTATAAGCTGCTGGAGGTAAGGGAGCAAGTCTGTTAACTTACAGTAGACTCCTGGGTTTTCTGTTAAACAAATGATTTTGATGAGGAAGTTGCAGTTTCCTCCAATGATAATCTGCCCTGTGTATTGCCTGTCTCATTGTCAAACTCAGCTGGTAGGGCTTTGTGAGTTCTCATGAAAAGCTTTATTTCCAGGCAATGAGAAAGTTTAAGGTCAGAAGGACACAGTGCTGAGAATGTAAAAGCTCGTGGGATTTGTTGAGTGATGAGACCCTCTTTAGCACATAGAAAAACAGAAAGCCCTTTCTACCTGTCAAACTAAAAATTTATCGAGACAAGTGAAAAACAAACACAGGAAAAATTATTCTGCAATCATTACGCTTTCAGGCTTCCCATTCCATTGGAAAAAAAAACCCACAAACATTCTCCATCAGCAAGGGGCAAAAGATGAATATTGTAGTCAATGGGATAGGATGAAAGGAGACACCCGGCATATATAGTAGAAGATTGGACTGGTATGGGAACTTAAGGCCTAAGGCATTGTTGCTGTCCTTGTTAAACACAGTGTGCTAGAGGTCATGCTTAAGATTTCAGCAGATGAACAGTGAAGTATCTACATAAGGAGCGGTAAGCCCTACTTTGTATCTAAACATCATAGATGTCAAGTAATAGTCTCCCAAGGGCATGGCTGGCTAGTTGTCTGGAGTGTGGATCAAGAGAGACAGGATTATATTACATGCTCTGGTATATTACATTAAGCTGGGTCCTGATTCAGGGCCAATATTTTAGTTCACTGATGCTTGTTGCCTCGGATCTCTCTCTGGCTGAATGGCTGAATTTATCTCCCTGAAGAAACATGGTGGTAAGTCTCATGAGCAGTCCATAGACTATGAAACAAAATGCTGCAGCACTTTTCTGTCTCAGGATAGAGACATGTAGGAAAATGAGCACTGGGCTGAGAGTCACATGTACTATATTCTAGACCTGACACTGCCGTCAAGCAGGTGTTTCACTCAGGGCAAATCTGTTGTATTCACGAAAAAACTCCATTTTCTAATCTATAAACTGAGAGAAAATGATGGTTTTCCTAAAATTATAAGCAACCAGAAAACCCGATATAAACAAGAGATAAATTCAGAGAGCCACTTGTTGTGTAACAGACAAGGGACTGGGGACACATCACTCACCTTGTCTTCTGCTTCTTCCCACTAACCATCCCTTCAAGTGGCTTGTACGAATATTTAGGGATCCATAGTTCCCAAAATAGCTTCCCACGCTAATCCAGAGATCGCGAAGCAGAAATGTCAGGGTTTTATTACTGTGATTTTAGATTTGTGGGCCTTCTCCTAAGATTGCAGTAGGAGAATGACTCCTGAAGGTGATTTTTACAAAGAAGATAGAAATGTGCAGGGGGATGTTCTGCAATGCCCAGAGTTTACAAACATTTTAGTCCTTCTCTACAGTGTGGAAAACTGTATTTTTCTTCAAATTAAACTATATTGATAAAATGTTATCATCTGGGTCATGGTTGTATATTGTTTTTGGTTAAAAAAAAACCCACTCTGTTGGTCAGTTTCAAAAGGAACAGTGTGTAAAGACAAAAGCTTATTTAGTAGATGTTTTGTCCTGACTCGGAGAAGAAAAGAAGCAGTGGGGAAAGAACAGCAGACATTTGTGGAAAGAGTTGTGTTAAGGCTCTTGAGTGAGGGCTCTTGTTAGACCAAACTGTCAGGTAAAAAAAAAAACAGGAAGTGGAGAGATGGACACGTTTGAACCCTTGGTTTTCTTTCTTTGTTTAAAGAATGTGTCTACGTTATGAATAGATTTTATAGAATCATAAAGTATTGAAATGTTAAAGGTAGCAAAGATCAAAATGATTTTCTCCCAAGTGTGGCTTTAGATTTTGAGAAAGAAGCTTTTCCTTTTCCTTTTAATGAATGTTCATACATAAGCAAAGGATTTTGATCTTTTGAGTAGCCACTTTAGAGAATGTTCTTTGCAATGTACATACAGTTTTGGAAAGACTAGCAAAGCCACTCTGAGAAAGAGCATGTATTAGTACATTGGGGTAGAATAAGAAATCTAAACAATTTCTCTCAATTTATCAAGATAATTTTATCAATACTGGCCCATTATCAAAAATTATTTTTGAGGTTACTAAACAGTTTTCAATTGAACTAGAATTACTTGTGTACTTTAGTGATTATATATATATTTGTACTACCATTTTACTCAAAAGAGAGAATGCAATCAATTAAACCACATGTCTGGAAAAAAAAGGCCACATTTTAGCAATTATTTTACTATAAAGAAGTGTTGCATGTAGAGTCACTGTCAATTACTAGAAATAATTACATATTTTCTTGGGTAATTTCTTGGTAATTAAAGTATCACTGAAGCATAAGATGCTTTGCTAATGAAAAGATTAAAAAAACTCATATGAGTTTATCACTTTTTGTTGAAATGTGGTTCAATGTTTATTATCATAATTTCTGATTGTTATTGTATAACCTTGAATGGTATTAATGCACAAATCATGAATGTAAGCCAAGTAATAGCTCACTGAGTAAAAAATACATCACTCGAGGTGGTGCAATAGCAATCAAAATTATGACAATAAACATTAAACCATGTTTCAAAAAGAAAGAACAAAACAGTCTTAATATATTTTTTCCTCCTGATTTTGAAAGAATTCATGACACTAATTGCAAAAAAATTACCAAAGAGAAAAAACAAACAAATGTTGCACTATTTATTTCCAAACATTCCATACTTAATAGTATAAATGAACAAAACTGTAAACATAATTTTTAAAAATAAGGAGATTTCCAAAATGGGACTTGGAGCCATTTTTCACATCTGGCATACTATAGAAAAGGCAACACACTATTTTCTATTTTGAACCTAATAATATTAACTCACCCTCAGCTAGGTGAGGGTTTTCAGTTTTTACTTTAGAAGGAGGAGATGCATTTAAATTAACTCACTCTTTGATTTCCCATTCTTCTTGAGACTAGTAAAGATATGAAAAGAGAGTGAATGTGCCCTTCTTGTTTCCAGATTTATGGATGTTTTGTGGGAGGAAGTACAGAAACTCAGTAAATTTTATAGGAATGCAGGCAAGTTCATCTCAAGCAATATTCACCTTGGGATGCCCAGTGAAAGAAAACCTTAGAAGAAAGGTATAAGATAAGTACATTTCGAAGATGAAAAAATTAGGAGTTGGTGTAATGGTGTCATAGAGCTGGTTATTCCAGCTTGCAAGAGTCAGTTTTGTGCATCTCTTTTCAACTCTATTTTTAGTGACCTCCCTCTTGTTGGAAGCTTGAAATTGGTCATGGTCGGGATAGTTACACAATGGAAATTGAAAAATGTAACCAAAAAGGGCTCTTTTTTTTTTTTTTTTTTGGAGAGCCAGTTTTTCAGCACACTACTAGTGGAAAGAGAATTGGATCATGGATTTTAAAGTCATGTCAATCAAAATAGGGATCAATGTAGAGGTCAGATAGATAATGTCAAGTAGAGGCAGGCATTTGCATTTATTTACCTTGTTGAAAATGACCCCTAGTTTGATGGATAACCTGAATCAATTGGGAGAATCTGGTCCAGTGCTTTTGATTTGACTCTTTACCATTCACATGAAGCTCTCAATAAAGATATGACTTCAGTTCCCCCTTCCTCCCACACACTCTTATTAGTCATTAATCTTTCTTCAAAAATCCAACAGAAAAGAAGATTCTCAAAAGGTACGTTTGCAAGACATCTTATATGACACTCCTTTAATTTTCCAAGGAGTCATCACCACTTAGTGAAAGTTCATGCACACCGTGCGATAGAAGGCATCCCATGGTCTGGACCCCCAGGCTGTCTGCATTGCCACTCCCAATTCTGCACCACACTAGTGCCTTGCTCTTATCAGATTCCTCCTCCTTCCCTCTCAGTCTGTTATACATGTTGGGCGCAAACAGATCTAAGTGCCTTTGCCAAGATTGTTCTCCCACTTCTTTACCACCTGTCTAACCTTCAAGACTAAACCAAAGTCACACTCCTCAGAGAAACCTTTCCCCACAGTAGCTCATTTTGTCTGCAATACTCATTGACTTATGTATCAAACTACCAAGCACTGAGAGCTTTACTTAGTGGTGATTCAGTAAATATTTTTGTACAACTTGGAGTGGCAGTTCCCAGTAAGCTCCACATCCTACAGCCAAGGGTTCCCATTAACCTTGGAAAAAGTTTGGGAATTTACTGTTTTCATGAATAAAGGGATTGTCACCCACAAAATGGGTTGGTTCAGTTGCCTGGTGGGTATCAACCCAATGATCACAACCAAGGAGGATTTAGCAAGGAGATTTTATTACTTGTAACAAGTAAGAGAATACCAGGGACAGCTCCCAAAGTAGTGTCTACCCAAGCTAGGGGCTGGGTCAGGTTTTATAAGCATAGGGTAATGAGGTATGGTCTGACTAGATCTTGCAATGAACTGATGAAGTGATGCAGGGAGGCAGGATCTGATTGGATCCTGCCACGGGGGTGATGCCAGAGCTCCATCTGATTGGACAATAGATCTTACCTTATGGTGTCCACTTAAGTCAGTCCCCACTCCTTGGTCCCAGCACTTAGGTTCCCCCAGTGGTTGCATGCTTGGTTCATCTGGACATCTTCGGCTTACATGACCTGAAGGCCCATGGCAAAAGAAAAACACTGTTATATAAAAGTTGAACCAGATTGGTCTGGTGTGTCTGCAGGATGAGGGGAAAGTGAAGAAGAGAGGGCATCTATTCAGGATCAGATTGTAGTCGAATTCTCAGAACTCTTTAATTCAGGATTAATATTTGTGGCTAGATAAGTTTACTTTGTAGCATTATGCTACAGAGAGACTAAGCTAAGATCATTAACAAATTCTGACTTATAGCCAAGAATTGAGTCTTGGGAACCCAGATTTACATTTTAGTCTAATTGCTGAGGGATGAATGTCTAACTGGACCCACTGGGAGAAAGGGTTAAAAGCATTTTTGTATATTTGCAATCCTAGTTCTTCTTTTCCAAGTCTTCCTGTTTGTCATCTTCAAATAACTACATTATAATTTATTAATAAATATTTACATTTTAAAGTGGAAATATTTAAATATGACTTTCATTGGGATTTCATCTTCATAATATTTGCTTTATTGTTACTTTTTTTTCTTGGGTAGTTACCTGATTTTTATTTGTTGTTATTGTTAATCCACCTTTTAAAATCCAATGATCTAATTCTAGACAGAGTGTTTTAGAGAGATTTACTTAGGGTTTTGAAGTTGCTAGACCCACATCTGAACATCTAATCACTTCCCTCTCATCTCCTTGTACTGTTGAACTTTCCTGATTTGTGTCCCTGGGTAAGTCTTGTTTTCATTTTTCTGGAGAACAGCATTGTCTTAAACATTTCTGTCTCCTCACTTTGCTCAAATGTATTTCTTTTGGCAGGAATCCTAACCTGCCTGGATTTGCTTTGGTGTGGGTGTTACCTCAGCTTTCCTTCAGCCAAAATTTTGTATGGCTTTGCCAGTTTGGAGAGCCAAGCTCTCTCTTCTGACTGGAGATTATAAAATGGCAAAGATAAGTGCTCAAGGCACTTTTCCTGAGATGATGATTTAAATTTATCATGCTCTCCTGGGGTCCTTGAGAAATAGGCCACTCTGTGATCATTTTTGAGCACTTGCCAGCATGCCTGAAATATGAGGAGAGGGAGAAGATGTGTCTGCTTTTCTAATTAGTTTTTTCCTCTAGTAAGTCATATCCCCTTCCTTTTAAGAGACGGAAAACATTAGAGTTCTTAAGAGATGTCTATTTTCCACTGGGGTTTACATCATCGTTTTATCTAATTATTTCCCAATTACAAATAATAATTAAACCAAATGGTGATGCAAACTGGAGCAGTAACAATGTATCTTTTTAGAGGAGCTCCCCAAAGGAGACATAGAACACCAGGGTTGAAAATTCTTTGTTCAGTCTCAACAGTGAGTCTTCAAGGATGCATAAGTCACAAGTCTTGATTTTCAAACCATGTCTGATGTTCCTTGGCCCAGACCTAAGAGGGAAGACCGAAGAGTCCAGTATTCAACTGTTTTTGACACCTCAATATTGTTTTAGTAGTTGAAATAAACAGTTCTGCAGAAGTTAATAACTGTTGATTGAATTATTTTAATGGGAAATATCTAGGATGATACTTAACCAAGAGTCAGAAGACCCAAATCTGGAGTGATAATATGCCTGAGTTTGCCAGGAAAGTCCTGGCAAGACTCTTGTCTTGGCATTATTAAGGATGTTGTCTGGCACTCCCCTTTTCACTGTCAGGGTGTTCTAGTTTAAACTCTTTACAACTTGCCAGGTGGACAAATGGAATGAGATTAGACTTAAATACTCTTATTGATTCTTACAAGTGTTAATGGATATCTATCTGCAAGATTCTAAGTCTTGAAACAAGTTACTCAAATGGTATTTCTCAACCTCAGACATCTTATTTAAGACCCAATAAGAAACTAACAAATTGAAATATGCACTTCTCATGATCATGCTTAATATAAAAACTAAATTTGTAAAGCTTCTACAAGAAAATATAAGAGAATATCTTTTTGCCTATCTTGATATAGGGAAATAATTTTAGATGAGACTTCATAAAAATTAAAAACATTCTGCTCTTCAAAGACATTATTAAGAAAGTGAAAAGCCACAGACAGGGAAAATTATACCTCAATACAATACTGCAAAAATAAGTTACACTGCTTCTCAGTTTAGCAAGCACATTGTCACACAGTAATGTTTTCCAAATATTTCTAAGCATTGCAATGCTTTCTTTATACTAAAATTTACATGGAATTCTAAGATATGAAATAGATATAAGTGGAGCTCCTGGAGCTGAAGTGAGAAGGGGGTCCTGAAGCTGCATAATGCCTGCCGTCCTCTGTCCAGTCCTCCACCCCTGGCACTGTATTCCATTCTTTTAACAACTCTGTGCTAGAGGCACTAAAGATTTTTAAGATATTAACTATACAGATGAAGAAACAGGCTCCATGAAATTGTGACTGACCTAAATTACATGGCTAAGAGACGATAAGACACAGACCTGGAAATCATAGCTTGTGCTCAGCAATCTGTATACTATATTTACTGAACAAAGCAAGTGTTCTAGGCTGAGTGTGGTGACTCACGCCTGTAATCCCAGCACTTTGGGCAGCTGAGTTGGGCAGATTACTTGAGCTCAGGAGTTTGAGACCCGCCTGGCCAACATGGCAAAACCCCATCTCTACTAAAAATACAAAAATTAGCCAAGCATGGTGGTGCACGCCTGTAATCCCAGCTACTTGGGAGGCTGAGGCATGAGAATCACATGAACCTGGGAGGTGGAGGTTGCAGTGAGCCAAGATCGTGCCCCTGTGATCCAGCCTGGTGACAGAGCAAGACTCCATCTCAGCAAAGAAAAAAAAAAAAGTAAGTTTTTCAAACATTGTGAGGGCTATAAAGTAGTATAAAAAATGCTCCCAGTTTCCAAAGAGTTTATGGCTTACTTGGTGACTTGCTCAAAGCTCACATGGCTGGAGGTATCATGGAGTTATCATGTTTGGTCAATGAGAAGTACTTTTAGGTAAGGGGCTACCATTCATAAGAGCACAGGTGACCCTTTCCAGTCATTCCAGTAACGTCAACAACCAGGCTGGGGCTGTCTTTTGCTCTCTTGGGTGGTTGCTTTTTCGTGGATTCTTTCTTACTTGGCATGAGATAGACTTGGTCAAGGTCATCCCAAATTTCTTTCTACTGTCTAGTTTTGGTGGATCATCTATGCAAAGCTTCGAGTTCTCATTTTGATGTGATCACCTATGATTGCTGAAAACACCTTTATTTCCCCCATTTAGATTAGAGCCACATGAAAAACACTGACTGGATGTTTTCAGATCAATTGACGCTGAGGTTTCTTTTCTCACAAAGTCCTACTCGTATATCTCTGCATTTCCCATCCCACAGCAGCTGCCTCTATTCATTTATTTATTTTAAAGTTCAATTTGTGATGCAGTTAGAAGAGACTGTCAGCAAGAGAGAGTCAAGAGGAAAGTTTATTTTTTTTCCCCAGCAGGGAAAAGCCAGAGGAGAAGGGGGATCACGGGTAGGGGGCTTATTGGATTTATTTGGTTAATTTTTTTCTAAAAGTCCTTCCCTCTGAGAGGACAAAGTTCTTTTCTCTTTAAGTGCAAAGCCCAAAGTGGGAAAATTTTAAATTTGATTTTAATTTTTTTTTGATGTGGAACAAACCAAAAAAACCAATGATGCCAAAATTTCTTTAATTGAAATGAAAGAGAGGTTGGAGTTCTCCTCAAGGGGACTGATTGTTCAGATTCTTATTTCTTTCTTATTTATTTATCACTAGAGATGCACTGTTTTAGAAAGATAAAACACTGAGTTAGGAGCTCAACAAACACGTGAAATTGAGCCATAGAAAGGATAAAAAATTGAAACCGATGATGGCCCCACAGACAGAGAGAAGACAGCTCGTGGAGCTGTGAAAAATCCCCTACCTCAACTATTGCCCTTACTGGCTCTCTCCTGGGCTTTCAGTTCCCTGCATTAGAAATATTTCATGACTTGAGTAAGAGCTATACAAAAACAAAAAGAAATGATAAAACCAAAAACCAAAAAATAAAAAATAGCAAATAAATTCCATGGTCAAAAAGCTTGGGAAAAAAATGGAATAAACTAAGACAGTAAAGTCTTTACTGCAGAATTTCCCAGGACTGGTAATATTGTCATGTACATTACGCATCTTTAAAAGGAAGAGCTGCAGTATGTAGCCACGTAAAGATGGCCAAACTTAGCTGAAAGGGAGATTTTACCCATTTGGCCCCCTCCCTCCACCAACATTTTATGGGGCTGATCTTCACTGAAACCAGATTGAGGAAATGCATTAAAGCACTGAAAAATGCTGGTTAAAATGCAAACCAGAACAGGGAGATGATAATACTTGAAGTCATTGTTAAGCAATCTAACTCCTCAGTTCCAATTAGTTTATCAAATTAACTGCAAGTGTCTTACAAAACTCTTGTGAGAAGGAGCTTGGAGATAAAATATGACAGGGGCCAGAGAGTATCAAGGGTGCTAATTGAGAGGCCGGGAAGACATGGTGGAGCAGAAAAAGACAGAAGGCTGGGCGCAGTGGCTCACGCCTGTAGTCCCAGCACTTTGGGAGGCCGAGGTGGGCGGATTGCCTGAGGTCAGGAGTTTGAGACCAGCCTGGCCAACGTAGTGAAACCCCGTCTCTACTAAAAATGCAAATAACAGCTGGGTGTGGTGGTGGGCACCTGTAATCCCAGCTACTCGGGAGGCTGAAGTAGGAGAATTGCTTGAACCCAGGAGATGGAGGTTGCAGTGAGCCGAGATTGTGCCACTGCACTCCAGCCTGGGCGACAGAGTGAGAATCTGCCTCAAAAAAAAAAAAAAGATAGAACGTTCCTGAATATTAAATATTTATCCTACCAACCTCAATTCATATGGGTAATATTGGCCTAGAACCAAATAAGAGAAAAGAGATGTTCAATCAGGGTTTACTTAAGCAACAAGAATCATACAAATCAGATTCTAATCTTTCTGTATTCATTTAAAGCATAAAGTCAAATAAATGATTGCCAGCAGCAAGTGGAGTTGTTTAAAATTCCCTCAGCATGCAAAAGTGTTTCTTGGTATATGGAGAACTGATATTCAAACTTGGAGTTTAGCTGGTTTATGGTGATACCACTAGTGTGGCACCAAACCTGTTTCCTTTCATTTCTTTGCACACATTTCAGTGACATTTCCAGTGTCTCATCCAGCTAGATGAAGCCAGGTGATTGAGTTCTGACTAGTGCAATGTGGGCAGAGGTGACAAACTTCACCTCTAATCCTGACATATACAGAAAGTCTTGCACATTCTTGCATTTTTTCAACTCTCCCATCTGCCAGTTATATTCTATCAGGGCAATAAGAAGAGTCACATGATTAAAGCAGTCTGGGTTCCTGAGTCACTGTATGGCGTACAGTCACACAAGCATACACACTGGACTTTGTGTGGGTTAGAAATAAATTTTTATTTTAAGCCACTGAGATTTCGCCTTTTTTGGGGGGAGAGGTTGTGAGTATAGTTCATGTTAATTTCCTTGACTGAGGCAAATTCAAACACTAAGAACATGTATAGCTGCAGAAACTAAATCTAGAGTAAGGCATTGCTAGTAACTAATTCTTTTCATGTTGACTGCAACAGGATGGGCCTTGCCTTACTCCTGACTTGTCCCATGGGAACTATTTTAAAATCAGATTATGTAAGATTAACGCTAAAGCGTTCCAGCTTTCTAATATCTCCCACTGGTATTCTACTCTTCTCTTCCATCTGCTGCATTAAAAAGTGACCACCTTAAACTCAAACGTTCAAATTCCACTGTGGTGTGTTTTTGGTCATATACAGCACATGGAGCTGTGGGAGGCAGTTTCCCTAGTGATGAAGTGTAGAACCACCCCCTCAGAGAATGAAGCCTGGGCAGAACCCAGCCAGAATTCTGTTAACCTCCTGGCCTTCCCATATTTACACACATTGGCCCTTAGCCCAACCCTGCACAGCTGGCTAGAACAGTCCTGGATACTTTAGGAGCTTCTCCCAAGAGAATTCCATGAAAGTAGGAGCTGGTAGGAAAACAAAGATGAAATTAATGTAAACCTTCCTTAGGAATTAAAAATGAATTTTCAGGAATAGGAAACTTTGCCAGGCACAATATTTTTCAGCCTTCTGACAGAATAAAGAGGTTAGGGATTATTGGTGTGCATGTTTACATCTGCTGAAAGTCTCATTTGATAAGAATATATGTATTGATTTGATTTTATATGTGAATGACTCCTTTTGGGGAGTAAATGCTGTACTTGCTACTCAGAGGAACTCATAAATCTACATGTCTTCCTTTTTTTATAGCTAACAACAAATTTCAATTGACAACTCAGCTATTTTGAAGCTGCGTAAGATGTGGCCCTAGTAACAGGGTTGGATCCAGGCATTGTGAACCTAGAAATGTATACAATTTTGAGGGTCTTCTTTAAAAAAGTATATTCAAAATTGGGAATTAAAGTTAATATTTGTTTAGAGTAAGAAAAGAAATTACAGCAGGCTACAAAATATAAAAGTTACTGCTGTAAACAGCACAAAAGTCAGAAACATTATAGCTCTATTAATATACTAGGATATCTCTATAATACTTTTTCCTATATTTTTGGTTGATCTTCATTGAAACCAAATTGAGAAAATGCTGCATTAAAGCATTGAAAAATGCTGGTTAAAATGCAAACCACAACAGGGAGATGATACTATTCGAAATCATTATTAACCAGCCTAACTCCTCAGTTCAAATTAGTTTACCAAATTAACTGCAAGTGTCTTACAAAACATCTGTGGGAAGGAGTTTGGGCATAAAATATGTCAGGGGCCAGAGAGTATCAAGCGTGCTAAACGGGAGACCTGGAAGACATGGCAGATTGATAAAATGACCTTAATGACTCTTTGGCCATCTTATTATATGACAGTATTTTGTAATATTTTCTGTACAGAAAATAGTTCAGTCTCACTGTTGACATGTTTAGAAGCTTCTTTGATCTCACAGCTCATTATTGGTAATTTCATGTAAATCATTAAAATTATTGTTAAATTTGGGAAAACTTCTATCATGTTCATTTCATACATGAGATATTAACATCAACAAACCTTCCCACAGACTATCTTCTTGCTCCCTACTTTTAAACTTGGTTTCTCACCAATACCTGTGAGACACATTCTTCTGGTGCAATGTCACACCTTACCGTGGCATCTGGCCCTGCTCCTGCACATCATGATATTGGGTGAGTTGGTACAGTGGGTAGTAGAAATTCCTGGAAAGACATTTTTGCATTGGGATGGCTGGCAGAAACTTAATTATACACAAAAGTAATGGCAACCCAAATAACTATATTAACCCCAACTAAATGTGTCTTCCAAGTCAGCATTCCTTTAATAGCCTATCACAAATGCCTGTTTGCAGTATTGCCTTTAGACTGCAGCCATCAGGGCCCCCACCCCAAACACTGAGCCTCAGGGGATCGTGCACTGTGGAGTGACTTCCTCAAAACTGTTGAGGTTTCTCTATGGTTCCTGAGATTGGCTGGGGCTACCATTGCCACCTGGGTGGTGCACATCCAGCCCTGGATCTGGACCTGCATGTGCCCTGGTCCTCATTTCAGCCTGGTATGTTCTCTGACCCTCTACTGCATGTTTCAGGTTGGCCATATACCTCAAAGATCTGTAGGACTCAGGGTTTGAGAGGCCTGATGGGTACACTGTACCCACTGACCAGTATGGCATTTTTTTTGTTTTCATGATAACCTGTGTTGTTGGACTGATTTTGGGTGACACAGGATGAGTTCAGGGCTCTGAACTACCGACCATCTACTGTTAACCCTGGGGCCTAAGCTCTGGGTGTGGGCCTATGCACGGGCTCTCGCCAGTCCTTGCTCCAACCGCGGGGCTGCCTCTGATCTACAGCCCCTGAGGGCAATTAGTGATGGTAGCAGTTGTCTACTTTGTAGGACTCTTGCCATGGGCATCCAGAGCTGTCACTCTAACTCCTCTGCAGGTTCCACACCAACGGTCAGGCATCCTCCAGAGTGGCTGTGCTTCTGTCCTCCAAGGGTTTCTCAAGACTATTGCTCTGTAATGTCAGCGGGCCCTTCCGATTAGTGCAGTTTTTTGCCGCCTGGGGAGGTGGTATGGTGAGATATGGTGATGTCATATTCTCCCAGGTCACTCTTAAGCCATGCTTAATGCTTAATGGGCATTCTTTGTAGGAATGAGATCACTCGTCCCCCTCCTCCCGTGATCCTTCTTTCTCTCCTCCCCAGTGTGTGGAAGCGGGTGGTACAGTCAAAACGGTAAACGATCACATTCTAGAAACACAATGATTTGGCCTAAATAACTTAAGAGGAGAAATAGATGGTAGGTATGTTGTTCTGTACTTAGGCTATAAAGTAACAAATGGTAAATTTAACCTGACCAGCATATAAATCATTGTTCACATTTTCCTGTATACTTTGGGTAAGACTGGAATTTATGTTCATAATCAAATAAATACAGTAACAACTTCGAGGGTCACTGGAAGCCAGTATCCCTAGGTGGCACAATGGGTGATGTGGCTTATGAGTAATCATGTAAATAGCATTAAATAAATAGCATTAGGAGACTGCAGAGGCTAGAGGATCAATATTGTTTCAGTACAAACAGGTTTCAAAAAGCCATGGCAGGATGCAATGGCTCACACCTGTAATCTCAGTACTTTGGGAGGCTGAGGCGGGAGGATTGGTTGAGACCCAGAGTTTGAAACTAACCTGGGCAACACAGTGAGACCTTGTGCCTACACACACACACACACACACACACACACACACACACACACACACAAATTAGCCAAGCATGATGGCCCCCACCTGTGGTCCTAGCTATAGGGGAGGCTGAGAGAGCCTAGGAGTTCAAAGCTACAGTTAACTATGATTGTGGCACTGCACTCTAGCCTGGGCAACAGAGTGAGATGCTGTCTCAAAACAAACAATGTGCACACATACACAGGCATGTGTGCACACACACACACCCACAAACCCACACCCCCATACCCACACACCCACACCCCCATACCCACACACACACTGAGCCATGCATTGTGAGTAATGAGTATGCTACTTTTTTCTCATGATGGGCGTTATGAAGCTTGCCAGAAACCACACATTTGATTGTATAGAACAAAAAGAAATGGCTTCTGGCCCAGAATGGGCAAAGATGGTCCCTGGATACTACAAAGGATATTCATGTGTCTTGATAGGACAACAGACGTATACATAAATTTCTCATCTACTCATTATTCTAAGTCTTTGTTGACACATCCCTGTACCTCCTACAGGACCATTAATTTTGTAATATTCCATAAAGTTGTTTATATAGACAGGGGTTTCACAAAAATATTTTTGGGGGCTCTGCACACCCTATGGAAAGCTCTGGCTGTGGCCCCTGTAGTGCCACCTGATGAAAGAAAAATGTGGGCTGGGCACGGAAGCTTATGCCTATAATCCTAGCACTTTGGAAGGCTGAGGAAGGTGGATCACTTGAGGTCCGGAGTTCGAGATCAGCCTGGTCAATATGGTGAAACCCCATCTCTACAAAAAACACAAAAATTACCTGGGCATGGTGGCATGTGCCTGTAATCCCAGTTACTTGGGAGGCTGAGGCAGGAGAATCACTTGAACCATGGGAGACAGAGTTTGCAGTGAGCCGAGATCTCACCACTGCACTCCATCCAGCCTGGGGGACAAGAGCAAAACTCCATCTCCAAAAAAAAAAAGAAAAGAAAAGAAAAGAAAAAAAAGATAAAAGTGAAAGAGGAGAAGTCTGATGAAAAAAGGCACATGTCAGTCTAAACTGATTGAGGTAAAAATCTTTTTGTCAAATTTACAAAAACATATGGCCATTGAATACCTTGCAAACTCCTCTCCCACAGCCCATGCAAAGAAAGGGCCCTGAAACTTGAGGCCTTGAAGCTTCACTGTAAACTATCTCTGCCAGTTAACTTGAATCTCCAAAATGGTGGTGTTCATGCAGACTACTAGTGAGGCTTCATCCAGACAACGGGTTCAGGGTTTATTTAAAAATAAAATCATTGTTAAAACCTTTGATTTTTTTATACAATCCTCTCTGCTGCATCCTACTGTAAACCCTGCAGAGTGACTTTTTTTCCCCACACAATTGACCTTAATAGCAAATACAGCAGAATTTGATTAATTCATCTTATATGTCCATAATTAATGTAAAAGGGCCAACAGTCTCTCAACTCTCTTCTCAGAAAAGATCTAATAATGGAGTTCAAGTGCAGTTTAATATGACCTAATTTTAAGAAATATAATAGCTGGAGAATTACTTTGAAAAGCGAGGAGTGCTATGCAAATGTAAAGTATCCTCATTATTATTGCTATTATTAGTGGAGTATCTATAAGTGTATTTGCTGCATTGAAAAATAAAAAGCAAAATAGTCTCTTGACATCTTTCTCTCTGGGCTCCTTGAGGGATCATATCTGTCTTATTAACTGTAGTATACTGGGCACCGAGCCAGGTGTTCCTGGTATTTAGTGGTACTTAAGAAGTATAAGTTGAATTAATGGATTAATAATCTCTGATCATATGTTTAGGTTATTTTACTTTTACAAATTTTATGCTGTGATGAATAATTCTTTCAATACTAAATTTTACTGAAATGTAAGTGTTTTCTAAGGATGAATTTCAAGAAGTTTAAAATTTCTAGAAGTCTAATGTTTAGGCTATATGCTTTATGCATTTTTAAGGCTTTTGATACATATTGCCAAACTACCTTCTAGAAATGTTCGTTTGTTCAACAAGTATTTATTAAATACTTATTGGTGTCCAGGCATTGTTCCAAGCACTGGGGAAAAACAGTGATGAATAAGACATACCATCCTCCTGGAGCTTATGTTTTACTCAGAAAGAAAGAAGATGAAAGATAACCAAATAGCAACAAAAAAAAGATGTAATTTGAGTAGCAATCAGTGCTATGAAGAAAAATAAAAGAAGCAAGAGAGTTGAGTAGATTTGTATTACTGTTTTTAAATATTCGCTTAACTCTTCCATTTATGAGTGACTATGGAAACGGGGAAGGAGGGAGGAAAATACTTGAGAAAGGCAAGTACTCAGACAATGGGGGATCAGTGAACACTGGCTCTGAAATTATGCTTATTCCTGAGGACCCAAAGAAATTCTACGGTCCACTAGTCAACTAGGGCCTTATGGTGTCCAAGCAATCAATGAAATTTTGCCCAAGTCTGTCTCACCATTGGCCAAGTGAGTCAATGGACTCTCCTGTGGTTATTTTTCCAGTTGCTAGAGATGTAATTAGAACAGAAATACTCAGACACATGATATAGTCACCTGTAGAGTGAAGTCCCTTATAGTAGGAAGGGAGATTGAGGAGATTAGCTGTACCATCAATGATTTATTATATACTCCATCACCCAGAAGCAGCTGGCCTGAGAGAGTCACAGAATGACCAAATAAAGGTTGAATTAATTTTTCAGTGAGGAGAAAACACTGGGTTCTATCTTAAATAATAAAATTAGTGGTCAGTATATGGTGCTGTTTCTCCCACAGCCAGTATGCCTGGGCCCCAGAATCAAGAATAGAAGCAAAAATTGTTCTTCTCACTATGAATTTTGATAGCCTACCTACAGAATTTCTAATTCTTATCCCCAGAATGTTCAGATCAGCAGTTTTTTCTGACTTTGTTTCCAAGGAAGGAATGCTTCTATGTGGGGATACAACATTAGTTCAATTGCATTGCCAGTTGAGACTATCTCCTAGCCATCTTGGTAAAGAGTGGAATCCCTGCTAATTAGGAAAATTAATCCTGATTACCAAAGAAAATTGAGTTGCTACCATATGGTCGAGGCAGGGAGCAAAATGGCTGGAGCTTAAGGGATTCTCTGGGGCATCTCTTAGTGTTCCCATGTCCTCTTGGTAAAAGTCAAAGGAAAACTATAGCAACCAGCACAAAGGTGGGACTACTAAGAATCAGGCCTTTCAGGAATCAGGGTTTGAGTCACCCCACCAAGAACCCCAACTACCTGAGGTGCTGACTGAGGACAAGGAATATGGAATGGGTAAAAAAAAAAAAAGACAAAAATAATAATTACTAAATATAGTCTTGTGGCCCACTGTAGAAATAACAACTATAGCAAGTCTTTCACATTCCTCCGTAATACCACCACCTGAGCAGTGCCCACTCTTTTCTGAGTCTCATCTCTTTGGAGCCTCTCCTCCAAGCTTTTAATTTCTGTGAAAACCAACTTCTTCCCTTTGTTCCCTAGTATTGGGTGGTGTTTGCAGCTATTATTCTTATTAGCTTTGTGTTCTCTTTCTATCATTTTAGGTTTCAACCATGATTTTAACATAACACTTCGTCATATTTATTTCTCTCTGTTAAGAAACTTAATGTGGTTTCTGTTTTCCAGGTAGGATCCTGATTGTTACACGAACTGTCCACCTCCATCCAGAGCCGTGTGGCTTGTAGTGCCTTCTCGTGGCAGGTATATTTTCCTGCCTGTTCACGTGACTTGTGTTGGCCAGTGGAATGTGAGTAGAGTGTGATACATGCCAAATTTAGGTAAGGCAGATATGGGAGGCTGAAGCAGGAGAATGGCGTGAACCCGGGAGGCAGAGCTTGCAGTGAGCCAAGATCGCGCCACTGCACTCCAGCGTGGGCGACAGAGCGAGACTCCGTCTCAAAAAACAAACAAACAAACAAACAAACAAACACAACTAAGCTTTTTAATATTTTGAGAGAGATGTAAGTCCATATGCAGCTGTAAGAAATAACGCAGAGAGATCCCATGGACTCCATCCAGTTTCCCCCAGTGGTAACATCGTGCAAGACTATGGTATAGTATCACAATCAGGACATTGACATTGAATACAATACAATTTTCTTAGTTTTGGGCAGAAACTCTATAGTGATCACATGGTTCAGCTTAGACTCTTGCTCTACCCCTCTGTCATTTGAAGAAGCCTGTGAGTCACAGCCACAGCCAATCTGCAGCAACCAGAATTCCAGATATCATGCTAGGCAACTCTTAGTTTTTCTGAGAACTGAGAATTGGACATTGTGTATTACCTTAACATAACTGGTTGAGAGAGAGAGAGAGAGAGAGAGAGAGGAAGGAGGAGATTATTCTGAAATCACTCTAGATAGATTGAGCAGTCAGCAACAGCCTCATGGATTAAGTGATGAGACATTTGAGCAGGGACCTGACTGGCGTGAAGATATGAGTTAGGAGAACGGCATGAGACGATCATTCAGGTTGAGGTAGCAGCAGGTGCAGAACACTTGGGTGAAACGAGCTTGGTCCATGTGTTGGAGAAAGAGTAGGGAGCTAAGGTAAGGTGAGGCAAATGCAGTGAATGAGGAGGGGGATGGTCAGAGATGCAGAGGCCTGATACTGTATAGGCCATAATCACAGGAATGGATTTTATTCTCAATGCAGTTTGGGTAATGATTTCCCGGGTGGCATATTCAATACCATGGATAGTTCTAACTATCAAGGACTTCTTCTTTAAATAAAGCTGGGATCTGCTACCCTGTCACATCTTTGTTCTTGCTCTATTTTTACCTTTTGTCTCCTACAGAGATTTAGTCCCTTCTCACGGGACCAGCCTTCATACATTTGAAGAAGGCAGTGATGTTTTCTCAAGTCTCTCTACTTCAGGCAAAACAGTCCTTTTTAGTTAAATTAAGCTTGATTGTCAAGTATTTCACATAGTTTTTTTTAATTTCAAGCTTTAATTCTAGTAATTGGTAATTCATACATTCATATCAGTGGTTCCTAATTTGAGAATATCTAGAATCTTCAAGGTACTGCATGTACATAGGTACCATATTGTTATTTGTGTATGTCTGCCTAATTTGCTACATTATTTTGAAGATGTGGCTCCAGGGATGAGTATTTGCAAATGGGTATTTGACTGAGCCCACATGATTTTATTATATAACGAAGGGATAGAAGGGAGTAAATTCTTATAAGCCAAAGAAGGCAGATCCTTAAAGCAGTGATAGCTACCCAAATTTTAATTTGCATGAGAAACACTTGGAGATCGTGTTAAAATTCAGATTCTAAATAAGTAGATATGGGATAGGAGGACCCCTAGATTTCAGCAGATGTTCCTGGTCCATGGGCTACTGTCTCGAGTAGCAAAGTTCTAAAGAACTCAATTCAATAGAACTCAATTCATCCAAGTGTCAAGGCAGAGGCATTCTCGTTAACCTATAAAACTCTTAATTTCAGTGGATCCCCTTGATCATTTCAGGGTGTTCTCAGATGCCTGCAGAACCATGTAGAATACCTTAGAAAAATTCCCTTCCAGCCATCTCTAGCTTAATACATAGAGACTTTACAGAAAATGATTGACTCCCAAACTGCTCTTGTTCAATATCCTGTATAATTGCATGAATGTCTCCATGGGAGAGTGATGTGATTGATGGTAAGAGGACAGTAGACACACTTATGAAAGATAATGTTTTTTTAATGGCAAAGCATATGAAGATTGCTCCAGAAAGGAGACAATAAGCCATGCTCCCAGGAGAAGACTTCTCAGGTCCCTGAATCTCTATAGGAATATATAACAGCTGCTGCTACCACCTGCATGGAGTTAGAGTTCTTGCTTGGTAAAAAGTGCCTGTTTGCCATTATTGGGGTACAGTCATATTCTCCTGTTCGTTGATGATAATATGGGGACTCACCAGCCTGTCTGCCAGTTCGCAGTGCAAAAGCAACCTTGGTGCCATCTTGAGTGTTCACCGTCAGACCAGCTGAATTAAAGATTGGTTTCCCAGGTGTAGCATTTCTGAGGAGACCCACATGCCAGGTCCGCTGAAGGTCCATTGCTGTACTCAGGGGCACAACCATGAGTAGCTCATACATTATGATGGAAAACATCTGCTCCTAAGATAGTGAAAAAGTAAAGTCAGTGCCTTACATTTCCCTTTTATTTCATCATGTTTTTCCTCCTAAGTCACCAATATGATAAATGATGCAAGTTTAATTGTGCTGTATCAGAAAAATTGGGGTATATGGAAATATTTCCACAGGAACACTTTTATCCTGAGAAACATTAGTAAAAGTTCAGTGAATTTATAAGATCATAGAATGCCATAACAAAAGGTAAACCTAGAGATGTTCTATTTCATAAAATGTTTGATGAAGTCATCATGTCTTATTATTTTGAAGACAGAATATATTGATCTCTCTGTAGGTTTCACATTAGCCATTTTTAAACCAAAATACTACAGTGGACAATAATATGGTGGGCAATTTCTAAACCAAAACATTATAGTGACTCTCCGAAACTTATTCCATCCCAGATGAGTCATAAGACTCAATCAGTTTATGTCGCTTTCCTGGTGGCTATTTTGGTCTGGGGCGGAGTATGTGCCCTAGGTTGCTGCAATTAGATTGGGATGGAGACTTATATTTCAATGAATGTTCAGAGCTAAGTTTTTTTTTCTTTTCTCTCTCCTCTTCTCCCAGATGCAGAAAAGGGCAACCTGTATCCAAAAGGTGAAATCAATAAATGCATGAAAAAAATGCATATGGTAAGACAGATAGATGGACAGAACTTGGGTCCGTTTTTTTTTTGTTTGTTTGTTTGTTTGTTTTTGAGATGGAGTCTCGCTTTGTCTCCCAGTCTGGAGTGCAGTGGCATGATCTTAGCTCGCTGCAACCTATGCCTCCTGAGTTCAGGTGGTTCTCCTGCCTCAGCCTCCCGAGTAGCTGGGACTACAAGCATGTGCCACCACTCCTGGCTAATTTTTGTATTTTTAGTAGAGACAGGGTTTCATCATGTTGGCCAGGCTGGTCTGGAATTTCTGACCTCAAGTGATTTGCCCATCTTGCCCTCTCAAAGTGCTGGGATTACAGGCATGAGCCACCATGCCTGGCCACTTGGGTCCTGTTGAGGTGAAAATATTGATTACTGGATGTACCACCCTTGGAACTTCTTCTACCTCCGCACTGATGATGCATTTCTTAATTGTTTAAGCCAATCAGAGTAAAGTTTTCAGAAAGCAGAGTCATTAGAAGAGGCACTCTGGAACCAGACTGCCTGGGTCCAAATCCTGTTCTGCTGCTTACTAGATGTGTGGTCTTTGGCAAGTTACTTAATATTCCTGAGCCTCAGTTTTCTTATTTATAAATCAAAAATGAAAACAGTGCCTAACCTTCTAGGGTTACTCAGGTTAAATGAATTAACACATATAAACTGCTTGGAATGGTGCCTGGCTAATAAGTAGACTAACAAAGTGTTGGTTATTATTGTTACTACTTTACTAATATTGCTGATAATAATCTGAATGTTCTCATCCATTTGCTCATTCATTCACCAAATGTGTATCAAGTGACCACAGTGTATGTGGTTGTTTGCTTGAGCTGAGATTTAAACACATTTTTGCTTACTATTTAAACTTTCTTCTTACCTTTCTCCCATCCTTCCTTCTTCCCTCCCTGCCTCTGTTTCTTCCTCTTCCCTTCTTCTTTCTCACTTTCTTTTTGCATTAGGCTTATGAGGTAGAAATCATGTGTTTTGGGGCAATACATATATGAAAATATTGTGGAAACTTTATGATTGAGTTATGCTGTTTATAAATTTTTGAAAATCATAGTTTTTTTCTGGGCCAAATGAAAGGTTTTATCTAGTATGAATCAGTAAAAACTCAGTAATATTATTCACTCCCAAACTGGTCATGCGAAAATGCACTCTTTACCATCTACAACACTTTGGATGAAGTTATTCAGTGGAGGCCCAAGAATGAAAAAGCAGACTGTCTGACCCTAAAGAATATTAAAAGGAATAGTGCAGGGAATTTTGGTTAACAAAATACCAGTTTTGCTGATATAATGTGTTATAAATAAAAGTACACTCACTGCCTTCTTTTCCTGGTCCATTGGTAGGCATTCTTACTCCAAAATGTACTTCCCAGTAGAGCATCCCACAAAACATGGCAATTATATTGATCTGTGGCATCATCAAATGTTTGCTTGTTGGTAGCCTGGTGATTGGCCGCCTTAGAAGAAGCAGGGAAACTCTATCAAGTGGAGCTCCTACGGAGGCATTAACACAAAACTCATTTTGCTAGGGAATTAAAACGTTTAACATATGTGGTGCTAGGTAGCTTACCTTCAATCCCTGTCATGAGATGTGCCGAATTTCCCTGGATTTAGAGAAAATACTATGAGTTTTGTAAAGAAACTTCCTCTGGAGTCCCAAAGGAAATGTGGAAAAGGCTTTTTGGACTGAGATCTTTTGATTCTAGGTGTGTTTCTTTTTTAAGGCTGTAGTAAAGCCATCTGAGTCCAGTGTACATGGTTAGCATGCCCTCTGCCTATGTGCATTAGTTGTCTGAACTGAATTTTCTCATGCCATAAGCAGTAACAGAATGTTATTTTTAGGATGGGAAAATATTGAGTTAGAATCTGGAAATCATAATCTCCTAAACCCTGAATCTAGCTTCAGCATTTTCCATTATTCTAAGATGCCTGCTCACAAGTACTAAAATATATGAGTTGAAGGCGGGTGCAGCAGTTTTTGCATTTCTCTTTTATTTTTTGTGGTACTGAAGCAATGGGAACACTATATAGAGAACTAAATGAGGTACCATATGTCACAGTGGCTAGTCCTGTACAATTGGGACTCAAGGAGAACCAAGAAGTCCTCACCTTTTAGTGTCCATTTATCAAGAACTCTTTTTTTTTATCTTGGAATGTAAAAAATTTCAGATGTAATTTTCTCATTTTATAATAGAAATGCCGGAGGAATCCTTTCTATGGAAATTTCTTTTTCTTTTTTCCATGGGGGATAGAAGGTTTTCCATTTTCCATCTTCCCTAAAAATGGTGGAAGTTGACCCTGGAAAAACACGTAACTCCTGTGGTCTATCCTTGCCCCCCCATCTACTATTTTTGGAAGTATAGAAAAGGTTTAATTTTAATCATAATTTTCATTGATAGTATTTCTTTGCCTATAAATAACTTGTTGAAGAGTTTTAAAAATGACTTGAAGGACTCAGGGAACAGGGCTACAATTGATTAAGCAATTCAGCTAGTTGATAAGTGCCCAAGTTTAGTATCTTCTATTCACATTCTGGAGACAAATACCATATAATATTTTAAGTGACTATTTAGTGCTTGCCATTTCTCCTTCACTGTGGTTGGCTTCTAATGTATGATCTTTCATTCATGCTTCAAAATGATGAGTTTTATTATTATAATTAATAGTTACTATTAATAATATTTGCTGTTATTATAAACTACTGTTAACTGTGATCACTACTATTATTAACATTTTACAGGTGAGGAAACAAATCTTGTGAGATGACATGACTTGCTCAGGTATCATAGATAATAAATGCTGGAACCATAATTTCTGAATTATACAATATTTTTAAACAGTATGACACCCAGTACATGAATAATTGGTAAACTCTCTACCCAATGCAAAACATGAAGGAAGTAAACATATAGCACCTTTCCATTATTTAGATTTTTGTTCATTTTACTTGAGGCTTATTTCCTTTTTAATTCTTTTTTCAATTTTTATGGGTACATAGTAGCGTATATATTTATGGAGTACATGAAATATTTTGATACTAGCATGCAATGAGTAATAATCACATCAAGGTAAATGAGACATTCATCACTTCAAGCATTTAACCTTTCTTTGTGTTATAAACAATCCAATTATAACCTCTTAGTTATTTTGAAATATACAATAAATTATTTTTGACTATAATTACAGTGTTGTACTACCAAATACTAGATCTTATTTATTCTAATTATATTTTTGTACCCATTAGCCATACCCACATCTCCCTCAACCCTCATTCACCTTCCCAGGCTCTGGTAACCATCAGTCTACTCTCTATCTCCATGAGTTCAATTATTTTAATTTTTAGTTCCCATAAGTAAGTGAGAACATGTGAAGTTTGTCTTTCTGTGCTTGGCTTATTTCACTTTACATAATGACTTCCGGTTCCATCCATGTTGTTGCAAATGACCGGATCTCATTCTTTTTTTATGGCTGACTAGTACTCAATTGTGTATATGTGCCTCATTTTAAAAATCCATTTGTCTGGTGATGGACATTTAGGTTGTTTCTAAATCTTAGCTATTGTAAATAGTGCTGCAATAAAAGTGGGAGTGAGGATATCTCTTCGATATACTGATTTCCTTCCTTTGGGTAGATACCTAGCAGTGGGATAGCTGGATCATATGGTAGTTCTATTTTTAGTTTTTTGAGGAATGCCCAAACTGTTCTTCACAGTGGTTGTACTAATTTACATTCCAACCAACAGTGTATGAAGGTTTGCTTTTCTCCACATCCTCACCAGCATTCACTATTGCCTGTCTTGTGAATAAAAGCCACTTTAACTGGGGTGAGATGACACCTCACTCTCATTTTAATTTACATTTCTCTGATGATCAGTGATGCAGAGCATCTTCTCATATACCTGTTTTCCATTTGTATGTCTTCTTTTGAGAAATGCCTATTCAGATCTTTTGCCCATTTTTAAATCAGATTATTAGATTTTTTTCCTATAGAGTTGTTTGAGCTCCTTAAGTATTCTGGTTATTAATCTCTTGTGAGATGGATAGTTAGTAAAACTTTATTCCATTCTGTGGATTTTTTCTTCACTTTGTTGATTGTTTCCTTTATTGTTCAGAAGGTTTTTAACTTATTGTGATCCAATTTGTCCATTCTGCCTATAGATATCCAGTTTTCCCAGCACCATTTATTGAAAAGACTGTCCTTTCCCCAGTGTGTTTTTGGCACCTTTGTCAAAAATGAGTTTACTATAATGCATGGATTTATTTCTGGGTTCTCTATTCTGTTTCATTGGTCTATGTATCTGTTTTTATGCCTGTACCATGCTGTTTTGGTTACTATAGCTCTGTAGTATAATTTGAAGTCAGGTAATGTCATTCCTCTAGTTTTGTTCATTTTTCTGAAGATAGTTTTGGCTATTCTGGGTTGTTTGTGGTTCCATATAAATTTTAGGATAGTTTTTTTCTATTTCTGTGAAGAATATCATTGGTATTTTGATAAGGATTGCATTGAATTTATATATTCTTTTTCTAGTATGGACATTTTAACAATGTTTATTCTTTCTATCCATGAACACCAAATATCTTTCCATTTTTTGTGTGTGTCTTCTTCAACTTCTTCCATCAGTGCTTTATAGTTTTCATCATAGAGATCCTTCACTTTTTTGGTTAAATTTATTCCTAGATATTATATTTTATTTGTAGCAATTTTAAATGCGATTACTTTTTAAAATTTCTTTTTCAGATTGTTCACTGTTGGCATATAGAAATACTACTGATTTTCCTGTGTTGATTTTGTATCCTGCAACTTTATTGAATTTGTTTATCAGTTCTAAGTTTTTCAGTGGAGTCTTTAGGTTTTCCAAATTTAAGATCATATCATTGCCAAACAAAAATAATTTGACTTTTTACCTTTTAATTTGAATTTCATTTATTTCTTTCTCTGGTGTAATTGCTCTACCTAGGACTTCCAGTACTATGTTGAATTTCAGTGGCAAAACTGGGCATTCTTGTCTTATCTGAGGTCTTAGAGGAAAGGCTTTCAGTTTTTCCCCATTTAGTGTGATACTAGCTGTAGGTCCTTTGTATATGGATTTTATTGTTTTGAGGTATCTTTCCTCTATACCCAGTTTTCTCAGAGTAATTATTTTTATCATGAAGAGATGTTGAATTTTATCAAATGCTTTTTTAACATCAGTTGAAATGATCATGTGTTTTTTGTCCCTCATTCTATTGATATGATGTATCACACTGATTGATTTGTATAAGTTGAACCATCCTTGCATCCTTGGACTAAACCCACTTGATCATGATGAAATATCTTTTTAATGTGTTGTTGAGCTTGGTTTTCTAGTATGTTTTTGAGGATTTTTGCATCAATATTTATTAGAGTTATTGGGCTGTAGTTTTCTTTTTTGATGTAATTTTGTCTGTTTTCAGTATCAGAGTAACACTGGCCTTGTAGAATGGGTTTGGAAGTATTCCTTCCTCCTCTATTTTTCAGAACAGTTTGAATAAGATTGGTATTAGTTCTTCTTTAAATGTTTGGTAAAAGTCAGCCATGAAGCCATTGAGTCTTGGGTTTTCTTTGCTGGGAGAGTTTTCTTACAGCTTTGATCTCATTATTTGTTATTGGTCTGTTCAGGTTTTGAATTTCTTCATATTTCAATCTTGGTAGGTTGTATGTGTCTCAGAATTTTTCCATTTCTTCTAGGTTTTCCAACTTATTGGCATATAGTTTCTCATAATAGCCACTAATGACCCTTTGAATTTCTGTTGTATCAGTTGTTATGTATCCTTTTTCACCTCTGATTTTATTTATTTGAATATTCTGTTTTTTCCCTAGTCTGGGTAAAGGTTTGTTGATTTTGTTTATCTTTTTTAAAAAAACAACTTTTCATTTTATTGATTTTTGGTATAGTTTTCTTAATTTTGATTTCATTTATTTCCACTCTGATCTTTATCATTTCTTTTCTTTGACAAATTTTGGGTTTGATTTGCTCTTGCTTTTCTAATTCTTTAAAATGCATTGTATGTTGGGTTGTTTATTTGAAGGTTTTCTACTTCTTTGATGTAAGCATTTATTGCTATAATCTTTCCTCTTAGTACTGCTTTTGCTGTATTTGAGAGGATTTGGTATGTTGTGTTTCCATTATCATTTGTTTCAAGAAAATTTTTGGCCGGGCGTGGTGGTTCACGCCTGTAATCCCAGCACTTTGGGAGGCCAAGGCAGGCAGATCACGAGGTCAGGAGATCAAGACCATCCTGGCTAACACAGTGAAACCCCATCTCTACTAAAAATACAAAAAATTAGCTGGGCGTGGTGGTGGGCGCCTGTAGTCCCAGCTACTTGGGAGGCTGAGGCAGGAGAATGGCATGAACCCGGGAGGTGGAGCTTGCAGTAAGCCGAGGTCAGGCCACTGCACTCCAGCCTGGGCGACAGAGTGAGACTCCGTCTCAAAAAAAAAAAAAATTGAATTTCCTTCATAATTTCTTTATGGACCCACTGGTCATTCAGGAGCATATTGTTTAATTTCTATGTGTTTGTATAGTTTCCAAAATTCCTCTTGTTATTGATTTCTGGTTTTAGTCCACTGTTGTCAGAGAAGATACTTGATATAATTTCATTTTTTTTTGAATTTTTAAAGACATTTTGTGGCCTAACATATGATCCATCCTTGAGAATGATCCATGTGCTGAGGAGAAGAATGTGTATTCTGCAGCCACTGGATAAAATGTTCTGCAAATATCTGTTAGGTCCCTTCGGTCTATAGTGCAGATTAAGTCCACTGTTTCTCTGTTGATTTTCTGTCTGAACGATGCATCCAGTGCTGAAAGTGGGGTGTTGATGTCTCCAGCTATTATTGTATTGGGGCCTATCTGTCTCCTTAGTTCTAATATTTGCTTTTAGTATCTGGGTGCTCCAGTGTTGGGTGCATATATATTTACAATTGTTATGCTGTCTTGCTTAATTCACCACTTCATCAATATATAGTGACGTTCTTTGTCTTTTCTTATAGTTTTTGTCTTGAAATCTATTTTGTCTGATATAGCTATAACTACTTCCACCCTTTATGGGTTTCCATTTGCATGGAATATCTTTCAATACTCCTCTATTTTCAGAGTATGTTTGTCCTTACTATAGGTGAAGTGTATTTCTTGTAGGCAACAAATCACTTGCGTCTTGTTTTTTTTAAATCCGTTCAGCTACTTTATGTTTTTTGATTGAAGAGTTTAGTTCATTTACATTTAATGTTATGATTGATAAGTAAGGGCTTACTCTTGCAATTTCATTATGTTTTCTGGTTGTTTTGTGGTCTCTTTCTTCTTCCTTCCTATTTTCCTTTTACTATAGGTGATTTTCTCTGGTGGTATATTTGAATTTCTTGCTTTTTATTTGTTGTGTATCTGTTGATATTTTTTATTTGAGGCTATCATGAGGTTTGCAAATAATATAACCAATTCTTTTAAACTGATGACAACTTAACACTGATTGCATAAACAAAGGAACAAACAGGCAAAGAGAAAACTAACAAAAACTCTACACTTTAACTTCATCCCACTGCTTTTTAACATTTTATTGTTTATATTTATATCTTATTATACTGCCTATGTCTTGAAAAGTTGATGTAGTTATTATTTTTGATAGGTTCATCTTTTAGACTTTCTATTCAAGATCTGAGTAGTTTATACACCACAGTAATACAGTTATAATAATCTGTGTTTTTCTGTGTATATACTATTGCCAGTGAGTTTTGTACTTTCAGAGGATTTCTCATTACTCATTACCATCCTTTTCTTTCAGGGTGAAGAACTCCCTTTAGCATTTCTTGTAGAACAGGTCTGGTGTTCATAACATTCCTCAGCTATTGTTTGTCTGGGAAAGTTTTTATATCTCCTTTATGTTTAAAGGATATTTTCACTAGATGTACTAATCAGGATAAAAGATTTTTCCTTTGGCACTTTAAATACGTCATGGCACTCTCTCTTAGCCTATAAGATTTCCACTAAGAAGTCTACTACCATGGGCACTGGAACTCCTTTTTATGTTGTTTCCTTTCTCTTGCTGCTTTTAGAATCCCTTCTTTATCCTTGACCTTTGGGAGTTTGATTATTAAATATATTGAGGTAGTCTTATCTGTGTTAAATCTGCTGGGTGTTCTATAACCTCCTTGTACTTGAATATTGATATCTTTTACTTGTACTTGAATATTGATATCTTTTTCTAGTTTTGGGAAGTTTTCTGTTATTATCCCTCTTAATAAACTTTCTACCATGACCTCTCTCTCTCTTTACCTCCTCTTTAAGGCCAATAACTCCTAGATTTGCCCTTTTGAGGCTATTTTCTAGATCTCATAGGTGTGCTTCATTCCTTTTTATTCTTTTTTTTCTTTTGTCTTCTCTGACTGTATTTTCAAATAGCCTTTCTTCAAGCTTACTAATTCTTTCTTCTGATTGATCAATTCTACTGTTAAGGAACTCTAATATATTCTTCAGTATGTCAGTTGCATTTTTTGGCTCTAGAATTTCTGCTTGATTCTTTTAAATTATTTCAATCCCTTTGTTAAATTTACCTGATGGGATTCTGAATTCCTTCTCTGTGTTATCTTGATTTTCATTGCGCTTCCTCAAAACAGCTATTTTGAATTCTCTGTCTGAAAAGTGACATATTTCTGTCTGTCTGAGATTGTTCACTAGTGCCTTATTTAGTTCATTTGGTGAGGTTGTGTTTTCCTAGATGGTATTGATACTTGTAGGTATTCCTTGGTGTCTGGGTATTGAAGAGTTAGATATTTATTGCAGTCTTTACAGTCTGGGCTTGTTTGTATTAATCCTTCTCAGGAAGGCTTTCCAAGTATTTGAAGGGAGTTGGGTGTTGTGATCTAAGTCTTTGGTCACTGCAGCTGGAATCTGCATTGGGGGGACCCTACCCAGTAACGCTGTGGCTCTTGCAGACTCATAGAGTACTGCCTTGGTAGTCTTAGGTAAGAACCAGGAGAATTCCCTGGCTTACCAGGCAGAGACTCTTGTTCTCTTTCCTTACTCTCCCTCAAACAATGAAGTCTCTCTCTGTGCTGAGGTGCTTGGAGCTGAAGGAGGGGTAACACAAACACCTCTGTGGTCACCACCACTGTGACTGAATTGGATCAGACCCAAAGCCAGTGCAGCACTGGATCTTGCCCAAGGCCTGTGGTGACCACTTCCTGGCTACTGCCCATATTCACTCAAGGCCCAATGACTCTACAATTAGAAGGCAGTAAATCCAGCCAGCCTGTGTCCTTCCTTTCAGGGTGATGAGTTTCCCAGTTCCTAGGCAAGTTTAGAGATGCCATCAAGGGGCCAGAGCCTAGAGTTGGGAACCTTAGGAATCTAGCTGGTGATCTATTCTACTGCAGCTGAGCTGGCACCCAAGCTGCAAGACGAAGTCCTTCCTACTCTTCCCTCACCATTTTTCCCTTTACTTTTTTCAGGCAGAAGAGTCTCTCTCTGTGGCCACCACTGCCCTGGACCCATGGTGATTACTGCCTGGAAACTGTCAATGTTCACTTAAGGCCCAAAGTCTCTTCAGTCAGATTGTGGTGAATGCTGTGAGTCCTCAGTCTCTCCCTTCAGGGAAGTGAGCTCCCTGTTGGCCCCAGGGAGGTCCAGAAATGAGCTGAGGCCTAGAATCAGGGACTCTAGGAACCTGCATACTGCTGTACCCCACTGTGGCTGAGCTAGTGCCCAAGCTGTAAGACGAAGTTCTCTTACTATTCCCTGTCCTTTACGTAAGCAGAAAAGATCTCTCCCCACAGCTGGGAATGTGCTGGGTCACACATGAAGCCAACATGGCTCTGAGTCTCACCCAAGGCCCATGGTGAGTAAGGCCTTGTGGCCACTACTCATTATTCAGAACTCAAGGGCTCTCTAGTCAGCAGGTGATGAATTCTGCCAGGATTGGGTCCTTCCCTTCAAGGCAATGGGTTCCCTTCTGGCCCAGGGCATGTCTAGAAATGTTATCCAGGAGCTAGGGCATGGAATAAGGGCCTTAGGACTCTTAGCTGTGCCAAATTTTCCTGTGGCTGAGCTGGTATCCAAGTTTAAGATAAAGTCCTCTTTGCTTTCACCTCTCCTCTCCTCAAGCAGAACGAAGGAGTCACTTTCAGAGCTGTGAGCAGCACTGCCAGGAGTTGGGGAAGGAGTGACACAAGCAGTCCCTTGGTTGCCCCAGCTGGTGTTTCATTAGGTCCTGTGCTCCCCAAGTCTGTTGGCTCTGAGCCCAGCACAGCACCAGGACTTGCCCGGGAATTGTAGTCCTTGTGACCTAAACTGCCTTTCAGTTTTATTTAGGACCCAGAACACTTTAGCTCACCATGGCGGGGCTTGCTGGAGCTCAGGTTCTTAGCTGGGATGGACAATTCCCCTCTGGCTAGGGTTGCTCTAAATGTTCCCTCTGTGTGGGCCAGCTGAGTTCTGCCCATGTAGCTTTCTGCTGTTGACAGGGCAGCACTGAGTTACAATGCGAAGTCCCACAATTACCACATTCTTCCTGCCGCAAGTGCACAGATTATCTCTCTGTGCCACTGGGCTGCTGCCGGGGGATGGGGCTGGTGGTGTCAGTGATTCAAGATTATGTCTTCTACCCTCTTCAGTGCCTCTTTCCTTAATATGATGTTAAAACCACTGTGATCACTCACTTGATTTTTGGTTCTTATGAAGGCCTTTTTTAATGTGGATATTTGTTTAATTTGGTGTTCCTGCAGGGAGGGAGAATGATCACTGGAGGCTTCTATTTGGCCATCTTGCTCTACCTCCCTATCGCTTATTCTCTTTTTTAAATGACTTGAACAAGAAAAAAAATCATTAGCCTATGTCTCACTACAGAGATGCAACAAATTAATAACTTTTATTTTACTGTGTCTATCTGCTTTGAAAATTTCAATCTGCCCAATGAATGTTTTGGATAAGCTGGGACTCGTTCTGTTAAAATTAGCTCTAAGTCAGTCAGGTGTGGTTTCAGTAATCCAATCAGTACATTTTATTTGTAGAAAAAACTGATGCTTAAAGCATAGCAAAGAACAGTTGAAATGGTAGTGAGGAGAGTGGTTGCAGCTTTGAATTTATTAAAGGAGTTTTTGGAGGTGTAGAAAGTATTAAGTGATAGTGGGAGAGCAAGGGACTTAAATCAGAAGGCCTGGCTTCCAATCATGACTTTGCTGCTCACGAGGTGTGCAACTCTGGTTATGTTCCTTGGCCTCCCTAAGCCTTAGTGTCTTCAACTGTAAAAGCAATAACTGTAATTACTCAATAGGATTATTGTGAATACAAAGTGTATTATTGTAAGTGTAACACTAAGATGCCATATGGTACAGTGGCCAGTAGTGAGCAATTGGGACTGAATAAATAATATTTGAAACTGTACTTTAGCACTTTTATAAATTTTACAGAGAAAAGTGGTAACCTTTCTTCTTAAGAGGCCATTTATAGTCATTCTAATAATTGCTTATTTTTATACTGAGATATGGATAAAATGAAAAGAGAGGTAAGAGACAGTCCTGACAGTTAATTTTATTAAACTCATGTTCCAGGAAATAGTTCTTGGTTAGGCACAATGTTTAAGAACAATAACCAGAACAATGACTATAACAATGATGATAATAAGGCCCAGAATTGCAAGTTTTGGCAGCCTGACAATCTGTTCTTATGATTTGTGATTGGACACATTTTTCTCAAAGTAACAAACTGCTTGTACGAGGCACCAGCAGAATCTTCTGAACATCTGTAGTCCAAGGGAGCTAATTTTGCATGCTTTAAGAAGGTGCAGACAGGGAAGTGTGTCTGTGGAATTCTCTTTGCATAACTCTCTCTGAGATGCCCAATGGATGCTTGGTGATAGTGGTGGACATTTGCACGTAAGAAATCAAGGGGGAAAAGAGGAGCCCCACCTGTCATGCTCAAAATACGTTATCTATCATTGTTGATCAGGGCTGGTCTGTTTCCTTTTCATAAGAGGGATATTCTGTTTTTTGTTTTTTTTTAACTTGTTTCCTTGAAAATTAAACTGGAAGGTTACACCTTAGGAAATTGGGTTTGATTCTTTCCAGAATAAAAATTAAAAAAAAACAAATCCTGCTGGGATAAAAATATTTCATGAATTCAGCAATAACTGAATTCCCTTAACTCCAGGCTTGAGTTAGGTCTCTGTTCCAGCAATGAGATCAGCTTTTTGTCAGCACGCTTTCCTGATTCTTTACCCACAACCTGGTAGATTACTTTGGAGTTCATATTAATACATTGAAACTTCAAATTTCCTTAATTAAATGAGATACATGGAAAAGCACTTAGACAGTCTAGAGATACAATAAAGCAAATAAAATACTAGTCTGCTTCCTTATTTTTGTATTTCTTTCTTCTTTGCCCCTAACAATGATTGATGAAAACTTTACATCAATATGCTGATGATTTCTAAGATGATTTTTTTAGAACAATGCTCTGTGCAAACACAAAAGCAAAAATAACAGCAGAGAGTTTCTTCCACTTTTTGAGCTATTTTTGTAAGCCCACAAGATACATTGGGTCATTTATGGCTTCCTGGCGAGTTTTTCTTAATTGGATCTCAATGAGGTTCCATTTTATTCAATCAACACCTCAGAGAGAAAATTATTTGTATGAATTTGTGGCCTATTTTTGATTTTGTTTTGATCCTAGTAAGCTATTTACAATTTGAATCATTGACTGATGGAGAACATTCATGAAAAGTTAAAATTTAATTGTACCACACGACAGAGCATATTTACTTTTATTTCTCCTCTGGGAAATTTTATGGAACATATTTTTCTCTTTGCATCCAGACTGGCAGAATCTTTTAACATAATACATCAAAAAATACTACCCCTAAACTGGTAAATTTATTCAAACTCACTCACTTCCTTCCTTCCTTCCTTCCTTCCTTCCTTCCTTCCTTCCTTCCTTCCTTCCTTCATCCTAGCTTACTGTGGGGTAAGAACTTGGTACAAAAAGGTAAAAAGACACATTATTCACTCTCAGTCTATGGGCAAAGATGAGGCAAGTTCCCATAAAGCAGTAATATAATTGCTAAAAAAAAAAAACCCTTTGGTTTATTTGCAATTGCAAATTCTTGGATATCCTATGTAGGATATTTGTTAAAGAATTTGTAATAAGTGCAGTAATGGACTATTATGCAGACATTTAAAAGTTATATTTTACAATAACATTTATTAATGTGAACAGATGATCACTATAACTTCCAAACAAAGAGACTGCACACATATACACATACAGAGCTCTCATTTGGAATACTGTAATAATAATAATAGAAAAAGCAAGTGCTGGCCGGGCACGGTGGCTCAGGCCTGTAATCCCAGCACTTTAGGAGGCCGAGGCGATGGATCATCTGAGGTCAGAAGTTCAAGACCAGCCTGGCCAACATGGCGAAACCCCATCTCTACTAAAAATATGAAAATTAGCCAGACGTGGTGCGGGGCACCTGTAATCCCAGCTACTCGGGAAGCTGAGGCAGGAGAATCGCTTGAACCCAGGAGGTGGAGATCGCAGTGAGCTGAGATTGCACCATTGCACTCCAGCCTGGGCGACAGAGCAAGACTCCATCTCAAAATAAAAAACAAAAAACAAAAAAAACAAATGCCAACACTTACTGAGTCCGCTCTGTGTGGCAGACATTGTACTGAGCGTGCCTTACAAATATTCATTTAATTCTCACAATAAGCTCTTTAGGTAGGCAATCTTATTAGCTATTCCAATGACGGGGAAACAGACTTAGGAATTACCTATCTTGCTGAAGATTAAACTGATAAGAAGGTGTAGATTTAAATTTAGCAGGCCTGATACTGAACTCATGACCACTATGCCAATTTCCCCCCACTATTTTATGTTGTTGCTCTGCTTCAGGTGTGAGAAACGAATGCAGCTACTGTGGGAATTATGAATAAACCAAAGGTTATTTTTTTGTATGCTGCAGCCCAGTTGTCCAAACCTGGATAAACCCATGGGAATGTCCTACATGCAGAAGTGTGTGCCACAGAGAAAAGAATACATGCCGAAATCACAGGCCAGATGAAATAAAGATGTGAATAGTGGTAATCTTTGAGCCATAGAGTGTGGAGTGATTTTTATTTTCTTCTTTTGCTTACCTGAGTTTACTAAATTTTCTAAGTGCATTTTCTACATGTTTAGTAAGTACATATTGCTTTTTAAATTAGAAAACAGTTATCAGAAATGAATGAAAAAAGTTAAGAAAAATACCTACAGAATAGAGTTGTGCCTATGTAATGAGAAATATTTATGAACGTTAAAAGGTAATAATTGTAATGCTTCAGTTTAGCGGCGCCTCCCCACCCCCACCCATATATCAATTAGAGTTTTAGAGTCTCATAGAAAGTGGCTGAGATAAACTGTTAAGCAATAGGAGTGAATGCCTAAGAGTCAAACAAGTCTGGAAAACGTTTATTCTTGCCCAGGTGATGGGCTGTTTTCCAATTTGAGAATCTGAAAAACATTCATGAGTGTTTATGGATAGTGTCAATTAGAAGGGACATAGGAGGCCATGAACCATATCCTTCATTTAAGAGGGCCCTGTTGAACCCTAGCCAAAAAGGATTATTGCACTGTCAGAGTTTTACAAAACATATTCCCATATTATTTGCTTAAATCTTATTTTTACTTGACTATCCCCCAAATTGTCTTTATATATACCCTTATGAAGTAGGTTAGGCCCATTTAAAAGAAGTACCACTCTAAGTAAATGGAAAATATCTGGTTACCTCCATGAGACCTCTATTAGATCACCCTTGAAGCTGAAAAGCCCAAGTTACTTTATCTTTTAAATGGAAGTCTTGCATTTTAAACCTATTTGTTCTGTGCCTTTCCCTCAATAGGCTTCCAGTCTTCATGCTTCCTCCAACGCCGAGAAAAACTTCCTGGATTGTAGCCCCTGGTAAAACATGTTCCTTTATCAAAAATGATCTGTTGGATAGATAGAGTAATGGTGGCTATATTTGCATATCTCAGCATCATGTCAGCTGGCCCTGAGTGGGTGCTTGATAAATATTATAAAATTAATACGCAAATGGCATCTTTTAAAATTGAAGCACAATTATTGGTCCAATGTCATCATATCTTCAATTCTGACTGTTTATGTCTTTTGGTTGCTATGCTTTTTAAAGACTGGTAGGGCCTCTCTTCTTTGTGGCCCTTTCTTCAGTTGGTTGCTCACATTGTTTCTCTGCAGTGAAACTCTCCTCCACATATCCTTTTCATGTTCAATTGTCTTTATTTCTGGATACTCTTCAAATACAAAAGGGCATTTAATCTTGCAATGCAAAATACCAGCCACTTTAAATTTGTGTCACCTGTAAAGCTTAATGTTGTGCTAACTATTCCATCATGCAGATCACTGGCAGAAACATAGAATACCAATATTCTTAAGTCAAAGTCAAAAAGAAATCCACTAGTGATGTTGCCCCAGTGTGCCTCAGATTGACACCAATCTATTGATTATCCTTCTGAGTACAGCCTCTGTAATAACACAGTGGATTGCTCCTGCTATCTATCAAGTATTGTGGTCTCCCAGGGAGTCACAGATGATGCATTGAAATAGTTTATTGGTGTAGAACATCTTTAGTCTCAGGAGAACAAGACATTTTATACAACAAGTGGGTGGTAAATCACATTTTTGAAAATTGAATTTTTTTAAAATGCTCTTAGGTACTGTTTAGGGAAGACCTATAATAAAACCTATTGTCAAATGAAAAATTTGTGAGAAAAGTTAATAACTATCCCCTAATGTATTTCTTTGAAATTGGCTATTTTACAGCAGATTTTCTCCAAGGAGATCGCCTGTATTCATTTTCTTCCCATAAGCTTTATAAAATCTGTAAGGGCTAACAGCTCTTGGAACTGTATGTGACTTATCTGAGGATTAATGACTCAACCTCAGTGCTTCCTTGCTGGTGTCCTGGGCTCTCTCTTAGACCTCACAGCCTCGAATGCCTTGAAAAAAAATGGCTTATCTGCCCAAATCATCCATTACTAAAACTGGCGCTTTCTGGTTTGCTTACCTTTCTTGTGTTGAGATGTTGTTTAAATATAGAACAACTAGAGAAGTTGCTGATGAGATTAGTTCTAATTGTGTGTACTGCTACCAGGAAACAGAAGTTGGCTGGCCATGTTCCAATGAAGTAGGGTGCAAGTGTGATGAATTTGTGGTTTCTCATTTAACATTAATTTGAGACAGATACCTTTGTGCATCATTAAGCCCACTGATAGCCTATAGAAGACTTATGAAATTATATCAAAATTTTGTGGGTATGTGTACCACACTTAATGGTTTTTTTCAGATTCTCAGAGGCCCACAACCTAAATAACTTTAAGAATTACTATGTTATGAGTATCTTTAGTCTTTGGCCCCCTGTTACTAGATTCTTTATTAGATATGCCCTTTAAAAATACATTATCTTTAAAAGTTTAGACTTTATTGGTAGTCAAAGCAATGTAAATATGTGTATCAGATATTACATTTTATTTATCATGTTGGTGAAGTTTACAAGGATGAAACTTCTTAGTGCTGACACACGTGTGAGAAAGGAGACACTCTCATACTGTCCCGGTGAGAGGTGATACTCTGGGTGGCAATTTGGCAAAGGTCTTGAAATATGCATATAATTGGAACAGCAATTCTGTTTTGAGGAACTTATCCTAAGGAAAAGAATTGGACAAGTATACAAAGATATGTATCTCAAGATCCTTACTGCAGTCTTGTTTATAATAGCAAGAAGTTTATAACTGTGCAATAGTAGGAATATTCATTTGAGTCAGTTATCATGCACTCATAAATAGGATTTTCACAAAATAATATAGCTGTGATTTATCATTAAGGAAAGACACTCATATTAAATAATAATGGTAGTTATAAAATAATATGTGTAGTATTGAATAGAAACTATTTGTTAGGCATGAATGGGAAAGCAGTCTGAAAGGATATACAATGAAAAGATAATCAACAAAATTATATTTCTGTTTACACTTAAATAATTAGACTTTTGATGGTTTTTCTTTTTTACCTATTTTTAAAATATATATTTTGTCAACAAATATATATATAACCTAATTTTTAAACGTATATGTCATAAAATTATAAAAGGTTATAAAATCCTAATAAAAAAAGGATGTATTTTGAGAACAGAAAAAATTTTCGGCAATAATCTAGTGGGTAAAATTTCCGTCTTCTCATTATAGACACTAAGCATTCAATTATTTAGCTATTGATTTGTAGAAAGACGACCACTTCTTTCTTGAAGATCAACTGATGTGTACATTTTGTGTTTGGGTATGGAATTATCACCTGCTATGCGCTCTATCTAGGATCACCAAATGCCTCACTAAAGGTGAGAAGAATGCCATGAGCTTCTTATACTTCATCCTCTTTTTTTCCTCTTAACCTCCAGCCCAAGGCTGAGAACAAAGTTTTCACTGCGTTAATATGTGGCCTATACAAATAAAAGCTAAAGATTTACTTATTTCATCATCAAAACTTTTATGGTATTTACTGGGTTCCAGTCACTATTCTAAGAACTTTGCAAATACAAACTCCTTAATCCTCCAAGCGACCATAGGATTGCAGGATTATTATTATCCCCATTTTATAGATGAAGGAACGGGTGCCTTACACATAGGTCGAGTAACTTGCCTGAGTCCGAGCAGCCAATGAATGAGAGTGAATGTTAACCTTAAAAGTTGGCAATTGCAGTGATATAGATGAAAACAAGAAGTGGAAAAAATCTGGGTGTTCCTACAATGAGGATGGTTTAAACAGACAATGACAGATGTTTACATTGGAATACTATGCAGCCACCAAAACGTTTTTGATAACTTTTTCCTTTTCTTTTCTTCTTAAAAAACGGCTTTATTGAGCTATAATTTGCATATCATACAATTAATCTGCTTAAAATGTTAAGTCCAATGGTGTTTAGTTTTATCACAGAGTTGTGCAATCATTATCATAATCAATTTTAGAAAATTTTCATCACCCCTCAAAAACACTGAATAAGTTGTACTTTGCCATTTCTCTCCCCACCCTCCACTTATCCTTTGCCCCTCTTCTCCCCACCCTGGGCAATCACCCCTACTTTCCACCTCTATGTATTTGCCTCTTATGGATATTTTCAGACATTCTTCCTAACTGTAATTATATATTCTTTGACCAATATCTCCCCGTCCCTCATCTCCCCTGACCACTCAAGCCTCTGGTAACCATGATGCTACTCACTACTTCTATGAGATCAACTCTTACAAATTCCACATATAAGTGAGATCATGCAGTACTTTGATAATTTTTTAATGGTGTGAGAAAATGTTTCCAATAAAATATACATCAAAGATGTCAAATGTATAACTAATACCACAGTCTTGTGCAAAAAAATAGCTAAATAAATAAAATAGAAAATAAAGACCAGTAAGTGACTATAACCAAATGCTAATGGTACCTGCTTCAAGGAGGAGTGAGACTGTAAACAATTTTAATTTATATTAGTCATTTTGTGATTTTCACAATGAATAGAGTGAACAACATTACTTTAAAATAACAGTTGTGATTTATTTTCTTCCTGTTACTATCTAGCAAGGAAAGCAACACACCTCAAGAAAAACAGCACTACAATTTAAAATCTGGAAACATGATGTCTGTTTCAGTGGTGGCACCAATACATGTTACCCTGAGCAGATATGTTAGGGAACTGAGTATAAAAGAATTTATGAATTTCCCATGAGTTCGGCTCAAACTTCAGTCTCTGGGGAACATGGGTCATTTCTTTCTTCCAGTGCTAAAATTCTGTTGGGCTTCTCGCTTTGTAAAAGTGCAAAAATTGAAAAGTGTGAAGCAAGAGTGTAATAAATAAAAAATACCATAGTAAACAGTAGACAGCCATCTAAGTAGAGGGCTTTGAGGTCTGCTGGGAAAATCTCTACAGAAAACTGGAATGTAGAACTATTTTACTATTAAATATTAATTTGTTTGCTTTTTCTTATCTGTCCAAAATTCTGATACATGATAATAACAATGATGTTTTAGTATGTAATACATTCAACATATTACCAGTAAGGTAGTAGATCTTCTTTTTCTCTAGCTAGAAACACAGACAGCTAGAAATAGAAAAACTGAGTGGATTTTTTGCATAAACAAAATTAATTATTCTGAGGCAGGAATGGAATCTGATCTGGGGACAGAGATGCAGAGAACTTGCTTTACTCTCTCTTTTGCTGGGATGAGAAAGTTGAGAGAGGTACTTTAGGCACATAGCATAGCTAAAAGACTCAGCTAGGAGTGTGGGGGTATATGCATGGGCATGTGATTAACACATAATAACAGCAGAAACACTGGACTCAAGGAAAGAATGAAATTTTGACAGTGGAATGTAACCTTGCAGGGAGGGGAGATTCCTTTTCTGCCCCTGGGTGAAAAGAAAATTACTGGAGGACTGTGGCAGTGATTCTCGGATAATAAGTGCATCTCTTTCCTAGAGAGGCATTGGATCAGCTTTCTGGGTTAACAGGTTCACTGATGATGCATAATCCATCTACAGTTCATCAGCCTGTGGAATGCCAGTCTGCCATGTTCAATAGCCATACTCTAAGGCACCTGTGTGCCCTGTCTGGCAATTGTCTCTTTTTAATCCTTTCTATACTACTTTGTCTTGCCTTCTTTCCTCACTGTCAGGCAAGCTGGATTAACCTTTATATACAAACTGTGTATTTCTTGTTCCTTGGAAGTTCTAAGATAACTGGGCTTCTTGGATGGAGCAGTGTTTATTTTGTTTGTTTTACTTTTTCTTCTCAAAGTACTGACATTCACAACTGATCCCTTGGATGGAACAGGCATTCCTCAAAGTCTTGGAGTTATCATGGAAGGAAGACCCTGGAGAAGAAGGAGCAAGGGCTTTTCTAGAGTTACTTGGCATTAGACTGTTAAAAGAAAGTGATTTCATTTTGTACCTTAAGCTCTTGACGGGGTGCCGGTTGTCATGATGGGGAAGCTGTGGACTACCCCTCTACTGTATTCCTCCAGAATGCTAATTTGTACACGTCAACACTTTGAAAAGATTCTGCTATTGTTTTTTAAAAAATCTATTCTCCCTTTTCTCTCTTTTTTTTTTCTATGGCCTCAGTAGACAGAATATATAAACCTTCTCTCCAACATTGACCTTAGTTTAATACTTGATCCCAATGTTCTAATGAGTATTTACTCTTAGATGTCCCACTGTCTTCAAATTAATAATAATCGTTATTATGTAGACAGCACCCTCACATCTGCATCAGACATTCTGAGCTTCATGCTGTTCTTCATTCTCCCAGACACTCGGACATAAAAATTCAGAATTACCTTTGTCTCCTCTCTTCACCTTTTCCCACAGCTAGTAAGTTCCTAAGCCTCTTGTGCTCTTCCTTTTGTCTACTGTTTTCCTGAATCAATGTGGCATTTTCTTTCTAAACCAATAGTTAAGGTGCTTATATTAGTCCTTGTTTTATTAATTATCATTTAGAAATGGCAGAAGGCAGCCATTATGAGCCACTTAGATATGCCATATAATAGCATATCTACTAGCACAATAGCATATCAGCATTAGACATAGCGGAAGCTACATTAACTAACCCCTATTTACTCAGCTCATCAGTCTGATTCCTTTTCCATTTTGCAAACATTTTCAGTGATACCAATGGTCTGCTGCATGCTCTTAGTTGGTTTGTATGTTTTCCAAGATCCAGTTATGTTTCTTCTCAAACCTGTTTATGCACGTGAAAACTTGCTATTAAAATTATGCAGACCATTTAAATATAAACCCCCTGATTAGTCTGTTCTCGCACTTCTATAAAGAATGAGCTGAGACTGGGTAATTTATAAAGAAAAGAGGTTTAATTGACTCATGGTTCTCCGGGCTGTACAGGCTTCCGCTTCTGGGGAGGCCTCCAGAAACCTACAATCATGGCGGAAGGGCAAAGGAAAAGGAAGAATGTCCTCACATGAGGAAGGGGAGGTGCTACACAATTTCAAACAACCAGATCTCCTGAGAACTCGATCAGGAGAACAGCAAGGGGGAAGTCCGCCCCCATGATTCAATCCTCTCCACCGCATCTCTCCTCCAACACTAGGAATTACAATTTGACGTGAGATTTGGGTGGGGTCACAGAGCCAAACCATATCACCCCCATTTAAAGAATGACTTGTTTCTTGAAAAATGAAGCTGAATGGTTTTGAAAAACTTAAAAGACAAGTTGCTGAAAAGATGCTGCTTTAAATTAAATGTGTAGAATAAATATAGATATGTATTTATATTTAAATGACTTCCTGCTTTACCTAACTTTTCAATTAATGAAACAACTACTCAACTTGACAATGGGGATCAGAGGCTTTAGTGTGTGCCTTGAGGGAGTGCAGCACAGGAATCCCAAGCATGGGCTCTGGCAGCTGTCTGTGTTCAAGTCCTGTTTCTATTTCTAACTACCTGTGCTTGGCTTTCCTTATCTGTGAAATGAGGATAAAATGAATTTCCATCTCATATGTGGATCAAATGAGTTAACTTTTGCAATACACTATAAAGAGTGCCTGGCATATAGTAAGTACTCAATAAATATCATTTATTGGTAATTTTTAGGTAAAGGTAGGAAATGGGAAATATTAACCATTTTTAGGTAAAGCTGGGAAATGAGAAACAGTAAGACATAGAATTGACCTGGAAGGAAACCTAAACAATGCCCTTGATGTCCTGCAATTCATAAAATAAGGAGCCACTTCAGTCACTTTTCTGAGAAAAGACAATAGAAAAGATAATCCTAGCTATTGTAATTGATAAAAATGCTGACAGTATAAATAACAACGGCATTTTCAAGGTACATTAATAACTCTTGAATGTTTGTATGACTTTTCTCTTTGATCCATCAGAATAAACATAAGAATTAGAATCTAATTGTAGCTTTGCCACAGATTACTTAGGTGATCTCCTGCCAGACACATTTCCTTTCTAGACTGAAGATCCCTCTTTGGGCAGTTGGAGGTAATAGCATCTGCCTGTCTACTACTTCACGGGATATAGGGTAATAAGGGTACAGAGAGATAGGTAGGAGAGAGTGGATTAGGGAAAGGCTGTCGACCCCCTGTAAGAATGAAGTCACCACATGACAGCTGTAAGAGAGTGTTCTATCTGGGGGCTTTTTGGGTGGCTGGAATTGAAGGTGTATTCATTTTTTTATAGGCCATACACCTATTCATGTCTTAGCTCTGTGTTCTGCAATTCCCATTTATGGTATAAATGGGAATGATTGGGACTTAAATGACAGGATACAGAGCAGAAAATAAAATAGATGGGAGTGGTTAGTGTGGGATCTGGACTCATTCTACATCTCTCTGTGGACAAATCTGCACAGAGAATATCTTTTGGGCTATATTGGGCTGGAATTGCTTCAGATTTAAAGTTGTTGAGAAGCTTGGCTGCCCATTGTTCAAATAAGGTATATGCAACTGATGTCAACACAATGTGTTGAGGAAATGTCACATCTGTCTGCAATTGGCTACCTCTCCATAGGAGAAACACTGCTGGAAGCCTGGAGACCAGATGTTGCTTTCAATCAAATAGAGGTCAAGCCGCTTTAGACCAAGAATGTCTGCACCTCTCCATCACTGGCCCTAAGAGAAACATGCAAAACATTTCAATGGAATCATAATTGTTTTAGTTCATGTTCCCGTTTTTCCTGGTATATGACATTGAAGCCACTAGTCTAGAGCAACCAAAACAGTGGCCCCTGGTCCAAAGACTATAAAGAAGACATCAGAGCAGTGAGATTCTCATTCACAATGTCACAAGCCTCAGTTCCAGCCCTGGCTTTGCCATTGCAGTTGTTGAGGGAGCATGGAAATATCACTTGTTCTCTCTGGACTTCACTATTTCAAACTGAGGAATGACAGCATTATCCTAGATGGTTTGTGTTATCCTTTCTGGGTTTAACATTCTGTAATTATGCAGATATGAAGGAAGCTTGGCCTTGACTAAGCCTTGGGACAGCCACCTGGACAGTAAGTACAGTGAAGTTTCCAAGGCAAAGGCTTTTTTAGTATTTTCTACTAGCCCACGAGGGAAAAACAGGCTAGAACAGCTGGTCGGAAACATGTCCTGTGCCAGAGTAAGAAATGACTGATTGTGAACTTAATTTTAAGGGACTCTCCAATTAAACCTCTTAGATTCATTAAAAAAAAAAAATCTCATCCTTCCACTAACCCCATGTGCTGGGAGTTGGGGGGGATCTAGGAGTTAATGTGCATTCCAGGTGGGTTTGCTTCTTGCACATCTGCAAAGGTCTTCTGTTGGAGTGACAGTAAAACAGAAGAGGAAAAACATCCAGGTTTCTTTCCAACTCAATTTCATGCCAATAACTATGTATATATTGAGCATTCATTAAATGAAAAGCTCTCTGTTAGGTGCTGCTGGGGATGAACAGGACATTGTGAAGGGGTAATTGTTCACCCTAGTCCTGATGTTTTTTTTTCCCTGAGTAAATCTCCTGCCTTTTCTCTACCCTGTAGCTCACTTCCCATTGCTGAAGTTGGGGGACATATTGACTAGGAAACTTGGGAAGAACAACTGGCTTGATTCTGCCCTTTTTCCAGGGAGCCCGCCTCCCTGTGCAGGGTATTTGCTCTGAATTGCTTTGTTCCATGGCACCTTCTGCTGCTAAGTTGTTGTCAGGAGGACGGGAACTGCAGTTTTCAGGTAAATGACTTTATAACCTTCCAGTATTTTTGGTATTGGTCAGAGGTATTGAAAAATTAAAATGAAAGAGTGAAATTTGGAAAGCAAATTATACTTGTGGCAAGATGGGCCAAGATGCGCAGTGTTTAGTCATGGAATTAGTATGAGAGAAGGGTCCTCTGACTTTGGTGATTTGTGGAGGTTTGAAAAAACTGCAGATGCATTTTTATAGTTATGTAGCTGACATTTAACTACTGTGACCTGGGTGAGATCTTTAAGACAGCCACACGATATTTTGTCTTTGGTGAATGATGGAAATTTATAGAGGTTTTGTCCATAGGCAAGAGGCTATTTTTATGGAGAGAACAACATCTGTGGGAAACTTCAGCTAGTTCACGGGGGTGACAGAGAGCTCACACCTTGGTTTCTTGCAAAGGTCTGGCTGATAGACTTGAAGCTGAGACATGTGATTATTGAGCAAGAGCTTCTCCATTGGCCTTTTAGGCATTGGTGGGTAGAACAATACTAGCTGCATTTAAAGGTCAAGGCAACTGGGTTTTACAAAGCACTGGTGAAGTTCTAGCTTACTAATGTTAGGCCTGGATGTTAACCCAGTCAATGCTAGATTGGCTGTTCTGAATCCCACTCTGCATTCAGGAGCAGGGAGGAAGCTGTAGAGAGACTAAGCCTGAATTCATGTAAGTAGCCCACAGGTTCAAAAATGAAAAATATTCAAAGAACTTATGGGTGAGTTTCAAGGAGATTCAGTTTCTATAGGTGGGCATACATCCTAAAATCCATGCCAAAGAAAATACGGAATTCAAGTCAGAGGAAGCCAGTGTCTTGAAGAACGCATGGGGCAAAGGGTCTGGACTAGGCCCCTGAGAGCCTGGGCATGAAAATAGCATTAAAGCTTCAGTTCAGGGATCCATTTGTGGGGCATGGGGGAAGGGGGAACTTCAGCTGAAACAAATGTGGGAATGAAGTCAAATATCTTCTCTGGCAGGCAGATTTCCTTGGGCTAAGTAATTCTGTAAGAGAGGCATGGAAGTGGCCCATATGACAAAGACTGAACATTCCTGGTCAAAAGAGGGTGGATGTTATGATTAGATAGAGGCCAGACTCAGGGCAGTACCAGAAGGCAAGAGTGTATGGGAGAAATTAAGAAGTGTGGGATACAGGGAACACGTAAAATATTAACCCACATTGGTAGGTGTCTGCTCACTGAACTTCATAGATCGTGGATTTTAGGCAACTGATAGCCATACTTTGGCTAAAAAAAAAATGCTTACACCTTGCTCTTCTTCACTCAGATACCACTGAGTCACTGTTATGGTTTTGGCAATGCTATGTTCTCAGCTCATAATTTTGTCTCAGGCAGCTCCTTTAGGGGTTAGAGATTGGCTCTCTCCAAGTTTGGTGGGTGGATTTTCTTGGAAGCTTTATTAACTCCTAGGATGCTTTAAAACATGAAGCTCATCTAAGCTTTGCATTAGATTGATATAACTTCAAAGGCTTTGAATGAACCACATTCAAGTCTGAAGGAGACATCCCAAGCTGTTGCTGTTAAAGGGAACTAATGGAACCCCATTGGTGAAGACAGAGAATAACTGGAAGAGAGTTGCTATGGTTTGACTCTGTGTCCCCACCCAAATCTCATCTTAAATTATAATCCCCATGTGTCGAGGGAGGGACCTGTAATCCCCATGGGTCGAGAAAGGGATGTGATTGGATCATGGAGGCTATTTCCCCCACACTGTTCTCAGGATAATGAGTGCATTCTCAGGAGATCTGATGGTTTTATAAGTGTCTGGAAGTTTCTCCTTTGCTCTTCTCTTTCCTGCTGCCATGTGAAGAAAGTCTTTGCTTCCCCTTGCCTTCTGTCATGATTATAAGTTTCCTGAGGCCTCCCAAGCCAGGCAGAACTGTGAGTCAATTAAATCTTCTTTGTTTATAAATTACCCAGTCTCGGGCCATTCTTTACAGCAGTGTGAAAACAGACTAATACAAGGATGAATTCTAGGATTTAATTTTGTTTGACTGAACAAGGTAAAAGAATACAATTTGGACATGGATTCCTTTGAACTTCAATTGTTTTGGACTTTAACTGGCTCAATGGCATAAGACTTTTTTTTTAAGAGAGAAAAGTGGGCTACATAAGCAAAGGAAAACATGCTTGGGAAACAGAAGTCAACTTTAACTAAAGAGTTGGCTCTGAGTGGATGAGAAGTAGAGATAAAACTGTAAAGGTAACAGGAATGGAGTTTTTGAGCTGGAAGAGTACTTTGTGGTCATCTGGTCAAGTCTTGAAGTGGAATCAGGACACCTGTGTTCAAACCAACTCTACGCCAATTAGTAGCTATGTAACTTTATTCAAGCTAACATCATTTGCCTTCGGTTTGCTGATCATTATAATAAGGTTTAAATAACATATAATATGTGGAAATACCTAGTGGAATTCAGACATATATTAGGTGTTCAAAGAGGAATTCTTAAACTCATTGAATCTAAATCTATTCCCTCTCCCAATTTAGTACATGAGATAATTCGGGCTTAAAGAAGTTAACTTATTTAAGTTTCCAGAGTTAATAGTGGCAGAGATGAGATTCAATCTATATTTCTCTTTTCTCCCTATCCAGTGGACTTTCTGTTTAAAGTGGCATGATTATTTCAGTAACAGCTTTACAGATGGCTTGTTAGATTAGGATCACACCAGGGCTCTTGAAAGATGGGAAAGATTGTGCTGTTTTTGTCAAATCACTGATAATTTTGGTAATATGAGCCTGGTGACCTACAGGATGGATAAAGGAAAGGATGCTTTTTAGAGGACATTGATTTCTGTTCCATTGTAAACTTCAAGAATACAAGTGGCTAGTCTGTCCTTTTCCCAATATATACACAGTTAAAGCAGTATTCAGTTCATAGATGTACAATAAATATATGTTGAATGAATAATTAAAAGGAATTAATAAATCAAGTAAGTAAATAAGATACGTGCATGAGTGAATGTAGTGGTGTTTACTTACATATTGGCCTTTCACTTCCTTTTTCTAGCTGAACATCAGAATATTCAAGGTTTAAAAACTCATAAGGACATGGTCAATGTCTTCTGGATCATTACTGTTAGAAATATACTAATTTTACCAAGACCTGTTCTTTCTTGAGAATAGGTAATGAGAATCCAGTCTGGTTAAAAGCATTAGATTCAGAATCCAACAAAATTGGATTTGAGTCTTGACTTGGCTCTATTACTTATTAACTATGTGATTTTGAGCAAGGACTCAAGGGGAGGAAATAGAGCAGAATAGGAAAAAAGTGGCCAATATATGATGATTGACAGAGTTTTTTTTTTTTTTTCCAAATTAGTTTGCCAACCTATGGGAATTCCTGGAAACACTTATTGTCATAATTATTTGCTTTAGCCTGGGCCATACTTTAGCTGATGGGACAAGGACCAACAAGGTCCAGGAAAATATGAATTGTTCATAGATCCAAAACTATTGTGATGCAAGAGTGGCGGTAATGCATTTATTTGTCCAAATACACTGGGAAACAGACACACAGTCAGTTTCACACTTTTCAATTTGTGGAGTATTCATTTACTTTGCTTCAATTTTATATACCTTCCATTTGTGGAGAAGAAGCAGAAGCGATATCCCAATAGCACTCAGTTTGCTATTTATTACCAAGTTCTGGGAAAGAAAAAATGTTCAACAAAGAGAAGTGCTTTCTCCTTTGTCTAAATTCTCAAAGTACATTGCAACTCCCTTGTCACAATGCACCGATCACCCAGCAATGCAGTTGTTTCTGTTTGTGTTTTACTGTCCTTTTATTATTCTCTTCCTTTCTCTCTCCTACTGCCTAGATCATAGTAGGCATTCACATCAGTTCCCTTACTGTTTTGAAGGAGTGCCTTCCGAGGGCTGAATTTATTAACTGAAAAGTATTTCTAATTATGTTTTTAAAATTTATTATTATAGATGATTAAGAGACCATGATATTTGCTTGACATACCTAAATTTCTCTTTATGCTGAATGATTTGAACATCCAAATATTGCCTTGAGGCAAGAGCCACCTAAAAGCTTTTTGTATGTCAAAGCCAAGGCAAACCAGGAAAATGATGTACCCCTTCTGCTCAGAATTTAGCTGACTGCATTGAAGAATCTCTAGATTTTGGAAGTCTTGTTCTCTCTTGAAAATGTCCCAAATGACTTTAAGCAAGAAGGTTACCTAGAACCATTCTCATCCAGCAGGATTTCTTTCTGAACAGAATATAGAGGGTGGGAACTTTTTCTTTTTCTTTCTTTCTTTCCTTCTTTCTTTCTTTCTTTCTTTCTTTCTTTCTTTCTTTCTTTCTTTCTTTCATTTATTTATTTTTTGAGACAGGGTCTCACTATGTCACTAAAGCTGGAGGGCAATGGCATAATCATAGCTCACAGCAGCCTTCAACTCGTGAGCTGAAGCAATTCTCCTGCTTCAGCCTCCTGGGTAGCTGGGACCACAGACATACACCACCATGTTCCACTAATTTTTGTATTTTTTAATTTTTTTGTAGAGATGGGGTTTTACTATGTTGCCCAGGCTAGCCTTGAACTTATGGCTTCAAGTGGTCCTTGAGGGTGGAAACTTTCTACTGCTGAAGGAATCCCTGTGACTATAATCCCTTCTCTTTATCAGAGTTTTGTGCTAGTGGAAAGCTGTGGAAAGCTTGAGTTACCCAAATTATAGTTATTGTAGCTTAAGACAAGCACCCTGGAGAGGGAGGGCATCTGTGTTTCAGCCCTCACATCCTACCATAGCAATTAATTAGCAGAGCAAAGAAGCAGCAGGATAGATCTATGGAGGTGGGGAGCATCCACCTCTTCCTTATACTATAAACATAATGGTGGAAGAGAGGGAAAATTATCCAAGTATTCCATGCTGCCTAATAGATTTATTTCAAACTCTAGATATAGCTTTTGCACATATGGTCCTTATCTCAACTTCTTGCCTTTTTCCCATAGGATTCCTCCTGCATTGCATCCTAAGCAATTAAACTGCTATAGTTTCCCTAATTCCTCCTACTTATTCACACATAGTGCCTTGCATGCATGTTTCTCCATGCCTGGAATGCCCTCCTGGGCAAGTTACTCATCTTTCTAAGCCTGTTTCATCATCTGTTGGGTAAAGATAATCAAAACATCTTCCTCATTGGGGCTATTGAGAGGATTAAATAAGATGATCTGTGGAAAGGGCTTAGCACAGTTTCTGGCACCAATGAGCTCAATAATTGTTATTTGCAATTTTTTATTCCTTTGTCTGCTTGACAAAGTTGTGCTCATCCCCTAATAACCATATGAAATATACTTTTTTGCTTTGAAATTTCCATTGTCTGTCAAGTAAATCATTGCTTTTTCTTGTATGCTTCCATATGATTCTATACATATTTACATTATAGTCAGCTGGAATTTATTTAGTTGTCTGTCTTCTCTGAAGGACTGTGACCTTTTGAAGATGGAGACTGTGTCTTGGTCATTTTTTCTGGCTTCTGAGTTCCTCTGTAAATAAAAATATTAATATTTGTTAAATTAATTTTTGATAGAGCAAGTGAGTGAGTCAGTGAATGCATAAATGAAAAAAAAAGATTCTTAAAAAGATGTACCATGGCAGAATAAATGGAGGTTTCTAAAAGTATGATTGAGAGACTGCAGGTTTTGACTAACTCATTGCTATTTCATTTTTCTGAAAAAAGTTCAAGATTCTATAAGCATTTGTTTTATGAATAGTGAAATATATAAGAATGTTACTGGGGTGGATCAAGAGATTAAATTGACTTAAGGTCAGTTTTCTAGCTAAGGAATGAAAGGATGCACTGGGAAAATATGAGCAGCTTTGTGATGAAGAGAAGAGGAACAGAGAAAGTGATCAGAGAAAGGGAGACAAGATGGGAGTGGCTGGAGGAATTTTGGGAGAGAGATAATTGGGACAGGCGTTGAAATGAGAAGCTATTTGGGAGAAGGTGAGAGAGAATTCAAAGAGAATTTTTAGGAAACTTCAAGGCAACTCTCTTTTCCATTTATCCAAAGAAGCCATCCTTAAACCACTCTAATTTAACTGACTTTCCACATAAAACAGCTCTCCCCATTCCCTCTGTAAAACACAGGTACTTGGTGCTGGTGATTGGATGTTTCTCTGCCATTTTCTCTAAAAACATCAGATGATGGTTAGAGAGACCGATCTTCCCGCATTTGTTTTCTGTCTTCCCTAGATTTGGTTTCTGGAAATCCTTTGCAGCAATCCGCAAGGACTTTCCTGCTTCATGACCAGGTTTTCTTCTGACCTTCCTAGATGCCTCCATCCATAACTTCTGAGAACATGTCCTTCCTAGATTCTTTCAGAGAGGGGCCCTTACTCACAGATGCAGGTCTGTGTTGAATTTCAGCCTTAACTACATGCCCTCAGAACTGCCTCTTCCCTGAGAAGAGGAACCACCTCTCCTGCCCTGTATGTTCTGTACTCCATATTATTGATTTATCTCAGATTAGTGCTCATGGAGCATGCTGGGTAGCTGGGGACATGGTACATGGCATTTGATCTCTATCTTCTTTGAAACCTATCAAAACATTAACATCAGCCAGCCTCTTACATAAAGCTATACTGTAAACATGTCTTTGCTTATATTCTATTTTTGCTCTGTGATATAGGAAGAAAAAAATAGGAAGTTATTCTCTCCTAATGTATAACCCTATTATGTTGCAAGTAGATAAGCTTTGGAGGAAATAACTATAATGTGAGGTACCTGGTTAGAAACAGATCCTGTAAATTGATCATATAGTAGTAAACACAGTAAAATGGGTGATTTCCTCATGAGTAGAAGGAGAATTGCTACAGAAATATCAAAGGGCAAGCAGAGCTACAGGATTAATGGCCAATACACCCTTTTGAGTTTATCAGAGCATGAATTTTTTGCAGGGAGCTGGCCAGGATCGCTGATTGAGTAGATTACTTTGTAAAAGTACAAAAACAGATTTTTATCATGCTGGGATGTTTACAAGCTGATATTTATGGGCTAAAAGTAGAAGGTGAGATATCAAAATGAATTCATCATATTGTTTTTGTACCACATTTTATGATTTCCCAAAGACTGTCTTGACACAGGACATGCATTTTTACTAACACTGCAAGAAAGGGAAAATTTGAGGTGCTGGTGGATTTGTCTTGAGCCCAGTTCTCAGTGCCACAATGAAAAGTAGCTCCCTGTCCTTCCTGTCTGGTGTGATTCCAGGGGCAGTAGCAAGAGCCTTCTTCTTATGATACCTGAGCCTGATGTACTAATGACTCATGCCTCTGGAGTCAAGTATTGACCTCGTTATGTGACCAGTTTAAAAGAACCCCTTAATAGGCATTAACTCCTTAGCCTCTTAGTTTATGAAGAGATTTTTATTTCCAACACTAGTGCCTGAAGACTTTATTTATGTCATGGTGAAGGTGAAAGAAATCCTTGAAAAGGATGGAAAATTGAATAAATAAATTGCAATTTTATTTTAATGCAAAGCTATTTTGAGAATTGATTCTTAAAAGCAGCGTTTAGATTGTCAGTTCTAATCATCTGGGATTTGTTTGATGAATTTAATATCATAAACTTCTGAAGATAATATGAAATCAAAGATGCCTTCCAGCTCAAATAAAAGATTGATCCCACAGTAAGACAGGATTCATGAGTGGGATCCTTCCTGGGCTATTTAATACCCTTTGGCTCTTGGGCACGCCACTTCACACTGAATGAAACTCTGAACTTGACCTGGAAATTGAAGTTGGGTAGGAAAAGAAGGAGAGTGGGATTAGGTGATCTTGGGTCAGGTAAAATCACAGCTTATTTCTATACTGCTGGCTCCATGATGCCTTACTTTGCCAGTTAAAACATCTGCAAAAAATATAAGGGAAATAGGTCCACATACCTATTCAAACGAGGTCCCTTCACGTGTGGCTGTTGGAATTGTTAACCAAATAAGGCAAGTCATAAGCTGAAAGTTCATTGTAAACATGCAACTGCAATCTAACTGAGGCATGGTTTCCTAACAATCCATGCTTTACTTCCGTGTTAAATAATTCCCATAAATAACAGATCAACAACTTATTCTTTCTAGTATTTTAATGTGAACAAAAAAATCACTCTTTCTGGAGGATTAGGCTATGGATTACAATTCCTATATTGCAGATGGGGAAACTGAGACTTCATAAAATTTTGCTTTTTCCAAGTTCATATAAAAGAGCCCAAACTTTTATGCAAGTCCTAGCTAATCACACTAATTTTTGGAACCCAATTACAAATTGTTGGTATGGTATGTCATGTTTTTTGTTTTGTTTTGTTTTGTTTTTGAGACGGAATCTCACTCTGTTGTCCAGGCTGGAGTACAGTGGCACGATCTTGGCTCACCGCAACCTCTGCCCCCTGGGTTCAAGCGATTCTCCTTCCTCAGGCTCCCTAGTAGCTGGGATTACAGGCGCCTGCCACCGTGCTCAGCTAATCTCACGCCTGTAACCCCAGTACGTTTGGAGGCTGAGGCACGAGGTCAGGAGTTCAAGATCAGCCTGGCCAAGATGGTGAAACCCCATATCTACTAAAAATACAAAAATTAGTCAGGTGTGTCATATTTTTGAAAATAATTTCCTACAGGTACCCTATAAAATTTCTTTTAGAGGAGGTTAAAACTGATTTAGTGAATTCATATATTATTGGGGTAAATTTAAGAGAAATAAGCCAGCTTTGCCACCTCCATCTGTCAGTTTCACTGTTGGAATGAATGAGGTGGGGACTTTAATATCCATCTGGAAGATATTCACTTTATAACATTGCTATACATCACTATATGGGTCAGAGCACCAGGCTAATCATCTAAGTAAACATTGTTGTTAAATTATTTCCCATTGTGTGGGTTTAAGCTTCATTAGATCTAGAGTGGAAAGAATACCATTAGCTCAGTGTTTATGGCTAACTACTGTTTTTCATTTTGGATTTGGTGTGATAAATTTAGCAAATAACACTGAAAACAGCTCTTATGCTTGAAAGACGTAATTGAACTGTACTACAGCATTAAAATATTACAACTGGATGCAAACTTTATCTATTGCAGTTCATTTTTATTTTAAAACTTCTGGTTTGAATACACAATAGGCACAGTTTGAAAAGTCCAAGGAATAAAATCATGAAGTGTGCCAGTGACCATGATCTTTTTGTTTCAGTTTTTGTGTATGCCTTTTATAGGAGAGTTGCAAAGGCTTGAAGAGTTGGAGAAAATTGCAAGTGAACTTGTGAAGTCAGTTTTAAAAGGACAACCTCTATTACTTAGAATATTTACGCTACAACTGGGCACCCAATTTAGTATGCTGGAGGTCTGCTGATTGCACAAGCAATGGGCCACTTGCATTTGCAATTAACCACTTACACCCTTGTTTTTCCTCGCAACCCAAGAGGTTGATTATGTGATTGTAGGTATAACAATTAGCACACATGAAAAGAAAAACCCAGCAGAAGCCTCCTAAGAGTGTCCTTTTATTGAAAGCCTCAAATGTGAACTAATTAGGTTAGCAGGTACAGTAGATGGCCCCCAACATGTGCTATATCAAAACACTTTGCCTATAGTCTAGTTGCTCTTATTGTGTAATAGAAATTGCTCCCCCACCAGTCCTATGTGGGGATGGCTCTCTGTTCCAGTGTAGAAAAGGAGGAATGACATACATGAAATGGATGGGGAAGGCTCCCAATTCTCGGTTATATCCTTGTCACTGTGGGATAACACAGTGGAACTTTTAAAATACCTAGACCAAAGACAGGCCAGAGGAATATACAAGACCCATCCATCTTTCAGAATGTCTTCTTTCTTTTCCTTCTTTCCCTTCCTTCTGTCCTTCTTTGCAATTACATTTTTTTGCTTCTGAAAATATGGCAAATTAAAAAAATAATGAAAACTCTTTTGGTTTTCCACTTAGAAAAGTTAAAGTATTTAGAATATCACAAATATAGAGTTGAACTCATAGAAAAGAAAGTGCAACACTTATATAATTGCTAGTAATAATAAGTTTATTTTGATGCTTGGGGTTAGTATATAAACCAAAAGTTAGCAGAATTACAAGGAGAATGTGACAAATACCTCGACACATAAAACTCTAATACATTTTAAAAAATTAGAACCATTTAGGAAAAAAATATAGAATTTTAAAACAATACAATTATGATGGACCATGTGGTAATAGATCATCTATATGGAACGTAGCGTTCTGCATTCAAGAATGTACATTCTTCAAAAACATACAGAAAACTTTAATTCAAAATGACCACATACTATGCAGAAGCTCTTTAGTTTAATTAGATCCCATTTGTCAATTTTGGCTTTTGTTGCCATTGCTTTTGGTGTTTTAGACATGAAGTCTTTGCTCATGTCTATGTCCTGAATGGTATTGCCTAGGTTTTCTTCTAAGGCTTTTATGGTTTTAGGTCTAACATTTAAGTCTTTAATCCATCTTGAATTAATTTTTGTATAAGGTGTAAGGAAGGGATCCAGTTTCAGCTTTCTACATATGGCTAGCCAGTATTCCCAGCACCATTTATTAAATAGGGAATCCATTCCCCCATTTCTTGTTTTTGTCAGGTTTGTCAAAGATCAGATGGTTGTAGATGTGTGGTATTATTTCTGAGGGCTCTGTTCTGTTCCATTGGTCTATATCTGTGTTTTGGTACCAGTACCATGCTGTTTTAGTTACTGTAGCCTTGTAGTATAGTTTGAAGTCAGGTAGTGAGATGCCTCCAGCTTTGTTCTTTTGGCTTAGGATTGTCTTGGCAATGAGGGCTCTTTTTTGGTTCCACATGAACTTTAAAGTAGTTTTTTCCAATTCTGTGAAGAAAGTCATTGGTAGCTTGATGGGGATGGCATTGAATCTATAAATTACCTTGGGCAGTGTGGCCATTTTCACGATATTGATTCTTCCTACCCATGAGCGTGGAATGTTCTTCTATTTATTTGTGTCCTCTTTTATTCTGTTGAGCAGTGGTTTGTAGTTCTCCTTGAAGACATCCTTCGCATCCCTTGTAAGTTGGATTCCTAGGTATTTTATTCTCTTTGAAGCAATTGTAAATGGGAGTTCACTCATGATTTGGCTCTCTGTTTGTCTGTTTTTGGTGTATAGGAATGCTTGTGATTTTTGCACATCGATTTTGTATCCTGAGACTTTGCTGAAGTTGCTTATCAGCTTAAGGAGATTTTCGGCTGAGACGATGGGGTTTTTCTAAATATACAATCATGTCATTTGCAAACAGGGACAATTTGACTTCCTCTTTTCCTAATTGAATACTCTTGATTTCTTTCTCCTGCCTGATTGCCCTGGCCAGAACTTCCAACACTATGTTGAATAGGAGTGATGAGAGAGGGCATCCCTGTTTTGTGCCAGTTTTCAAAGGGAATGCTTCCAGTTTTTGCCCATTTAGTATGATATTGGCTGTGGGTTTGTCATAAATAGCTCTTATTATTTTGAGATACGTCCTATCAATGCCTAAGAAACTACCATCAGAGTGAACAGGCAACCTACAGAATGGGAGAAAATTTTTGCAATCTACTCATCTGACAAAGGGCTAATATCCAGAATCTACAAAGAACTCAAACAAATTTACAAGAAAAAAACAAACAACCCCATCAAAAAGTGGGCAAAGGATATGAACAGACACTTCTCAAAAGAAGACATTTATGCAGCCAACAGATACATGAAAAAATGCTCGTAATCTCTAGCCATCAGAGAAATGCAAATCAAAACCACAATGAGATACCATCTCACACCAGTTAGAATGGCAATCATTAAAAAGTCAGGAAACAACAGGTGCTGGAGAGGATGTGGAGAAATAGCAACACTTTTACACTGTTGGTGGGACTGTAAACTAGTTCAATCATTGTGGAAGACAGTGTGGCGATTCCTCAAGGATCTAGAACTAGAAATACCATTTGACCCAGCCATCCCATTACTGGGTCTAAACCCAAAGGATTGTAAATCATGCTGCTCTAAAGACACATGCACACGTATGTTTATTGCGGCACTATTCACAATAGCAAAGATTTGGAACCAACCCAAATGTCCATCAATGATAGAGTGGATTGAGAAAATGTGGCACATATACACTATGGAATACTATGCAGCCATAAAAAAGGATGAGTTCATGTCCTTTGTGGGGACATGGATGAAGCTAGAAACCATCATTATCAGCAAACCATCACAAGGACAAAAAACCAAACACTGCATGTTCTCAATCATAGGTGGGAATTGAACAATGAGAACACTCGGACACAGGAAGGGGAACATCACACACCAGTGCCTGTCATGGGTTGTGGGCAGGGGGGAGGGATAGCATTGGGAGATATACCTAATGTAAATGATGAGTTGATGGGGTGCAGCACACCAACATGGCACACGTGTACATATGTAACAAACCTGCACATTATGCACATGTACCCTAGAACTTAAAGTATAATAATAAAAAAAAAAGTCAGGATGCTGATGGCCAGGGAGATGGGAGAGAGTTCCCTGACCAGGCTGGAATAGTAATTCCATAAGTGGTCACCTTCTGCTATAGGTTGGTGCAAAAATAATTGCGGTTTTTGCTATATGGCAAAAAAACACGATTACTTTTGCACCAACCTATTTAGTTGTTACACTTTTATGTTTGGGAACTTTTCGGTATGCATATTATATTTCACAAAAGGAAAGTTTTTTATAAAGTGGGAAGGGGCGGTCCATGAAGTCTCCTTTACTTACAAAGTGAACAAAGTATGGTGACAGAAATGTTAAAGGGATTCCAATGAAGGTAAAAATCAACAATGTAAAATTATTCTCCCTCTTTCCATTTGCATATAAAAATCAAATGATTTCACCCAAAAAAAAAAATGACCACATACTAGGTCACAAATAAAAAACAAAATCATTTCATAGATCATTTACTCTGATCAGATGAAATAAAAGTAGAACTGAACAGTGATAAAGAGAAAACAAATCCTCTTTTCTATACATTTGGACACACAAGAAGACACTTCTACATGATGTATGAGTGAGAGAAAAAATAAAATTATAAATCAGGAAATGAGAAAATATTGAGAACTAAATAACGGTGAAACCACTGAACATAAAAGCTGTTGGATGCAGCTAAAGTGGCACTGAGAGGTAAATGTGCAGCATTATTGCCCGTATTAGAGAAGAAAGACTAAAAGGTAATAATTACATCCAAATAAGAGGGTTATGGGAAAAACAAAAACAGAATAAATCCAAAAAAACAGAATGAAGGAAACTACAAGATAAGAATAAAAAATAATAAATTAGAGCACAGGAATAAAAAGGAATATTAATAAAACCAAAAGCTCATTCTTTGAAAGAATAAAAATAAACTAAATATGGAAGCACAAATACTACATTATATTACACTGATAAATGATATTAGTTATGAAAATGGGGATATTGTTACAATTAGAGATTAAAGGAATTGTAAGATAATACTATAGAATGACTTTATAATAATAAATTTGAAAATATAGACCAGACAATTTCTTAGGAAAAGGAAATTTACCATAATTGACTAAAAAAAAAAAATAGAAAGCTTAAGTAAATCTATAATTATCATGTATATCAAATTCGTAGCAAAATTTCTAGATACCAAACGCATTAGACCTAGATGGTTTTCAGGTGATTGGTACTAAAATGTCAAGAAAAGTAATACACAAACTCTTTCAGAACATAGAAAAAGAGAGAATATCCAACTAATTTAAGAAGCTAGTATTATTTTATTTAAAAAATGGTCAAGAACAATATAAGAAAAAATATAAACCAATTTTACTTGCAAATATTGAAAAAACGATAAAATCTGACAAATTCAGGAGTATAGTCAAAAATTTATCTTCATGACAAAGAAATTTTTATCCAATTAATATAAGAAGATTTCAGCCTCAATGAAATCTACCATTACAAACACCACAATAACATTTTAAAATAAAAAAAGTTTATGATAATTCCAATAAATGAATAAAAACCATTTATACTATTCAAAACTATGTTTATTAGGAAATACTCCTAGAAAACTTTGAGTAAGTGTGGAACTTAATTAAGCACTTCTATTAAAAATCTACAGCAAACATCATTGTTAATGGTAAATTATTAATAGTATTCTATTAAAATCAATAAACAAAAAACTATGCTCACTATCACGATTTCTAATCTACCTTCTCTGAGGCATTGTAGCAAGATGAGAAAAGAAAAAAGATAAATACTAGAGAGGAAGAAACAGTCATTATTCTTCACTTATTATTGTTTGTATAGGAGATAGAAGAGGTTTCATAAACTATTTGAGCTGATAAGAGTTTCTAAGGTTGCTGGATACAAGGTCAATATATAAAAATTGTTTTCTATGGATGGACAGTGAGTAAGTACAACAGAAATTAAAAATAAGATGCCATTAACAACAAAAATAAAAGTAATGTGCCTATGGATAAATCTAACAAAAGATGGAGAAAATTATGAACCTAAAGTTTCATATTTGAAACACATAAAAGAAGACTTGGGTAAAAGGGAAAATACACCTTGTTTCTTTAGAGATAGAATCAATGCTGTATGGACAGCATTGTCTTCCCATACTAACCTATAATTACAATGAAACCCCAATCAAATTTACAGTAGAATGTCACAAACTCCTATTTTTATTTTTTGAAAAGCAAAGGGCCAAAATAACCATAAGAATCTTAAGAAGATAGTCATAAAATGACAGATGCTGGTGGGGCTGTGGAGAAAAGGGAAGGCTTATACGCTGTTCGTGGGAATGTAGATTCAGCTACTGTGGCAAGCAGTTTGGAGATTTCTCAAAGAACTTAGAAGAGAGCTACCATTTGACCCAGCAATCCCATTGCTGGGTATATATCCAAAATAAAACAAATCTTTCTACCAAAAAGACACATACACTTACATGTTCGTTGCAGCACTATTTACAATAGCAAAGACATGGAATTAACCTAGGTGCCTATCAACAGTGGACTGGATATACATACACACCATGGAATACTACACAACCATTAAAAAAGAATGAAATCATATCCTTTGCAACAACAGAGATGCAGCTGGAGTCCATTATCCTAAGCAAATTAATGCAGGAACAGAAAACCAAATACTGCATGTTCTGACTTATGAGTGTGAGCTAAACATTGGGTAATCATGGACATAGAGATGGCAACAATAAAACACTAGGGAGTACTGGGGAGTGGAGCAAAGGGTGAAAAACTAATTATTGGGTACTAAGCTCAGTACCTAAGTGAGGGGATCATTCATACGTCAAACCTCAGCATCATGCAATATACCCAGGTAACAAATCTGCACATGCACCTCCTGAATCTAAAATAAAAGTTTTTTTTTTTTTAAATAAAGAAGACCAGGCATTTGACTTACCTGGCACAAAACTTACAGTAAAGTCTAGAAATACAAACAGTATGATAATGACACAGAAATACACAAACAGACCAGAAACAGTAAAAGAAGACCAAGTAACAGACTTATTCATACATGGGATAAAGTATATGACATAGGTGTATGACAAACAGTGGAGGAAGAGTAGGCTGCTCAAAATTATACAAGCCATATCCCTTTTTAACATATGAAAATAAATTCCAGATGGGTTAAACACCAAAATGTGAGAAGAACGACAGTTAAGCATTTAGAAGAAAATACAGGAAAGTTTTTTTATAATATTATGATAGAAAAAGATCTCTTAAATAAGATTAAAAAACATAAAGCATAAAAATTACATCAAACCAATACTTATAATACATAACACTATAAACAAGAAGCAAGGAGACTGGCATAACAGTGATGATGGGTGCCTAGGTATCTGTTACTTACTTTTCTGTATACTTTAAATGCCTTTACAAGATGCGCAATTAAAAATTAAAAACAATAAAGACTAAAAATCATTCAGGGAGTGTGGAACAGAGAGTAGGGCAGGAGAGCTGAAGATAAGCTTGTTTTTTAACCCTCTGTTTCTCCTCTCTCTTCCTCTCCCTCCACTCAGCTGCAGTATTATTTATGCTACCGATATATACCTCCCTCTAGCCTCTTCTTAGTTCAGCTCAGGACATGATGTTTTAACTATGCTGAGAGCATTTGGGATAGACTACAGACAGAGTTATGACTAAGAGGTGTCTCTGCTTCAAGTCCTGGCAAACATTTTCTCTCCAAGTTACCATGAAGTATTTCTTGGGTCTGTGACAAAATAACTCTTGTGGGGTGGATGCATACCAGTTTCCATAAGATGGCACCCAGTTACAGCATGCCAATTCACTTATGTATCTTGAAAATGCACGTTCATTGGTAATCCAGCTTGTGAATTTGCACAGACAATTCCCAGAGAGGTTTGATTGGAACTTAACCTGTTATGGCACTCCCACTTAACTCAATGGATTTTGCAACAGCCCAAAGCTGTCAGCCCACACATCCCCATGGATGGTAAGTAGATGAATACCTCATTGTACTCATTCAGTTTTATTATCTTAGATCTCTTCCCTAACATATTGGATATTACATGGGGGCTTGTTCTTTATAAAGACCACATTTGGATTTTACTAGGTCACTGGGCTTCCTGGTGCCAGGAGAAAGCCGTGTTTAGGGCAACATGCAAAGAATATTGAATGAACCTGGGCTGAGCTGCCTTCTTGTCATGTGCATGTTCATGGAGGCAAGGAAATAAGGCTGTTGGTTTACAGTTCTGTCACTGGAGATGGCCCCAAAGTGCTAAGTGAAGATTGCACCAAGGTTACCTTGAGATATAGCTGGATGAATATTGGCTTGATAAATGAAATGAGACCATATGTCATTACATGTAAAAAGGAGACAGAACAACTTTTACCTAAGTTATCTCGCTCACTGTGGTTTTGAGTCAAGACCGGACTTATTTAATGGTTACTTAAAGTCTATTTTTATAGTCTGATTTTGAGGGGCTTCTGGGAAGTACAGTTATTAAAAGATATTTCAACTCAAGATGGTGATTTCTGAAATTCTAAGATCATTCCATTAGCTCACACTACTGAAATACAATGATCCATCAACTCCAGCAGGTGCTATGTAGTAGACAGCACTGGAGATTTGCCCTGACATCCTTGGATCACTTTTACCGTTTCTGCACTTCTCTCCCCTGGCTTTGATATGTCTTTGCTTCCAATGGCTCAGACTCATCCTTCAGGAGCTGCTTTGCCTTCTTGTGAGTGTGCAGAGAGCAGAACTGGCTGGGAGTTTAGGTCCTACCTCCACCCTACTCCCAGATGATGGCCCTTAGCCAATAACTGCTAGGGATGTGGCTTTGAAAGGCCAACTCCTAGCCTCTAGTAAGATCAAGGTAATTCTGAGGAGTAACTTACTCTGCAGGCTTCCTCCAGGGGATCAGGCTCCTTCCTTGCCCCCATCTTGTTTCCCTCTTCCTTTTTTGTTTTCTTCTGGGAGCACCTTCCTAATAAGTCACTGACATATATATCATAGCACCTGCTTCCAGGGAACCCAACCTAATAGGTGGGTGATTTATTAAAGCTTTTCAGAGAAAAGAAAGCTGAAGGGTCTGGAGCACTTGAGGTGGCTAAGATTAAATCCATGAAGTTAGAAGGGGTAGGAAGAGAAACTTTTATCAGAGGGGTCTGGGTGTTCAAAGAAAAGATTGCGCCACTTAAAGCAAGGCCTCTGAACAACACTTACCTAAGTTATTGGATAATTTCCTCAGTTCTCTGGATTTGTTTTGCTTGTGGTGTTTCTTTCTTGAAAGTGTGTCTTTCTGCTCCTCTTCCCTACCCCAGAATGATCTTCATATGTGAGTTTAAATAAATGTAAGTTTGCTGTTTTCTCCAGAGACAGACTTTACAATCCCTGGATTGGTAGGCTACTTGGAAACATGGCTCAGATATCATCTGGTTTGGGGAAACATTCATGTTTTATAAGGATATAAAACTCTCTACCAGTTAAGAATCCAGTCAACTGAGAGATACATTACGGTTGTAGGCACACTTAAAGAATTCTGTCTTTGTTTATGAATACACATATAGTAAAAATTAAAAGCTTGACTGGAAATGATAAATATCAAGTCAAGATGATGGTCACATGATGGAAAGGGGGAGGGGAATAGAACTGGAGAAATATTTATAGGGATTCAGTTTTTAGTGTAACTGAACTATTGTTAACTAAAGTATTTATATAACTATTCAGTTATACTAATATATAGTTTTTAATTTAAGCATACTGGCAGGAACATAAGCATTAAACAAATAAAAAGGGAATTTCCTCTTAACATTTTCAAGTGAAGGGCTAAGGGAAGCAGCATGAAGGGGAATGGAGAATGCCCTTTGTTTAAGATGCATGGTCAGCTGGCCAGGGAGTGAGGGCTGGTCCCTACATTCTGAGTGTATAGCACTATCCATTGAAAACTTCTTCATTTTTGGAAATGTTCTATATTTGTGCTGCCTGATATAGTAGCCATTGACATCAGGTGACTATTTAATCTAAATTAATTAAAATTAAAATTTTTAAACATTAAAAGTTTGGTTTCTCAGTTGTGCTAGCTCCATTTCAAGTGTCCAGGGGCTATTTTAGGCAGATAGCTGTAGAATGAAGCTTCAAAGCACAGATTTTTACAGACCCACAGATGGGAAAACCGAAACCCAATTTTTTTCTATAGGGGTGAGGGAATTAATTGAGTAAACACAGCTAGTGAATGACTGAGGCCCAGTTTTCTGATTCCTAGTTAATGTTTCAGCCTCTAGCACCCACCTCAGTCGGGGTGTGGGGAGAAAGGTGAAGTGAGTTATGTGTATGCAGACATGGATGCTTTCTGCTTTAGCGTAAGAATGACTCTAGTATGTAGGGGTGTCTCTTCTTTGCTCTCTAAGCACCCTCTCCATAATCAGACTTTTTCATCCTCTGACTTCCTGTTGAGTTTGTGAAGAGCACTGAGAGGATCTGAGTCTAAATCTGTTGAATAGGAGAGCCCAGAAATAACATTCACATATTTACAGTTAATTGATTTTCCACAAAGGTGCCAAAAACACACAATGGAAGAAGGAAATCCTCTTCAATAAATTATGTTGAAAACTGGATATCTACATGCAGAAGAATAAAATTGGACCCTTGTCTCACACCTTTTATAAAAATCAACTCAAAATGGAATAAAGATTTACATGTAAGATCTGAAAGTATAAAACCATTAAAAGAAAGCATAGAAGAAAAGCTCCAAGACATTGCCCTGGGAAATGACTTATTAGATATGACCCCAAAAGCATAGGCAACAAAAGCAAAAATAGACAAAGGAGTTGTACCAAAACGAAAGCATCTGTACAGCAAAGGAAACAATTAACAAGTGAAGAGACAACCCATGGATTGGCAGAAAATATTTATAAACCATATTCTGATAAGGGGTTAGTATCCAAAATATATAAAGCATTCAAACAATAGTAAGAAAACATACAACCTGATTTTTAAAATGGGCAAAGGACCTGAATAGACATTTCTCAAAAGGAGGCATACAAATGGCCAACAGATACATGAAAAGAGTGCTCAACATCACTAATCATCAAGGAAATACAAATTAAAACCATGTGAAATGTTACCTTATACCTGTTAGGATGGCTACTAATAAAAAAGACAAAAGGATAATGAGTGGTGGTGAGAATGTAGACAAGAGGGAACTCTCATACAGTGTTGGTGGGAGTGTAAATTGGTGTAGCCATTTTGAAAACTATATGGAGGTTCCTCAAAAAATTAAAATTGAACTAACATATGATGTAGTAATCCCATTACTGGGTATATATCCAACAGAACTGAAGCCAGTATGCCAAAGAGATTTAATGATTAATTGCACAGAATGGAATGTATTATATAGTTCAAAATTGCTTACAGAGTAGATTTTAAATTTTTTGACAACACAAAATATGTATGCGGAATGACAGATATGCTAATGTGTTTGATTTAATCATTCTACAATGTATCCAGATATCAAAACATCACATTGTATCCCACAAATATGCACAATTATTATTTGTCAATTAAAAATAAAATAAGAATTTGGGTCAAAGGATGGTGAATAAGAGTAGGGTATGTGTTCTCCCAATTCCCTCCCTTGTAGCCTCTGAAGACCCAACTCCTGTCCCCCGGACCTCTTCATAGAGGTCTCCCTGTATCAGGCAGGGCTTCAGTAGGAAACACATAGCAATCCAAGTAGGATGATTTGAGAAGAATTTAATGAATAGCTACTTATAAGTAACAGTGGGGAGCCAATATAAACCCTGGGATTGGAAGAGAGAGGTAAGAGAGCAGTTTCTCCACACAGAGATAGAGTCACATAGTCCCCCTGTCTGCTTCTAAGGTATGTGCATGTTTGTTGGTGATGAGAGAATTTTACACGGGGACAGGGGCACAGGAGAGAGCTTGTATTTTCCTCTAGCCTCCAAATTCTTCTTTGTACAGTGTGTAGTTATTCAGTTAAATCAATTGTTATTGAGTATCTACAATTGATAAGGTTTTGTATTAGCTAATTTGGGGATATGGAATTGAATAAGGCCTTGTTCCTGCCTTTGAAGCTTTGCTACATATTTAGATCTGTGAGACACACATGCATGAAACCATTGGACCAATACATCTCAAATGTGCATATAAAATATATTAGCACATTATGTATGTGTATGTAATATCTGCTACGTTATGGCTGTATAGTTTGGGACCGGTTGTTTTCTTCCTCTGAGCCCTTATTCACCTGAAAAATTAAGTTCTCTTTCAAGGTCACTTTGATTAAAATGATAGTATGTAAAGTGCATCCACTTCTCTAGTGAATGTTTCTACTTGGATGTCGAACAGGCATCTGAACTCTTAAATTTAACATACTCCAGTTGAATTTCTAAGTTACTTTGCAAATCTATTTCCCTTATAGTCTTTCCATTTGAAGGAATGAAACTTTATTAAGTTAAAAGACTCCTTACTTTTTCTCATATCCCATGTTCTAGACATTAGCAAATCATGTTGGTTCTACCTGCCTTTGTTTTGTGCTGCTCTAACAAAATACCTGAGAGTGGGAAAGTTATAATGAACAGAGACATCTTGGCTCAAAGTTCTGGAGGCTGGGAAGTCCAATATCAAGGTGCTGGTATTTGTTAAGGGCTTTCTTGCTGTTTCATCACATGGTACAAGGTGGAAGGGCCAAGAGAGAGAACCCACTCATGAAAACCCTTTTTCAAAGGCATTAAACCATCCAATGAGGGCAGCCTAACCACCTCTTAAAGGTGCCACCTCCCAATACCAATTTACATTTCAACATGGGTTTTGGAGGGGACAAACATTCAAACCACAGCAGCCTTCAAATATATCTCAAGCTCACCCACTTCTCACCACCTGCACTGTGATCACTGTGTTCCAAGCTACCATCATCTGAGATCTGGATCACTGGAACGTCTCATTACTGGTCTCCCTGTTTTCATTTAAATCTCCTAAGCATGAGCATGTGATATAACTGACTTTTGTCTTTTCTTAACTTTGGTTACCTTTAGATCATTGAAATTTAGATTCCTGACCTTTAACAACATGGTTTTTTTTGTTTAGTTTTGTTTTTTGTATTTTTTGTTTTTGTTTTTGCTTTGGTAGTCTGTTTTCTTTGGAGACCCTTTTGTGACAATTTTCCCTAAGGCTTTGTGACTTTCATACCTTTTGGTAAGAATAACATACACTTCATTAGATGTTATTTTACTTTGTGCAGAACCCACAAAGAATCAAGCACTGAGCTATACATTTTAAAAATAACATTTAATAATCACATTAATCTGAATAGGTAGGCATTCTATCCCCATGAGAAATCACTAAGGAACAGCTTCCAACAAAAGTCATAACTCTGCTTAATGATCTTTGGCTTGAGATATTCTTTTTTGTTCCAAAGATAGATGTTTGAGAGTCTCTGTCACCAAGAGATTCTGAACCCAAACTTGGCCATGGCACATCAATCAAATCTTATTCACCTTTGGACTATGTGTATAATGCATTTGGTAAGCATTCACTGGAGAACAACTTTATTCAAGGAGTGCTGAGCTAATTCAGGGAGGAATAAGGCATTAACCTTGTTTTCAAAAAGCATATGTTCCAGTGGCAGAGATAGGAATGTGCACAACTTACTTCAGTCAACTCCAGAATGATGTGATAAGGGTGTTTAAGTCATGTCAGAAGACTAAGCAGCTATTAATGTCCTCAGTATGGAAAATAATTACCAAAATGATTCGAAATCAGAGTTTATTTACAGTTTCATTGTGAAAGAGAATCATTTGCCAGTTTAACTAAAATGTTATGATTTGATAACAGGTGTTGAAACAGAAAACTGTTAATAGGATCTGGGTCCCTGCCATAAAATTTAGAGGTTATGGAAATTCAAACACAGTTTACATTCTCTCCATGGCACTGAAACATTTTTGAAGGCAAGAAAATCCTTTTGCTTAAAAAAAGTAGTCATTTGCCTAAAGAAGTGACGTGTAAACAAGATCCTCATTCTAAACTTGTCTTCCTTGTGTAGATATGAATATAGACATTTGGATTTAAGTTGTGACATGTGTATATCTGTCTTGAAGACTGACATATCCTTTCCTCTCTTTATTCTTTTGGTTAGTATAAGTTTCTTTATCAATCCCATGGTTTTTATTTTTTCTTTCTATTCGAGGAACATTTTGAACACAGGCTAATGACTTCAGTTATCCTGGTCTATTTTTTCATGTCCCCTCCAGAGGCACATTTCAGATAATCACATGCTCTCCCCATTTATCCTACTGCAGCCTAGAATTTCTTGAGTATCTTCTGGAGCTCAGGTCATTTCTAACATCAGTGTGTATGTCACTTGATTTGGGGATTTATTGATCCGTTCCCACCAAGTCCACTGATTGATGCAGGATTACACTTGCTTTCAGCTGTATGTAAGGAGAATAAGTTTCAATTAGTTATTTCCAGAGAGAATGGATATCAGTACATACGTTATTTCATGTTATGAAGATGGCTCATAGTAAGTTCTGTGTCTATGGAGAACGTTCAGAAGAATTGTCAGTAATTTCACTAATTTTATGGTTTGTCTCTCTCTGCACAAAAAGGGTTACTGGATGTATATTTAAAAGAACTTTGGAAATAACCCATAAAATCCAAGAGAAATATCCATTATGAAAAATAATTTTTGTGAATGATCGGTAAATTCCCATTAGAGTTTCTCACAAATTGTAATAGTTTCATAATAAGTTAAAACTGGATTTATTATGTACACAGTATTTGGTAATGTATAAAAAGACAACACTGGCTCCCCACACAATACGTTCTGTTGAAGGGGATAATCGATTTGTGCTTTGTATCCCTTGAGAGCACAGATTAAAAAAAAAAAAACTGTGGCAGGAACAGTAATCTTTGCCAAATATCAGATTGCTCCTCTACATTTCCCAGCCTCTCTTGTACTTCATGTAAGGTCATAAGACCAGTTCCGGTCAATGTCCTTGGAGTGAAAGTGATTCTTTTCACTGCAGAATTAAGGGAATAGGGGTGATTGTGAGTTCTCCATGCTCCTTTCCCCTGATGTGGCAATCTTGAACATCATGTGTGGAAGACATGGTGATGTTACAAGAGGATGGAGTAGTCTCAGTCTGGGCCCTAACTGAATATAGAGCAAAGCCTGCTGATCTGTGTTGGATACATCCTGTAAACACCCACGTTAACCTCTACAGTGTGGAGTCAGTGAGATTTGGGTCTATATGTGATACCAGAATTACCTTGCCTAAAACAAATACCATTTTTAGGGAAATAAGGTTTGTTTCCTGGCTTCTCTTAATATACTGCCTACAGGTAAATATAGGTATTTACCATAGAACAAAGGTTTATGTCCCTTTTCATGGAAAAGGGAAAGAACTATGACATCCAAACTTATACAAAATGTCATTGCTAAACAAGCTGTTCTCATTTACATAGCATATAAGGATAATGAAATTAATAAGGGAAAACTAAAAAAGGCATACTATGAACATAAAATATTTTCCATCTGATATTTCTTACTTTCTAAATATACCACACAGATGTAAAGGCACCTGGATGTCTTAGGAATCAAAATTGTGACCATCTAATGTGGAAATTCAGCATATTAAACATGTAAAAATGCAATGAGATGTTTCCCTGCAGCTGTTTCTGATGCACAGTTCATTGTCTGTCTCAATTAGAAACTCATCTTTTGCAGTACCATTTCCTTCTCTGTGGTTGATTTGATCAAACATCCTATTGTGTAAGCCAAAAACATAGCTTTACCAAATCAGCCATAGTATTGTTTAAAACTCATCATTCATTACACTATTCTTCATCAAAGCTTATGCTACTAATATCTGTGAAGAAAAACTGAATCTCAAATGAAGATTTTCAAATCCACTTGACTAGAAGTAGTCTGTGAACAGAGCTTTTCCCCCCCACTTTTTATACTTTTTAAAGACAAAATGATTCGGTCTTGTATGGATCATGACAATACCAAACAGATGCAAATAAATATTAAAGTAATATATTTTAGCATTGGATCACAGCCCAAATTCTTTGCCCCAGAAAATTACACAAATGCTCTAGTGTGCATGTGGTTTACATTTAAGGTGTAATGAACTGTTCAAATAGAGAAGGGCAGGCAACCATATTAAAAATAAACATCAAATTTTAACAAAGACACATCCACTTAGTTTGCAAATAGCACTAATCGTTTCAGTTTATTGCAGCCACTCTGGCATATAGCATCTTTGGTGAAACCCAGTTTCTAATTTCAGAGTTCACAGTGAATCTGGAAAGGCTGCTATGTATAATTCTTTCATGGAGTAATTGTTTAACTGTGATCACATTGCCAGAGTGAGCACAGTCTCTAACGAGAGGCTAGAAATAGGAGTAAAATAGGAAAACAAATGGTATATAAGTACCCAAGACCGTGTAACCAAGGCCACTGATTCAGAAGTCAGTCACAATCTATTTGTGACATGCATCATTATAATAGCACTTACTGACTAGTATTGTAATACCCTGCTCTTGGTTCTGATGCTATCATGTTACACAGCTCTATTGAGAAAGCCTGAGAAGAAACAGAAAGAATGTACTCTTCCCATATTACTTTAGGTTTCAAGGCACCAGCAAGGCATATTTCAAATGCTTGTAACTCATATGCACACATCTGCAAACACACACACTCTGCAAGCTTGGTGTTTGCCATCTTTGTTTATAATGACAAATATGCCCTGCTTTTTGCCTCAATAAGTGGGTCTTTGAAACCAGGGAAATAATCTTGATTCTCAGCCCAAAGAAAGGCTGGGATGTTGTCTTTGCAAAAGATCAATGAGTGGAATCTATTGTTCCAGTAAACCCCTATGTTCTAGTTTACAGTTATAAACCATAAACTATTAACTTCTCCTGGAGTCTTTCAAGATTCAGCTGATAAAATGACAACCACTCTTGAAATGAAACAGCCAATTCCTGATTTTGACATTGGTTAGAGTTCTGTCTTGGCAACACCACCTCCCTCTTTGCTTGCTAGAGACCGAGGGAGCAATTGTGTCACCCATTTGGGCTGACCAACGGATGAGTGGCAGGATTCCAACTTTGCAGAAATGATGTGAGAAACTTAAAGCAAAGAAACTAGGTGGAATTATCCCTCCAGGTTGTCTAACACCAGTCAGTACATTAATTAAATCTTCAAATTAGTTACTGACACCGATATTTTTTTCTGTTATAATGGTCATTAAGGTGAACCTGAATTTGCTATAATATCAAAATGTTTCCAAATCCCTTCTTAGGTTCTTATATTTCTCATAGATTTTCATTTCTAAAAGTCAGATGCTATTTTTCACTTGCCCGTTGAGTGAGACTTTTCCCAACTATCTGAAACTTCCCTGGTTTCCAAAAACTTGCAGTTTCACACACACAAAAAATCGTGAACACAAATTTACAAAAGAGATTTGCGAAAAAGAAAGACAAAAATGGAATAAAATGTAATCAGTTACCTAAGATGAATTTAACATCTGTAACTTTCTTTGAACCACTTTTTGCGGGCTCGTTCACTGAAGGGTTTTGCAGAAAGATGGAGCTGACCTAGTTGTCCTGGGGTTGCTTCCTGGCATACCTGATTTTCACATATCCTGTAAGGAGTTGGCATTGTCTCAGGCAAGAAATTCTATTATTTACCCTCCTTCTGAGGAATTTTGCATTTTACAAAGAGGAGGAAACTCTAGGGGCTTTTACAAGTGCTGAACACACTTGGGGCCACCAGGAAAAGAACAAGAACAAGGGTTAAAGGAAGTTAAAAGCCTGTGGGTGGGTGGTTAAAAAAAATCTGAAAAGGTCAGTTTAAAGTACAGGCAGGAAAAATAGAAAAATAAGAATCCCTACAGAAATCTTACAGTAATATTGGGAAACTCATTTATAGTGAAAGGAATGAACGAAGTCCACCTGGTTATTACTGGAAGTGGAAAAAATATTTTAATCTACTTGCTGTTTATTAAAATTGTCTTACAGCCCATGCCTAATTTTCTGTTTTTTAATGACTAAAGTAATATGTGCATTAAACCAAATTCCAACAATATGTGTGTTAAAAATATTGCTTTTCACTCTTGTACTTTTCATTTTTAATCTTCCCCACTCTTCCTCATTTTAATAACTATAATAACTATAAAAATTCTTCCTATAATCTTGCTACTCAAAGCATGGTCCTTGAATCAGCAGCATTGGCATCCTGCGAGTTTAGTAGAAATAGAGAATTTTAGGCTAGATCTGTTGAATTGGAATCTGCATTTTAACAAGATCCGTCGTCATTTATATGCTGATTAAAGTTAGGAAGTACTGTCCTGTAACACTGAAATTTCACTTGCTTGACTCTATCCTATAGAAACACTAGCACATGTGTGTGTATGTGTATGTATGAGAGGGAGAGAGATATTTATAACAGCAAAAAATTAGAAACAATGAAAATGTCTACTAGCAGGGAAAAAATAAATAAATTATGATATAGTCACGAAGTGGAATGCATTGCAGAGTGACTTCTTCCTTTCAGTCTTAGTCATTTATCATCCAGCTGATGCTTTTGGGCCTATCTTTTCCTAATCAAGAGACCCGCCAACATGTTTTACTAAATGGAATAAGATCTACCATAAAGACATGCTATTTAAATTCTTTAGGGATGAACGTATCTAGAGTTAAGTTTTTCAATAACTTTTAAAAATATTGTATATTATACTACACATTATAATTTGTAGATTATATAACACATAAACATATATTACACAATAAATTAAACAAACGGTAAATATCCATCTAGTATCTCTTGCATCCTTCACTTTCCCCATTTATCCCCAGTTGCTGCCCATTAGCTGACCAAGCATCGTAGAGGTTGACTCAGTTCATTTCAAAGGGACACAGACCTGCTCCCAAATCCGAAGGTGTGAAAGAACCAGAGTGCGTGATCTGTCCGCTAGGGAAGACCTGTTGTCTTCCAGCAGTGCTTCAGTTGTTGCTACCTGGAGTCATGTTGAATCATGGGCATCTATGCAGCCTAATCTATATTGCCCATAATTGCAAGACTGCCACTACTGGGCCTCAACCTTGTCTGGACCACAGGGATACTCGCAGGGCACTTAATCCCACTCCCCTTCTACGTGGTTTCCATGGGTTTCTCGTCAAAGGCTTAGCCACTACTCCTAAAGTACATTTACTGTATCTGAGTGACTGAGTTAGGAAGAGGAGCACCTGGTTCAATAATGAATCCAGGTAGCAACAACTGAAGCAATGATGGGAGAGAACAGGACTTCCCTAGCGACTGATCACATAACCTGTTCTTTCTCAACTTGCCATTTGGGAGTACGTCTGTCTCCCTAACCACATGCTGTTCTGTGGCTATATATTTGTAGACAAAAACGCTACAGGAGAGAACAGCCTCCAAAGAGATACTTTAACTCACTGATTCTCAACCCTACATTACCTAGGGATCTTTATATAATGCTGACAGCCAGGTCCAACCCCCTGAGATCCTGATCCAATTGGGCTGCATTAAAAAACATTTAAAATGATTTTATTTAATCATCAGAATAACTACAGAGGAATAGGGATGAAGAATTGAAGGGCTTAAAAACCTCAGAATGAATGCCCAAGTCTCCTGCCTATAGGGGCCTTGCTATTCCGCCACTCACTCCCTTGCTTTGCAATGAGACGTAAAGTTCAAGCACCAGAATGTTGCTGAGCTCTGGTATGGATTTGAGCACCTGGATTTGTCTGTTTTAGGATGGTGCTCGGAAGTGTGACTGACATACAGCATACCTTACAAGCTGGAAGGGTCTGGATTCTCCATTCAGATCACAATTTGAGACCCATCAGACACTCCTTCTGGGAGAGAGGAAAAAGCACACTGTTCAATACTTTGTCTTAAAATGTAAAGTTAATGGAGCAGCCTGACTAATATAATGAATTTATTTTGATCTATAACATACTGTTTGATATGTTAGAATGAATTTTAAATTAGCTACAGTAAACAGCAAAGAAATGTACTAAGTTCATTCTAGAAACAGCTTTTAAAAAATAACCAGAATAATTTTTCAGTTTTATATGGAATTCAGATACCAGTAGAAGGAGCTATTGTTGGATGGTTCAGTTGTATGATTAGATGCTCTTTTGGACAGGATCTGTGAGCACTGGATGTAGATTACTAAGCCATTTACAATTCATTACTGCATTATAGGTATTAATATCACTTTCATTTTTATCACATCTTGGGGCCAAAAATTTTTTTAAAAGGTCATTTAGCTTTCAGAAACCTATGAATTATGGTGAAAGCATTGTTCTTTCTCTGACTTTAATGTGCTCATTTAGAGAAAAGTTACAGGAAAATACTTTCACTTAAGCTCTGAATCTGACCCTCCTGTAATCCCTCACATAAAATAACTTGTCATTAATGACTTCTTGTATTCTCTGTGCTCATTGCTGATTACATAAATATTTTCTTAACTTACAATAGCATTCAGAGTAAAAGGATGTTTATCGTTTTTAGAATAATAAAACTCCAATTGTAAAAACTCAGGGACTGACTCACCAGAACGATTTAAGATTAGAATTCTTGAATCAATCAGAGAGGACAAGGAGAATTTACCTGCTAAGTGTCAAGCACAGAAAACAGAGACATTTGGTTTTCATTCTAACAAGAATAAAATAAAATGTTGACCTGTTGCCTTGTTGGGTGACTTTCAAAAGATACCTAAGGTGAGAAAGTGGTTAATGATCAGAACATTTTAACTATAGTAGGATAGAAAACTTTGTTTAAAAATGTGAGGGACTCGGCCTGGCACAGTGGCTCATGCTTGTAAGCCCAGCACTTTGGGAGGCCGAGGCAGGCAGAGCACGAAGTCAAGAGATCAAGACCATCCTGGTCAACATAGTGAAACCCCGTCTCTACTAAAAATACAAAAATTAGCTGGCCGTGGTGGTGCGCGCCTGTAGTCCCAGTTACTCAGGAGGCTGAGGCAGGAGAATGACTTGAACAGAGGTTGCAATGAGCTGAGATCACGCCACTGCATTCCAGCTTGGCAACAGAGTGAGACTCTGTCTCAAAACAAAACAAACAAACAAAAAATGTGAAGGACTCAAGCACAGCACTTCTCTAACTAGCTGCTAATTATTTATTCCCCATTTCATTTTCATTACTTAAGAATCAAAGAAAATAATATTTTATTTGTTTTTTATTTTGTGTATTTTTAATTTTTGTGGGTATATAGTAGGTGTATATATTTATGGGGTATATGAGATGTTTTGATACAGGAATGCAATGTATAATAATCATGTCATGGAAAATGGGGTATCCTTCCCTCAAGCTTTTATTCTTTGTGTTACAAACAATCCAATTATGTTCTTTAGTCATTTTAAAATGTCTAATTAAATTATTATTGGCTATAGATACTCTGTTGTTCTATCAAATACTAGGTCTTATTCATCTTTTCTAGCTAATTTTTTTGTACCCATTAACTATCCTTGCCTCCCCACCAACAGCTCTCTACCCTTTTCAGCCTCTGGTAACCATCCTACTCTCTATCTCTATGAGTTCAATTGTTTTGATTTTTAGATCCTATAAATAAGTTGGAACATGCAGTGTTTGTCTCTCTGTGCCTGCCTTATTTCACCTAACGTAATGATCTCCGGTTCCATCCATGTTGTTGCAAATGACAGGATCTCATTCCTTTTTATGGCTGAATAGTACTCCATTGTGTATATGTACCACCTTTTCTTTATTCATTCATCTGTTGATGGACACTTAGGTTGCCTTCAAATTGTGGCTATTGTGAACAGTGCTGCAACAAACATGGGAGTGCAGCTATTTCTTCAGTATGCTGATTTGCTTTCTCTTGGGTGTGTACCCACCAGTGGGATTGCTGGATCACATGGTAGCTCTATTATTAGTTTTTTGAGGAACCTCTAGACTAGTTTTTTTATTTTTATTATTTGAGACGGAGTTTCGCTCTTTTACCCAGGCTGGAGTGAAGTGACGCAATCTTGGCCCACTGCAACCTCTGCTCTCCGGGTTCAAGCGATTCTCCTAACTCAGCCTCCCAAGTAGCTGGGATTATAGGTGTCCACCACCATGCCCGGCTAATTTTTTGTATTTTTAGTACAGACGGGGTTTCACCGTGTTGGCCAGGCTGGTCTCAAACTCCTGAACTCAGGTGATCCACCCACCTCAGCCTCCGAAAGTGCTAGAGTTACAGGTGTGAGCCACCATGCCTGGCCCAAACTGTTCTTCATAGTGGTTGTATTAATTTACATTCCCACCAAGAATGTATGAGGGTTTCCTTTTCTCTGCATCCTTGCCACCATTTATTATTGTCTGTCTTTTGGATAAAAGCCATCTTAACTGAGGTGAGATGATATCTCATTGTAGTGTTGGTTTGCATTTCTCTGACGATCGGTGATGTTGAGCACCTTTTCAAATGCCTCTTTGCTATTTGTATTCTTCTTTGGAGAAATGTCTATTCAAATCTTTGTCCATTTTTAAAATTGGATTATTAGATTTTTTCCTATAGAGTTGTCTCAGCTCCTTATGTATTCTGATTATTAATCTCTTGTCAGATGAGTAGTTTGCAAATATTTTCTCCCGTTCTGTGGGTTTACTTTTCACATTGTTGATTGTTTCCGTCAATCTTATTAGTCAAGAAATTTTTGCTCAGACCAATGTCCTGGAGAGTTTCACCAATTTTTTTTCAGTAGTTTCATAGTTTGAGGTCTTAGATTTAACTTTTTAATCCATTTTCGTTTTATTTTTGTCTATGGTGAGAGTTAAGGGTCTAGTTTCATTCTTCTGCATATGGATATCCAGTTTGCCCAGCACCATTTATTGAAGAGACTGTTCTTTCTCAAGTATGTGTTCTTGGTGCCCAGTGAATGTTCTTGGTGTATGTTAAAAATGAATTCACTGTAGGAGTGTGGATTTATTTCTTGATTCTCTGTTCTCTTCCATTGGTCTGTGTGTCTGTTTTCATGCCAGTACCATGTTGTTTTGATTACTATGGCTCTGCGGTATAATTTGAAGTCAGGTAATATGATTCCTCCAGTTTTGTTCTTTTTGCTCAAAATAACTTTGGCTATTCTGGGTCTTTTGTGGTTCCATAAAAATTTTAGGACTGGTCTTTCTGTTTCTGTGGAGAATGTCATTGGTATTTTGATAGAGATTGCATTGAATCTGTAGATTGCTGTAGATAGTATGGACATTTTAACAATATTGATTCTTTCAATCCATGAACACAGAACACTTTTCCCTTTTTTTGTGTCTTCTTCCATTTCTTTCAGCAATGTTTCATAGTTTTCACTGTAGAGATTTTTCACTTCTTTGGTTAATTCCTAGGTACTTAATTTTATTTGTGGCTATTATAAATGCGATAAGTTTTTAAATTTCTTTTTCTGATTGTTCCCTGTTGGCATACAGAAATGCTACTGATTTTTGTATGTTGACTCTGTATCCTGCAACTTTACTGAATTTATTGATCAGTTCTAATAGTTTTTTAATGGAGTCTTTAGGTTTTTCCAAATTTAAGATCATATCATCTGTAAATAAGGATAATTTGACTTCTTCCTTTTCAATTTAAATGCCATTTCTTTCTTTCCTTTGTGTAATTGCTCTATTTAGGACTTCCAGTACTATGCTGAATAACAGTGGTAAAAGTGGGTATTCTTGTCTTATACAAGGTCTTAGAGAAAAGGCTTTCATTTTTTCCCCATTGAGTGTGATACTAGCTGCAAGTCCTTTTTATGTGGCTTTTACTGTGTTGTGGTATACCCAGTTTTCTGAGGGTTTTTTTTTTTAATCATGAAGAAACATTGAGTTTTATCAAATGCTTTTTCAATGTCAATTGAAATGATCATATGGTTTTTGTCCTTCATTCTGTGGGCATGATGTATCACATTGATTTGTATAAGTTGAACCATCCTTGCATCCCTGAAATAAATCCCAGTTGATCATGATGAATGATCTTTTTAATGTGTTGTTGAACTTGGTTTGCTAGTATGTTTTTGAGGATTTTTGCATCAATATTCATCAGAGATATTGGCCTGTGTTTTCTTTCTTTGATGTGTCTTTATCTGTTTTCAGTATCAGGGTAATATTGTTCTTGTAGAATGAGTTTGGAAGTGTTCCCTCCTCCTCTATATTCCAGAGTAGTTGGAGTAGCATTGGTATTAGTTCTTTAAATGTCTGGTAGAATTTAGCAGTGTAGCCATCAGGCCCTGGACTTTTCTTTCCTCGGGGACTTTTTATTATGGTTTCAATCTCTTTACTTATTATTGGTCTGTTCAGGTTTTAGATTTCTTCCTGATTCAATCTTGGTAGGTTGTATGTGTCTAGGAATTTTTCCATTTCTTCTAGATTTTCCAAATTTTTGACATATAGTTGCTCATGGTAGCCACTTATGAGCCTTTGAATTTCTGCAGTATCAGTAGTCATGTCTCCTTTTCCATTTCTGATTTTGTTTATTTGGATCTCCTCTTGTCTTTCCCTAGTTAGTCTGGCTAAAGGTTCATCAATTTTGCTTAACTTTCCAGAAAACTAACTTCTTGTTTCATTTTTTTTGTATTCTTTTCAATTTCATTTATTTTTGCTCTGATCTTATTATTTCTCTTCTTCTACTAATTTTGGGTTTGATTTGATTTTTCTTTTCTAGTTCTTTTATTTTTATTTTTTATTATACTTTAAGTTCTAGGGTACGCATGCACAACGTGCAGGTTTGTTACATATGTATACATGTGTCATGTTGGTGTGCTGTACCCATTAACTTGTCATTTACATTAGGTATATCTCCTAATGCTATCCCTCACCACTCCCCCAACCCCATGGCAGGCCCGGGTGTGTGATGTTTCCCACCCTGTGTCCAAGTGTTTTCATTGTTCAATTCCCACCTATGAGTGAGAACATGCAGTGTTTGGTTTTTTGTCCTTGTGATAGTTTGCTCAGGATGATGGTTTCTAGCTTCATCCATGTCCCTACAAAGGACATGAACTCATCTTTTATATGGCTGCATAGTATTCCACGGTGTATATATGCCACATTTTCTTAATCCAGTCTATTACTGATGGACATTTGTGTTGATTCCAAGTCTTTGCTATTGTGAATAGTGCCACAATAAATATATGTGTGCATGTGTCTTTATAGCAGCATGATTTATAATTCTTTGGGTATATGCCCAGTAATGGGATGGCTGGGTCAAATGATATTTCTAGTTCTAGATTCTTGAGGAATTGCTAGACTGTCTTCCACAATGGTTGAACTAGTTTACAGTCCCACCAACAGTGTAAAAGTGTTCCTATTTCTCCCCATCCTCTCCAGCACCTGTTGTTTCCTGACTTTTTAATGATCGCCATTCTAACTGCTGTGAGGTGGTATCTCATTGTGATTTTGATTTGCATTTCTCTGATGGCCAGTGATGATGAGCATTTTTTCATGTGTCTGTTGGCTGCATAAATGTCTTCTTTTGAGAAGTGTCTGTTCATATCCTTTGCCCACTTTTTGATGGGGTTGTTTGATTTTTTTCTTGTAAATTTGTTTGTGTTCTTTGTAGATTCTGGATATTAGCCCTTTGTCAGATGGGTACATTGCAAAAATTTTCTCCCATTCTGTAGGTTGCCTGTTAGCTCTGATGGTAGTTTCTTCTGTTGTGCAGAATCTCTTTAGTTTAATTAGATCCCATTTGTCAATTTTGGCTTTTGTTATTGTTGCTTTTGGTGTTTTAGACATGAAGTCCTTGCCGATGCCTATGTGCCGAATGGTATTGCCTAGGTTTTCTTCTAGGGTTTTTATGGTTTTAGGTCTAACATTTAAGTCTTTAATCCATCTTGAATTAATTTTTGTGTAAGGTGTAAGGAAGGGATCCAGTTTCAGCTTTCTACATATGGCTAGCCAGTTTTCCTAGCACCATTTATTAAATAGGGAATCCTTTCCCCATTTCTTGTTTTTTTCAGGTTTGTCAAAGATCAGATAGTTGTAGATGTGTGGTATTATTTCCGAGGGCTCTGTTCTGTTCCATTGGTCTATATCTGTGTTTTGGTACCAGTACCATGCTGTTTTGGTTACCGTAGACTTGTAGTATAGTTTGAGGTCAGGTAGCGTGATGCCTCCAGCTTTGTTCTTTTGGCTTAGGATTGACTTGGCAAGGCGGGCTCTTTTTTGGTTCCATATGAACTTTAAAGTAGTTTTTTCCAATTCTGTGAAGAAAGTCATTGGTAGCTTGATGGGGATGGCATTGAATCTATAAATTACCTTGGGCAGTATGGTCATTTTCAGGATATTGATTCTTCCTATCCATGAGCATGGAATGTTCTTCCATTTGTTTGTGTCCTCTTTTATTTCGTTGAGCAGTGGTTTGTAGTTCTCCTTGAAGAGGTCCTTCACATCCCTTGTAAGTTGGATTCCTAGGTATTTTATTCTCTTTGAAGCAATTGTGAATGGGAGTTCACTCATGATTTGGCTCTCTGTTTGTCTGTTATTGGTGTATAGGAATGCTTGTGATTTTTGCACATCGATTTTGTATCCTGAGACTTTGCTGAAGTTGCTTATCAGCTTAAGGAGATTTTGGGCTGAGATGATGGGGTTTTCTAAATATACAATCATGTCATCTGCAAACAGGGACAGTTTGACTTCCTCTTTTCCTAACTGAACACCGTTTATTTCTTTCTCTTGCCTGATTGCCCTGTCCAGAACTTCCAACACTATGTTGAGTAATAGTGGTGAGAGAGGGCATCCCTGTCTTGTGCCAGTTTTCAAAGGGAATGCTTCCAGTTTTTGCCCATTTAGTATAATATTGGCTGTGGGTTTGTCATAAATAGCTCTTATTATTTTGAGATACAGCTCATCAATACCTAGTTTATTGAGAGTTTTTAGCATGAAGGGCTGTTGAATTTTGTCGAAGGCCTTTTCTGCATCTATTGAGATAATCATGTGGTTTTTCTTTGGTTCTGTGTATATGATGCATTAAGTTTATTGATTTGCATATGTTGAACCAGCCTTACAACCCAGGGATGAAGCCAACTTGATCGTGGTGGATAAGCTTTTTGATGTGCTGCTGGATTCGGTTTGCCAATATTTTATTGACGATTTTTGCATTGATGTTCATCAGGGATATTGGTCTAAAATTCTCTTTTTTTGTTATGTCTCTGCCAGGCTTCAGTATCAGGATGATGATGGCCACATAAAATTAATTAGGGAGTATTCCCTCTTTTTCTATTGATTGGAATAGTTTCAGAAGGAATGGTACCAGCTACTCTTTGTACCTCTGGTAGAATTCAGCTGTGAATCCATCTGGTCCTGGACTTTTTTTGTTGGTAGGCTATTAATTATTGCCTCAATTTCAGAAGCTGTTATTGATCTATTCAGGGATTCAACTTCTTCCTGGTTTAGTCTTGGGAGGGTGTATGTGTCCAGGAATTTATCCATTTCTTCTAGATTTTCTAGTTTGTTTGCATAGAGGTGTTTATAGTATTCTCTGATGGTAGTTTGTATTTCTGTGGGATCGGTGGTGATATTCCCTTTATCATTTTTTATTGTGTCTATTTGATTCTTCTCTCTTTTCTTCTTTTTTAGTCTTGCTAGCAGTCTATCAATTTTGCTGATCTTTTCAAAAAACCAGCTCCTGGATTCACTGATTTTTTGAAGGGTTTTTTGTATCTCTATTTCCTGCAGTTCTGCTGTGATCTTAGTTATTTCTTGACTTCTGCTAGCTTTTCAATGTGTTTGCTCTTGCTTCTCTAGTTCTTTTAATTGTGATGTTAGGGTGTCAATTTTGGATCTTTCCTGCTTTCTCTTGTGGGCATTAGTACTATAAATTTCCCTCTACACACTGCTTTAAATGTGTTCCAGAGATTCTGGTATGTTGTGTCTTTGTTCTCATTGGTTTCAAAGAACATCTTTATTTCTGCCTTCATTTCATTATGTACCCAGTAATCATTCAGGAGCAGGTTGTTCTGTTTCCATGTAGTTGAGTGGTTTTGAGTGAGTTTCTTAATCATGAGTTCTAGTTTGATTGCACTGTGGTCTGAGAGACGGCTTGTTATAATTTCTGTTCTTTTACATTTGCTGAGGAGTGCTTTACTTCCAACTATGTGGTCAATTTTGCAATAAGTGTGATATGGTGCTGAGAAGAATGTATATTCTGTTGATTTGGGATGGAGAGTTCTGTAGATGTCTATTAGGTCCACTTGGTGCAGAGCTGAGTTCAATTCCTGGATATCCTTGTTAACTTTCTGTCTCGTTGATCTGTCTAATATTGACAGTGGGGTGTTAAAGTCTCCCACTATTATTTTGTGGGAGTCTAAATCTCTTTGTAGGTCTCTAAGGACTTGCTTTATGAATCTGGTTGCTCCTGTATTGGGTGCATATATATTTAGGATAGTTAGCTCTTCTTGTTGAATTGATCCCTTTACCATTATGTAATGGCCTTCTTTGTCCCTTTTGATATTTGTTGGCTTAAAGTCTGTTTTATCAGAGACTAGGATTGCAACCCCTGCTTTTTTTTTGTTTTCCATTTGCTTGGTAGATCTTCCTCCATCCCTTTATTTTGAGCCTACGTGTGTCTCTGCATGTGAGATGGGTCTTCTGAATACAGCACACTGATGGATCTTGACTCTTTATCCAATTTGCCAGTCTGTGTCTTTTAATTGGAGCGTTTAGCCCATTTACATTTAAGGTTAATATTGTTATGTGTGAATTTTATCCTGTCATTATGATGTTAGCTGGTTATTTTGCTCATTAGTTGATGCAGTTTCTTCCTAGCATTGATGGTCTTTACAATTTGGCATGTTTTTGCAGTGGCTGGTACTGGTTGTTCCTTTCCATGTTTAGTGCTTCCTTCAGGAGCTCTTGTAAGGCAGGCCTGGTGGTGACAAAATCTCTCAGCATTTGCTTGTCTGTAAAGGATTTTATTTCTCCTTCACTTATGAAGCTTAGTTTGGCTGGATATGAAATTCTGGGTTGAAAATTCTTTTCTTTAAGAATGTTGAATATTGGTCCCCACTCTCTTCTGGCTTGTAGAGTTTCTGCTGAGAAATCAGCTGTTAGTCTGATGGGCTTCCCTTTGTGGGTAACCCGACCTTTCTCTCTGGTTGCCCTTAACATTTTTTCCTTCATTTCAACTTTGGTGAATCTGACAATTATGTGTCTTGGAGTTGCTCTTCTTGAGGAGTATCTTTGCGACGTTCTCTGTATTTCCTGAATTTGAATGTTGTCCTGCCTCACTACGTTGGGGATGTTCTCCTGGATAAAATGCTGGAGAGTGTTTTCCAACTTGGTTCCATTCTCTCCGTCACTTTCAGGTACACCAATCAGACATAGATTTGGTCTTTTCACATAGTCCCATATTTCTTGGAGGCTTTGTTTGTTTCTTTTTACTCTTTTTTTCTCTAAACTTCTCTTCTCACTTCATTTCATTCATTTGATCTTCAGTCACTGATACCCTTTCTTCCACTTGATCAAATCAGCTACTGAAGCTTGTGCATGCATCACATAGTTCTCGTGCCATAGTTTCCAGCTCCATCAGGTCATTTAAGGACTTCTGTACACTGTTTATTCTAGTTAGCCATTTGTCTAATCTTTTTTCAAGGTTTTTAGCTTCTTTGCGATGGGTTCGAAAATTCTCCTTTAGCTCGGAGAAGTTTGTTATTACCGATCATCTGAAGTCTTCTTCTCTCAACTCATCAAAGTCATTCTCCGTCCAGCTTTGTTCCATTGCTGTCAAGGAGTTGCATTCCTTTGGAGGAGAAGAGGCACTCTGATTTTTAGAATTTTCAGCTTTTCTGCTCTGGTTTCTCCCCATCTTTGTGGTTTTATCTACCTTTGGTCTTTGATGATGGTGATGTACAGATGGAGTTTTGGTGTGGATGTCCTTTCTGTTTGTTAGTTTTCCTCCTAACAGTCAGGACCCTCAGCTGCATGTCTGTTGGAGTTTGCTGGAGGTCCACTCCAGACCCTGTTTGCCTGGGTATCACCAGCGGAGGCTGCAGAACAGCAAATATTGCAGAATGGCAGATGTTGCTGCCTGATCCTCCCTCTGGAAGCTTCGTCTCAGAGGTGCACCCAGCTGTATGAGGTGTCAATTGGCCCCTAGGGGGACATGTCTCCCAGTTAGGCTACTCGGGGGTCAGGGACCCACTTGAGGAGGCAGTCTGTCCATTCTCAGATCTCAAACTCCATGCTGGGAGAACCACTACTGTCTTCAAAGCTGTCAGACAGGGATGTTTAAGTCTGCAGGAGTTTCTGTTGCCTTTTGTTCAGCTATGCCTTGTCCCCAGAGGTGGAGTCTACAGAGGCAGGCAGGCTTCCTTGAGCTGTGGTGGGCCCCACCCAGTTCGAGCTTCCCAGCAGCTTTGTTTACCTACTCAAGTCTCAGCAATGGGGGACGCCCCTCCTTGAGCCTCACTGCTGCCTTGCAGTTCAATCTCAGACTGCTGCGCTAGCAGTGAGCGAGCTTCCATGGGCGTCGGACCCTCTGAGCCATGCACAGGATATAATCTCCTGGTGTGCCATTTGCTAAGGCCATTGGAAAAGTGCAGTATTAGGGTGGGAGTGTCCCGATTTTCCAGGTGCCGTCTGTCATGGCTTCCCTTTGCTAGGAAAGGGAATTCCCTGACCCCTTGCGCTTCCTGGGTGAGGTGATGCCCTGCCCTGCTCCGTGGCCTGCACCCACTGTCTGACAAGCCCCAGTGAGATGAACCTGGTATCTCAGTTGGAAATGCAGAAATCACCTGTCTTCTGCGTCGCTCATGCTGGGAGCTGCAGACTGGAGCTGTTCCTATTTGGCCATCTTAGAACTTCCCCCCCTTTTCTAGTTCTTTAAGATGCATTGTTAGGCTGTTTATTTGAAGATTTTCTTCTTCTTTATGTAGGGACGTATAGTTATAAACTCCCCTCTTAGTACTGCTTTTGCTGTATTCCATAGGTTTTGGTATGTTGTGTTTCCTTTATCATTTGTTTCAGGAAATTTTTCAATATATTTCCTAATTCTTTATTGACTTGCTGGTCATTTAGGTACACATTGTTTAATTTCCATGTATTTGTATAGTTTCAAAGTTCCTCTTGTTATTGATTTTTAGTTTTATTCCACTATGGTCAGAAAAGATGCTTGATATTATTTCAAGATTTTTTCAATGTTTTAAGACTTATTTGGGATTTAAAATATGGTCTTTCCTTGAGAATGATTCATGTGCTGAGGAAAATAATGTGTAGTCTGCAGTCATTTGATGAAATGTTCTGTAAATGTCTATTAGGTCCATTTAGTCTATAGCGCAGATTAAGTCCAATGTTTCTTTGTTAATTTTCTGTCTGGAAGATCTGTCTAATGCTGAAAGTAGGGTGTTGAAGTCTCCAGCTATTATTATATTGGGGCCTGTCTCTCTCTTTAGCGCTAATAATATTTGCTTTACATATCTGGGTGCTCTAGTGGTGGGTGCATATACATTTATAATTGCTATATCTACTGCTGAATTGACCCCTTTATCATTATATAGTGACCTTCTTTGTCTCTTCTTATAGTTTTTATCTTAAAAACTATTTTGTCTGATATAAGTATAGCCAATCCTGATCTTTTTTGATTTCCATTGACATGGAATATCTTTCCATATCTTTATTTTCAGTCTATGTGTGTCTTTATTGATGAAATGTGTTTCTTATAGACAATAGACCATTGTGTCTTGTATTTTTAAATATATTCAGTCACTCCATGTCTTTTGATTGGAAAGTTTAATTCATTTACATTTAATGTCACTATTGATAAGTAAGGACTTACTCCTGCCATTTTGTTATTTGTTTTCTGGTTGCTTTGTGGTCCCCTCTCCCTTCTTTCTTTCCTTCCTGTCTAGAAGGAGCCAATATTTAACATAAGAGAGATTAGAGGGTGGATTGATTTGATGAACATTCAATTTTATTTCAGCATCTGGGAGCATTACAGAATTATTTGGTTGTCAGTATGTATAATTCTAGAATTTGATCACATGAATATTATAATCATAATACATTAAAGGAAACATTAATAAAGAGAAGTTGACAGCATAATATTTATTGGAAATCGAATTCAAACCAGGCAGCTTCTGGTTCAAATGATTACTTAGACAGGAGTTGTGATCTGTGCTCATCTTGGCTTAAGACCATTACATTTCCTAAAATAAGTATCTAAGAACATTTTGCTTGTGATGAACATTTACACTGAAATATATATTATGGAAAATATTTTTTGCATCATAAATCAATAATGAAATAGCCTAATTCTCATTGATCTGTGGCTAAATGGAAAGTGGGCCACAGCTGGAGACATGCGCATAGAAAAACCTGAAGCCTCCTGGATCTCGTGGGTTGTCACTTCACAGAGAATGTTTCTGGGCAGGAGCTTTCTCTTTTCTGGGGTTCCTATATCTAGGGAATGTGAGATGAACTCAAAGAAAGCATACACTCTTGTCACTTTTAAAGATCCAAGGTTAATCAAGTCAATAGACTATACTGAAAGAAGACACTGAATCTTTACTGAGTTTCTATTAGTTAATAATGAAGAATGATTAATAAACTCTCAGATGTCAGGTTTGTGAATATTTTTAAGCAATGCTTTCTTTTGTGGAACATTTTACCATGAGTAAGAAAGAGTAATTCCCTTAAATAATCTATTAGCAGCAAAAAAGCAAACCAAAAATTAGCAAAGAATGGTAACAATAACTATGATGTCTCAGTCTAATTCTGTTAAGAGACAGATTTAGTATGCTCCAAGGCCAGAGAACAACTTGAAACAAAAGAAACCATAAAAACACAGTCCCCAAACTGTAAGAAGACCCTAAAAACTCATTCTTCAAAAGCCATTTTGCAGGTCTATGGCTAGCCCAGAGAAGGCAGAGCACAAGCTTTGGCGTCAGGTAGAGCAGCAGAGGTTTAAATTCGATGTCTCACAGATAGTGGCTGTGTAACCTTAGGCAAGTTAACACACTGAGGATAATTTGTTTGTTTCCAAAGTGAGGATGATAGTGAAATTAGAATAATGTGCAGTTAATCATTATTATTCATAGAATACACATTTGCAAATGTACATACTCACTAAAATTTATGTGTAGCCCCCAAATTAATACTCAGCAGTGCTTTAGTGGTCATTTGTGGGCATGTGCATGCACAGAGCCACGGAAATTCTCCGATATGCGAAGCCATATTCCCAGCTGAGAAAGAACAAGGTGTCGACAACATGCATGATGCTCAGCCTTCTTTTTGCAGCTCTCATACTGTAAATAAGCATTTTTTAGGGTACATTTAGTGCCATGTTTTTCTCATTTTTGTGCTTTTTTGGGTGATTTTGCTATTTAAAATAGCCCATGCCTAGTTCTGAAGTGCTGTCTAAGTGTTACTGAGCACAGGAAGGCTGTGACATGCCTTACAGGGAAAATATGTATGTTAGCTAAGCTTCATTCAGGCATATGTTATAGTGCTGTTGGCTGTGAGTTCAAGGTTAATGAATCAACTATATATTAAATAAGATATTATTGAACACAAACACACCTAGAACAAGGTTGTATATTGATGAAAATGCTGTCACCAGAGGCTTGCAGTTCCCTAAACCTATATTTCCCCTAGTAACAATTGTTCAGTATTAGCAGCGACTTTATAGAACATAACTACTGTGAATAATGAGAAGCAACTATATATGAAGTGTCTGTACACTTTGGATTTAAGCCTATTTCAAAATTGGAATTTCTTCCAGCCAACTTGTTGGACCTAAAATATAATGGTATGAATCTGGTTTCTCTCCATTTTCTCAATCTCTATCAGCCCCAACATTATCCTCTGGCCTTTTTTACACGATAGAATAGATTATGCTGCAATAAATTTTTTTTAGAGAAACATATTCATTAAGTATAGAATGTATGTCAAGCACTTTGCTAAGAAATAGATGCCCTGCAGCTGCTTGGAGATCTGGTAAGATAGAGACATACGTATCAGTTCACAACTGAACATGGCCATGATGTGATGGATTATGGACAAAGCGCAGTGGCGGCACAGAGGATGGACCAGCTGAATGGCTTTGAAGGGAGAGGGATAGAGGAAGAGAGGGCTTAATGTGGGATGTGGCACTTTGCCTGGGCTTTATTGTATATAATAACGTTCACCAGGCAAAGAAGGTAAAAGCAGACCAAGAGAAGAGAATTTCATGTGAAAAGACACGAAGGTGTAAAAGAATATCTTATGGTCAGTGTGGCTGGAAGGTAGAGTGTGAGGTGGGTGCAGGGGAGGAGGGAGGACCAGGGAGAGGGGCAGGGAGTGCCTAGAGATGAGACTTGCAGGAGAAGCTGAGACCATATTGTGAGCGCCAGGTATCCAGGATAATTTGATAGAGACTATTAGGCAGATTTTAAAAATAATTTTTAATGTGAAAAAATACATATATTAAAATTCACAAAATAAAAATGTATACTTTAAACATTCTTTTAAAGTGAATACTCACGTAACCATCCCTGGGTCAGAAAACAGAACATTTCCAGACCCCTAGAAGCTTGCTTCCACAAGCTTCTTTCTAACTCCAATCCCTTCCCCCATAATAAGTGTAAACTCTGTAATGAATTTTATGGTCGTCACATCCTGGCTTTTCTTTATGGTCTCACCACCTATGGTAGGCAGAATAATTATCTCCCCAAATCTGAGCGCCCATGTCCTAGTCTCCCGGAACCTGTGACTGTGTTATCTTATATGACAAAAGAGACCTTGCAGATGTGATTAAAATAAGGATCTTGAGATGGGAGAGCACCCTCGATTACCTAGGTGGATCCAGTGTAATCTCAGGTGTCCTTAAAAGTGAAAGAGGGAGGCAGGATGGTCAGAGAAGGAGACAGGAAAACAGAAGCAGATGGCAGAGTGATCTGATTGCTGGAAAGGAGCCACACGAGAAGGAACACAGGAAGCCTCAAGAAACTGAAAAAGGCTAAGAATGGATTATCCTCTAGAACCTCCAGAAGAAACACCATTCTTCTGGCCTCTTATTTTTTTAAATTTATTTATTTTTATTTATTTTTATTTTTTGAGATGGATTCTTGCTCTTTCACCCAGGCTGGAGTGCAGTAACGCAATCTTGGCTCATTGCAACCTCCACCTCCTGTGTTCAAGCGATTCTCCTGCCTCAGCCTCCCGAGTAGCTGGGATTACAGGCACCCACTATCATGCTCAGCTAAATTTTTGTTGTTGTTGTTGTTGTTTTTGTATTTTTAGTAGAGATGGGATTTCACCATGTTGGCCAGGCTGGTCTCGAACTCCTGACTTCACGTGATCTGCTCGCCTCGGCCTCCCAAAGCGCTGGGATTACAGGCGTGGATGGCACACCCAGCGTGGCCTCTTAAATTTAGCTCCATCATACCCATTTCAGACTTTTGTCTTGCCAAACTGTAAGATAATAAGTTTTTGTTATTTGAAGTCACCAAATTTATGGTAACCTGTTACAGCAGCAATGGGATACTAATATACCACCCAACATTGCATCCCAAAGCACTATTATTATTATTTTTTTTTAACTTTCTGTAAGTAGAATCCTTGGGAACATTCTTTCTTGTCTGGCTCCTTTTTCTGCACCCTGTGTCGTTGGACATAGGCGATTTATTTTGAGGCAGAAGAGTGACAAGACCAGATCTATATTTTAGAAGCTGACTTTGACGTCAGTGTTCTGCCTGGGAAGCATAAAGGCTGAGAGGGGCAGTACCTGCAAAGGGCCAATGCAGCAAGCCCAGCAAGAAATGGCCAGGACTCAAAAAATAAACAGTGGAGGCAGAGACTGGGGAGGAGGGCTCATAACTGAGTTTAGAACACAGAATTGATAGGAATTGATGTCCAAATAGATGTAAGGGATGAGAGGGTAGCTAAGAATAATTCCAAATACTCTAGTTATACAACTGTGGGGGTGGGATGTGGTGGACACAGGATAAATTGCTGGTATAAGAAGAAGGATAATGTCTTCAGTTTGAAATCTTTGAAGTGCATACCAGCAGATGTTTCCAGATATCAAAAAGTTTCACCTGCAGATAATATTCCACCTGCTGGGTTGACCTTCTTTTTGGTCAAAAAGATGTAGAGGGAGCAACAGAAACTTCAATGAACGAATCCAATCTTAAAATACAATGGGGATGCCCTACTTTATCCTCAATAATGGATAATTACTTTGTTGTTCAATAGAAGTTAATTTCTACTCCCTCTTTTCCACTCCAATCACATAACAGGTGTAATTATATCTCACACTCAGGGTGATATAATTAATATAAACCTTTGTAGAGGCGCATTTCCAGAGAGTCTTCTTAGGCAGATGATTTAGGCACTTGTCAGGTTTATCACACAATAGATAAATGTTTTCTTCATGTAGCTTAATATAGCAGGGTATCTGCCTCTGAATGGAAGTGTTTCCAGAGAGTCCAGGCAAACAGTCCGTTTATTGCATCTGACAGCTTTATTGCTTTATCAGTTATTTGCTTAGGGAGGATTTTATTATATGTAAAATACTGACATAAATTATGGGGAGGGGAATTGATTTTTTTTACATAGGTTTGATTCATTTTTCATTGTTTGTATGTGCCAAGTTTGATTTGATATTGCACATTTTCTCCTAGTGTATTTATTTAGGTTGCAAGTTATTTCCCTGGTTCTACAAATAGTGGTATTTAGTTCTCAATTTTATTCCTGTGACTGCACATGTTCTCAAATTAAGTCATATATATAGTTAATACATAAAATATAGCTATAGGTACATATATGAATGAAATATATATCTAATAAAATTAAATACATTAACTCTAAGAAGAGTTTTAGAGTTTGGCACTTCAAAATTCAGAGAGATGTGATGCCAGTTTCCCTCCTGGCAATCAGGAGAAAACCAAGAGTAGAACCTGGCTGGGGAAAGTCATGTAGATCATCATGATCAGGTAGATCCAGGGGGTCAGCCCAGAAAGGACACCTCAAAGCCATTGTCATGGGGCCTTGCCTGAGAAGGTCTGGGTCCAAAAGACAGATCTGGATCTCAAGCCAAGCAGAGCCAAGAATAGAAAGAATGTGCTCAGTTAGTGGGGAGGTTCAAATAGAAAGATAGTAGGCATGGAAAGTTGGCAACAGACTTCATGAATTTAGTCATAGGAAGCTGTAGCAGGCACAGTTGGCAGCCTGCCCAGATCCCCTCAGATCTCTTTTACTTGTTTCATGGGCCCATGGTTTTCTACTCAAACCTTCAGAGGATTTTCCTTAGGCACCTGGAGTTGCCTTACCCCAATGGAGGGCCTAAGTTCAGAAGTTACACCCTCTAGGGACAGTTGCACACCCCCTCCCATCCTTTAACCAATGACAGGCGGGTGCAGAAGTATAAAAATCCGGCTTTGTTGCTTTCAGATGGGACAAACTCTGAGGTACCGTTTACACTTTACAGTTCCTTCTGAGACCAGGCTGAGTCTGAAATTGACCTGAAATCACACCATTCCTTGACTTCTTTCCATCTTATCCTGGTTTCCTGACTCCTGTCCTGGTTTCTCCTAGGAGCAGTCCCTTAATAAGTCACTTGAATTTGAATCCTTAGCTCAGCATCTCCTGGGAGAAGCTGCCCTGAGAAAATTGGCGAACCAACTGTCAAGGCAATAGAGTTACAACAGCAAGGATAATAGTGATCATGGTAATAATAACCAACCTTGACTGAATTCTCACTATTTTCCAGGCATGGTGTTAAGTGTCTTCTACATAGTTTTCCATTTAATTCTTCCAAGAGTCCAATGCCAGTCGATGTTATTTTCATCTCTATTTTACAGGTGAAAAAACTGAGGCGTGGGACATTAAGCAACTTGTTCCAAGATCTGATGGCTAAAAATTAGAAAGGGCTTCAGAGAGAGCCCAGTAGGACTATTATGGCATATTATGTATTGAACGTTATATTTTAGAACTTCTCATCTTTATTTGCTCCACCCCAGCCAGAATGTGTCTGTTTCTGAGCCTATATTTGGAGTGATGTCGATTTACCTGCTGTATAGATGAACTCTTGGGATATAAGCAAAGCCAATCATTTTAGTGATTCTAATCAGCAGTCTTGCACATTAATAATCTTGTGATTATCAGGAAGCTAAATAAGAAAATCTGGATGGTTGGGGGCGAATCCAGTACTATTGCTAGATACAATGGCAATATTGCTTGGTATCTAGTACACAAAGGTGAATTGTATAGAATGACCATATTGAATGTGTGAATATGCTTAGGTGATTGCTATAGGCAATGTGTATAGTCAGTGGAGAGTGAGGAGGATGCTGTAAGTGCAAGGACCAGTGTCCAGATGCAATGTTTGAACTTTTCACCCAGGATTGACCATTTGCCTCCAGGAGGACTGGCACGAGAACACTCACTGTCTGGAGCTTTTTTGTTATGCAAAATTTTTTTCATTTCTACATGTTTCATGGAAGAATAATATAGTGAGTTAAAGAGCCTCAAGTGTTTTATAGAGAACTTCAATATGTTTTCTTATCCAGAAGAATCTTGTGTGGTTGAATAATGCCAGGCTAAGTCATGGTGTCTGGTTTCTAGTCTAAATCTATCATCAAATAGATTTGTAACCTTGAGAAAGCTTTTTAAAATTTCCCCGAAGATTTTCATTTCAGGGTTTCCCATCTGTAAAACCAAATTAATAAGTGATTTTTGGAAAAGATTCCTGTTCCCCTGGGACCCTCAACCCTTTCCTTGATGAAAATTATATATCTTTTAATATCTGGTATGGAGTCATCAATAAAAATTTTGTAAGTACATTTCACTATGTTCTTATCAATTCATTTAAATAAGTCATTGAAATATCAGATAAGAGTGACAGTGAAACGTGCACAAAGTATAAGACTACAGCTCAATGAATGTTCCCAAAGTAAAGATATTCCTGCAACAAGCACTTAGATCAAGAAACAGAACTTACCAGAGTCCTGGAAGTGCTCCAAGCCTTTCCAGTCACTTACTCACCCCATCCTGAAGAGTAACTACTATTTTAACTTCTAGGATGATAGCGTGGGACTGCCTGTTTATGCCCCTAATATAAATGGAAGCAAACTGCAGATACTTTTTTGTACCAGGCTTCTTTCACTGAGTATTGTCCGTGAGATTCACCGATGTTTTTCTGTGTAATTATAGTTTGTTCATTCTATTTTTTTGGAAATAATTCCATTGTATGAATGTCTCAATTTATCTGTTCTATTATAGAGGACCATTTGGTTTGTTGGTTTGTTTCCAGATTTTTTTTTCTTTTTTGTATATTACCAAGAGAGTTACTATGAATATTCTTATTTTTTATTTTTTTGCTGAACATATGTGAGCATTTTTTGATGGGTATGTATATACTTAAGAGTAGAAGGGTTGGGTCCTAATGAACACATATATTTAGCTTTTGTCAACACTTCCAAGTAGTTTTTCAAAGAGGTTCTTCAGGGATATTGCATGTTAACATATGAAAGAAGGCACAGAAAAGTCCCTGGACACCTTAGAACATTTATCCCTTGGTGAGATGCTGAGTATGAACCTGGGTTATTTGTACATATTAAGCCAGAGGTGAGTACCAGACAACAGAAATGAGAAAATCATGGTTATTAGTAAATGAGTTAGAAGCTGTGGGAAGGCAGGTGGGTCTTCCAAGCTAAGACTGTGAAATAACAGCGGTGTCTTACTGGTAACTTAGAATAGAGGTGCTCAATAGGGAGGCCATTATCTGGTTTGATAGGGACCTGGGAGCCTGGCTTTTTGCGTTGGCATTGAATATGTGGCCAGGAGCTCTGTCCTTTTTTGGGAAGGAGAATTGACCAGAACTGACTAATGAGCATGACATAAACAAGTCCAGGCAGGGATAGACAGATAATTTAGGCCCTGGATGACACAATTAAGGTTTTTGGGTTGGCCATAATACATTTGGTTTAAGAATCGGAGATGTGGTTAAGAAATAATTTGTAACAAAGAGTAGATAAAACCACTGTGGTTCTAATTTTTGAGACTGTTCCTTATATTTCATTCTTCCCATAATTGCCTTTACTTAATGTCTTAAAGCTCACGGATAGCTTTTTGCGTGGTTTCTACAGTATAGAATGTGGAGTGAGTAATATGCAGACAAATCAAGACAATCAGTGGGGAGACATGGGTCACAATGAGGCGTGATGTACCTTCTGCTAATCCTATAGATCGAGGACTTTGAAGACAAGAAAACACTGGGTGGAGAACTTGGCAACATTTAGGGAAAAAAGTATTAGTTGTGAGCAGGACAGGGAGGAGGATGGGACTCCAAATAGCACTTAATGGGCTCTCTTCTGCCCAAACTTCAGTTCAAATCCGCATTTATACCTCCCAGGGTATATAATTATGCACTCATAATGTACTTGTTTCATTTTGGCCTTTCAGTAAATCCAATAATATCAGTGAGTTTCCACTGGCCAGTAACCGAACGTTATAGTTGATGATTGTTGTATGTCTATAAAACTATAAAAATATGGCACATTTCAAAGTGAGGAGGGCTGCTGTGAAGTAAGTTTAATGAGATGAGAAATTATCTGAGTTGTTTCAGGGTGGTATTACTGAAAAAGGGGCAGCGGTAGCCATTCAGTTTATTCTTAGGTCCTAGGCCTGCCTCCAGTCTGGGCAGAATTCTCTATCCTGGGTTCTCAACATTGAGTTCAAAGCTCAAGGAAAACCCTGTAATTATAAAGAGTGCATATTTCCCTGATCTTGTCCTCTATGCATATAAGTCTCTTAGGACCTCCACATGGGAAAAGGGGATTGGTGGAATACAGGATTCTCTGTTCTGGCTTCCTGCCATCTCCTATTCTCTCAATGCAAATATAATTTCCCCTTAAAGCACTACATATATATATATATATATATATATATATATATATATATATATATATATATATATATATATATTTTTAGAGCAGTTTTAGATTCACAGCAAAATTGAACAGAAAGTACAGAGAATTATCTAATACTCCCTGCTCCACACATTCACAGCCTCCCCCACTATCAATGTCCCAGACACAGTGGTACATTTGTTATAATCAATAAATCTACACTGATACATAATTATCACCCAAAGTCCAGGGTTTATACTAGGGTTCACTAATGTACATCCCATGGGCTTTGACAAATGTATTATGACATTCATCTATCATTATATCATTATAGTATCATACAGAGTCATTTTCACTGTCCTAAAAATCTTTTGTGCTCCAACTATTTATACTTTCCTCTCCCTAACCCCAAACAACCACTGAATTTTATATTGCTACCATAATTTTGCCTTTTTCAGATTGTCATATAGTTAGAATTGTACAGTATGTAGCCTTTTCAGATTTGCTTCCTTTACTTAGTGATATACATTTAATGTTCTTTTATGTCCTTTCATGGCTTGATAACTCATTTCTTTTTAGCACTGAATAATATTCCAGTGTCTGGCTATATCACAGTTTATCCATTCAGCTACTGGAATACATCTTGATTGCTTCCACGTTTTGGAAATTATGAATAAAGCTGCTATAAACTGCATATAAGGATATGCAGGTTTTTGTGTAGATGTGTTTTCAACTCCTTTGAGTAAATTACCAAGAAGCATGTTTGCTGGATCTATGGTAAGAGTATGTTTAGTTTTCTAAGAAACTGCCAAAGTCTCTTCCAAAGTGGCTGTGTCTTCATTTTGCATTTCTGCTAAAATGAATGAGAGTTCTTGTGACTTTACATCTGTGCTAGCCAGCATTTGATGTTGGTAGTGTTTTGGATTTTAGCCATTCCAATAACTGTGTAGTGGTATCTCATTGTTTTAATTTGCATTTCCCTGATGACGTATGATGTGAAGCATCTGTTCATATGCTTACTTGCCATCTGTATATCTTCTTCAGGGAGGTGTCTGTTTAGATTATTTGCCCCATTAAAAGGGTAAGGTTGTTTATTTTCTTAGTGTTGAGTTTTAAGAGTTCTTTGTATATTTGGGATAACGGGCTTTTTTTAAACATTGATATTAAAAATTTATTATTTATTTATTTATGATCCAGGTTCCTCTGTTTTTTTTATTTTATGACAAAACAAAGAAACAGTGTTTTTGCTAGCATAAATCAATTAATGGACAACAGTTTTTTTTTTTTAACCAAATCTATTATTTTGCAAATATTTTCTTCCAGCCTATCTTCCAATTCTCTTCATCTTAAAGATCTTTTAAAGACTTTCATACCTGATTCTTTCACACCATGATAAATCAACCCTACATCCAAGTTTCTAAAAAAGTACTCTCTTTTCCTTTTTCTTGCCCGATTGTCTTGGCTAGAGCCTCCAATACAGTATTGAACTAGAAGGATGAGGACTGACATCCTTTCCTTGTTCCTGCTTTTGGGTGGAGGATATTCCATCTTTCACCATTAAGTACAATATTTGTTGCAGTTTTTTTTTTTTTTTTGGTGCATGGAATATGCCTTATCAAATTGAAGAAGTTTCCTTCCACTCATAAAATTTTGAGAGCTTCTATAAGGAATCAATACTGGATTTTAAAATGCTCTTTCTCCATCTATAGAGCTGAATAAAATGTTTTTGTTTTTTTTAGTTTGTTAATATGGTAAATTACATCAGCTTATTTTAAAATGTTAAATCACCTTTCATTCCTGGAATACATTTCACTTGGTCATCATGTATTATCATTTTTATATATTATTAGTATAAATTTGCTATAATTTTGCTTATTTTTTTGCATCTGTATTCATTAAAATATCAATCTATAGTTTTCTTTTCCTTAATAAATTTTCTAATTTTTGGTATCGGGAAAATGTTGCTTATAGAATGAGGTGGAAATCATTACCTTCTCTAACATTGTATAAAAGAGTTTATGTAGAATTATCTGTGTAGTATTAATTTCTCCATTTGTGTAGTATCATTTCTTCATTTGTTTAGTATTATTTCTTCATTAAAAGTTTACAGTGAAGTCATTGGGCCTGAGGTTTTCCTACATGGAAAGCTTTTAAATTATATGTTCAATTTTAAGAATAGTTAGAGGACTACTAATTCTGTCTACTTCTTATATGAATCTTGGTAATTTGTGTCATTGAAAAAATTAGTCTGTTTTTTTCTGGTTCAAATCTATCGTCATAAGGTCATAACATTGCCTTATTATGCTCTTAATAGCTATAGAATCTATAATGGTAACTGTATTCCCAACTGATATAATTTGGATGTTTGTCCCCCCCACATCACATGTTGAAATGTAATTCCTAGTATTGGATGTGGGGCCTGGTGGGAGGTGTTTGTGTCATGGGGGCAGATCCCTCATGAATAGTTTGGTGCCCTCCTCACAGTAATGAGTTGATATGAAATCTGGTTTTTTTTTTTTTTTTTTTTTTTTTGAGACAGAGTCTCGCTCTGTCGCCCAGGCTGGAGTGCAGTGGCGCGATCTCGGCTCACTGCAAGCTCCGCCTCCCGGGTTCACGCCATTCTCCTGCCTCAGCCTCCCAAGTAGCTGGGACTACAGGCGCCCGCCACCACGCCCGGCTAATTTTTTGTATTTTTAGTAGAGACGGGGTTTCACTGTGTTAGCCAGGATGGTCTCGATCTCCTGACCTCGTGATCCGCCCGCCTCGGCCTCCCAAAGTGCTGGGATTACAGGCGGGAGCCACCGCGCCTGGCCAAAATCTGGTTTTTTAAAAGATCCTGGCTATTTGTCCTCACTTCCTTGCTCCCTTGCTTGCCAGGTGAATTATCTGCTTCCCCATAACCTTCTGCCATGATAAGGAGCTTACTGAGACCCTCACCAGAAGCAGATGCCAGTGCCATGCTTCTTGTATAGCCTGCAAAACAGTGAGCCCCCAAACATCTCTTTCCTTTATAAATTACTCAGTGTTAAGGATTATTTTATGGAAATGCAAATGGACTAACATAGAACATTGGCACTGATGAATAGGGCATCGCTATAAAGATACCTGAAGATGTGAAAATGGCTTTGAAACTGGGTAATAGGCATAAATTCAAGAGTTTGGAGAGTTCACCAGAAGAGAAGAAGATGAGAGAAAGTTTGGAACTTCTTAGAGACTGGTTAAATGGTTGTGACCAAAATGCTGATGGAAATATGAACAGTAAAGTCCAGGTTGATGAAGTCTTAGATGGAAATGAGGAAGTTATTGGGAACTGGAGTAAAGGCCACTTGTGTTACACCCTAGCAATGAACTTGGCTGGATTGTGTTCATGTCCTAGGAATCTGTGTAAGTTGGAACTTAAGAATGATGACTTAGGATAGCTGGTGGAAGAAATTTTAAAGTAGCACAGCACTCAAGATGTGGCCTAGTTGCTTCTGACAGCTTGTAATAAGATATGAGAGCAAAGGAATGACTGAAAGTTGGAACTTATAATTAAAAGGGAAGCAGAGCAGAAAAGTTTAGAAAATTTACAACTTGGCCATGTGGTAGAGAAGGAAACAGAATTTTCGGGAGAGGAATACAAGTGGGCTGTGGAGCAACCACTTGCTAAATAAATTAGCGTGACTAAAAACGAGCCAAGGGCTAATAAACGAGACAATGGGCAAAAAGCCTTGAACGCATTTCAGAGACCTTACAGGAAGCCCCTCCAATCACAGGCCCAGAAGCCTAGGAGGATAGAATGGTTTCAGGGATCAGGCCCAGGCCCAGGGTCCTGCTGCCCTGAGCTGCCTTAGGAGGCTGCTCCCCAAAACCCTGCCTCTCAAGCTTCAGCTACAGATCAAAGCACCCCAGGTGCAGCTTGAGCTGCCACTCTGGAGGGCACAAACAGTAAGCCTTGGCAGCTTTCATGTGGTGTTAAGCCTGCAGGTGTGCAGAATGTAAGAGTGAATGAGGCTTGGCAGCTTCTGCCTTGATTTCAGAAGATGTATTGGAAAGCCTGTATACTCAGGCAGAAGCCTGCCACAGGAGTAGAGCAACCCTCCCACCTTCCACAGAGCTTCTACTAGGTCAGTGCTGAGGGAGAAATGTGGGATTGGAGCCTGCACACAGAATCCCCTCTGAAGTACTGCTTAGCTGAACCATGGGGATGAGGCTGCTGCTCTCCAGATCCCAGAAAGGTAGAGCTACCAACAGCTTGCACTCTGAGCCTGAAGAAGCTGCAGGTTCTTAACTCCAACCCATGAAAGCAGCCACAGGGGCTGCACCCTGCAAAGCTGCCCAAAACCTTAGGAGCCCACCCCTTGCACCTGCATGCCCTGGATGCAGGACATGAAGCCAAAGACGATTATTTGGAGCTTTAAGATTTAATGAATGCCCTGCTGGATTTCAGACTTGAATGGAGCCTATGGTCCCTCTCTTTTGGTTGACGTCTCCCTTTTGGAATAGGAATGCCTGTACCACCATTGTATCTGGGAAGTAAATGTCTTTTTAAAAAAAATCTTACAGGCTCATAGGTGCATGGAATGTGCTTTGAGTCTCAGATAAGATTTTGGGCTTTCGAGTTGATGCTAGAATAAGTTGAGACTTTGGGGGACTATTGGGAAGGGGTGATTGTATTTTGCAATGTGAGAAGGACATGAAACTTGAAGGGCTGGGTGAAATAGTTTGGATGTTTTATCCCCTCCAAATCTCATGCTGAAATGTGACCTCCAATGTTGAAGGTGGGCTTAGCGGGAGGTGTTTGGGTCATGGGGGTGGATCCCTTTTAAATGGTGTGGTGCTGTACTCATAGCATAAGTGAGTTCTTACTCTCTGAGTTCACATGAGATCTGACTGTTTAAAAGAGCCTGGCACCAGCCAGATATGGTGTCTCATGCCTGTAATCCCAGCATTTTGGGAGGCCAAGGCAGGTGGATCACCTGAGGTCAGGAGTTTGAGACCAACCTGGACAACATTGTGAAACCCTGTCTCTGCTAAAAATACAAAAATTAGCCAGGCATGGTGCATGCCTGTAATTCTAGCTACTTGGGAGGTGGAGACAGGTGAATTGCTTGAACCAGGAGGCGGAGTTTGTAGTGAGCCAAGATCATGCCACTGCACTTCAGCTTGAGTGACAGAGCAAGACTCTGTTTCAAAACAACAACAACAACAACAACAACAACAACAACAACGAGATCCTGGCAACTCCTCCCTCTCTATCTTGTTCTCTCTATCTTGCTCCCTCTCTCACCATATGCTAGCTCCTCCTTTGCCTTCTTTCATAATTGTAAGCTTTATGAGGCTTCACTAGAAGCCAATCAGATCCTGCTGCCAGGCTTGTATAGCCTGCAGAAACTTGAGACAAATAAATCTCTTGTTTAAATAAATTAGCCAGATTCAGGTATTCCTTAGCATCACAAAGGAACTATAACACGTTAATGTTTATTTTCTTTTTCCGATTAGTTTGGCTAGATGTTTATCAATTTTGTTGATCTTCCCAAAGTATTAGCTTTAGGTTTCGTTAATTTTTATCTACCATTTTTCTGTTTTCTGTTTTATTGATTGTTTTTCTGATGTTCATTATTTATTCTCTTCTGCTTACTTTTTTTTAACACTTATTTTATGTTCAGGAGTACATGTGCATGTTTGTTATATAGGCAAACTGCGTGTCACAGGGATTCAGTGCACAGATAATTTCATTACTCTGGTAATAAGCATAAAACCTGATAGGTATTTTTTTTCTGATCCTCTCTCTCTTCCCACCCTCAACCCTCAAATAGGTTCCAGTGTTTGTTGTTCTCCTTCTAGTATTCATATGTTCTCGTTATTTAGCTCTCACTTATAAGTGAGAATATGTGGTATTTGGTTTTCTGCTCCTGGGTTACTTTGCAAAGGATGATGACCTCTACTTCCATCCATGTTCCCATGAAATACATCATCTTGTTCTTTTTTTAATGGCTGCATAATATTCCATGGTGTATATGTACCAATTTTCTTTATCCAGTCTTTCATTGATGGGCATTTAGGTTGATTCCATGTCTTTGCTATTGTGAACAGTGCTGCAATGAACATTCATGTGCATGTTTCTTTATGGTAGAATGCTTTATATTCCTTTGGGTATTGTACTAGTTTGTTTTCATGGTGCTCTGAAGAAATACTCAAAAATGGGTAATTTATAATGAAAAGAGGTTTAATTGACTCACAGTTCTGCATGACAGGGAGGCCTCAGAAAACTTACAATCATGGCAGAAGGAGAAGTAAACATCCTTCTTCACATGGTGGCAGGTGAGAGACTGCAGAACTGAGGGAGGAAAAGCCCTATATAAAACCATCAGATCTCATGCAAACTCGCTCGCTATCATGAGAACAGCATAGGGGAACTGCCCCCCATTATCTAATCACCTCCCTCAAGGTCCCTCTCCCAACACGGTGGGATTACAATTCAAGACGAGATTTGGGTGGGGACACAGAGCCAGAATATACCATTCCAACCCTGCCCACTCCCAAATCTCATCTTTCTCATATTTCATAATACAATTATGCTTTCCCCCATATTCCCCTAATTCTTAACTCATTTCAGCATTAACCCAAAGTCCAAGTCCATAGTCTCATCTGAGACAAGACAAGTCCCTTCTGCCCATGAACCTGTAAAATCAAAAGCAAGTTAGTTACTTCCTAGATATAATGCGGGTGCAGGCATTGGGTAAATACATCCATTTCAAATGGGATAAAAATGCCAAAACAAAGGGGCCACAGGATCCATGCGAGTCCAAAATCCAATAGGGCAGTCACTAAACTTTGAAGTTCCAAAATGATCTCCTTTGATTCCATGTCTCACATCCAGGTCACACTGATGCAAGAGATGGGCTCCCTGGCCTTGGGCAGCTCTGCCTCTGTGACTTTGCAGGGTACAGCCCCCCACCCTTGGCTGCTTTCACAAGCTGGTATTGAGTGTCTGTGGCTTTTTGAGGCACATGGTGCAAGTTGTTGGTGGATCTACTATTCTGGGATCTGGAAGACTGTGGCCCTCTTCTCATAGCTCCACTAGGCAGTGCCCAAGTAGGGACTCTGTGTGGGGGGTTTGTACAGAGTTTCCCTTCTGCACTGCCCTAGCAGGGCTTCTCCATGAGGGCTCTACCCCTGCAGCAAACTTTTGCCTGAACATAGAGGCATTTCCATATATCCTCTGAAATCTAGTTGGAGGTTCCCAAACCTCAATTCTTGACTTTTGTGCACCCACAGGCTCAACACCAAGTGGAAACCACCAAGGCTTGGGGCTTATACCCTCTGATGCAATGGCCTGAGCTGTACCTTGGCCCCTTTTAGCCATGGCTGGAGCTGAAGCAGCTGGGATGCAGGGCATCATGTCCTGAGACTGCACAAAACAGGAAGACCCTCGGTCTGGCACAGGAAACAATTTTTCCCTCCTGGACCTCTGGGCCTGTGGTGGGAGGGGCTGCCATGAAGGTCTCAGACATTGCCTGGAGACATTATCCCCATTGTCTTGGTGATTAACATTCAGCTCCTTGTTACTTACACAAATTTCTGCAGCAGGCTTTAATTTCTCTCCAGAATATTTTTTTCCTTTTCTATGACATTGTCAAGTTGCAAATTTTCCAAACTTTTATGCTCTGCTTCCTCTTGAATGCTTTGCCGCTTAGCAATTTCTTCCACCAGATACCCTCTATCATCTCTCTCATATTCAAAGTTCCACAGATCTCTAGGGCAGAAGCAAAATGCTGTTAGTCTCTTTGCTAAAGCATAGCAAAAGTCCCTTTGCTCCAGTTCAGAACAAGTTTCTCATCTCTATGTGAGACCACCTCAGCCTATACTTCATTGTCTATATCACTATCAACATTTTGGTCAAAGCCATTAAACAAGTCTCTAGGAAGTTCTAAACTTTTCCACATCTTCCTGTCTTCTTCTGAGCCCTCCAAACTTCTAACCTCTGCCTGTTAACCTAGTTCCAAAGTTGCTTTTGGGTATCATTACAGCAGCACCTCACTCTCTTGGTACCACTTTACTGTATTAGTTCACTTTTGCTGTGCTATGAAGAAATACCCAAGACTGGGTAATTTATAAAGGAAAGAAGTTTAATTGGCTCACAGTTCAGTAGGGCTTGGGTGGCCTCAGGAAGCTTGCAATCATGGTGGAAGGGGAAAAAACATGTCCTTCTTCACATGGTGGCAGGAGAGAAAAGTTCAGAATTAAGGGGGAAAAAGCCCCTTACAAAGCCATCAGAACTCGTGAGAACTCACTCACTATCACAAGAACAACATAGAGGAACTGCCCCGTGTTCTAATCACTTCCCATGAGGTCTCTCCCACAACGTATGGGTATTACAATTCAAGACGAGATTTGTGTGGGGACAAAAAGCCAGACCATATTGGGTATATACCCGGTAAGGGGTGTATATGTATGTGTGTGTGTGTGTGTGTGTGTGTATTTTCTTTTTTCTTTTTTTTTTTTTGAGACAGAGTTTCACTCTTGTTGTCCAGGCTGGAGTGCAATGGTGCCATCTTGGCTCATTGCAACCTCCGCCTCCTGAGTTCAAGCAATTCTGCCTCAGCCTCCCGAGTAGCTGGAATTACAGGCATGCACCGCCACACTCAGCTAATTTTTTTTTTTTTTTGTATTTTTAGTAGAGTTGGGGTTTCTCCATGTTGGTCAGTCTGGGTCAAATGATAACCCTGTTTTAAGTTTTTTGAGGAATCACCACACTGTTTTCAATGACTGAACTCATTTAAAGTCTCACAAGTGGTGTATAAACATTCTCTTTTCTATTCAACCTTACCAGCATCTGTTTTTTTGTTTGTTTGTTTGTTTGTTTTACTTTTTAATAATAGCCCATTTGACTGGTATGGGATGGTATCTCACTGTGGTTTTGATTTGCATTTCTCTAATCATTAGTGGTGTTGAGCACTTTTTATATGCTTGTTGGCTGCATGTATATCTTCTTTTGAAAAGTGTCTGTTAAGGTCCTTTGCCCACTTTATAATGGAGTTGTTTGTTTTTTGCTTGTAAATTTCCGTTCCTTATAGATTATGTATATTAGATCTTTGCCACATGCAGAGTTTGCAAATATTTTCTCCTATTCTGTAGGTTGTCTGTTTACTCTGTTGATAGTTTATTTTGCTCTGCAGAAGCTCTTTAGTTTAATTAGGTCTCATTTGTCAATTTTTGTTTTTGTTGCAATTGCTTTTGGCTTCTTGGTCATAAAATATTTGCCCAGTCCTGTGTCCAAAATAGTATTTCCTAGGTTACTTTCCAAGGTATTTATAGTTTTAGGTTTTATATTTAAGCCTCTAACCAATCTTGAGTTGATTTTTTTATGTGGTGTAAGGTAGTAGTCTAGTTCCAATCTTCTGCATATGACTAGCTCCTTATCCTAGCACAATTTATTAAATGGGGAATCCTTTCCCCATTGCTTATTTTTGTCAGTTTTGCTGAAGATCAGATGGCTGTAGGGGTGTGGCATTACTTCTGGGCTCCCTATTCTGTTTGATTGGTCTATGTGTCTGTTTTTGTACAAGTACCACACTGTTTTGGTTACTGTAGACCTGCAGTATAATTAGAAGTTGGGTAATGTGAATCCTCCAGCTTTGTTCTTTTCCTTTAGGATTGCCTTGACTAGTCTAGCTTTTTTTGGTCCCCCATAATGTTTAAAATAGATTCATTCTAATTTTGTGAAAAATGTATTTGGTAGTTTGATAGGAATAGCATTGAATCTGTTAACTACTTTGGGCAGTATGGCCATTTTAATCATATTTATTCTTCTTATCAAGGAGTGTGGAATTTTTTCATTCATTTGTGTCAGCTCTGATTTTTCTAAGCAGTGCTTTTTATCCTCTTTGGAGAGATCTTTCACCTTCCTGGTTAGTTGTATTCCTAGGTATTTTATGATTTTTCTGTAGCAATTGTAAGGGAATTGTTTTCCTAATTTGGCTCTTGGCTTTGCTATGTTGGTAGGAATGCTAGTGATTTTTTGCACATTGATTTTGTACCACAGAACTTTGCTGAAGTTGTTTATTATATCAGGGAGCTTTTGGGCAGACACTATCAATTTTCAAGGTATAGAATTAAGTTGTCTGCAAACAGGGATACTTTGGCTTTCTCTCTTCCTATTTAGATTCCTTCATTTCTTTCTCTTGTCTGATTGCTGTGGCCAAGACTTCTAACAATATATTTAATAGTAGTCATGAGAGAAGGCATCCTTGTCTGGTACCAGTTTTCAAGGGGAATGCTTCCAGCTTTTGCCCATTCAGTATGATGTTGGCTGTGGTCTTGTCATAGATGGCTCTTATTGTTTTGAAGTATGTTCTTCAAGGCATGGTTTATTGAGGGTTTTTAATATGAGTGGGTGTTGAATTTTATCAAAAGCCATTTCTGCATCTATTGAGATAATCATGTGGCTTTTGTTTTTTAGCTCTGTTTATGTAATGAATCACATGTATGAATCACATGTATTGATTAGCCTATGTTGGACCAACCTTGCATTCCAGGGACAAAACCTACTTGATCATGGTAAATTAGCTTTTTGATGTGCTGCTGGATTTGGTTTGCTAGTATTTAGTTGAGAATTTCTTCATCTATGTTCATCAAAAATATTGGCCTGAAGTTTTCTTTTTTTCTGTTGCATTTCTGCCAGGTTTTTGTATGAGAATGTTGCTGGCCTCATCAAATGAATTGTGTTAGAGTCCCTTCTTCTCAACTTTTTTTTGGAAAAGTTTCAGTAAGAATGGCAGCAGCTCTTTATATGTCTGATAGAATGTGGCTTTGAATCCATTTGGTCCTGGGCTTTTTTTGATTGGTAGACTTTTTTTTATGACTGATTCAGTTTCATAACTCATTATTGGTCTGTTCAGTGATTCAGTTTCTTCCTGGTTCAGTCTTGGGAGATTGTATGTTTTCAGGAATTTATTCATTTCTTCTAAATTTTCTGGTTTGTATGCCTAGAGGTGTTCTTAATAGTTCCTGATGATTTTTTTTTTCCTGTGGGGTCAGTGCTAACATTGCCTTTGTTATTTCTAATTGTGTTTCTTTGGATCTTCTCTTTTTTCTTTATTAGTCTAGTTAGCAGTCTATCTATTATTTTTTTCAAAGAACTAACTCCTCTATTTGTTTGTCTTTTGGATGGTTTCTCACGTCTCAACTTCCTTCAGTTCAGCTCTGATTTGGTTATTTCTTGTCTTCTGCTAGCTTTGGGGTTGGTTTGCTCTTGCTTCTCTAGTTCTTCTCATTGTGATCTTAGGTTGTTAACTTGAGATCTTTCTAAGTTTTTGACACGGGATTTTAGTGCTATAAACTTCCCTCTTAACACTGCCTTAGCTGTGTCCCAGAGATACTGGTATGCTGTATCTTTCTTCTCATTAGTTTCAAAGAATTTCTGAATCTCTGCCTTAATTTCGTTGTTTACTCTAAAGTCACTTAGGAGCAGGTTGTTTAATTTCCATATAATTGTTTGACTCAGTCATTTTCTTAATATTCATTTCCATTTTTATTGTGCTGTGGTCTGAAAGAGTGATTGGTATAATTTCATTTAAAAAAATTGCTGGGTATTGTTTTATGTCCAATTTTGTGGTTGATTTTGGAGTATGTGCCATGTGGTGATGATAAGAATGTATATTCTATTATTTTTGGACGGAGAATTCTGTAGATGTCTGTAAGATCCATTTGGTCCAGTGTTGAGTTCTTGTCCTAAATATCTTTGTTAACTTTCTATCTCAGTGACCTATCTAATACTGTCAGTGGGGTGTTGAAATCTCCCACTATTATTGTATGGGAATCAAAGTCTCTTTGAATTTCTCTAATAACTTGCTTTATGAATCTGGGTGGTCCTGACTTGAGTGTGTGTATATTTAGGATAGTCAGATCTCATTGAATTAAAAACACTTTACCATTATATAATGCCCTTTATTTTAATGTTTTTTGATCTTTGTTGGTTTAAAATCCATGTGGTGTGACATTAGAATTGCAACCACTACTTTTTCCTGTTTTCCATTCCTTGGTAGATTTTTCTCCATCCCTTTATTTTGAACCTATGGAGTCATTGCATGTGAGATTGGTCTCTTGAAGACAGCATACTATTGGGCCTTGCTTCTTTATCCAGCTTGCCACTTTGTGTCTTTTAATTTGGACATTTAGCCCATTTACATTCAAGGTTAGTATTGGAAAGTGAATATTTAATCCTGTCCTCATGTTATTAGCTGATTATTATGCAGACTTGTTTGTGTGGTTGCATTATAGTGTCACTGGACTACATATTTAAGTGTGTTTTTGTAGCGGCTGGTAGTGTTCTTTCCATATTTAGTGCTCCTTTCAGGACCTAAGGCAGGTTTGGTGACATGAATTTCCTCAGCATTTTCTTATCTGAAAAGAATCTTATTTCTCCTTCCTTTTTGAATTAATTTGGCTGGCTATGAAATTCTTGCTTGGAAATGTTTTTCTTTAAGAATGCTTAATATAGGCCCCCATTCTCTTCTGGCCTGTAAGGTTTCTGCTGAAAGGTCAGCTGTTAGCCTGTTGGGATTCCCTTTGTAGGTGACGTGCCCCTTCTCTCTAACTGCCTTAAATATTTTTCTTTCATTTTGACCTTGGAGAATTTAATGATAATGTGTCTGGGGGATGGTTTTCTTGTGTAATATATTGCAGGGGTTCTCTGCATTTTCTGGATTTGAATGATGACCTGTTTAGTGAGGTTGTGGATGTTTTAATGAGCTGTGTCTTAAAATATGTTTTCCAAGATCTTGCTTCCTCCTTGTCTCTTTCAGGGATGCTATTGGGTCATAGATTTTGTCTCCTTACATAATCCCATATTTCTCAGAGGATTTGTTCATTCTTTTTTATGCTTTTTTTCTCTATTTTGTCTGACTGAGTTATTTCAGAGAGCCAGTTTTAAACTCTGAGATTCTTTCCTCAGTTTTATCTATTCTGCTGTGAAAATTTGCAATTGTATTATGCAATTCTTGTAGTGTTTTTCAGGTCTATCAGATTATGTTGATTCTTTTTTCTAATGATTATTTTGTCCATAAGCTCCTGTATTGTTTTATTGTGATTCTTAGCTTCCTGGGATTGGGTTTTGATGTTCTCCTGAATCTTGATGATCTCCATTCCTGTCCATATTCTGAATTCCATTTCTGTCATTTCAGCCCAGGTAAGAACTAGTGTAGTTGTTTGGAGGAAAGAAGACACTCCAGCTTTTTGAGTTGCAAGAGTTCTTGTGCTAGTCTTTCTCATTTTTGTGAGCTGATGTTTCTTCAGTCTTTGACGTTGCTGTTCATTCAATTTTTTTTTTTGCTTTTTTCTTTTTTGTTGTCCTTGGGGGTTCAATTATGCTATATGGTGGGTTTGGTTGACTAGCTTTAATTCTAGTTCACTCCTAGGTCTTGGAGAATCCCCCCTCTGATTACTATCTACATACCTGCTTTTGTTGTTGTTGGGTGTTCTGGTCCATGGGGCTCCCTCAGACAGAGGTTGTGGTTGGCAGACAAGCCATATCCTTTCCAGGCCAGACCTAATCTGCTGTCCATGTGCTTCCTGGGAAAACACAGGGTTATGCCTGTCTGCAGAGTTTAGGTAGAAGCAGGACCCCTGGGTTGGAAGCTCTCTGAGTGTGGCCTCAATGGCTATAGGAGGCAGGGGTTGGTGGAGTTGCCTGCCCTGCTGTCAAGATGTTTCCAGGGCAGCAGGAGGCTGTGCCTCTCAGCAAATTCAGGCAGAAGTTGAACCACTGAGCCAGAAGCTGTAGCAGGTATGACTTGCCTGGCTACCAGTGGTGGGCATGGATGTGGAAACCTGCTTTGCTGTCTGGATGCTTCTTGGGACAACAGGAGGTTGTGCCTTTTGGCAAATTCAGGCATAAGCAGGACCGCTAACCTGGCAACTCCAGCAGGAGCTGCCAACTTTGCTTCTGGTGGCTTCAGTGGGTGGGGTCACATGCTCTGCTGCCTGGGTGTTTCCTGGGGTAACAACAGAAAGCTGTGTTCTCAAGCTAGGTTCACACAGAAGTGGGGCTGCTGGGCCAGAAGCTCCAGCAAACATTGCCTGCCTGGTTACCAGTGGTGAGAGTGGTTGGGGTCATATACTCTGACCTTTGGATATTTCCTGGGACATCAGAAGGCTGCACCCCCCAGCTGAGTTCACATAAAAGTGAGACTGCTGGGCTGGAAGCTCTAGCAAGTGTTGCCCACCTGGCTACTAGTGGTGAGGGTGAGTGGAGTGGCCAGCTGGTTCAGGCCAAAGTAGGACTCTGGGTTGGAAGCTGGAGCTGAGCCCCATCTAGAAAAATTAGGGTGGGATAATCTTACTGCTCCCAGGCACTGCAACTGTGTCCTCTATTGGGGCTGTGGTGCTGGTGTTTATCTGCTACAGGGCACAAGGATTGTAGAGGTCCCCTTGGACTAGACAGTTGCCTCCGCAAAATGTCCTGGTGGCTCTTTGCCTCAGTCTGAAGCACAGTGTGGGGAGGCCAGCGGGATTCCCCCACTGCCAGTCTTGTGCAGGTCTCTGTGGAGAGTGTGAATCTCTCTGGGGGCTCTCACTCACTCACCCTTTCCTGGTTGGAGAGGTTCTCCTGGCTCTGTGCTGAGCCCAGACAGGGAAGAGAGCAGAGAGGAGCAAAGCTGGGCACCAGCCTGTCTGGGCTCAGCACAGAGCCAGGAGAACCTCTCCAACAAAGGAAAGAGTGAATGTTATACTATATTTTTGTAATTTTGGGAAAAATTGTCAACTATCTTCTAAAGAGATTTAAATTATAAGAAAAACATCTCTTATGTATTTACCCACGTAGTTACCATACCTACCGCTCTTTCTTTGTGTAGACCCATGTTTCTATCTGGTATTATTTTCCTTCTGCCTGGAGGACTTCCTTTAATATTTCTTATATTGAGGGTCTGCTATAGATGAGCTCTTTCAGCTTTTGTATATCTAAATATGTTTTTATTTCACTTTCATTTTTGAAAGATGCTATTACCAGATATAGAATTCCACGTTGACACTTTTTACAGGACTTTAAAGATGTTGCTCCACTTTCCCGCTTACATTATGTTTGATGAGAAATCTACTGTCATCCTTATCTTTGTTCCTCCATAAGTATCTTTCTTCTCTAGCTACTTTAAACATTTTTTGTCACTTATTTTGAGTAATTTAAAAATGTGTCTTGCTGTAGTCCTCACCTCCTCCTCTTCCCTCCTCCTTTCCCTCCCTTCTCCTTTTCCTTCCTTCCTTCCTTCCCCTCCTTTCTTCTTTCCTTCCCTCATTTTCTCCTCCTCCTTCTGCTCCTCCTTCTCCTTCACTCATTGAACTTCTTAGATACTATACTAAACCCAAGATCCTTGAGTTTATAGTATCACTGTATTTAGAAAAATTTGGGCCATTACTGAGTCAAATTGTTTTCTGTCCCATGTCTTTCTCTTCTCCTTCAGTGAATCCAATTGAACATATATAAGAGGGCTTGAATTTGTCCCACAGTTTACTGATTATTTATTTTTTTAATTGTTTTTCTCTTTAATTTTGGATTTCTTTCTTTTGCCATGTTTTTTTCTTCTGCAAGGTTTAATCTGTCATTAATTCTATCCAGTATATTTTTTTCATTTCAAATATTGTAGTTTTCACCACGAGAAATTCAATTGGGGTCTTTAAAAAATATTTTTCTTTTCCTACTTACTTTTCTGGAACATGTAAGAAAGCATTAAAATAGCTGTTTTAATGCTGATTCTAAAATCCATGTCCATTTGGGGTTTATTTTGGATGATTGATTTCTCTTCTCATCATGGGTTTTATTTTTCTTCTTCTTTGCATGCCGATTGTCTTTTATTGGATAGTAGGTATCGTAAATGTTACATCATGGATGCTGGCTATTTTTGTATTTCTATAAATATTTTTTAGTCTTGTTATGGAACATGGTTATGTTACTTGGAAACAGTTTGATTCTTTCAAATCTTGCTTTCTAAATTTGTTAGATGGGACCTGAGTATTACTTAGTTTAAGGCTAATTATTCTCTACTACAGAGGCAAGACATTTCTGGGTGATCTACCCAATGCTCTGTGAATTCTGAGATTTCTATTCTGGCTGTTGGGACCAGGCTCTGTTTCTATCCCTTTATAAGCACTAAGGACTGTAATCTTTATCTTTTCAAGGGTTTGGGTCCCCCCACCCCCAGCTTTGGGTAGTATCCTCATAACCATGCACTGATCAGCACTATTCTGAATACTCAAGGGGAATTCTCTGCTGCTCTCCAGATTTCCTTCTCTGTGCAACTCTCTCCTCTCTAGTACTCTGCATGTCAACTCTCACCATCTTGGTCTCCCCAGGCTCAGCTGTTTCTTTAACTCAGAGAATTTGCTGGGCTTCTCCTGGGTTTTCTTTCTCATGTCACAGCCTAGAAACCTTCTCAAGGCTGTAATCTGGGACTATCATAGGGCTTATCTTATTTGTTCCCTGTTTCTCAAGGCTATCTATCCTTTGTTGCCTAATACTCAATGTCTTTAAACCTGTTGTTTCAAGACATATATTTTGTCTTGGTTGTTTTGGAGGGGGTGGGAGGGATGAAAATTTGGTATTTTCTCTAGAAGCAGAAGTTCTCTACAGACTTTTGTTTGAATATAACCATTATGAACCCTGATGCTTTAACTCTTAAAGAGAGTTTGCTAGTTGCCTGCTACTAACTTTAAAAATTTAACATTACTATGTTCTTTTCTCTTGTCACCTTGTCCTGGTCCCAATTGGCTTTTGTAACTCAAACATGTTCTATAGTGAAATGCAATCCAGCAGAATTTTTTTTTATTGCATCCATGGGAGAGGAAAGAGAACCCTTCATAAGATAGATATGGACAGTGACCCCTTTGCTTCATCTAAGAGTTTTCCATTCAAGGCAATATCCTCACTGCGTGTCCCCTAAAAGTCCTTGAGGAATACCAGTATTTCCCCTTGATTTAGAGTTGAGAGGGATTAGGGTAAGAATGAAAAAGCTAATGGGATTCTGACAAGGTTCTTTTGGCTTTATATTCATCTCTGTGGGAAGAGGGGTATAAGAAATGCTATCTATTACACACAAGAGGCTGTTTCAAAAGGCATGAGAAAATGGGCATGAATAGATTATCCAGATATACTTATGTGATAGACACATATAATGATGTCTTGATATTCTGAGCATGTTTCAGAAAGAGATTTGTGCAGCCAAATAATGATGAAATAGATGTCCTAAATATGCCATGAGCATAACATTGAAAAAGTATTTTTCCACAGAACACAGTTCTTATCTCTAGTCAATATTTGATGCATGCTCATTTCTATTTCCTCATATTCAGTCAAGGAGGGAAAAAGTGGATTCATCTCTAAGTGACTGATCATCACAGCTTTACTCTGCAACATTAGGAGAAAGATAAATTATGAAAGAATACAGACTTTAAACAGCCATTCTGATTAGTAAGAGTCATCCTGATGGAGTCAGAAGAATGAGAGTTGAGTTTTCAGAAGCATCATTGTTTCTTCAGAGCATTAAGGGTGATCGACACATGTTGCAAAAAATAAAAATGCTGCTAGTTATTCTAAAGATTAAATGGAGGATAACAAGTAGCATATTATTTGCCTTTTAAAAGGAATCCCAATTAAAAAGTCAGCTTTAGTTTCATGGGGAGGTATTTATTGACTGAATTGGCAATGTCATAAAGTATGGTATCCAATAAGTAGATAGATTAAAATGAAAACATATACACTATGATTGATGGAAGATAAGTAAAACCAAGTGCCCAGGCAGAAATAAGACTTGTATGAAATCCACAGTACCAAATTCACAGTAGATTCTCACAAGAAATATTAACATGCACTTGCTATGTTTGGTGTGCTGAGTTAGGAGGTATCTCAGGACACACAGAGTGTCCGTGCTGTTAAGATACCCCACTCTAATTAGGGATAGTGGACACAACCTTAAAAAGATAAGTGGTCTCAAATGTGAGCCTGAGCCATTCTGGGAAGGCATAATTGAAAAACTGATTGTAGAAGAAAGAATAGTATCTGTGTTCTGTAATGTTCTAATAGCTGGTAATACAGCAGTTAGGAAAATACGGACACTGCTCTCATGAAATTTAATTCTAGTGGGATTAATCAAATTAAATATGCTCAAGGCAGAATCAAGCAGAGTACATTTTGAAAACAGACAAATAGACAACAGACAAGAAGAACAAACTTTACCTCTTCAAGAAAATACCCTTTCTTACACATAAAAACTGAAAAAGCCCCTTGAAGGTAGTTGGCATTTTATATACAAGGTACGCTATGTACATCACGTCCCTTCCTCCTGAAACATCTCTTCCTCTCACGTGCAAATGAGAAAACAGAAGTTCAGTCAGATTACACTTAACTAAAATATAAAGGCTTGGAATGAAATCCAAGTATATTAGCTGCTAATGCCTATGCTCATCTCATGGCTCTAGGGTAATTGGGAGCCTTGCTTTATCACCAGTTGTTTTCCATCAGTATTTCAGCCACTTCACCTTTGAGCCACACCTGTCAGAGTCCTCCCACTCTGTCTCCTTTTAGAAGGCATCATGGATCTTAAAGGTTGCGGTCTCTTTGCAATACAGGCCAAAGAAGATAAAGCAAGAAACTAAAGAAAAATAAGAGAAGGGTAACTGAAGCCTGTCCTCAAATCATATACAGAGCATCTTCCTCTTGTGTAGGGCGACTGATTGCCACCTCAGAGTGTTGAAAGAACTTGGCCTTGGCTCATTTGGCTGGGAAGGCCCTCCAGGGTTGGTCTGGATGATTGATCAGGAAATGAAGCTCCCTCCTGCCCGTGGTTTGTGGAGCAGTGGGGGATGACTTTGAACCTTGCCGATCACTTCCAGAATTGGAGAGTTACTGTGCTTATATTAAAAACTCAAATGTAGGGCACAGGCCAGGGAATATTTGGAGCTTGCTATTTATCCGGAGTACTCTATGATACAGACTTGATTTAATTGCTCTCATGCCTGCTTAAGATATATTTAAGCAGGCATCAAACTTTCACTAGGGTTGATATTTTCCCAAAAGCTGGTAAAAACTTTTCAGCACAGATGTGAAGCGGGCCGACTGTTGGGCTCTGTGAGGACAACAGCAGAAACTTCATGGTGGAATGCTGGGGGTCCTTTCAATTCCAAACAGTCTGCCTCTATATCTACTAGCTCCATTCCAGGAGGACTGCGGGGCAGCTTTCAAGAAACTGGGCTTCAAAGCACCCAGGAGGCTCCTCAAACTGAGAGGAGTCCCATGATCAGTAGGAATCTCTTTAAGAAACTGTAAATGCGTGACCTTGAGGAAAAGGTGCACTTTCATGAAGAGAAAAAAGCCCCCCTGCTAGCTGGCAGGATATTGAAGCCAGAGGAGTCCCACAGTGGCATCAAGCTGAGCTGTAAATCCTAGACATTCACAAGCTCCAGGCTGCAGAATCTGTCCCAAGTTTTGTTTGTTTCCTATCAATGGTGTTAACAGCTCTGCCAACGTTCCGCAATTGTGCGGGGAGGACAATGCGCCGAGAAAAATCAGTACAGTATTGTTTTATTTTTATGCTATATCCAGAAAGAAAGATCTCATCTATTCATTGTAATACATTTGTCATTTTAGTCTGAATAAATGCAAGGCTATGAGAAAATGCTGATACCAGTTGTCAGAGAAAACTATTTACAATTGTCCCTCCCTTCTTTCTTTAGGCAATTTCATTATAATCTTTTCAGCTTCACAGAAAGATGAACAAAACTTGTGCACTGAGTGTAAAGTGGATGACTGAACTGCATCAATTATGACCTTCACTTTTAAAGTTAACAGTAGGGGAAGCAAAATGTTGACTTCAGTAGTTTGGTTAATGTTTTCTCTTCTCTATTATGTCTCACGGGATTGGATTTTGTGTGAAGACCTTAAATTCATTTGTTAATTCATTCATTTATTACTCATTCAATACTTAATGAGTGTTGGCTATGAACAAAACACTGGATTAGTCCCTGGAGATACCGCTGTGAACATGACCTCTGAGGTCTTACTACAACCTAGCAAGGGTGATGTCTTCATAAGGAAGGAGGAAATTCTACCGTCAAAATCAGGGCTTTCAAAGAAAAAGAAGAGAACTCTATTAGGCATAGTTTTCCCTATCAGACATTCTTATACATCCCTCTGCCAAGTGTCCGATGAGCTTAAAATAAATCTCTGACTTCTGACTTTTCAGTGAAAATACACTTATTTTTTGTAAGGTTGAGCATAAGCCACTTCGAATAGAATGCGTGAGAGGCAAGGAGTCAAATATTGTTAACCCGTTTGTCACTTGACTTTGCTGAATTCCTTTTTTGTTTGCTTTTTAGGATAAAGGAAATTGATGTGTTTAATTAATAACAGGTGTTACGAGACACCCTAAAAATAGCTTTTGAAACCTCAGGCTATCGTTCCTGTGAGTTTAATACTGATTTTATTTCAGTATCTCCATAGTTTTTCTAATGTTTTTATCACCACATTAGGGACTTACCTTAGTCCTCTCTATGTGTTTTTAAAGTTTTTTTTTTATACGAATCCTTATCAGTATTTAGGTATTATCCAAAACAAGCATTTCCCAAACTTCAGTCATTTGTGCAAAACCTTAACAATTTTTTTCACGTATTCATCCTATGGCTTTTCTCCTTCAATTATTTTGTCATATCTGATTGTCAAGTCTACCACTATGCACATAATATTTTGTTTAAATGGACTTGCTTTTTTCAAAAAACAAAAACATTAAGCTAGTTCATTTTCGAAAGAGACTTTATTACATAAGTGAAAAATACCAGTTTTGCTTACAGTAAACGGAAGGTAATAGCAAAGAAAAATAAAATGTGAGCTCTTAAGTTAAATTCTACTCAGAGGGTTCAGAGTCTTCTCACCTTTTGTTAAACCAGAAGGTTCAGCCCATGATGGCTGATGTTAAAGACATACTCAGACCCACGCAAGACTTGCTTAGATATAGAAAAATAAAAACAACACTTTCCTTGCTATGTGATTGAGGATATTTAATGCAATGTCTGGGTATCTCGTAAGGTCATCTCCTGAATTTCTGGGGCACTTCAAAGGGCTATGATATGGCCGCACTCCAGGCTCTTGTGGGAATGACTTTGGCCTGTGAAGAGGCTGCCTTCCCCCGTTAGTGTAGTAAATAGGGGCGAGTGCTTATTTCAAACAACTCTTTCTTTCCTTCAAGCTCTATAACCATTGCCTTCACTCCACTATTCAGAGATAGGGGATAGTTTAAGAGAATCCAGTGTCTCCTCAACAAGGCTTTAACATCTGCAGCTTGTGACATCCGTCACCACCTTTCCATGGCATGCTTCCTGTATTAATTCTTCTTCTCTTTAATTAACGGTCTGATTCTTAAAAATAAACTTTACACTATGTGGATATGAGTGATCATTTCCAGTCAGCAGAACAGAAGGCAATAACACTAGATCATGGCTGAACTCCCTCCAATAATACACTACCCGGCAGTCATGACAACAGGAAGTCATTTATCAGGCCCAGGTTTCTCCTATTTCATCTAGAAATATAAATATCTTATTTTTAATAGAGAGAAAGATGAGCTGAGAAGATGATGACGGATCAAGTGGATGACATCAGGGTCCAGCCAAAGCTTTTAAACATGGCATTTTTCAAATCATGGGGAAGGGAGAGCAGAGGGAGGAAGAGGAGAGAATATCAAACTGCATTTTACAAAAGCAGACCAAGCTAAAGTGATCACACATCACGTTCTTTCCCAAGTCTGAGAGGAAATCTGAAGTTTTTTCAGGTCTACTCATCCTATGATATTGTCACATTGCCGAGAAATGGACTCACAGTCAAAAAGGATGGTTTGTTGGCAGTGAAAAATAGTCGATTCCTTACTGCAAATTCATTATGTTTTATCTTTACAGAAGAGCTTGTTGTTTCAGGAAAATAAGAAGTCCAGAGATAGAAATTGCTAAGGATGACCTAGGTTAAGTAAGAGAAAGGCTATCCAGGTATGTGCTAGTAAAATACAGGGACGGGTTCTGAACAGAATATTCCAGGATTTCATAGATGAGGGAGTGCAGATGATTTTCAGTAAATGTGCACGTGACACTAAGCTGAGAGTTTGGATCATATGTTTTTTAAAACAAACCATTTAATAAAATGTATTTTCCTAAAGAAAGAATACTTTGAAAAATGTGAATTGGGGAGGAAGAAGCTTGGAGCTGGGGTAATATTTATGGTAATCTTTTCTTCCCCTATGGAGTAAGTATGCCTGTGGATAGAGTGATATCTTTCTAAGTATCTCAGCTCTCTTTTTCCTTTTCCAGGATTCTTGTACTTAAAACATAAAAATAAACAAGCAAACAAAAGATGAAAAATTACCATGAGAGCTCCTGAGGGGAATCAAAGACGAGAGTTTTAGGAATTAATCTCATTCCACCATTTGCTATATTGTACCTGTTCCTAGTTTGCAAATAACAGAACTGCTGCAGAAGCTGGTTCTTAGCAGCTCTACATGGCCTGCAAATGAACCATGCTGTAGAGGGTAAAGGAAGACAGATAATAGTTATAGGAAACCTTCATTGTAGAAAGGAGCAGGGAGTTGCTGTTAAATTGTCTACTATTTTTTTTTTTTGAAGATACTATGCAAAGCTTTTGGTCATAAAAACAGCCTCTAGCAAGCAATGCATTTTACATAAAGGAAACCTTCCCAGGAAGGATGGTTATGAATTTGATTATAAGATCTTCTCTTTGCATAAATTTGGTTTAGCCTAAATAAGACTTGAAACATGAAACAATGTCCATGGAGTACAATTCACCAATTGTTACTTTTAATTATGTTCACATGCATAATTCATAAATACACTGCATGGACAAGAGAGAAGAAAAGATAAGAAGGAACAAAAGAGATGAATTTTCCATCAAACAATTACTATATAAATAGACAATGTATTTAATACATTAGTTAGCAAAGTGATTCTTTGTTCTTGCCAGTCTGGGGCTTAAAAACGTTAAAAGAATCCCCAAATTTAACATTGTTAAATTTTGCTAATGTCTCCTTTAAATGAAATAAATAGGGATTATCCTTTTTATGGGGGAAAAAAAAGTAAAAAGTTTTCCTAAAATGTGGAGATTTCAGTATGGTTGACATATCATATCAAAATCTATAATATAGTAGATTCTAGTGTGACTTCTTAATATGAAAACATTTAAGAATGGCATTATTTTCTCCTTAGGAGGCCTCTCTCTCTCTCTCTCTGTGTCTCTCTCTCTTTTTTTTTTTTTTGGTGCTAGGTATTGTCATTTCATGTTGCTGTGAGGTATTTGCTTTGTATAATCTAGTTAACAGTACAGTATATGCATCATATTGGAATAAAAAGAAGTAATACAAACAGTGATGAAAGACATTACCAAAGAGTCTAAACTATTTCCCAACTCTGTAATATTTATGAAAGCATTTGATTTGGTACGGTCAATGATAGCCTTATTTCTGAGATGAAAAAATTAAATAAAATATTGGTTAGGAAATTATATGTTAAATACTGAATGCAAGCTTTATATTTAAGCATTCTTATTGCAAATTTTTTCAATGTAAAAAAAAACCTTTTGGTTGATGGTGCAGTTTTTAGAAAGCCTGATAAATACTACCTCGTTTCCATGATCAATTTCAGAACCATTAGAGCTAGATACAGTCAGGGACATAGCAACCAAAATGTCAGTTCCATTTGTGGTAGAGCTATGGAGATCTTTGTCTTGGTTCAGGTATGTGGCAACAGAGTGCTCCTTAATACTAAATGTTGAGATAACACAGGTTTACCCACCCAGTTTCAAACAGCACTCCAACTGTGGGCTCCTTGCTAGTTCATCAGCAGGACTCACTTTATTAAATGTAGGTTCCTGAAGGAAGCAAGCAAAATGTGCACAGCTTGCAGACACCAAGCTACACCTGCTCAGATTCTTCTTCTAAACCCTCCAATCAGATATCTCACTCCTCCTATTTGGGGGCAGGTGTGGGTGGGTAAGGGAGGATGCAGAGTTATAACCCAACAGAACCTCCCTCCATATAGAACTGTCAAGTATTTATTGTTAAACGCTGATATCCCTGCCATACAGGTTAACATTTTTACATATCATGCCTGCTTTCACATGGACAGAAACAATGTAAGTATGGAATTAGTGTTTGAACAGATAAGGGAATATCTTCCCCTAATGATCTTATGGAAATCTGAATTTATTTAAAATACAAATCAGCCTATATGCTATAGCCATGAAAGGAAACTTTCTGCACAGAAAATTTTTTGGCTTCTTATGATCAACATTCGTTGTTTAATTTTCTTCTACTAAAAATGGTGATGATAACAATGTGTATCTTATATAACTGTGCCAAAGATTAAATAGAATAATACACAGTAGTGCTTTGAAAAGTGTCTGGCTTACCAAAAGTACTTAAAAATATAACTGCTATTGTTGTAAATGTCATCATCATCATCATCATCATCATCATCATTTTTTAGCTCAGGTCAAGATCTGAAGATGGGTGATGAGGATTCAATGACAGATGCACAGGCCATTGGAAGAAAGGTTTCTTTTTATGATTTGGTCAGTAAGAATCATTAAGAGCCCACATCATGACTAGTATTGTAAGCACACAGTGTGACACACAGTAAGTGTAAGATGTAACATCTCTATATCCAAAGCTTAAAATCTACATGATTACATGAATATTTCAGGCTGCCTACAATGTAGTTCAGGAAACAGTGCTTTCCATGGGCCCAAAGATCAGGGAGATTCTAAATGAAGTGTCTTTGCCATCTGACCTTGAAAATCAGATAGGGTGTGTCCTAGGAGCAGCATCAAGAAAGGGAAGGATTTTGAAGAAATGTGGGTGTTTGGCAGATAGCGAGGGGATTGTTCTGATTGGACTGGGCTGGTCTTAACCCTAGAAGAAAATCTAGATACCAAAGTTTGTTCTGGAAGATGCAAGAGGGAAAATGTTTGCTTTTGCCTTTGACTCCCACTGCCCTTATGTGAGGTCTCTTCAGCTTGGGCGTGGTGCTGCCTGCCCATGCAGGTCCATACCCTATGTTCTTTCCTCAGCCCACTCTCATTCTTTCTACTGTTTGAAATTGTATCCCTCTATCATAGTCTATTTGGATGGCTCAAAATGCCATAAACTGGGTGGCTTATAAACAACAGACATGTATAGCTCACAGTTCTGGAGGCTGGGAAGTCCAAGAGCAAGGTGCTATCAGCTAGCAGATTCAGTGTCTGGTGAGGGCTGTTTTCTCCTGATAACCTCACATGGTGGAAAGAAACAAGGCAGATGTCTCTGTGGCATCTTTTGCAAGGATACTAATCCCAGTCATGAGGATTACCTAATCACCTCCCAAAGGCCCCCCAATACCATCACACTGGTGACTAAGTTTTCAACATAAGAATTTTGGGAGGGGAACACAAACATTTAGACCATAGCACCCTTTTTTAAGGCCTGGTTTTTGTTGTCATTGTTTGTTTGTTTCTTTTCTTTGTGTCCCTTCTTTTTTTAAAAAAATTACATACTCAGTAATACTTTTTGAGCCTACTGTGTTATGTAGTCATATCTCTCCTTTTTGGTGGTAAGAACATACAATCTGATCCTGAGCCAGAATAACTAACCATCTAGGTGATCACAGATGAGTTGCTTAATCTGTCTTCATCTCATTTTCCTCAACTACAAAAGAATTAGTTTGGATTGGATGGTCTTTAATGGCTCACTTATCAGAGATCAACTTTGTTGATCTTTGTCCTAGGGTTTTTTTTTTATATTGCCTATTGCATGCTATTATTATTTAATTTTATGATAAGTCTGTCTTATTTTTCCCATGAAGTGTTAAGCCCATTGAGAGCAGAGACTTTGATACCAGCCCATCACCTAACTCAGTGACTTGCAATTGTAATCATTGACTACATCCCTGGTAAAACTCACTGCTACTTATTCTTAACCTATCTGCTAGTATGAACCTCATCTTCCTATCCCTTCCGTTGCTTTCCCAAATGCTCTCAATTTCTGATCTCTGCATAATCCAAACAGCATGTATTTCATATTGACTTTCTGTGAGCATTGGTATTTGTATTTTATAAACAATGATAATTCATTGTATATAACAAAGGTAAACATCATGAAGACGGGCTGCCAAGGTGAGTCTGTCATTTGCCCTCATTTAGCAAGTACAACTCAGCCTTGTGAAGCATAATGCAAGAGAAATAAAGCTTTCCAAGTCTAAATAAGACCTCAAAAGGCCGCCATCTATCGTAGGCTGATGTGTTTATTTCTACAGTGTTACCACAGAGGGAACTGCCTTACCCTTTAGGCACCAAACACTGTCAGAGTTTCAGAGAGTTTTGTTTTTAATGCCATATCCTTTTTATGCCAATTAGAGATAATCTCCTTGGGCTCTTAAGTAATTTGTCTGTGCCATCTCAGGCACACTGAAAAGAGTCACAAATCCTTTGCTGATTGGAAAATATTGTGGAAACTCCTCAGGCATAGTTAGAAATTAGTAGAAACTTTTAAGTCAATGTGATGTCTTTTTCCCCCCTTCTTTATCAAATAAAGAAAGCTTCCTACACAGATTAATGTACAAATTAATTTGAAACCCGTTTGATGGGGACTTTTCCTTGAGCCTTACAGACACACACACACACACACACACACACACATGCACAGACACACACACACACACACACACCATCCACAGTTGAACAATATTAATGAACTAGGAATTAGAAATTTTTCCCAAGGAAACAAAATGCTTGGGTTAAATTTTGAGATGATTTTACTTTCTCATGGTCCTTTACAATCCCAGATATTTAGGAGGATTAACAACCCTAGAGTTTATTAGGAATCCTCTTTACTACATTAGGCAACAAACTTCATTAGAAGGAGCAGATTGGAGTGGCTTAATTAATTCCTGATTAATTTATAACCATTATGTTTTCTCATTCTACCCTTATTTATTATGCTAAAACACCTTAGAATGACCCTAGCAGCATTTAAGTAGTAACCTTCACATACAGAAATATAATTTCATGTTAGTGAATGGTCAGCTTTAGCTATCTTAGAAAGGCCCGTGTGACCAGCCTTGCACACAAGAGAGGAAGAGTGGGCTCTGATCTAAATGACCCTCATCACATGCCCCACTGCTGCTGTGGCCATGTCAAAGTGCTTGGCCCTATTTCCCAGTAACCACCAGCCCCAGAACACAAATGTTTGGCAGGTTTGTTTGAATTGAGCTTCTTGATTCAAAATAAGAATTTCTTTTGCCTTTCAGTCCTGAATTAATGTCTATTACCATCTAATATCCAAATTCTGTAAACTGTACCAGACAGAATTCATAGATTAAGTCCCAATTAGACCAAGTGAGCATTTCTTTACCTTTTGTGGCATGTATTCCCCCTTATAACTGTTTTGTATGTACATACAACTAGTTTTTTATGCATACAATATGGATATTGTTTCTCATTTATTTAAATTTTGCTTTGTAATCTTTCTTTCTCCCTTCCTTCCTTCCTTCCTTCCTTCCTTCCTTCTTTCCTCCCTCCCTCCCTCCCTCTCTCTCTCTTTCTCTCTTTCTTTCTTTTTTTGCAGAGTCTCACTCTGTTGTCCAAGCTGGAGTGCAGTGGCATAATCTCGGTTCACCACAACCTCTGCCTCCTGGGTCCCATCGATTCTCCTGCCTCAGCCTCCTGAGTAGCTGGGACTATAGGCACGTCCCACCATGCTTGGCTAATTTTTGTATTTTTAGTAGAGACATGGTTTCATTATGTTGGCCAGGCTGGTCTCGAACTCCTGATCTACCCGCCTCAGCCTCCCAGAGTGCTGGGATTACAGGTATTCTTTAATAAACATTGATAACCTACTTTATGACACACACTTACAATATAAATGGGCATCCAAAGACATGTGGAAACAAATGCTCAAAAAATGGTTGAAACTTTTTCTTTATTTTATCTACACAAACACACACAGAGCTAAGGAAGCTCTTCAACCATTTTTCGCATTATCTTGTTTTTTTTCGTTTGTTTGTTTTTTGGGCTTCATAAAAGATCCTTGTTCTCATTTTGTGGAAATGTGGGCTTGACTGAAGAGCTATTAGGATTAATTAGAGTTTAATAAGAAATTAATATATAAAACATAATGGCTTTCCAATACGCCAGCCATAACTAGTATAGAAAATGGAAGTATCAGATGCCATTCACAAGGGCAAAAAACATGAAAATGCTTAAGGAATATTTTAAAGAGTATGAGAACTTTTAGATTTTATTAACAAAACTATGGAACTTTACTGAGGGATTTAAATACACATGGAGATATATTTCTATGTAGAAAAATGGAACATTTAAGTATATAAATTTATTCCAAGTGTAATTGTGGATTTGCTGCAATTTCTATTAATTGGATGAGCATATTTTTTATTGATGTTAGAACTTGACAAAGTGATCTATCTATTTCTTTTAGAAAAAAGTGACTGGAAGGAAATACACCAACATCTTTACAACAATATTCTCTTAATACTTTTAAGTCTCAAATTTCCTGAAGTAAACATGTTTGCCTATCATTTGTTATTTTCTTATTACAAAAACACTTTTTGGAAGAAATTAAATGTACTAATCTATGCTCCTTTCCAGATTTTAAAATCTTGTGACAGTGGTGTGATAAAATGAAGGGCAGATATCTCTTGGTTAGCCTTAGAGATATACTTGGAAGAGTATGCAGAGTGATTTGAAGACTATGAATACAGGAAACAAATATTTTCATATCAACATATGAAAGAATCCAAATCAACAGAGGACAAAAGAAGTCAATTTGGGTACAGGAGAGACATAAACCATGGGAAACTTCTGTGGGAGATTGAGATCACCTCCACGGGGAGGTGGAGATCATTGGTCTTTTCCCCACCTAATTTGAGTGGGTTACTATCCTTTCAGAACCATTGTGAAATGGGAGCCAAATAGCTGAAGGGACAGAGGTCATCTTCCATGTCAACTGCTATTTATTGAAGAAGGAGAACATGTATTCAGGGGATAAGATGAGGTGTGTAGGGACTGTGTTGTGCAGGCAGGGCAGTGTGGGCAAAGACGAGAGTTTGTTTATACGTACGTTGAGGTCTTTTAACCATGACAGAATATTCAGGCAGAACTTTTTTAGATTATCAGGTATTTAACTGTTTATACCTTATACAGACAATGCTTTGATTATTTTCAATTTCAAATGTCATTTAAAAAAAGAGCTTATTTAGGTAATCGGAAATTCAGTGACAATTAATTGCAGGGAGAAAAATGGTCTGTTCTGAAAAGTTCCACTCAAGAAAGCATATCACTAATATTATACTGAAAGACAAAATAGTAAATCAATTTTTCTTTCCAAACGAACTAAATGAAAACAATTTCACTCATGAGCTGAGATGCTAACTGCTAGCTCCCTGTGTAAAGTTAGCAATACCAGCAATGATGCCGCTTCTGAGAACCCAGGCTCAAAACAGAAGCACTGCCAGAACTTCAAGTGTCTCCAGCCCATGTGATCACCCCTAATATTTCATGTATGAATTTTTGTAGGACATCTGAAAGAATAAGAAATTGTGTTCATTTATTTCTCTTCTGGTTCCCAGAAGACCACTCAGTTTTATGTAATGCAAGAACAGTGCAGTTTGGCATGGGGAGTCTTCACAGCTCCAACTGGCTGCCTCTTTGGGATTTGTAGCACTGTTTTAGATTTCGGCTTCCTGCCTCACGTTTCTGCTTTGGTTTCCTGATGATGTTTCGCCATCACACCAAATGTCTTTTCAGAACAGAGTTCTGTTTAAACACTTTCTTTTATTAAATGTGGTGCAGTTAGTAGGGCTGGATTATATTACATGAAACTATGTTGGCAAATTAATTACTACGCATCATCTTGTCATGGCAAACTTATATGTGCACACATACAAATGCAATAAATCATTGCTGTGGAGTAAATGAGCTGCTATAAAACATGTTTTGCTACAGTCATACAAGTTGTAATTACTTTGTCATCATGGACCTCATAGGTCTACTCAACAGCAGCACCACAGATGTCTGTACAGCCAAAAAGCAAACAATCAAACAGTTGCGTTGATATATACAACACAAACAAAATCAGGTTTAATTATTCTCCATCCACCATCCCAAATCTATCAGGTCCCTTGTTACCATATAGTAATAATAGAGGGCTGAGGTCATGTTCTCTTTGCACTAAGTTTTTCTGGAAAGAACGTATCTTTTTGGTTTGTTTTTTTTGTTTTGGAGAAAATCATTTTCAAGAATTTCTAATCAGCTTTGAAGTAAAGTCATGAGTTTTCATGCTTGTTTTCTAATATTCTGTTTTTCGGAGAACAGAATCACACACATTTTGCAAATTACACAGTAATGATAATTACTTTTTAATATATTTGTAATAGCAACTAAAGCTGTACACTTTTCTAACAAACACAGGTTAGTTGAAGTCACTTAACAAAGTTACATATGACAGTATTAATTCTTGCACATGTTTACTTCATCGAGTACTTCCAACAGCCCAGCTGTCGATAGAATTTTTCAGATGAGGTGAATGAGGCAGAGTAAGATTCAGTAAGTTACCCAGGCCACACACCTAGCGAGCACTGGGCCCAGAATTCAGTCTCCAGTAGCCTGGCCCCAGAACCCAGCTTCTAACCACGGTGCTGGGCTCTAGCACTTCCCTGTTCCTCCCTGATCCTAACACCCTTCACGCTGCATTCATCGTTGGTCTGAGTTTTTACTTGAGTACAAGATCTGGAGGCGGAGCCTTGTTTTTACTGTTTGCCACTGTAAATGCAGCCCCTGGGGCTGAATCAGGAAAATAGTAGGCACTTAATAAATGTCAGATGAATGAATGAATGATTAAAGCATTGTATCTCTCTTTCAAATTGTTTCCAGGCTGCACTTTACCATGAGTCTGTGCTTGAGCCCTACAAAAAGAAAAGTGGAAAAAGCCGAAGCAATTTCAGTCCTGGGGAACCAGGTCAGGGCTGCTTGGAGCCCCTTGGTGTAACAGTGGTGATACCAAGGTGGGGAAAGAGGCAGAGGGCACTTCCAGCCTGTTAAATACCACAGTTACTGTGGTCCCTATGCTTCCAGTAACTTTAGCACCAGAGGAACTTAGGACCACAGTGCTGGTACCAGGAGGAAGAGCAACAGTGATGCACCCTCGCAGCACTGCTCCCAGCCTTTCAGATTCAGTTCAGTGTTGTGTACAAATGGTGTCAAGCAGCATGATACTGAGCCATGGCTTTATCACTGTGGTCCTTCTCAAGATTCCTGCAGTAGGGAGGCAACTTCGTTGTACTTTATGGGCCTGGAAGCTTAGTTGGCATAAATTAGTGCAGGAAGTTGGAAATGGTGGAGAAAAAAAAAAAAAAGGGAGATTCCAGATTCTGGTAGAATGGGCTATGTTTGGGATGACATATAATACATCTCCCAGGGACTCCCAGAAAAGTTTAGAAGGATGAAGAGACAGGAGAACCTGTTTTAATAGTTCAGGACAGAGTTAGGTAAATACCAGCTCCATTTTTACACCCAGACTAGTATGGCCTGAGGATCTACAGATCACATTTGATTATGTGCAGAAACAAATGACCTAGGGACAACAAATCAACCAACCAATTTATAAGGTGTTTGTAGGGGGCACATGGAGTGAGGGGAAAGTCCACTAAATCAAAAATGGTTTCTGCATAAATCCTGAAGAGCCTTGGGTCTTGAAAACATGTGCTTGTGTTACATACCTGTGTGTGACGTGTTGGAAACATGTTAGCAGAGCAAGGGATACCCAGTCTATGTGATTCACTGGCCAGTTATTTCACTGAAATAACTAGCAGCAATAAATGCAAATTTAATTGACGCAACTAATGCTCTGGAAAATACACCAAGTTTCTTGGATAAAATGTCTGTATCTTTTAATAACAGTTGAAAAATTGTTTTCTCTTAATTACAGTGAGTGGGGAGAGGGTCCATAGGAAATGAAACAGAAGTGTTGGATCATGGGCTGCGGGAATAAATTCTAGAGCTGGGTCAGGATTGAGCTTTCCAACTTGGGGCTTTTTAATAAAACAAACATATGTTGCTTGGTAGACAGAGGCTGTTTGGACACTTCTTCTTTTGGCAAGGTTCAAGTTTGATAAGAGTCAAAAACTCTCTCTAGCTGGGCAATAGTGTTTGTGGAAGGCAGTAATGTTTTTGTTCAACCACAAAGGGACAGAGTCAGGAAAGAAGTTAAAGCCTTCAAAGGTATCACACTTCATAGATAAAAAGACTATTTACAAGGGGATTCTGAACCTCAAAGAAGAAGACAACCCACCTAACCTTCTTACTCCAACCTGTCTGATGTGACTTTCTACACATTTGCCATTTACATTTCTGTAGTTGAACTAGCCCTTGCAGAAAGCCTCCTTAATTACATAGTTCCACAAATACCCCTTCTTCTTGATCAATCACTACTGCTTTGCCTGTTCTCTGTTTCTCTAATGTTGGCACACTGGAGAGCTGCCTATAAACCTCCTCTCATCTTCTATTCTCCACTTCTTTCCCTGCCAGTCCACAAAGGCCTAGGGAAGTGCCTGGGATGGCAGAACTGGTTAAAGGTGAGGGATGAGGAAAAGGGAAGTCCCAATGTCTCCTTTCTCTCCTTTGCTATCACTATCCCAGATTTAACGTCCTCAGCAGGTTCCCCAGTCTCACACTTGGAAATTGCGAAGACTGCTATTCTGCTAGAAATTGGAGGATTTTCTTCCCTGCCTTATTCTGGGTTTGCTGCTGCCCAACAACTCAAACCTTTTGATAATATTGCAGGACCCCTCCCCTCGTCCATCCTGGCACCTGGCCTTGATTTCTGTAATTATATATCAGGGACAGCTAGGTCTGAGACTGCATTTTTCTCATAAGATGAGATAAATCTTACTCTTCTCTTTAATGTATGCTACTCGAAGACCTCTGTGTGCCAGAGAGAGCCCTACTGTTCCAATACTTTTACTTATGCAGGTACCAGCACTATCACACTTGCAAGTTGCAATGACTGCTATTCTGCTAGAAATTAGAGGATTTTTTTTTCTTTGCCTTAATCTGTGTTTGCTGGTGCCATTGAGCTGGGGCTGGAGGGTTGTAATCCCCTCTGCACACAAACATGAAGGCCTGGGAGGTCACAGAAGGTTGAGAAGTCCCACATCCTTAGAGACATCCTGGACATCCCAGAGCAGAGGAATTCTCATGCTATGTGATATAAGAAAATATGTTAACACATATTTTATCTACATTGTTATACAATGCATGTTGTAGAATAAACAGACTTCTTGTGGGCTACTCTGAGAAGCTAAGTATGTAACAGCTGGGCTGTTCTAAGTTCCAAATAAATGGTTTTCTTGAGAGGAACCATCTCTAAATCAGGTGCTACCCATGATAGGCAAAACAATAGCTATAAAAAGATATGAATTATTGCATTATATATGTGTGTCTGTATTTTGTGTATATTTTCTTGGCACAATATGATTTTTAAAATTACTTAAACACTGGAGATTTCAAATTATACCACAAATTTGTCTTTTTTGAAAAAACGTATCAATGGATATACTCTAGCTAATCAAGAGTTGAACTAAAACCAGAGACAAATTTACGGCAAAGCTATTAAAGCTTTGGCTTCAGGGCCCAACATTCGTGGGCCCATCCAAAGCTCTGGGGGTTTAAAGTGTGACTGATATTTTTACTGTGATTGGTTAAAACCACTGTCTCCATCCACTCAGACTCCCTTCCATTCCTTTCCTCATAATTCTTCTCCTTAATCCAGGCTATAGTCATTTAGTCTGTAAGCTGAGCAGCAACTGTACCATGATGGTGAGCAGGTTGAGCAATTAGTATGTATTTAAGGTTTTTCTTTAATTTCTTGCTACTCAAAGTGGTTCATGAATCATCAGCATTTACATCTCCCAGGGGCTTGTTAGAAATTCAGAATCTTCCAGCCCTGGCTCCATAGAAGCAGAATCTGCATTTTAACAAGATGTACGTGTGTTTTTATACACATTAAACATTACTCCAAAAGCCTATTGCACTTTTGATTGACAAAGAATATTTGGAAATTGGTTATTTCTTTGAATTTAGATAAATATGCTAATCTTACCATTGGAACACAGCATAAAATTTATCCCAGAGGTCTGTACCTGATATGTTCACCATATCAGATTGAATACTTTGGGAACCCTGACTGGTTTTTCTTAGAATCCTGGTCTCCTCCCTTTCTGCCAATGTTTCAACATGAAGAAGGAGGTCTCTTGGTGTCAGTTCTCAAAGAACCTTTCCTTGCAGATGACTGACAAACAAACCCAGTAGAAGGAGTGTGCTGTGTCTGGCCCATCCACCTGCGGCTCTCATTATTTTTGCCCATGATTCTCATGGCCCTCTAGTTTCATGGCCTCTCTAGTGCTTCCTCTTTTGCTTTCTAAATCGACAACAGCACTTTCACAAGTTGACATTTTCAGATCATGGGGAAGGCTGTGGTTAGTTAAAGGTTGGGAGCAAGTTTGATATCAGCTTCATTCTGAAATACCCATCCCTGCTTCCTCTGGGGCTCCTCTGCCATATTGCTTATTCCTTTTTCAGAAGCACTGATTTCATTTCATTCATTGTGTCTTTTATTATATTTGCTATATGCCTGCCCCTCCAACTGGATTATAAACTCCTTAGAGGCAAAGATAATTCATATTCATTTTTATCCACCCCATCGCATCTACATTTTGTACAAGGTCTTACATATACCGCATACTTACTAAATTCACATGTCGGAAATTTGCTATGTAGAGATCTGTGTATTGCCAATCTCTCTCTTTTTAAAATTAGATTTGTTGTCATGGAGACATCAATGATTATGACTTGTAGATTAGAGACAGGAATTGAACAATAAGTCTTGGTTATTGACTAGTAGGATGCTAATGCTGTATTTCCACAGCCCCAGTTACAGCAGATGGACTATAGCACTCTGAAATTTGATCTAGTAACATTCATTAAAATCTGTGAATGAACCAGATGGTAAAGAGTTGTACTGGGGAGAGTGGGCTTAGATGTGATAGAGTCATAATTTTCTGGTAACATTTTTTTCTTTTCAAATGTTATGACCTTTCAAAGAGTTTCTTTCATCCCTCATTCCACTATTTCATGTCATCCATAAAATCAGGGAGAGACAGTGTAGACTCCCTGGTTTGAATCCTGGCTCTGTCACTTCTCAGTCCCGAAACTGCTGTGTCTCCAATTCTTTTTGTAAACTGGGGATTATAAAAATGTTTTTAAAAATACTTAATTGAGACCAAGGACAGTTCCTGCTACATAGATGTTACAGGCACTGTATGTTTGATGTTATTATTATCCTTTAATAAAAAGAATAAAAATAACAAGCCTGTGGTTCAGCTTAGAAGTACAAATACCTCATATTTTGCATAACCATTATGTTTCAGTAAAAACCTGAGGGTACACACTGAGAGATAATTCCATCCATCCAGGCAAAACTTCAGCTAATGGGCTGAATACCATTTCTCATAGATCTGAAGCTTCCCCACAGGCTATGGGGTTCCAGTGTGTTATGTTTTGGGTTGCTGTCCTTGTTTGTGGAGTCCTCCCATTGGCCTATGTGGTGGACAGACCCTAAGGTGACTTCCAGTGAGTCTCCTCCTCCTGGTGTCCATACTTTTGTGCAATCCCCTTTCCTGAGTTTGTATGTGACCTGTGACTTGTTTCTAACAAATAGAATATAGCAAAGATGATGGAATGTCGTGTTTATGTTTACATTGTGCTATACAACCACTTCTGTGCAGTTGCAGAGAGATTCTCCTTGCTGGCTTGTCAAGTAAGCAGCCATATTGAGGAAGCCCGCATGATGAGGAACTATGAGCCTCTAACCTCTGTGGTGTGAGTGCGGCCTTCAGTCAACAGCCGGCCAAAAGCCATGCACTACAACAAAATAAATGTTGCCAGCAACCTCAGTGAACCTGGACACAGATCCTTCCCCCATCAAGCCTCCAGATGAGTTGCAGTTCAGTCAGCATCTTGATTGTAGCCCATAAGAGCTTCCCCACCTCAGCCATGCTCAGAAACCTGATCTGCAAAAGCAGTGACATCATAAATGCGTGTAGCTTTAGGTGACTAAGTGTGTGGTAATTTGTTACACAGTCATAGAAAACTAATATAATACAGTTACCAGCACATAAGCAGGGCTTACATATGGCAATGGGCCCAGCAGTCTGGCATCTTCTTTGCTGTGTCTTATCAGCTATTTGTGGTGTTTGGGGGCTTTTGAGGAGGGCTTGCATGAGCCAGTCCAAATTATTTTTAGGCGCAATTCCACCTTACAAGGAGTCAGTTTGGGGTCATGTTAGAGCTAAAAGTATTTTTTTCTTTAATCATATTATTCTTTACATTCTCCTTGCCTTTTAAAAAATTAATAGACTTAATTTTTTAGAATAGTTTCAGATGCACAGAAGAATTGAGCAGATAGTATAAAGAACTTCTATAACCACCCCTGCCACACACACCTGAACACACAGTTTGCCCTAGTATTAACATTTTACCTTAATGTGATACATTTGTTACAACTGAGTTAGCCTTAATACACTATTACTCACCATTTATTAACTACAACATAATATCATGTATCCATCATTACAGTATCCTATGGAATATTTTCCACCCTAAAAACCTTCTGTGCTCTGCCTATTCATCCCTCCCTTCCCACCAACCTCTTGTGACCACTGATTTTTTACTGTCTCCATAGTTTTGCTTTTTCCAGAATGTCCCATGGTTGAAGCAACGTTTCTCTATGTTTTTTTTTTATGGCTTAGTAGCTTATTTATTTTTTATTGCTGAATAATATTCCACCGTAAGGACACACCACAGCTTGTTTTTCCATTCATTTATTGAAGGACCTCCAGGTTTGGGCAGGTGCTGTAATCTTTTGTGTGCAGGTTTTTGTATGGATGTTAAGTTTTCAACCTACTTGATAAATACCTGGGAATTTGATTGGTATAGTAAGAGCTAGATTGTATGGTAAGACTGTGTTTAGTTTTCTAAGAAACTTCCAAGCTTTTTTACAGGGTGGCTTTGCCATTTTGCATCACCAAAGGCAATACCTGAGGGCTCCCTCTGCGCCACATTCTCCCCAGTATTGTCAGGTTTTTTTTGGACTCCAAGCATTCTAATAAGTGGCTAGTGGTTTCTCATTGTTTTAATTTACAATCCCCTAATGACATATATGCTGAACATCTTTTTGTATGTTTATTTTCCACCTGTACATCTTTTTTGGTGAGATGTTTGTTCAGATGTTTTGCCCATTTTTTTTTTCTTTTAAAAGTATACAGTATTTTAAAATCTTTGTATACAGTATTTTGGATAACATTTCTTTAGTAGATATGTCTTTTGCTAATATTTTTTCCCAGTCTGGGGTTTGTCTTTTCATTCCTTTAACAATGTCTTTTGCAGATTAGGTTTTAAATTTTGATTAGAAGTGATCTATTTTTCAGTGTCATGGTTGGCTTGGGATTACCTTTGAATGCAGGAAGTGCCTGGTTTTGAAAACTCTGGGAAAAAGGCGACCAATGTGTTGCTACCCATGTTTTTCCTGTTGGCTGGTCTCAGAAACCCACACGGTATTTTAAGTACACAGAAGAACAGAAGGTTTTGGTAAATCTTACAATTGAAGCTCAGCAGGAAACTAAATTCCCAAATGGCAAATACATAACTGACGGTTAATTTTATGCCCTCTCAAGTCTTCTTTTTCCTAATAATTCAGCTGTGTAGTCATATGAAGTGAAACCAGATAATTTAATTTGTGTTCTCAAAATTTGGATCACTTTGGCTTTTAAAGTAGTTATTAGAAGGGAACACTGTATACCTTTTCTTTTAGAACAATTATTATTATTTATTTGAGGATGGACTTCAGTGATTTTTCGCTAAAGAAGATACCCAATTGCTATAGGGTCACTGTGCAGCCCCCTTTCATACAGTCAAAACTTCTTTTTGTGGCAAAAAATTCATACATTCAAAACTTCTTTTTATGGCAAAAGCATGTTCTTCACAATTTGGATATAACTTTCCTTCCCAAGATTATCAATTCCATTTCCACTCTACTCACGGATGTATGTGATAATACTCAAAGTTCTCAGTTAAACTTTGGACCTTTGCATGTGCTTTCTGCTGCTTGAAATGCCCCTTCCATCCCAATCTTTGCTTTTCCTGGAAAGTCCTACTCATCCTTCAAGGCCCATTTCAATGATCACTTCAGATCAGAGGAGGCACTTTGCTTCCTTATAGAACTCAACCCTACATCTCTTGAGCTCCGAGCATGATATGGTTTGGTTGTGTCCCCACCCAAGTCTCATCTTGAATTGTAGCTTCCATAATTTCCATGTGTCATAGGAGGGACTTGGTGGGAGGTAATTGAATCATGGGGACAGGTCTTTCCCATGCTGTTCTTGTGATAGTACGTCTATGAGATCTGATGGTTTTATAAAGGGGAGTTCCCCCGCACATACCCTCTTGCCTGTCACCATGTGAGGCATGTTTGCTTCTCTTTCCAGAATGATTTGCTGAGGCCTACGCAGGCCTGCAGAGCTAACTATGTGTCAATTAAACCTCTTTCCTTTATAAATTACCCAGTATCGAGTATATCTTTACTAGCAGCATGAGAACAGACTAATACAGAGCCCTTTCCATGGTAATTGTTTACTCCTTAAGACTTTCTCCTGGAGAGAAAGTTCCTGAAAGGAAGGAACATTTTTTTCTTTACATTTTTGCCTCTGCAGCATCCATTATGATGTTTGACTTATAGTAGCTACTCACAATGGTAGCTGGAATATCACCAGATAGGAGAACTCTCTCCTGCAATCCCTACCTATTTCTAGGGAAGCATCTGGTTGTGCTAATGACTCATGAAAACTTTGTGACTGCCAATCACAGCAGAAACAAAATCTTTTCCAATGTTTACTGCTTTTATGTACTTGAAGGAAAGAGGATGGATTATTTTTCCTTTTCTGCTGGTTATTTAACAGATGTTATTCGGGTTGCACATGGATGTCACATTACATGCAAACCATACCAGTTGTTTAACGTTGGATAATCTTAAAAGGCAAAAGAAGAAACTGTAAATAATGGCCTTTCTCTAGGGATCTTTGTATTTCTTGGTGACATGCTGCTATGTAATAAAATAAATTTTCTTTGGGAGAAAGTAAGTAGGGGAGAAGATTCCTTCTTGATGAATTCTTTTATTGTTAATACATGTTCTTCTAAGCCCAACATTAACCTTGTGTTTTACTATAATATCCTGAAGATACATGTGACTTCAGTCCTGGCTAACTCATAGTATAGGATTTGATTTGTATAAATATTGACTCAACAGTTATTTGTTAAGTCAACTCAATAGGTATTTATTGACCCATTGATTCATATAGTTATTTATTGATTCAATAACCTATAAATAGGTTTTTGCGGAGGAATCAAAGAGAAAAATGAATAAATTAATGAATTTAGGGGAGTTTGTCCAAGCCTAATCCTTTCTAAATAAGTGTGGCAAAATTATTTTTAGCACTTCTTTCAAGGTTTTTTGTGATGTCAGATAGGATTATAAAAAAAGAGGATGAACAGTCTTGCATATTCAACCATGTATTGTAGATTAACTTTCACGTGCAATAATGAGGGTGAGTCAGCAAGGCCACTGCATTGGCTGTACTCATTCATGGAGTGTGCGTTGAGTTCCATATCTCATCTCTGTTCAGTCTTACAATTCTGAAGGAATCTGGAGGTTGACACATGGTCACTACCCCCAGAGCTAACAATTTAGCCATATGGATTAAATGACTTATGAAACACAGAGAAAACTATCACAGGAATGAGTTGGAGGTGGGAATTATGGAAAATAGTCTGATTGGCACTGTCCCAATCCTACACATTGTTCATTTGACTCAGGTTCATTGTTGACCATTTAGCTTCTTATTTATATATTAGATCACCTGTTCATTCATTAAACAATTGTGTATTGACCACTAGTATATTTCAGGTACCTTACTAGATACAAGGGCATAACAGTAAGTAAAAACATATGCCATTCTTGGCAGTAAATGAAAAGCTATACCAACATCTGTTAAATCACAATTCTGGCAAAAACTGCGAAGAGAGAGGCAGCAATAAAGCCAAAGAGTATGGCTTATTTATTTTTTTAAAAAATTATTTTTAATTTTTACTGGTACATAGTAGGTGGATATATTTATGGAGTACATGAGATATTTGATAAAGGAATACAAGGCATAGTAATCACATCAGGGTAAATGAGTATCCGTCACCTCTAGCATTTATCATTTCTTTGTGTTACAAATATTTCCATTATACTCTTTTAGTTATTTTAGAATGTGTAATAAATTCTCATTGACTGTAATTACCCTGTTTTGCTATGAAATACTAGATCTTATTCATTCTATCTATGTTTTTGTACCCATTAGCCATTCCCATTTCCCCCCGCAACCACTACCCTTCCCAGCCTCTGCCAACCATCATTCTATTCTCTATTTCCAAGAGTTCAATTGTTTTAATTTTTAGCTCCCACAAATAAGTGAGAACGTGGGAAGTTTTTCTTTTTGTGCCTGCTTATTTCACTTAAGTTAATGTCCTCCAGTTCCATCCGTGTTATTGTAAATAACAGAATCCCATTCTTTTTTATGGCTGAATAGTACTCCATTGTGTGTATGTACCACATTTGCTTTATCTATTTGTTTGTTGATAGACACTTAGGTTGTTTCCAAATCTTAGCTATTGTGAACAGGCCTGCAGTAAACATGAGACTGCAGGTATCTCTTTGATAAACTGATTTCCTCTCTTTTGGGTATATACATAGCAGTGGGATTGCTGGATCATATGGTAGTTCTATTTTAAGTTTTTTGAGAAACCTCCAAACTGCTCTGCATAGTGGCTGTACTAATTTACATTCCAACCAGCAGGCATTCATTATTGCCTGTCTTTTGAATGGAAACCATTTTAACTAGGGTGAGATGATATCTCATTGTAGCTTTGATTTGCATTTCTCTGATAAGTGATGTTGAGCACCTTTTCATATGCCTGTTTGCCATTTGTATGTCTTCTTTTGAGAAATGTCTATGTATATCTTTTGCCTTTTTTTTCTTTTTTTTCAGACGGAGTCTTGCTCTGTGTCCCAGGTGGAGTGCAGTGGTGCCATCTCTGCTCACTGCAAGCTCCGACTCCCTGGTTCACGCCATTCTCCTGCCTCAGCCACCCGAGTAGCCACCAGGTGCCCACCACCAGGTCCAGCTGATTTTTTGTATTTTTAGTAGAGACAGGTTTCACCGTGTTAGCCAGGATGGTTGCAATCTCCTGACCTCATGATCCGCCCGCCTCAGCCTCCCAAAGTGCTGGGATTACAGGCGTGAGCCACCGCACCTGGCCATCTTTTGCTCATTTTTAAACATTATTACTTTTTTTCTCCTGTTGAGTTTTTCAAGCTCCTTATATATTGTGGTTATTAATCCCTTGTCAGGTAAATATTTTCAAGTATTTTCTCTGATTCTGTGAGTTGTCTCTTCACTTTGTTGATTGTGTGCTTTGCTGTGCAAAAGCTTTTTTTAACTTGATGTGATCCTATTTGTCGATTTTTGTTTTGGTTGCCTGTGTTTAGGGAGTATTACTCAAGACATCTTTGCCCAATCCAATGTCCTACAGAGTTTCCCCATTGTTTTCTTTTAGTAGTTTCATAGTTTGAGGTATTAGTTTAAGTCTTTAATCCATTTTAATTTGATTTTTGTATATGACGACAGATAGGGGTCCAATTTTGTTCTTTTGCAAATGGATATGCAATTTACCTAGTACCATTTATTGAAGAGACTGGCCTTTCCACAATGCATGTTGTTGGCATTTTTGTCAAAAATGAGTTCACTGTAGATGCATGGATATGGCATATTTATCTTTGACCCTCAGTGTCCTGTATGCTGCCTTGAGCATTGTAACTACTTAAAAGACCTTAGGGACTGATTAGAACAAGTTTTGGAAGCACTGCAGTATATTCCATCAATAAATGGAAAATTCCGTTTACTTTTCCTGGTACCTACCCAACCATATTCTTTTAATGCTTGTTGACTATCTGATTGTAAATGAATAGGTCCTTATTTTTTCTTTAAGAGTCTTTAGTTATTTATGAAGACATAACCTTCAAGTTTGGTCAGAACATTTAGGTTTGGCTCGTATTGAGTCAGACTCAAATCCTCATTTCTAGGCTCCTTGACCATTTCCACTTTCCACAAAACCATGTCATGTTACAGGTAGTGTGTTGTGGGAGGAGGAATGTGGATTTACAGTTTGGCCTGGATATTTGCTAACTCTGGGAACTTGGGACAGTTTAGCTGCCCTATCACTTACCTTTATGAGAATCATTTGAGACTGTGTGATGCAAACATAGATATATAATTTTTACATTAAACATTAATCGTCATTTTCTGAACACACAGCAATAATGGGTTGGGGAAAGATAAACGAGAAGTTTTCAAAAAACAGAATCAGCAAAAAAGTGTGTTGATTTTAATTCATTTTATTATTTTAAGTTATATTTGAAAAGAGTTTACAATAAAATAGTTCTATAATACTTGTTATTAAAACAGCACTCTTCTATCTACTTCTTCATATTTTTCCCTTTCCAAAGGCAGCTACTTTCAATTCTGTTAGCTGATTATTTTGGTTTTTACTTTCGTGTTTCCAAATAACATTCTTGAATTGGTATTTAAATTAAAAAAAAATTTCATCATTTTATATTTACTTCACCTCTGGAAAATTAAATAAAAAAATCCTTCCCTTTCCTGGAACATGGGAATATTCCATATTCCCATGCATATGGTTCCCATTCTACCATTTTCCTAATATAGTTGTGTTTTACTTAGATCAATATGCAGGGTTTAGAGATTAATGACAAAATAATTGCTATTTGTAGCAGAGCTCCATAGCAAATTCTAACTCTTTTTTTATTATAAAACTTGTATTATAGTTACGAGTCATCTTGCTTTTATATATGTTAGTTTTCAGTGTATTGATCAGGAATTTAACCTCAAAATCTTTGCCTATTGCCTAACTCTTATACAGAATTCAGACTCATCAGCTATTTTCTCATTTTTTTTTCTCCCTATGCCTGTCTGGGAGCCTTTGGACCTGCTCCCATGTGAACAGGGTGCTTCGTATTGCTCGTTGTGTAGCTTTCATCCCAAGATATCTTCTAACTGTTATCCTGGGAATTGAAGTCATGTCTTTTCTATGGTGATTTTTCTTTTTTCCTCTATTTCATGTCAATCTAGCACCAAGATATGAGTCAATTCACATGACAGAAGTTGTTAATCTCTTGCACAAAGTTCACCTTGGGTCTAAATGGCTCTGGATGACTCCTTAGAGCAGCTGTGTTGAACCAGCATCCAGGGTGACTTTCTTTGTGTGTGTGTGTGTGTGTGTGTGTGTGTGTCTTTGTTGTACAGTTCTGAGTTTTGACAAGTAATAGAGCCATGGAACCAACACCACAAATACGATACAGAATAGTTCCACAACCTTCCCCCAATTCTCTTGTCTCCTACCTCTTTGAGAGCTAAACCCTCTTACATTCTTTCTTCCTTGTGATAATGACTTTCATAGTGTGGTGCCACCACATTGACTTGCAAGTTTCTGTGATTGTGGAGGCAGGGGAAGGGAACATAGAGCATCGTGCACCCACATTTAAGTGCTTCAGTCTAGAAGCAGCCAAAGCAAATTATTGAGCAAAGCAAACACATGGCCTTGCCTAACTGCAGGGTGTGGAGAAATGTGCACTTTGAAAGAGAGGAAAACAGGAAATATGGGGTAGCCCTACATTACCGAACTCCTCTTGCCTCGCTTCAGATTCTTACTGTCTCTTTCTTAATTAACCCTGCCACACTGTGATGACAAGTTCTGTGAGTACTCTGACCAGCTTCACAAGGAAGCAGTCCAGTAAGACCTAAGGTTGGGCCTGCACTGCATGCCACTTTCTTCTGGTCTTGAGCATCTTGGTCATCTGAATGGCAGATACTCCTGGAACCCACTAGATGCTCATACATGTGCCCCCTGGAAGGGCAGGAGAGTTAGCTGCCTGGGGGGATATTTGACCAACAGCAAACAGGAATGAAACCACAAATGCTTCATTATTTTCTGGACAGGTGTTCTGAAAAATCCCTCTTCCTCTTTCCTTGACTTTTTTTCTATGAAACTCACTGTTATTCTCCGGATCATATCTCATAATTACACATTACTCATCTCTGGCTATTCTTTCTGAATAACATGGGCTAAGACACATTGTCTTCTACTTTCTTGCTTTTCTGCCTTGTTGTATCAGAGGAAAGGTGGTTCCTAAGAGAAAGTACATGGGGGGTAAATTTTTTTGTAAACTTGATGGCTGAAAACATGTTTATTTTACTCTAACTGTTGATGAGAATTTGACTTTATATGGAATTTAAGGTTGGAAACAATTTTCCTTTAGAATCCTGAGGGCATTGTTTCATTACCTTCTAGCTTTCAGCTATTGAGAAATCTAAAATCAATTTCTAACTCTCTTATGTAACTTGATTTTTATGTTTACATTTCTGAAGATTTTTGGATCATCTCTTTTTCTCAATCTGAAATTCATAAATTTGTGTTTTGTTGGGTCTATCATTCATTGTCCTGGGCATTCAGTTCTCTTGGATTATTTTATTGCTGATTTTCATCATTGTTTTCTCTCTGGAAGTCTTATCACTCAGATACTGAACCTTCTAAACTTGGCCCTTAATTTGCTGATTGTTTGTGTGTCTTATTCATTTGATTCCTTTGTATATATGCTGGAAGTTTTCTTCAACTTTATCTTTCAAATCATCTATTGAACTTTTCATTTCTGTTATAGTTTTACATTTCTCGGAACCTTTGTCTCTTTCTTTTTGAATTTTTAAAAATATGCCTCTGTTCTTCTTTAGCATTAGCGTATTTTTTCCTATCTATGCCAACATGCTGGGAATCAAGTGACGATGAGATACGGAGTTGTGGATGGGTCCTCAGCATCCAGTATGCCTTTATTCCCCCGACTCCTCTGTTCTCAGTACAGGGTTAACCAACTAATCATGATCTGGTATGCTCTACTCCAGAGAATATCTGCATTTAACTCTTTGCAGGGTGGGAGGGAGATGGTGACCCATTTGCTCAGAGTGAGGGAGGGGATCTGAGCCTCTGACTCTTCCTTTTCCAGACTTTCAATCCTTTGTACGTTTGCCATGCCACTGGCTTCAGCCGTCCTTCCAAAGGACTTGTTTTGCCAGTTTCTGAGGTTTTGAGAAATTATTTGGTGAAAATCTGGTTAGTTCTCAGCTTTTTCTCACTCTGTCTTGAAACGCAGTTCCTGAGGTCTGCTATCATTTATCACTGGTCCATCTGCTCCCCAGCTTCCAAAGTGTTATTGCCACAATCACTGCCATCATCCCTGTTCTTGAAGGTTATAACTTCAAAATATCTCTTTACTGTCATTTTAGTTGGCTTTTAAGAGAATGTAAAAATAGAGGATTATGTCCAATCAGCCATCCTTACACAGAAGTCTTCAGATGGTCTATTTTATGAATTTATATTTTCATAATGCAATAACACCAAACATACAGCCGGCAAATTACTTTCTGGAAGATGCAAATATCTTGAAAATTCTAGCTGATGTTTAACTCACTAATGTAGTAACATATACTAAAATTGCTAAATATTTAGCCATTCCACAGAATTAAAATTGGACATTTTATGAAGTTTTGTAATGAAACTGCAGATTTCATCAGATGAGAAGGATTTGGGGTGTCAAGCACTATTGACATTTTGGGCCAGATAATTCGCTATTGTGGGGAGCCATCTTGTGCATTGAACGTGTTTGGCACTAGCATGCCAGTAGCACCCCTAAGTTGAGACCACCAGAAAAAGTCTCCAGACACTGCCAAAATTCTCTGTTTGAGACCTATTGTGGTATGATATAATGCTGGAATCAGAAAAATCTTTTCTTTAAAGGGCCAGATAGTAAATATTTTCAGGCTTGTGACATGGTCTTTGTTGTTGGGCAGCCACTCAAATTAGCTCTTTTGGCTTGAAAGCAACCATAGATGATAATATGTAGAAAATAATAGGCATGACTGTGTTTCAATAAAACTTTATAAAAACAGGCAGCAGATCATATTTGACCCACAGATTATAGCTTGCCAACCCCTGATATTGTACAAAGATCGAAGATTTTAGAGATAGTTGGTTTAAGCCACTTACTAGCTACATAATCTCAAGTAAACTTAATAAAAATAATAATGTCTATTACTGGGGTTGTAATGGGGACCAGATGGAACCTTAAACGTGAAAGTTTCTGACATATAGTACTATGATTCACCTTTTCTGGTCCTTGACAAAAAGGTTGTAATGAAAACAGTGTTAATGCCCATCAGAAACCCCTTGTGTGGTAATCAAATATTCCTTTCTTCTTCAACAGACAGTGAGTTCCATAAGCAAATGAATTATAGTCATCTTTGTATGCCTTTGGTCCAATCAGTGCCTGGCACAGTGTTGTTTATTGCATTCTGTTGAACTCAATGCAATTTTATCTCATATTTATATTGGTATTGGTTCTTAGAAGAAACACATCTTGATTAGACTTTTTAAAAGAAAATCTTTGCTTCTAACACTAATAGAAGTATTTTTGCCAGACAATTTATAGATCAAATAGTTTCACAGATACTTGTAAAAAACATTTTGTACTTTGCCACAACCTCCAAAGAGCTATAATGAGCATTTTCTATTATGTGTATGCTACTAGAAGCACGAAAACATAATGATATAATTTTTATATTAGAATCGATTATGTTTTAACACATTAAAACAAAACCATGTACTGCGTATTGTTACTACATACGTTTACAAAACCTGACCCTTCCTTTAGAGTCTAAGAATCTACTGCAAATATTTGTAGTACCTTTTTTTTCCTGATGAAATCTATACAATTAAATCATTTTAATTCTTCAGAAGGATTGATGTATGCAGGCAGACTTAATGTTCTGCATATTATAGGCAAGCTGAATGATTCAAAAATACTAATAATAAAACTGGGCCAAGTGTGTGGAATCCCAGAACTATTGCTAGATTTCAATTCTTATGCTTTCCCTCATGTCAAATGAAGGTGTGGAATGTGAAGAATTTAGGATATTGTCAAGCCTTAGAACAAGTGAGTCACTTTACCCTGAAACAACTTTAGAGGACAGTTTTGGGGAGAGATTGCTAATTCTAGGGAGTATTAAGGGAGCTATGTTCTGTCTTGAAAATGAAGAAAAAAATGTTGGATCTTCCAAAGAAACTGTAATATCTCTAAATTCCCAAAAGTGGAAACAAGTTTTGGTATTGATCACTTCTACCTGTTGCTTTCTTGAGGTCTTCAGAAAAGGAGAAGTATAAGCAACACTAGGTGTAAGAAATGAATGACAGCAAAGCCAAACTCACAGCAGAGCAACCACCCACCGTGCAGGGAGGATCCAAACTCAGGTTAGGAGCTGTGGGTAAGCCGACAGCTGCTCAGCATCAATCTTCTGCACATACTAAAGTACTACTGGTAAAAAAAATCAGAAATGTGCTATATTTCTCCATGATAATCTGTACAGAGACAGTGGCATGACTGATATGGTTTGGCTCTGTGTCTCCACCCAAATCTCATCTTGTAGCTCCCATAATTCCCATGTGTTGTGGGAGGAACCCTGTGGGAGATAACTGAATCATGGGGGCGGGTCTTTCCTGTGCTGTTCTCCTGACAGCGAGTAAGTCTCATGACATCTGATAGCTTTAAAAACGGGAGTTTGCCTGCGGAAGCTCTCTCTTTGCCTACCGCCATCCAAGTAGATTTGACTTGCTCCTCGTTGCCTTCCGCCATGATTGTGAGGCTTCCTCAGCCACGTGGAACTGTGAATTCTCCATTAAACCTCTTCCTTTTTAAATTGCCCAGTCTCTGGTATGTCTTTATCAGCAGCATTAAAACAGACTAATACAGTGACCCACTGAAAATTAACCTCTTTTCTTCTTCCCTCCTTCCCTCTTTCCCCACTTCTCTCTCTCCTTCCCCCCTGCCCCCTTCCTCCTCTGCCCCTTCCCCCTCCCTTCCTCCCCCCTTCCCCCTTCCCCTTTCCCTCCTTCCCCTTCCCCCCTCCCTCCCTGCCCCCTTCCCCCCTCCCTTCCTCCCCCCTTCCCTCTCCCTCCTTCTCCCCTCCCTTCCTCCCCCCTTCTCCCCTCCCTCCCTCCTCACTTCCCCTTTCACTCCCTTCCCCCTTTCCCCCTCCCTTCCTCCCTCCCCCTTCCTCCCTCCCTTCTTCACTTCCTTTTTCTTTTCCTTCCTTCCTTTTTTTTTCTTTTTTCTGTAGTGATATTCCTCTATCTTTAGAGCTTCAGTTGGAATAGAAGTTATTTCTTTTACTGTTCCATGTAGAATGCATAGACCTTTGTGATCTTAATGTCCAAGACCATCAAGCATTTCCTACGACATATAAGGCTCTATTATGGGAAACAATAGTGGACTTAATGCTTTTTGTTTGGAAGGAGGGTAAGGAAAGTGGCTTGGCCATGAGGTAGAACAGTAGATGCAGTAATGTACTACCAAGGTACCATCAGACTTCTCACCCTCATCCCCAGGACCAACACTGCTGACTGATTACCCTTGATTGACTCCCCAGGAATTGCCCTTGACTGAGGGAAGCTGCCTCTCCCAAGGACCTGAGGACACTTCATTTACCAAATAATAATCAATGTGCTAATGAGAGGGGCACCAGAATTTTTCAACAAGTACAAAGCGGATTGTCCTCTGTAGATCATCACTGATGGAGGGAGATGCTGTTATAGAATTGGGTTCCGTGAAAGCAATGTGGTTGATGGGATTTTGTACGAATAGATACTAGCTGAAGGTATTTAACTGGCAAAAGCAAAGTGGGTACATTTATTACAATGAAGAGCAATGTAGAACCAGGGAGCCTGACCTAAAAAGAGCTATGTAGATGACGAATAGAACATGGTGTTCCTTGGGACAGTGTTATGGCTTGAATGTGTCCCTCAAAGTTCATGTGTTAGAAACTTAATATTTAATGCAGTGGCGTGGAGAGGTGGGACGTTTATGGGGCGATTGGGCCGGGAGTGCTCTGCCCTTATGAATGGATTAATGCACTAATGCATATTCCCTTGCTCTTCTGCATGCCACCATGGTATGATGTAGCAAGAAATCCCTCAGTAGAAAGATCCTGGCCCCTCAACCTTGGACTTCCTAGCCCCTAGAACCATAAGAAACAAATTTCTTAGTTTTAAAAATCGTCCAGTCTCAACTATTCTGTTATAGCAGCATGGAACAAACTAAGACTGACAGGATAAAAAGGTCAGCCAGCAAGAATATCGCTTGGTCTATACAAGAAAAGAAAACAAGAATGTATGATCAGTAGAGAGAAGCCAACTCCTCTAATAAAAAAGTCATAATCTTTTGACCAGTTCTCTAACTCAGAACCCATTGGTAAGAGGGAGATGTTGGGTCCTCACAAGGATAAACTCTGCAACATCGTGGCAAATATTCTCAGTAGTGATTATTCCAAGCCTTCCTCAAAGATATCTACAACCGTTTACTCAAATTCTCATATATTGAAGTGATATGGTTTGGCTGCATCTCCACTCAAATCTCATCTTGAATTCCCATATGTTGTAGGAGGGACCCGGTGAGAGGTAATTGAATCATCAGGGCAGGTCTTTCCCTTGCTGTTCTTGTGATAGTGAGGAAGTCTGATGAGATCTGATGGATACTATAAGGGGGAGTTTTCCTGCACAAACTCTCTTTGCCTGCTGCCATCCACATAAGGTGTGACTTGCTCCTCCTTGCCGTCTGCCATGATTGTGAGGCCTCCCCAGCCATGTGGAACTGTAAGTCCAATTAAACCTTTTTCTTTTGCAAATTGCCCAGTCTTGGGTATGTCTTTCTCAGCAGCATGTAAGCAGACTAATACATGAAGGTAGGGGAATATCAAAGCATTTTAAAGATATTTCAATATAGGATCTGAGTTGTCAGGAAAGAGTGAGGACATTTGAGAACCAAGCAATAAAGCGATTTTTGGCCCAGGTCTTCTGGCTCACAAGTCTTCTGAGTCCGTAACCAGGGGGTCCCTGAATAAATAAATGGCATGGACGTACTTGGTAGTTTGAAGAACACCAATGTTGGTTCCTTATCATGTTGGCTCTGATTGACCAAATAACATAAAAAGCTATCAGCTTTGAGTGGGACACAGAGCAGCCAGGACAGGGCTCTGCAGCAGGTCCAGGCTGTGATCAAAGCATATTATCCAGCAAAAGCTATAGTACTAGAGGTACATGTGGTGGGAAAAGGCACTTGTGATGCTTAGCTGGTTGGTCAAGGGCTGGAAGGGAAACAATTGGGGATAAAGGATCTGGGGAAGATGCATCATTCTTTGAGGAAACCAAGTGGCTACTTGGTAGGAATTTCATAAGATTGGACCCCTTCCCCCTGGAAGTGGAAAATATCTATTCTGATAGGAGTAGACTGATATTTTGGGTATGGGTTTGCTTTTCCTGCTCACAGGACTTTAGCCAGCAGCATTGAAAGCTTAGACAGTTTGATCCATAATATTGCATCAGACCAAGAGACCTACATCACAGTAAAAGGGAATGTGGCAGCAGGCACTTGGTCATGGAATCCACTGGTCCTGTTTTAAACCATAAACTCTGATGACCTGACAGAGTGATAGAATGATCCTTTGAAGGCCAAGATGAGGTACCAGATTAGGGATGATACCCCAAGGGGAGGGTAGCCCTCCTCTAGGCTGCAGTATATACTCACAATGAGTATCAATTATATGGTGCTATGCCCCAAAGATGAGGAATATTTGGTCCAGGACCAAGGGATGGTGGTAGTAGTGGCTTTGCCTATCATCACATCTAGCGATTCCTTGGGGAATTTGTTGCTTCCACAACTCTAGGCTCTGTAGGGTCTTGAAATTCCTGAGCCATTGAGAAGGAGCACTTCCACCCTCTCAGTAGCTGTTCCACTGAGGACACAGTGAAAATCTCATTATGCTTTACACCTTGGCTGCCTGCAAATTACTTTGAGATACTTGTGCCAAAAGACTAGCAGGCAAGAAACGGAGTTACAGTTCTGGAAGGAATAATTGACTCTGATCATCCAAAAAAGATAAGACCACTTTTACATAATGAAGGCAGGAAGAATTTGTTTGGCACCGGATGATTCACTGGGGCAAGTCTTGGCACACCCTTACTCATTTTGATAGAGCAGTCATCGCTCGGTATTTTGAGGGCACTGGTTCCAGGACCCCCGTGCATAGCAAAGTCTGAGGATGTTCAAACCCCTTATACAAAATGCCATAGTATTTGCATATAACCTATACACATCTTCCCATATATTTTAGTCTCTAAATTACTTATAATACATAATACAATATAAATGCTATGTAAATAGTTGTTATACTGTAATTTTATTTGTACTATTTTCATTGTATTTTTTTTTTTTTTTTTGAGATGGAGTCTCACTCTGTCACCCAGGCCGGAGTGCAGTGGCATGATATTGGCTCACTGCAACCTCCACCTCCCAGGTTCACACCATTCTCCTGCCTCGGCCTCCCGAGTAGCCGGAACTACAGGCGCCTGCCACTACGCCCAGCTAATTTTTTTGTATTTTTTAGTAGAGATGGGGTTTCACTGTGTTAGCCAGGATCTCAATCTCCTGACCTCGTGATTCACCTGCTTTGGCCTCCCAAAGTGCTTAGATTACAGGCATGAGCCACTGCACCTGGCCTTTCATTGTATTTTTAATTTTTCTTCTACAGATAGTTTGATCTGCAGTAGTTTGAATCTGAGGATGCTGAACCTGTGGATAAGGAGAGCCTACTTTTCTTGGACAAATGCCCTGTGTCAGAAGAGTGTGGTAAACAGAAGCTCAGCTCCTTCAAGGATGACAGCCTTGGTTACACCACCAGGTGAGTTACCAAGACCAGAAAATGTACTAATGAAGGATGATAGGAGTCTAGAATGGGCACTACAGGAGAGAGAAGAGGCATACCAATTGCAGTTTAAAAATCAGCTTCAGTGGTGGCAATTGAAATTTGTCCCATTAATTTTCCTCCTATAAGTTTCTCTAGGAAAAGAGACCAAAGTCAGGGAGCAGTCGTTTTCACATGGGATGAACTCAGTGTAAGAGGCAAGCAGATTGTGGAAGATTAGAAGATAATGGATACTATTATTCCATCCAGATTCCTCTTCAGGACCAAGGACTCATTTTCCAGCTGGCAGGAATGTTAGCTACTGACGGCCATGGCTGAGTTCCTCTTCAGGAATTATCCTCCACTTGAGGGGAATTGCTTTGTTCAGTGTTACACTCCCTCTATAGTGGCAGCCCACACTGGTTGATGTGGGGTACAAAGTCCTGGACCTTGTCTTAGATGGGATAGTTCTGAAGGGCTATTCCAGCTCCAGAACTCCTCATAGGATTGGCTGAGGTCTCCTCTGCAACTGGATCACAGTTCAACTTTTTCTTCTGCCCAGTCCTTCTTCTCTCATCTGTTGCCAGTTTTATTCGTGAGTGTGTTTCCCAATAAACCCCCTGCATGCAAATCTCAGAGTCTGTTTCCTAGGGAACTCAGCCTATGTTGGCTAGTGAAAGAAACTTTTATATGTATTTGGAATAAGCCTTCGGAAGTATATACAGGTTAGCTACCTCTACCCTAAGTGAGTGTGAGTGACTAATGCTATCCAGTTATGGATGAAGGAAAAACTGTAAAATGGAATGTCGTTCCAAAGAATCAAAATGATTTGTTATTCTCAGGAAAATCCCTTCATTTGATCATGAATAAAGATGAATAGAACTTTTAAGAATAGAAAGCCCCTTAAAATAGAAGGTAAATAGCTAATAAAGGATATTGGATTAGAAGAGCACAAAAACATGAACCTGCCTGAGTCGCCAATGTGTCGTTTGGCTTAGGGAATAGTTTATGAACCCAGGAGTGAAATACAGAGGAGGGGGCTGCAAGGGCCCTGATGGTAGATGTGCAGTCCCAAGGTATCCAGAGCTCGGTCAGCACCTGTCCCTTTCCCACAAACCCCTGGGATTTCCCTGAAAGTAATTCCTCCTCTGTCCCTGAGCGTTTGTTCTAGGAAGAAGGGGAAATCCTGGCACCTGCCTCCCAGGGCTGCTCTCAGCATTAGGTGCCAGATCCCTCTTCTACCTCTTTGCTGGCAGGTGGATGGGCACACATCCAACCCTGACCAAACTGACTGCTGGCTAGGGCTCTGAAGCTGAAGTGTGGAACATGAGGAAATGGGGACAATAGGAAGTCATGCCACCATCCATGAAGATGGCAAGGAGGGCAATGGTGCTCGTGATGACTGTCCCCAAGTGATGCTGCTTTGTCCATGTTATGTTCACTTCCCATGCGCCATGCATAGTCTTCCATCATTTCTATGAGATTCCAACAGGCTTCCAGTAAGTACTATGCTTTACTTAAGATGGTCAGAGTTGGTTTTCATTGCTTACAACTAATTATCTTGGCTTACTTGGTTACCTACCATCCTGCCATTCCCTAAAAGGCTGAGTTACCATGAAAGAGGACACAGGCATGTTCATGCTCCTTTTCCTTGCTCCCTGCCAGAACTAGAGTATCAAAATCTGTAGGAAGGGAGAAAACTCAACCGTTCAATATTTGGTTAATGGTTTAATCCATGGTAGAGATCAGCATATACAATATGAGAAGGTGACAGGTATCTATGCTTATGGATGTGAACTTCCAGATTTCAAAGACTTAAGAAGAAGACACTAAAACCATTTTGTGCATATTGAGTTTGAGGTCTAGAAGAATCTGAGGACACAGACTCATTTCAGAATCATAAGGAACATGGTTGTTTCAGAAGATGGGGCCCAATTGCTATTGAGTTTTGGGTATTGAATACATCCCTGATGACAGCTTACTTATCATTTGTCTCTTTCTCATAAAAGAGTACAAAACATGCAAAAATGCTTTTGGTTTCTGTTTTTGTAATTGTTTGCAAGCTGTCAAAATGGTAATTTACTGTATTTTATTTTCTGTTTGGAGATGCTCCACCTTCTTTAAAACATTTTCTACATTGTTCTTTGTTTGTTATCGAATACTGGGAAATAATGCCTGTTCTGAAGCCTGCATTTCTATCCCATTAGAGATCACTGGAGGAGTCTATTTCCTAAGGAAGCAGGCAGGGATGGGGAGTAGGCAGAATGTGCTAAGAAATATGTGCCATGCTATGTTTCACCCACACAAATGGAGAACAAGAAAAGCCCTCCTCCTCAGAAGCTTTACTGCAGTTCTGTCTGGATTTATTCCAGCTCCTTGCTTCAGAGTTCTACAACTGGAAAAAATCAGGTTTATAGTCTGTTGTTTTTTTTTTGTTTTGTTTTTGTTTTTTTTTTTTTAGACAGAGTCTTGCTGTGTCACCCAGGCTGGAGTCAAGTGGCACGATCTTGGCTCACTGCAACCTCTGCCTCCTGGGTTCAAGCAATTTTCCTGCCTCAGCCTCCTGAGCAGCTGGGACTACAGGCACACGCTGCCACGCCCAGCTAATTTTTTGTATTTTAGTAGAGACGGGGTTTCTCCATGTTACCCAGGCTGGTCTTGAACTCCTGAGCTCAGGCAATCTGCTCCACTTGGCCTCCCAAAGTGCTGGGATTACAGGTGTGAGCCACCACACCTGGCCCTATAGTCTTTTAAATACAGATCATGTAGAAAGAGTCAGATTATTTTCAAATACAATGGTACCATCTGGCCACAGGGATCTTAGAGACCAACATTGTCAAAAGGTTCCTTTTCTTCTTTGGTTTCTATATTTATTATCCATCCTAAGTAAGCTGGGAATAAGTATAGGTGATTAAGTCATTCCCACTCAGAAGCCACTTCATGTGAGCATTAGAGTTACTGGGTGGAAGGCACTTTCACCTTTCTGGATACCAAGGGCAACAATGAACTCACAGGACCTCTGTCTATCTATCAGGATTATTTTAAAAACTTGACATTAAAGGGATATTTCTGTTTTCTTGAGTTTAGTTAATATTGTGGGATGATTGGGATCATGCCGTTTCCATCACGATTCAGTTTTGACATTAGGTGCCCTAATTAGTCTATGTGTCTGATTTTTTTCTATCCCTAGCTAAAAAGTATAGTTCACAAGAGCTGGAATCACAATCCCTGCAGCTTTCCACAGGAGGACAGGAATGCCTCACATATAAAGAGCTTCCAAAGTCCTGGCCTCTGAGCTTTGAGAAAGAAGACTGACTCTCCAAGAAGATCACTTCTAGAACCAGTGCAGAATAATTACAACTACAGGGACTGTGCTGATGTAGGGGAAAGGGGAGGTAGACAGAGAAGAGAGAGAGAGACAAATAGTGAGACACACTGTGGGGCTGGGAGAGACAGAGAGAAATGGGAGAGAGAGACAGAGACACAGAGAAGGGGAAAGAGAGACAGAAAGGAGAAAGTGAGATAGAGACACAAAGAGAGAGGTGATGGGGGCAGAATTAGATTTTCCTTTTATTCTTCATAAATTTTCTTAGCCCAGCCCAGCAGGATATTCTAGGTAGTTTATCCGAATACTTTTTTACAAATGAAACATTATTAATCCCAATTCATAAATAAGGAAAAAGTGGACCTTCTAAGGTGATGCTGCTAGGGTGGGGTGCTCAGAGCACACATCTTCTTCCTGTTTCTTGGTAGTTTCTCAGACTGCTGCTCAAGCTACTTGGGCACTGTAAAAGCCTAGAAGCTCTAAAAAAAAATGAAAAATTATGCTCTGATGAAGTAATAATATCATATGTTTGAAATCCTAATAGCCTCATTCTTTGAAAAGTTTAAACAGAGGGAATCTCCTGGGAGATCTGGCTTGAGAAGAGCCAGCAATTTCTGCCTCATGGGGCCCTGCTAGGCACCCTTTTCTCCTATTTTTGTTTATCACTTCCACGTTGGAATTATTTCTTTGGCACTACTGCTATTATGGGCTTCTGTTAGGAAAACAAAACTTTATCTCAGATGATCACCATATTCAAATTGAACCTATCATTGCATGCCCAGTGCCTACTTTTTCATGACACAGATAGAAATGGGGTAGGTCTGTTCCACCAGCAAAGCTGAGCGTAGGTGAGACTGTGATTTGTAGACTGTGATTCTGTGAGATCAGGCATTAGACAGAGAGGTATTGATGTGGGGAGAGGTATGAAACATTTTCTTAACTTTAACAGGAGATACTGTCTATGGCAGCAGATTCTGCAGCTATGATGGGGCATCCTGTGTAACTAAATGCCAAAGGAAGACGTGCAGACAACTTCCATTAGGAAAAAACAACAACGACAGCAACAAACAACAACAACAACAACAACAAACACACACCATGGTAGTACATACACTGGGCTTTCACTGCATCATGACTTTTTGGAGGACCAGCTGGCTGTCATTTCCAAGTATCAAATGGAATTAAAGGACATTAGTGAATGAATTTGTCACTGATGCCTAAATAGTATAATACTGGGTGTGTAATGTGGAAAAACATGAATGAAGAGAAGCTCTGCTAAAAATGTAGGAGGTTAGATGGCATGCCATATAGTTATCAAAAATGTCAATCCACGGGTTTATTAGATTTGGGGTAGGAGCACTTCTTTCCAATCCTGTTTTAATATTCTATCTTTATTCCTTAAAAACAGTTATCAAATTTGTTTCCTTGTGTCTCCCTTTATTGATTACAAATGTTCCCAATTGTTAAGACCATGGAAAATGGCAACAAACTATCAATTCTTCATGTTAACAAGCACCACATTTACTCCAAAAGTTTATGAAGAATAGGAAAATAAGAATCACACACAGATGATTTAAATCATGCAGTTTATAAAGATATAGAGAAACAGGCTTTGGCTAGGGTGCAAGTTGCTTGGATTTGAATTTAATTTAAAGATGGACAGTTTTTCTACAGGGTAGGCATTTTTTCTTCCTGAAGCCAGAATAGATTCCATCCAGATGCTTCATGTTTGTGCCCTGAGAGCAAACATTACATGAGAACTGAGCTGAAGGAGCTGAACAAAGCAGCCTTATAAATTCTAAATTCGGGTGATTGCATCATTGAAGTCCTAAACATACTAAGAGTCAAATCCAGCTTTTATTTTTATTGAGCATTTGCAACTAATTCCCACTGATCAAAGGCAACTTAGTCCTTGTTTTTTCCTATTTTTCTTTTTGGCAAATAAATAGTACTCTGGAAGGATGACATGGGAATCACTCTTCTTTCCAACAGGCATACAAATCCGCTGTTGCAAGGAGAAAGTGGAATGGGGAAAAGCAATGCATTTCGGGAATTCATTAAGTGGCTGAATTCATTAAGTGCTGGAAGGAGATAATTTAGATCTTTTTTGTTAACACAATAATTTGCAACTGTATAATTATCAGGGTTTGCTTTAGTCTGGGACAAAATCTGATATTTATACTTAAATGAAAATTACCTACCACTTACACTGACAAAAAAATATGAGCTTCTTAGTTGTGGTTATTAGTAAGATGTGGGGTTATAGAATCTCCACTTTTCTTTTTCCTAATTAGGTTTTTTATAGTCTGGGGGGTGGGTTTTACAGTCTGATGTGGCCCAGAGGGAGATGGTGCCTGTCTAAGGCATGCAACTTAAGAAGAAGCTTAAGCTTGAAGTTGGAGCAAAGAAGCGCAGATCTTATTCCTGGTCATCTCAGGGCTTTCTTTATTTAGCTATAAAATAATGAGGACACTATCACTGTGGTGAGCCCAGGGACAAATCCATATATTTGGGGGTCCAGGAATTATGCAATTTGAGAGGCCATCTCTAAGAACAAGAATACAAATATTATGAATTCTAAGTTGGGTATAAGGTGTTGAAATGGGCTCTTGCAATTTGAGGGCCCTGAAGCTTAAGTGTTATTAAAGGTAAATCCACCTGTGTGTGTGCTAATATCACTGGGAGGAAAGAAAGCGGACTCTCATAGGTTCTCCCAACAATCCATAAAAGAACTGCTAGCTGTGCTGGCTGGTCTGCCTTTGAGAGGGAGGTAGCAAGGTCTTCTGAATAACTGGAGAGGGTGGAAGCAGATGTCTGTCTGCTGGCAAGTGAAGGCTGTTTGTAAGAATTATTAGGTGTTGTCCCAGCCTAAGCATCCACTGATAAGGCATCCTCTGTTTTGTAAACATGATTACTCCTAGGTCCAAGTTTCCTAGGTGGGGATGATTATGTGTTTGGAACCACTGTGTTTCAGAAAGTCGTAAACTACATCATGCAACTCTCACAGCAGCCCTCGGAGTGTTTTCAACTTCATTTTGTAGATTTGGAAACTGAAGTATCAAAAGCTTAAGTGATTTGATCACCATCAAGGGTCAGTAAAGAATGCAGACCTCAGCTTGTAGCTCGGAAGTCTATGCTCTGCTCCCCCAACTCTTGCAGAAGAGTTCTTAGGGGCTGCAGCCTGCAGGAGTTGTAGGTAGTTTGAGCTCTCTGAGTGGTCTCACTGGCAAGCTGTTCAGTCAAAGTGACACCCCACTTCTTGGGACAATGGCCCAGACAGGATTACTACACGGAGGACTGTGCCCTGTCTTATGGTTTGACAGTTGGTCACTGGAATGAAAACATTTTCTCTGCTTCAGGCTCAGGGAAGTCCTGACCTGGAAAGATGTTAACAAGAAAGACTTTTAGAGTAGCAGGTAACCATAAAGTGATGACAGTAACTTTCTTGTAGGAGTATATTCTAGAGGTTATCCTCATTCTGATGCTGTTCATGGAGTCCATTTCATGAATTCCCAAACAGGTGACATTCCCTGGGCAATAATTATGAGTGTTGGGCCATACTAGACATGGTGATAGGTAGGAAGGAAGAGATGTCTTGCTAGATAAGTGGTAGTAAAAAGCTAACTAGGATCCAATTTCATTTGGGTGCCTAAGTGTCTTAAGAACCTGCTCAAACCTTTGGAAGAGATTTTGATGTCTTAAACACGAAGAAATGATAAATGTTTCAGGTGATGGATATCTCAATTACCCTGATTTGATCATTACACATTGTGTGCATGTATCAAAAATCATATGTACCCCGTAAATATGTACAACTATATGGATCAATTAAAAAAAAACTTGGGCAGGAATGGAGTCCTCTTACTCACAGATTAAACTCTATAGATTTCCTATTTAGAAATATGATCTGCTGTGATTGTGACCAGCATGTATTTGTTATGCTCTGGATGCATGGTTATTGAATACGTGTTTCTTCTTCTTTGAAACCATTGAGAACCACAGAGGTTACCTCCCCCTAAGGTGGGATATTTTTAAAGGCAGTTAAGTGGACGCTTTTGAGGTGAAGGCTTGTGTAAAGGAGGCAGTTCTGGCTCCTTCAGAGCCTCCCTCCAAGCCTGGTAATCAAACCAAACCCACTCCCATTTCTGTGACTGTGCTTAGGAGCTTGGAAACAATAACTGTGCTGGGGCGGGTTTGGAATACATTGAAATAGGCCTGTCAAGTCTATACAGGAGGCGATGGAGTATCCACTGACATCATGTAATCAAAAGGAAAAAATTAGACTGTGTGCCTTGCCTGGGAAAAATAGACTTCAACTTAGCAAGCTGTATTTCATGCTCCTTGAACAGAACTGCAATTCCTTCCTTTATTTACTCATGGAGCACCTATTTAACTACATGGTGGTGGCTTACAAATAATCAAAGTGTGGGACTGTTGGTGTGTTTTATAGATATCAGCTCTGGTGAATCAGATGAAATCCCACCCATCTCAGCAGGTACTAACTTGTTTAAGAAAACCAGCTGTCAACAGGAAAGAAACTCAGAGGGCTTACCAAGTTAATAATTCCTTTGGCAGGTCCTGAGAAATTTACTGCTTCATCTTTTAGTGAAATGCTGGGTAAATGCAGAAAGTCAGCTGCCTTCCATCAACTGGGAATCAATTATGAGGCTGATTGGGGTGTCTGTTTTTTCAGTTACTCAAACAGATCGAGATGCATGGAATGGCAGAAACCTTAAGGCCTTCACTAAAGGAGCACACAGTGTAGCGATACAGGCGAGAAGGTTCTGAGCAGCAATGAAAGGCTGGGGAAAGCCTGGATTCTCTTCTCTCTTTAGACTGCAGGAGGGTCAGTCTCCCTCTCATCTGCTGACCTGAAGATCCTTATCTTCTGATGGCTGCCACTGAGTTTTCACCTAGGGCATTACCTGGCAGGGTTATAGGCATCACTGTTACAGAAATTCACTCCCTGCCTTTGCCCTCCCTTGATCTTCCAGCCTCTCCTAGAAAAACCTTTGCTGCATTACTGTTAATTTCAGGTGTGCAATGAAAATGCCAAATGCATAGTTTATGGGACGATGCTGATATTGTTTCTAAATAGACTTTTCATTCACCTGGGAATTCACAAGGCCTTTGTTCTGCAAGCCCCCAATATTATCAGGTTAATGTTAGATTGCCTAACAGTCAGCATTTTTCTGGAAGGAATTTTAAAAGCATACATCCTTGGCCAGTGCAAAAGGGTATTTTTGTACTACAGATATATTTTATAAACAAGTTAATTATGAAGTATAACACACCTACAAAAAGGGAAAGACAGTGCCATAGATATTAGGTAGTCCAGGAAGCTTTCTGATAGGGTGATTAAATAGACTTGTCATAAATGTACTAGCCAAGGGCTGTTTTACATTTTGCTTTTGTCAGTGGAGGTGGCGGTTGGTGGGAAGGGATGAGGGAATGTAAGTTTGACTCTGATGATGTAGTCTGTGAATGAAAATCAGGCCTTCCTCAAGCCTGGTATTTCCAAATTTGTGGAATACTTCATAAATCAGGATGGCAGACTTCTCATCTAGGAAGACAACCAGACCCAAATCACAGGCAAACACAAGCACACAGGGCACTTTCTCTCCGCACAGTACTCATGGATAAAATTGACTTATGAAGAATGATTTTTAAGGCCAAAGAGAAGTTACAGGAAACAATGAGAAAGAAGGTGGATGTATTATGGTTCAAAAAGTTTGCATTAAAAATGTTAAATAGCAGTGTTTAATGGGAAGCATTAATAGTGTGACATTTAAGAGCATATACTCTGGGGTCAGAATGCTTGATTTAGAATCCAAGTTTTACCACTTTCTAGCTACATGACATTGAGGGATTGGTTTATTGTCTAAACCTTAGACCCCTTAGTTGTCTGATGGGGATAGTAATACTCCTATCACATAAGGACAGTTACATATTAGTCAACCATGTAAAATCATAGTACAGTGGCTGGCACATAGAAAAAACTCAATAGATATAAGCTGCTGCTACTGCTACTGTTACCGTCACTAACACTACTGGGCTTCTCAGTGCCTTCACTCTGCCAATGAGTGCTATAGGTCTATAGAATAGACCTGTACAGTTCAGCCTGTTCAACATTTATTTAACCACTAATGCTTTCTCTGCAGAACATCTGGTTGGAGTCAGGGTTTTTGGAATACCATTTCGTAAACATTGTGACAGATATATCTCCAAGAGCCTCTGGCTCCTATTCTTTAACATTTAGTAGAGAAATCTCTCTCACTTCTGTCTACTTAATCAAACTCTATTCATTCTAATAAGTGCAACTCCAGTTCCTTTTCCAACCCAACCCTGATCTCCCCAGCCGGTGCTTGGGTTCTTTCTCTTGATTCAATTGGCCTGTATCACTTGCATTGTATTGTCTCTTGGACTTTTTGTCTTGATGTCCTCACTATTTTAATGGATCTCTTGCCATGCTAAACTTGTCTTCTTTGATTTTATTTTACATAGGAAGTGTTCAGTTTTTAACCTTTCATTGACAATTATTAAATCCACTGGGATCCCCTCAATTTCTACTAGAATGTAGGTTTCATCAATATTTGAAGTCCTGCATTGGATCTTGATTTCCCACTTAGGTTAAGTCTCAAGCTCACTCATCACTTCCCTCCTTTAACACTAGAGGAGCTAGTGTTGCTAGCCTTTAGTCCAGAGGTAGTAAGTTACCCCTCCTTCTGATGTCCTTCCTAACCCATGTAACAATTGCCTGGATTTGTATTTCCTTTTTCATTACATTTCTTTTCTCTGAAGTCAATATTTCATTCTGTTTCTTGGGAATATGTTCGTCTCTCCTTTAAAACAATTTATTTTATTTCTGTATATTACGTAGTGAGGCTTTGGTTTAACAACATTTTATTGACCATTATTTGATCTATTGCACCTAAAAATTTTGCCTGCGGGTGGAGAGCTGGTTACAAAAATAGATGTGATAGTTTGTTGAAGAGAATCAGGGCAAAGGCTCTGACATTAAGATAATCTGGCTTCTGTTCCATCATTTGTTAGCTATGTGACCTTGGGCAAGTTACTTAAACTCTCGCTCCTGAAGTTTTCCCATGTATAAAAAGGGATCACTTCATAGGGATGCTGTTTATATTAAAGAAGACAATGGAAGTGTGTCTTTTAGCAAAGTGCTTTGTACCCAATAAAGCTCATAGACATTGTCTGTAATTAAAACACATTTTCTACTTTCTTAAATCTCGCCATCTGGAGTAGAAGCAGAAGGGGCTTTGTGAAGGAGAAAGGATTTGAGCAGGAAGTTGCAGGATGTATAAAGGGAAGTTTGGAAAGACTTTTTCCACTGGGGGCACCGTGGGAGATAAGGTTGGCACAATGGGTAGGAACCGAGTAATGGGGGCATTTGAATCCCAAATTATGAAATTCTGTAGGCATCAGGGAGTCACTGGACGTCTTGAAACAAAATGGTAATATGTATAGTTTTTTGTTTCAGAATGCTAACTTTGGAAATGGTCAGGAGTAAGGATGGGAACAGAGAGACAATTGAAACAAAGAGACCAATTAAGAGATTAAGTTCCACCATTCTTTTTTTTTTCTTGTTGCTATTTCCCCTGGTTCTTTCCTTTTATATAATAGGATTTTTTCATGCAACTTCCATTGATGATCGTTGATGAGACTCTCCTTGGATTTCTTAATCTTCCTCCATCAGACTAGATCTATTTGGTTTACTTCACCCCCAGGAATGCATTCAGGAACAAAATAGATTGTACATTGTATGTTTTATTTATGAACCTCAATTCCCTTAACTGCTGACCACTGTCATGATATTGCTTCAGAGATTTTCTCTGTTTCTCCTTTTGCTTCCAGTTGGTGCTACGTGTTCTCAGTTTAGTGCCCAGTTCCAGTGGTGAGGGCTATATTCATTCTCAAAATGGAATAATAATGATAAGAGAGATTTAGATAACTTTCAGCCTCTTGATACAATAGGGGCATAACCTTGGGGAAGCAAAGCTGGCTGCTCTGTTCTAGAATCTTCTGAAACAATAGCCCTGTTTACACTAGATGCAGTTGTATGACGCAAACTTTCAATCCAGTGAGATGCACAGCAGTGTGTACTGACGACCTTACAGGTGCTTGTCAGAACCTTCCTATTAAACTTGCAGTCTGCTGAAAATAGAGCACCAATACCTCTGGGCACCTCACTTTTGAAAAACAAACTAAACCATCAGATAAGACCATGGGGCCTTGGGCTTTATCTAATGCTACACACTCTTTTTAAAATTGATTCACTTTTCTGTCAACCCAATATGTCCATGAAATAGCCTATCTGCTGCTACAAGAACAATTATTATTCTGCCTGAGGTGATTCGTATGGTCTCAAGGCCCTGCAAACATCCATCTATACTGAGATGGATTGGAGATAAAGCAGACATGGGCTGGCACTTCAGCAGATACCCATTGTCAGACATGTCACACGGTGACAGCTAGAGAACTGCCCCACGGCCTTATGGGAAAGCATAATTCCCAGTTTCCGACAGGTAAGTATGCGTGGGAACAGTCTCAATTTTGTTTGGAGACAGGCACCATAAAGGTCCAAAGACCTTCAAATCTGAGTTGTCCAAATTTTCAAACTGACAGACCTAAAGTCTGTAAGCAAACAGGGAAGTCCCCATGGAAATTTCAGTTCACTTGTGCTGTATCTTTCCCCATAATCTAATTCCATGTTGCAATTAGATGTAATTCAAGATATACATAATTGCAATTCATTCAGAAGAGATTTATTTTTTGAGAGGTTCAAAATGAGAAAATGGGCATATTCCTTTATAGGTTTCATTGATGCAAAGTGGATTTAAATAAATCCAACTATATGTATACCCTGCAGTGACTGATTTATCCAAAGTAAAATATACTGTTGACTTTTGTAGAAATTTACATCCTAAGTATTCTCAAACTAATATTAATCTCATTAATGGTGTAATTATCTGAAAGTGGAAATATTATTTCAGTAGCCATTTCGTAATTTCTGTTTATAATTCCAGTCAATGTTTGATCTTCTAAGACAAAATAGGTGTTTATAAGTCTGAACTAGATGTATTTCTATTTTATAGTTACAAATTAGTTCCCAGTGATCCATGAGGTCATCTCAGGTAAATCTAACAGACCGCTGAGGGACATCATAATACATTTCCTAGCAGGGAAATAAGTATTAACATCTGAAGCCATGAGAACAGAGACATTTATATTTTTAAAGAAAAACAGACACAAGAAATTTCAATCCTCTCATGAAAATGATTTTCAACAAAATTATATTCTATTCCTTACCAGAGTCACTGAAGGATATCTACATGGGATAACTGGAATAACCACTCAAAACATTAAAAATAAAGGTGGATGATGTTCAATCAAAATGTTTATTTTGTTTATTAGTCAACTAGATTACTTCAGCAAAATAAAAAGCAATACTAAATGTTTGAATTCAATTCCAATTTAGTCAGAATTATCTATTGCATAGACTTGTACTTTCATACAAACCATAAAAATGAAGAATTATGTTTTGTATCTAGGGATTCAAATATAAAAGATAAGAACAAAATTACATCAAATCCTGTTTTTGACTTTGATTTCAGTGAGTCATACAAATCCCCACTTGTCACAAAATGAAGACTCACAAGTAAGTTTCTCACAGGTCAATGATTTCAGAGCAGCAAATACTCATTCTTCCGAGCTACTCAGGTCCTAGATTATTTTCTGCCTTGACATACAAAGATCTACTTGAGTCTTGAGGGAGGGGGGTGCACCCCCTCCACCACCACCAGAATGGAAAATAAACCAAGTCAGTTGATGCAGATTCAGGTCTTCTTGAAAATTTCAAAGGTCTTCTGTGGCCTTAGGGAATTTCCATTCTATTCTAGGTCTGAGACTTCCGAATGCCCAAGGAACTTAGGGTGACTGGATGAGGGCCATGGGAACCTACAGCAAAATGCTGCTGGGAAGTACCCCAGAGAAGACCCAGTGTGTGGCTTATAACAATCTGAACCTCAGGGACCTGCCCTCTACTTTTAGCATTACAATCTGACCAAATTAGAATGTTGTTATTGGCAATAGGAACTGTTTTTTGACTATATTTTGGATTTTTGCTGCCATGAAGAATTAGATACTGAATGGGAATTAACCTCTCTCTTGCCCATTGTCTTAGTTCAGGCTGCTACAATAAATTACCATAGATTAGGTGGCTTACACAACACATTTATTTCTCAAAGTTCTGGAGGCTGGAAGTTTGAGATCAGGGTGCCAGCATGGTTGGATTCTTGTGAGAACCATGCCTTCCTCCCGGTTCACAGATGGCTGTCTTCTCATGGTGTCCTTGCATGGTGGATATGGAAAGATCTTTTGTCTGTTATTCCCTTATAATATAACACATTAATCTCATAATGAAGGCTGTACCCTCAAGATCTAATTACCTCCTAATAGCATCACATTGGAGGTTAAAATTTCAACATGTAAATTTTAGAAGGACACAAACATTCAGTCTATGACACCCCTAATCCAAGAGGAATATTTATGAGCTAATAATTGCAATATGCCTTTAATTAGTTTAGAAACACAGGGTTGATCATATAATTCTTCTTCAGGCTTTCAATATTTCTTGGCTTGGTGGTTAATACACTTCCAGATCTGGCCCCATCCTGCATGTTTACAATCTCCTTTCACTTTTTTCAACACATCAGGTTATATGCTGATTCTAACCATGACATCATTTTGTGCCTTCGCTTGCACTGTTTCCTCTGCCCTCTGCCATTGTCCAGCTTGTGACGGATGACTTTCAGGGTCTATCACAAATGTTAGACATGCCATACACGTGTTCTCAATTCCCGCAAAAGGAATTAATGGCACCCCTCAAGTTTGTTTCTCTAGTATTTTATACTTCTTTTATTGTAGTACTTAACACATTATAAATAATGGGATGGTAGAGCTTCGTGGTTCTTATAATCCATGCCTTTGTCTCCAGTACTTGAATATTCCAGTGCAAGGTCAGTTTTAAAATATCTGGTATGTTTAAAGATAATACCAAAGATTAGTCCTAGAAATGGAGCTGGTAAAATATGTATATTAGCCCCCTCCTCTTTTTTACTTTGAGCTGTTTATTTTCCCTGAGAAACTTCAGGGGCAATAGGTGAGAAGATTTTTCTTGGTCCCTGTTCCTAGGAAAGGGAAAACATCCACCTAGCTATGAGTCGACTGATCCTAAGAATTGTTGCTTAGGGGACCAGCCATCTTTTTCGTATGAAGTCATATCAGAAAATCTGGAAACATGGATCTGGGAACTTTTGTTTTTAAATTTGGCTCAGAATTAATGCTATGTGTGACCTACGGAATGGTATTTCTTGTCATGGGGCTTTTCTCCTTGGGAAAATGAGAGGCTTAGACTAGCAGGTCTAAATTCCCTTCAGATTTGAACATCTGTGATTCTAAAACTCCACACTTGAAGTGCTGTGTAGGAAGCTGGCTGGGTATTAGGTGTTTGAAGGACTTGCTGTTCTGAGGACTACTAATATATTGAATTCCTCTATTCAAATTAAAAATTGTATTTTTAAGGGTAACATTTTTTGCTCAGATATTTTTTCAAATAGGTTTTGCTTCTATTCCCAGACACAGGTGTCTAGAAATGAAGAGAGGTGAGAAAGGGAGCAAGACACAGAATTTGACAATACCAGTAATTTGTGTGTAAGGCTGTTTTGTTGAAAGCACATCCCTGAGCCCCTGGAAACCTGAGGAGGGAAGTATTATATGTGTTTGAGTCCTGGCAACAGACGAATTCACGACAGGCTGGCTATGAAGAGGTTTCGTCAGCATTTGTTATCTTGGAGTGTCTTGTCCTAAGAGTGCTCTTGATCACTACTGGTCTGCTGTCTTCCACAGGCCACCAATCGGTCATCTCTGATTGGGAAAATACTGCCAGTGAATGAGATTGTCTGGTTTAGCCACAAAAAAAGAGGCTGTGTCACAATCTGGCAAATTCTAATGAATGGTTGTTGATATGGTTTGGCTGTGTTCCCACCCAAATCTCATCTTAAATTGTAGCTCCTATAATTCCTGTGTGTTGTGGGAGGGACCCGGTGGGAAGTAATTGAATCATGGGAGCTCTTTCCTCATACTGTTCTCTTGGTAGTGAATTGGTCTCATGAGATCTGATGGCTTTATAAGGGGTTTCCCATTTTGCTTGGCTCTCGTTCTGTCTTGCCTGTAGCCATGTAAGATGTGCCTTTCGGCTTCTGCCATGATTGTGAGGCCTCCCCAGCCATGTGGAACTGCAAGTCCATTAAACCTCTTTCCTTTATAAATTACCCAGTCTCAAGTATGCCTTTATTAGCAGCATAAGAACAGACTGATACAGTTGCTTTTAGTTATTTATTTCATAGTTTCAGCTGTTTTTATAGTTGTTTGAACCATATCTGCATGACTTTAGGGAAGTTACTTAACTGCCCAGAGCCTCTGTGTCTTTATCAAGTGTGTTTCATGAACTTCTGGGTTGTGGTGAGACTTTTATGAGATAATGTTTGTGAGAACAGATTTTACACTGTTAAACACAAGGCACATGTTGGTCATTATAGCCAGTTGGACAAGTAATGGCTAAGAAGTTATTTTTCTTTCCCAATTTCCCAGAGACAATCAGATTTTTTTGTCATCACTGTCTTGTGAAGTATAATCTGTTACATCTACTTGTAGTAAACTTGCCAGTTTGGTAGCTTTAGATCAGATTGGCCAAATTTTCCGTAAATCCATTCTGAGCAGGACTCTGTTATTGTTGGAACTGCAGATCATTAATTGACGTTTGCAGCTGCCAAGACTTTACCACAATTGAAGAAATAGCTATGCAAGTCAGACTTACACCTGAATTTCTTTAAGTTTATTCATTTAAATTTGATCCTTGAAGTATTTGCTTTACTCATTATGCTGCCTAATTTGCCTAAAATAAATCAGGAATCAGTCAGTACTCAAATCCTGGGGTAATTGGAGTTTTTGGTGTCAGCAGCAGCATTAACATCTATTCCATCATAAGTGCCTGCAACTGTGTGTGTGTGTGTGTGTGTGTATACAAGAAAGAGAGTTCCTTTTGCCTGCAATTACAAGTAATATTTGGGGAATATTTTTAATCCATCTATAAATGGATATGAAAAGCTGCTATCTAAAAGAGATAAAAGGCTGTTTGTTTTCACATGCCAATATTACCTGAAGAAAAAAGGCTGGAGAATAAATTGGATGAGTATATTCCAATTTATCACCACAAAAATATGTATAGTATCTTTCCAAACTAATAGGTGATTTTGATGCAACAATCATAGGAAACAAGTGAGCATCTGGATATAACCCTTAGACAAATAATGTCTGTTATGGTTTAGACATTTGAATTGATTCCTATAAAAGCAAATAAAAGAACACACATAAGACAGAGGGCAGATTGGATTGGATTGATAGTCAGCAATGTTGCCTTGCTTACTTAGAGTCTGCATAGTGTTTTGTAGGGAGGGAGGGATTTCGGCAACTAGAACCTTCATTTACTCAATGGAGTTGTAAATGAAACTTGAAAATGGAGTTGTTCAAGTTCAAGGTTTTGGTGGTTAGGGATTTCTCCTCTTCTTTAGAGTGCTGACTCTAAATGGGCTGGAGGGGCTGCACGCTAGGAATTGGTAGGCAAGGGAGACCCATTCGCTTTCTGGCTGATTTATATTTTGGGACCTGTGTCTGTATTAATGGCTTCTCCTGTCTCACCCAGTAAGTCACCAGTGGAGATGATGAATGAGCAGGGAGTTGGTCCTGGGCCGTGAGGCTTGTCACAGCGGACAGGAAGCAGAGGAGTGGGGCTGTACAGAGCGGTGACCTTAAACATCAGTGAGGTGGTTCAGCAGCCAACAGGCTAACACAGTAAAATCAGCTACTTTTCCCTTGGGGAGGAATGAGCAAGGATTGAGAGCCTGACTGGATGGAGCCTCAGGCCAATGCATGTTGTGGGAACAAGGAGTTTCCCCAGCCAGGGCCCAGGATGGCGTGTTCTGGAGGATAAAGAAATGCTGGGGCATGTACCTGCCTTAAAGAAGCAATACACCTGTAAGAATGAACACCACATATTGTCTTTTTGCACAGAATGATGGCCAAAAAATTCGCATAGATTCCAAAAGATAACATCCAAGAAAAGAGTCTTTTCAGTTCATTCTCCTAAAGAGAAATTGGAGGCCATTATGAGTGGACAAGGCTGGCATTTTGGGGATAATATAAATCTGTTTTCTTGAGGTCTGTTCTCCATTCTGACTCCTTTTTGTCTGATAGCAAGAACAATACTTTCTGTGACAAAATCAGTACATTGTTTTCTTTAGCAAGTTGCAATATTTGAAAGGAGGATTGATCTAGAGGCCAAAACCTTTGACCTCTTTTTTCCATAGGTCATAAACGTGACCTGCAGCAGGCAGACCAAGACACTGCCCTTGCCCAGGCACAACCTCCAGTTATTTGGTCCAACAGGTGAATGCCAGAAATTGCTGGCCTGCCTATTGGAAATGGAATTGCCACCTTTACTGGAGGTCTCAAGTGATGCCCAAACTTAGATTGCACAAATATTATTTGTAATAATATTTTAAAACTAGCAATTACTGTGGTTCTTTAAGGAGAATATCTACAAAATTGACTGAATCCTTTAGATTTCATCCAAATATCTCGCACTATATTTATATTGGGTGCAATGTAATTAAACAGCAATGTCCTGCACTACTTCCTGCAAGGGATCTGTCACTGACAGTTATACTGAAATTGCCAGGCAGTGGATTGTTTCTGCCAAGTGGGGTAAGTGTTTTAAGATCAGACAAAACACAGAGAAACTCTTCATAGCATAGGGATTCACACTCTGTTCCCTGTCATGTGCCCCCACCCTAGCTTGCCATTCTCTCCAGAAAATGCTGAACCCCTAGACTTCCATAACAAAATCCCTGAGATGATTTGACACAGTGCTGCGGCCTCACACACCTGTAATGAGTAGGGCATATTGAAGGCCATTAAGAGGCTCCACAAAATCCCACTGGGGAGGATCATTTTTAAAATATTGCTTCGAGACATTGTGTCATCAATGTAATAGAATTCCCGAAAGGAGAAGCAGCCAGGACACAAGGCAAAACACAGAGACTCTGGAAGGCAGGCAGGACTGGAAAAGTTCCACCACAACTAGTGAGGAGGGACTGGAGGTTCATATCCACATCCACCGTATTCTCCTTAAGCAATTATATAAAATGTCATTTACTTCCTATTGGGTGTGAATTTTATTGCCGTTATCAGCAAAATCCTTTGATGTCTTCATAGTGACCAACTTAAAGAACCCTGTCCAGTGTTAGTATAAAAGGATACTTGCCCCAAGATCCCATCTTTTAGAGCCAAGAGCTTTGTGCATGGGGTTAGCAAAGCCAGATACACAGCCCCCTCAGAGAGCTCTGTCTTAATGAGGTTTCCAGAAATGTGGACAGAGCAGAGGTCAGCAAACTATGGCCCATGGGCCAAATCTGTCTTTAACAAAGTTTTATTGGAACATAGCTGTAGCTGTACTCATTTGTTTACGTATTGTCTGTAGCTGTCTTTTCGCTACAATGGCAGAGTTGAGAGGTTGCCACAGAGACCTTATGACTCACAAGGCTGAAAATATTTCCATTTGGTCCTTTATGGAAAATGTTTGCTTTTCTGAAAAGAAAGGCATAGACTGAAATATCACTGAACTATCACGAAGCAGCAGCTGGGCACCTACAACTAGACCCGTAAACATTGATCTATTCATTCTTTTTGTTCATTTGCAAACAATTATTGAGCACCTCCTATGTGGCAGGCACTATTTTGGGATGCTTAGGTTTGCAAAAAGTTAGATGAGAATGTCTATCTTCATGGAGCTTACTATCTAGTGCAGGAGAGACAAACCCTAAACAAAAACGATAATAAATAATTATATTATATTATAGAAAGTAATAAGTGCTATAGAAAAATTAGAGCAGGGATGCCTAGGTGGGAGGGCCTTGGAAGGGGTTGCAATTTGTGGGAGTCAAAGGAAACCTCTTTGAGGAGGTGGCATCTGAATGAAGATGAGAAGCATAAGGGAGTGAGTTCCTTGGGCCTGGAAGAAGAATGTTTCAGGCCAGAGAACAGCAAGCAGGAAGGTTTTGGGCAATCTCTACAGGGTCCCACCTTAGCCACCAGCTCAGCACCACAGGTTGGTTTTCAAGCTGAATGAAAATAATCTCAGAAGGTATTTTTCCCTCTGATATGGCTTGTCTGTGTCCCCACCCAAATCTCACTTTGAATTGTAATAATCTTCATGGTCAAGGGTGGGACCAAGTGGAGATAATTGACTCATGGGGGCGGTTTCCCCATACTGTTCTCATTGTAGTGAATAAGTCTTATGAGATCTGATGGTTTTATAAAAAGGAATTCCCCTGTACAAGTTCTGTTGCCTGCCACCATGTGAGTTGTGCCTTTGCTTCTCCTTTGCCTTCCTCCATGATTATAAGGCCTCCCCAGCAATGTAGAACTGTGAGTCCATTAAACCTCTTTCCTTTACAAATTACCCATCTTAGGCAGGTCTTTATTAGCAGTGTGAGAACAGATTAATACACTGCCACCCCAGCAAATTCTAACAACTCCTGCAGATTTTCCAAGGATTCCATTCAATTCCTACAGATTTTGATGCAATAAACCTGTGGCAGGGACTAGAAATTTGTATTTTGTGAAACAGGAGAGTATTTTAGGTTTTCCAGGTGCCTCTGTTTAGGAACCACTGATCTAAATCAAAATAAGAATGCCCTCCAAATATGCTGAGAGTCATTCAGCGTCTACTTAAACACTTCTAGTAATGGGAAGCTATTAACTCTTTTAGAGAGTTAACTTCATAAAATATTTATAACATTTAATTAATTTATTCATTTATTCAACAAAAATGTGTAGCCCTCTTACTATGAGTCAGGTATTGGAAATGCACAAACACATGTTCTGTGCTTTCATTGTTTTTCACTTGTTTGTTTCTGATGGCAAAATGTATATGTTTTCATTTTAGACAGATTGAGAAAAAATAGTAAAACACATAAGAAAAAAATTAGCTCTTTATTTTACAGATGGCAATGTTAATACTTTGGCTTATTTTAATTTTTTTCTCTCTACATTTAAAAGATTGGAATCTCTTTTTCTACTAATAATGTATTATGAATATTTCTGTCTCTACAAAACATTTTTCTCCTCTGTGCTTTTTAAGAAACATTGTATCCCATATGTTATATGTTTCGTGTGTGTGTGTGTGTGTGTGTGTGTGTGTGTGTATGTGTGTATAATGGCTAGATTATTTCAAAATACTCACCCCCTACAAAAAATGCTGCAATTAATTTTCTTACAGACTTTCTCCAGCATTTCTAATTATTCATGTCAATGTACGTGGAATTTCTAGACTAAAGGATATAGGCTTTTAATGTTTTAAAAATATTTTTTAAAATTGCTTCTCTAGAAAGAACTCCAATTTCCATCCCCATTTCAATTATATGAAAATATCCATGTCTTCATACCGTTAGCAATTCTGATTTTTCATTCTTTTGATTAAAAAAGCTACAATTTTTGAAATGTTCTTTCTTGAACTGAGTTGACATTTGCCTATCCAAATCTTCAATCTATTGATCAGACTTTCCTTCACTGGAGATTTGTGAGATAAGCTCAATTCCTCTTCTTTAAAATGTAATTTCAGATATTTGAAAATAATTATCATGCCTCCACTGTGCTCTGTCTCCAGTTATAGTATTTTTTTTTTTTTTGCTCTAATAATTACTCCTCCTATAATCTAGTTTCTAGTCTCTTCACAGTTCTGGTATCACTGTTCTTGATAAGCCTCAGTTAATCTGGACTGCTATATGTGTGAGTGTGTGACATACACACGTATGTATATGTGAATATTTATTCACACGTCTATAGACTGACTGTTTGTCCACCTCCCACTCCCCAAATTCATATGTTGAAACCTAATCGCCAATGTGATGGCATGAATAGATGGGGGCTTTGGGAGGTAATCAGGTCATAAGGGTGGAGCCCTCATAAATGGCATTAGTTCCTTTATAAAAGAGACCCCAGAAAGCTCCCTCTCCCTTTTCACCACATGAGGAATGTCTGTACACCAGGAAGTGGGCTCTCACCAGACATGGAAACTGAAGATGTTTTGATCTTGGGTTTCCCAGCCACAGAACTGCGAGAAATAAATGACTGTTGTTCATAAGCCACCCAGTCTACAGAACTTTGTTATGTAAGTCTAAATGGACTACCACAAGGATTAAACCAAGGACTGCCACTGTACGAGCACTGTCTTCTTTGTTTCGAACATGATACTGCTACTGGTGTGAGCTAAGTAGGCATTAGTTTTTCTTGGCAACCATGCCACCCCATTGGCTCATAAAGAGACTGATATCAACCAAAATTCCCAAGCATTTTATAAACAATCTCATAGTGATATCAGGTATCCACTGTACTTCACTGACTCAGTTGCTTTCTGAGGCCCAAGTGCATGACTTTAATAGGAATCAATACAATCTTTAATTCTAGTTTGTCAAATTCTTTTTGAAAACTGATTTTATCACCAGATGTGTATTTAATACAAACTTGACAAGGACATATCTTGACTTGTAGTAATTAAGAAAAATACTGGATGACATCTATTGCAGACATCTTGTTCCACCCTACTTGTCTGTTATTGATCCATTATCAACAGACAACATGTGTGCATGTGTGTATAGATATACAGGGAAACTGTAAAACAAATCACAAAGTATTTTCAACTTGCTGATATCAAAATATATTCTTTGTATGGTATTTTTCTGACCTCCTTGCCTGTATTTTTTTGTAATGAAAATTAGCTTAGCATGATTGGTTGATTGTCTATGTTGGCTCTTTGGCTTCAGAATATAGCCAGGGTCAACATCAAGCTCAGCTGTATGTAGTCACTAGTTCCTAACTGTATTTCTCTATTTTAAAATGTATTTCATCTACTAGAACACCTTGCTTTTAGAGCAATGTAAGCATGTGTTCATAAGTTGGCCTTGTATATAAGTCATTTGGGTCTAATGACTTCTATTCATTTCAAACAGAGAGATGTTACTTAACTATCTTCTACCATCTTTACTTCTGGTTCCCTGATAATTGTGCTTGTTACCTACATTTTCCAGTTTTAAAATCATTATGATAGAAGTAGAAGATGGAAAAGGTGATCTTAGATAGGAGTCAAGTTCTCATGCTTTTGCATTATTTGTTAATGATGTTTTATTTATCTGAATTCTTGAATTTAAGCCTTTCTCAATCTTAATATTATGGCTATATTTTTAATAACCCAGTGTATTGCTCTTGACACTTTTACTACATCTGTTTTTCAACTTAGAATTTACCCTCATATATGAAATCAATTGTCCTTATCATAACTGACCTATACATTTAAAATAGTTCAGTGATTACAAAAATAGTTTCTCCCTAGTGGTATTTAATATAATCAGATCATTAATAGCATGGGCTTATGTCCTCACATGTATGCTGCTTTTAAGTTTTCAAAGCATTTTATACATTTTTAATCTTAAGAACTAGACTCAGTCATAAGATTAGATTTGATCATAAATCTAAGTTACTTCCTGGCTCATGTAATGTGAGGTGATGCTGAGTAAGGTAGAGATAACTTCATTTTCTTAAGAGCAGTGTGTGTGTGTGTGTGTGTGTGTGTGTTTGTGTTTTATACATATATATGTTTATGTGAATATATATCTACATGTTGTACTCCTTATTTAAGAATTTCCACACTATATAAAATAAATATAGAACAAAAACTAATTGGCATCTAACTAAATACAGAGAGGGGAATGCAACAATTTCAATGTGAGGGTCATATTAAAATAAAACAAGAATGTAATCTTAGATTATAGTCTTTTTTGAGGGTGACTAACCATATCCATTTGCCTGAGAACTGGAGGATTTCCCAAGATGCAGAACTTTCAGTGCTCAAACTGGGAAATTCCTGGGCAAATTGGGATGAGTTGGTCATCTTATCTTTCTCCTAATTCTTTCCAGATGACACCTCCCCCTGCTGTTTTATTTTATTTTATTTTATTTTATTTTATTTTATTTTATTTTATTTTATTTATTTTAAACCTGGAATGGTTGACCACCTTCCAATTCTAACACAACTAGCTTTTCTTTGGCCAATTTCGTTTTCTTCTGTCTTTTAGGTACTATTTCTTGTTAGTCTACAGACTATTATTTCCTTCTTAAAACTACCCTCCCTTCCATCTCTCTCTCTCTCTCTCTCTCTCTCTCTCTCTCTGTCTCTCTCTCACCCACCTCTCTTACTTGCTGTCTTACCTTATGAGAGAGCAGCTAGGGCCACACAGTTTCTTCTTAATGCTCTCGTTTCAATGTTTAGTTTATGACCATGAAATGATCATTAATACCTCCGGATAATTTGCATTTCTATTTTCATTGGGAAATTCCTCTTATCTCTATACCAATGGCCTATACTTTTGTGATTTGAAGTTCAAGTTGAAGCAGCTTAGTTTTATGACACACTTTTGAAGACCTGAAATAACAGAATACTGGAGTTCCCTGGAAGTAGCAACATGGTCTTGATGCTTATGTCCCCATCTGGTAACAAAGAGACTGATCTTTGATCAGATTGACAGAGCCCAGGTGCACACAGGATCCAGTTATGTAAGTGTTGACTCTATTCGTTCCTACCTGTCATTGTATATAATGATCAAGGGTTGCAAATTGGGGTATTGTATAGCAAAAGTGGTCCACAAGATGATCATATCACACAATCTTTACAACTCAGAAGGGACTTTTGCAATGATCAGGTGTAACTTACTCATTTTCCACTTGAAGAAACTGAGATCCATTCAAGACATTAAGAGAGTTCCATAATATGACAAATCCGATTAGTGGCAGAACTGGGATCTCCATTACTCAGAACCCATAGCCTTGTTCTCCACTCTATGCTGTTGAGAAAAATGGTGGGAAGGAAATGAAGCAATACAGGAGACAATTGTTTATGATCCAGCCTCCTCATGGCCATCTCTGCTGGAAACAGGCTTGAAACAACTTTGTAAAGTACTGTATCTCCTCTGCTTGATTTCTTTTTGGCCACCTTGAAGTCCGAGATGCTTACAAGGAACCAACGTTGGGGTCACTGGCTTTCATATTTTGTTGTTGCTCATTATAGCCCAGAGTTGGCCCCTAATCCATGCCTTACTCCTCTCCTCTTCATTCTTTAATATTAAATTCTTAATTTCTGGAACTCCCATCTCAACTAGGCTTAGTGACTGCCTAGAATATTTACCTAATTATCCAATGACAAGCAGAAGATGGCTGATGTGGGAGCGGTCACCCTCAGATAAGCAGGAGTCCCTCCCTATATGCTTTTGACTTTATTCCTTGCTTTCAACCTGAATCACCATGTAACTTATTATCACTGTTTGGCACAAAGGCTCTCTGTAACTAGTAATCACTACTATTGTTGAACACATATGCTCTTAAAGCTCAACTCCTATAATGTTTGCCTTTTTTTCATGTCTTTCTTACCCAGAGAAAATTACATATCTTCTTTAAAACAGCCATTTGGGAAAAAAAAGTATGCTCTAAAGCCTTATAAATAAGATAAAAACATGAATTAATAATTATTTTTAAATTTACTTTTTATTTCAGAACAAGTATAAAATTACAAAAAAGCTGTAAAAATATCACATAGAAGTTTCTAATACTTTTTATACCATTTACTCTAATGTGAACATCTTATATAACCATGGTGCATTTGTCAAAACTAAGAAATGAATGTCTGGAGATACTATTGACTAAATTGCAGACTTTATTTGTATTTCACCAGTTTTCTATTGATGGCCTTTTTCCATCCAGGATTCAACTGATGGTACTGCATTGCAGCATGTCTTCATGCTCTCTGTCAATCTGTGACAATTTCAATTTCTCTTAATTCTCATAATCTTGACAGTTTTGAAGAACCCTGATCAAGCATTTTGTAGAATGCCCTTTGCTTAGTCTGTTTGGGTTTCTATAGCAGAATACCATAGCATGGGTGGCTTAAACAATGAACACTTATTTCTGGAGGCTGGGAAGTCCAAGATCAAGGTATCAGCAAATTTGCTGTCTGGTGAGGGTCTGCTTCCTGGTTTGCAGATGACCATTTTCTCATTGTATCCTTACATGAATAAGAGAAAAGAATATCTCTTTAGTGTCTCTTATACGAACACTAATCTCATGCACGAGGGTTCCATCCTTATGTAGCCTGTAATTAACCCCCAAAGATCCCACCACCAAAACCATCACATTAGGGGTTAGGATTTTAACATATAAATTTCATGGGGATGCAAACATTCAGGCCACAGCATCTCTAATGTGGGTTTAGCAGATATTTTTCCCATGGTCAGACTGGGTTGAGGTTTAGGGGAAAATGTCATGAAGGTGAGGTGTCCTTCTCGTCACATCATTTCAGGGAGTATGATGTCAAGTTTAATTACTTGGCTAAGTTAGTGTTTACCAAGTTCCTTCTCTGTAAATTTACTATCTTTTCCCTTTCTATGCTCTATTCTTCAAAGTGAGTCACAAAGTCCAGCCCACACTCAGGGGAGGGAGAATTAAGCTATAACCTAGAATCTTTTCACCTATTTCATCTCTGCCTGTAAGGTTGTTTCCTTTTGGATTCTAGGCAGCTCCACCACTAGATGGACCACATTTATTTTAAGTTTTCTACTCCTTTTCGATGCACTTCCCTTTTTCCCTTTTCTTGAGACCAACTCTCTAAAACTTTCCAGTTTTCATCTGTTCAGCATCTATTCTCAGCAGCATTCATCTGATTTTGGCTTCCTCTGATGAAACTCGGCATGGCATAGCACAACTACTTTACTTTTCTAGTTCCCCAAATTTTGAGTTGAAAGATGAGGTGTGTTGGGTTAGAAAATTATTGATGAAGAAACAAGGAGTCTAAGTCAGATTTAATAGATAAAGAGGTAACTCTCTTCACGAGTTAACAACTGATTTCATGGACTAACTACCCCATGAATGTTGCGATGTGAGGATTGGAAAGAGAATCTAGGGAGATACAGAGCTTCTTAGGGGAGCAGACCCCTCTTTATTGATCTTTTTACATTCATCTCCTAAATTGTTACATGGCACTAAGTACATATCCAGTATGTGTGTGTTATTTATTGAGATGCTTTTGCCATTACGTTCAATGGCAAAAACCGCAATTACTTTTGCACCAACCTAATATATAGCTGTAGATTGAAATACACACATTTCTATATAATAGGCACTCAGAAAAAGCAGCGCACTAGGAAAAACAAAGCTTTTGCAGCTGGACTTCCTGGAAGATGGTGTAATTTAGACTTTGGATTTGAATCCCAGCTCAGCCCCTTACTAGCTGTGTGATCATGGGCAAGATATTTACCCTCCTTGTGCTCATCTGTAAAGTATATATATTATGAACACCTATGATATAGAGAAATGAGAAATAAGAGAATTAGTCTAGGTAAAGCACTTAGCAGAGTAGAATGCTAGTACATAAATATTTAATATTAATTTTAATACTGTTATTATTCATGATGCTTTAGGCATGGAGTAAGCCACAAGTTATTTTATAAAGTAAAAATACTGCACAACAAAAATACTAGAGCAATTCACTCAACACATTAACTGCAAAATATTAAATGGTTCCTATGTAGTAAATAACTCCATTTATCTCTTTTAAAACAAAGTTATACATTTGCCTCTATCTTTTGTGCTAAATTTTCTTACAGTTTGGGTTCATTAATTTAAAATATTTTACATTAAGATGTCTTTATTTAAAATATTTTAAATAAAGTTGTATGACTAAATATGAAAAGATGATCATTCCCACAAATTTTGGCTTTCTTTCCCTTGATAAGTGGTTTCTAAGATGACTTCTGACATAGGCGTCCTGGACTTTGGGTATCCAGAGCAAGGCATAGGTCCTTTCTCTGACTCTGAGTTTAAGTTATGCAGATGACCTTGGCAGCATCTGAATATTTATCAATGGTGATCTTTATATAGGCATTCATTTTGGATATTCTAAAACAGAGATTAATTAACACATACATCTTTACCAATTAGGCTTTTTCCTCATTGGTAAATATGGTCATGAATTTTTGTAGACATAGTTTTGAGATTAGCTATGGACAACTCTTCCACCAAGTAATTTAGTTAGTGAGTTTAAAATATTGTGTGTGCCTACAAGTAGGTGATCCAAAAGAACTGCTGAGCTGGTTTACTGTGTATTAGCCTTCATTATGCAAATAACTGTCCCAAGGGAGCCATCCCAAAGACTATTAGCCTCTTTCACCTTTAATAACCTGAGATCTCCCATTCGTGATGTGTGCAGATGAAAATATGTTCTGCCTGTGGGTAAAGGTGTTATTAATGCATAATTCTTTAGCTTCCTTCCCTCTACACTGGAATTCTATTTTGGCAAACCTCTTGGGTTTGGTTGTCAGAGAGATAAAAGCTTGTGAACACTGCAGTAGAATCTTGAGTGAATCTTGGTAAATTTAGAGAGCCAGGTTACTCTTTTTGGACTACTCTTTATCTGTGAGTAATACTGCATCTTCCCTTCACTGTTGTACAGCTGATTGTGTTGCACATGCTCTAACTGGCTTTCCCTGGGCTGGAAACCTTTTAAATGTGACCCTTTGTTCTCATCTATAGATGAGCTGAAATTGCCAGTTACATTTCAGGTACAGCCTCTGCTGCAGGAACAGCTGATTCACTGGTAATGTTAGTCTTATGCAGGTAGTGACTTTATCTGGAAGAAAGTCGGCTAAGGTCTTGGAAGGCTCAGAGGAAGTATTACCATTTGGTGGCTAGAACGGTCACTGTCACTTCCAAAAACAAAATCTAACATTACAGCCTTCTAAAAAGGTACTCGCTTGATGCAGGTGTCTGCTGACATGCCTTGTGTGACATGAAGAGGGTGTGATAGTTCACAGGTCTGAAATAGTTACCACGGGTATTCTCAGAAGTTAATCATCAGTAACTTCAACCTTGGAAAGGTTTGAGAAGACTACCAGAGTAAGTGTTAAACCTGATAGGCAGGATTTTCCAGCTTTGCTGATGTCATTTAATTAGGGTCCTACAAACAAAATAAATAAAATATATATTTGTTCCTACATTCTTTCTGCCACCCAGATTTCTGTGAGGTATTCCCTGTCTCAAGGAGACTTTGGGGCTTAGAAGGCAGACTGCTTTTCTTGGAATGGCCCATCAAGAGAGAGAGCCTCCTTATTAACCCCTAGTGTACTTGAAAACTTCATAACTTGACTTCATCTCATGTCTGAGGCAAGATATGTCTGAGCAGTTACCGGAAGATGGGCTAGTTTTGCATGCCCCAGGCACTTAAAAATATCAGCGTAGCACCGTGGCTTATGCCTGCAGTCTCAGCATTTGGGGAGGCTGAGGTGTGAGGATTGCTTCAGTCCAGGAGTTTGAGACCAGCCTGGGCAACATAGCAAGACCATCTCTAAAAAATAAATAAATAAATAAATAAATTAAAAAATATAAATTAGCTGGCCATGGTGGCACATGCTTGTAGTCCCAGCTGAGGGAGGCTGAGGTGGAAGGATCACTTGAATCCAGGAGGTAGAGGCTGCAGTGAGCTGTGATCAGGCTGCTGCACTCAGCCTGGGCAGCAGAGCAAAACCCTGTCTCAAAAAAAATAATAAGTCAAAAAGCAAAGAAAAAATTATATTAAAAATCAATCTACCATTTTGGGGAAAGAGGCGGTTGAATTTGTTACTTTTATTATCTATTTTAAATAATTTGTTTAATTTTATTTGAAGATTTTCTTATCTTTTCTTTTTCGTATATATGCTACATCACCTTCTTCCTTACCTCTCCACAGATCTGTCCTCTGTAAAACACTGTGCTCATGATTTTTTAGATATTAAAGCATATTTCACATTTTTCTTTGTTCTACATTGCTGAAGTCTGACCTCCCTTCACTTGACTCTCTTCATGGCACTTGGCTTTATTGATTTTTTTCCTTACTTTTTAAAAAATTCTCTTGTTTGTGGTTTATCTTTAAGTGAGATCTATCTGTTTACTTTTTATTCTCAGTCTTTAAGACCCTTATTTCTTCTCTCTTCTGATGTTTTTCATGTCCTGGAACATATTTGTTTGGCCAAACCTGTTCACATAACATCTTTAATTCTCTTCAGGGTTCTATAGCAACATGATCTCTTTAACCTTAGCAGTTCTTCTTCATAGATGAGAAACTGAGGCACAGCTAGGTCAGACAATGTTTCTAAAATCATACTGTGGAGTACTAGAAGAGTGAGAATTGTTTTTTGATTTCCAAGAGAAATTATTAACCAGTGGATACCCCACTATATGGGCATCACCTGGGAACTGGTGAGATATTCATAATCTCAGGTCCTGCCCCAAGCCTACCAAATCAGCATCTGCATTTTATCAAGATCCCACATGATTCAAAGACACATTAACATTTGAGCAGTCCTGAACTAGACCTCTCTGTTTTGGAGGACTGCTCTCTGAAAGAAACTGCATAACAATGGTAAATTTCCTTTGCATTTATGAGGTTTCTCCTGAGTCCTAGCTGCCCTGATTGAAGATGAGAAGACAGACAGAAACCTAGGTCTTGGTTTCAGTATCTGTCTGATCTGTATTCTGCAATTTAGATTTCAGTTAAGTTGCACTTGTGGAGAATTTCAAGTAGCAAATGACGAAGCAAGTGGAGCACTCTTTTCTAGGCAATTAGTTTTCTCTGTGCTTATTTATTTGTGGTTCGCTGATTCAATTTAGAATCCTCAAACTTCTGGGTGACTATAGGGGCATCATAGCTTTAACACAGCATTTAGTTGACATCTGTTTCTTTGACTATATTGTCTACAATTTCCCGAGCACAGAGTAAAATATATCCAAGTGCTTCATGGGATATTTCAATATCCATAATGATTTTTATTATTTTCCCCAAAATGTAATAAAAGAGACGTTATCTCCTTCATTCTCTTGACTGGATTTTAAATTTTGAGAAGGGGAACAGTATATGCATTTGACTGCCAGAGATGTAAAGTAAAATCTATTTGATATCAGAAGTAACACAAATCACTGGCATAGAAAACAGTTGTGAATATTTTCTCATGAGGAGAAAGTATTGTCAGATTTAACCACTATCATATCAGTTCAAGTAGAAGGTGGACATCCCAGTGTAGGATTTCACAGGACAAGAGTGGAGTAATCATGAAAAATGGGTGGAAAAGCAATTTCCAGCTGGAAAAGAAGAAAGAAAACAAAGGTAGATCTTGAGGGATTTTTAAAAAAAAAAACACTTTTGAATATTTTTGTCTTTTAAAAAATTTTTCGGCCGGGCGCGGTGGCTCACGCCTGTAATCCCAGCACTTTGGGAGGCCGAGGCGGGTGGATCACGAGGTCAGGAGATCGAGACCATCCTGGCTAACAAGGTGAAACCCCGTCTCTACTAAAAATACAAAAAATTAGCCGGGCGCAGTGGCGGGCGCCTGTAGTCCCAGCTACTCGGGAGGCTGAGGCAGGAGAATGGCGTGAACCCGGGAAGCAGAGCTTGCAGTGAGCCGAGATTGCGCCACTGCAGTCCGCAGTCCGGCCTGGGCGACAGAGCGAGACTCCGTCTCAAAAAAAAAGAAAAAAACAAACAAACAAAAAAAAATTTTCATTTCCAAATAAACAACCTTTTGATTTGAAAGACTATCTAGAAGGCATTGTAATTTGAGGCTGAATCCTGCGAAATCATGCATATCTCAGAGGTTTGAGATGGAATTTACTTATGTTCCTGAATGTTTGTACCCACTGAGAGCAGTCTGTCCAAAGTTTACATGTGTTCAAGAGGATATGTGGCAATCCAGCAATATTCTGCAGACAGGAAGCCTCTGTCCAACATCATGATTTGAACCCAGAATCACTGTCCCTTTTTCTTTTCTGCCTTTTTTTTTTTTTTTTTTTGGAGACAGTCTTTCTCTGTTGCCGAGGCTGGAGTGTAATGGCGCGATGCCGGCTCACTGCAACCTCTGCCTCCCAGGTTCAAGTGATTCTCCTGCCTCAGCTTGCTGAGTAGCTGGGACTACAGGTGAGTGCCACCACAACGGGCTAATTTTCATATTCTTAGTAGAGATGGGGTTTCACCATGTTGGCCAGGCTGGTCTTGAACTCCTGACCTCAAGTGATCTGCCTGCCTTGGCTTCTGAAAGTACTGGGATTACAGGCATGAACTGCCACACCTTGCCTCACTGTTGCATTTTTAGTTATATGTGTGTGTGTGTGTGTGTGTGTGTGTGTGTGTGTGTGTGTGTGTGTATCTATATTTTTTTAGTAGAGATAGGGTTTCACCATGTTGGCCAGGCTGGTCTCGAACTCCCAACATCAGGTGATCTGCCCACCTCATCCTCCCAAAGTGCTGGGATTACAGGTGTGAACCACCACACCTGGCCACTGTTGCTTTTGCTAGACACTGTGGCAGGCCTCTGCAGCCTGATTTCCAGAAGCCCATCCCAAAATTAGGATAATTGGTAACATTATAACCTCTTTCACCCACAATTCACCAAATTCAACGCTTCTGTTTTTAATATAGTAGCAAGTCTGAATGGGACTAAAAGGCCTTTAGACAAAGGTTACAAGTAAAAAGTGCTCATCTTCAGAAATGTGCAGAAAAGACATCCAAACACCTGAAATAAAATACATCTTCTCCTTATTCACACACAGTGTTAACCCCCTTCACAAACTCATCGCAGATTAGAAAGCAGATGAGAAAAATAACGCAGCAATATCATGCCTGGCAGAATGGGAACAAGAAATGACGGTTAATGTGATTTTCCACCCCCATCCCTCGTGGACTCATTACCCATATGTCTACAACGAGGAACATAATAGTGACTCCAAAATGGCTTTAGATTCTGGCCATGAGCTGCGCTGGCAGCTGTCTTCATACACATTCCCACTTTTGTGACCTTTTGGAGGGAGACCTACTTCTACTCTCCCCATGTTTTCATCCCACTGCTGAAGATTTATTGCCTGGATCTGTTAAAATTCCTTACCAGTTATCCATGATGATAACCTCACAATTACAGAAAGTTATGCAACTTCTGGAAAGCAAGATAAAATGCATCTTTCTTCCTCTTCGCTATGCTGATGCATTTATCTTCCCTTCAATTCTGAAATTCCTAAACTGTAGGAGATAGCATGTTCTTTGACATTTGTGCTGATGCTGCTGTTAGCCCTGTCTTTGTAGTTTAGGAGGTGCAAATTGATGTGATTTGAGAGAAAAATTTGAAATTCCCTGGCTTCCACGCTAAATGTATGTACAACTTCTCATTTGAAATAGCGGGTTGTCTTAGTACCCAAAGTGAAATTTCTGTTGAAAATTCACAGTGATTCCCAGCAGTGTGCCAATTATGAGCCTTCTATAGTTTACACTTGAGATAACCTAGAATATGTTTGTTTTGTTATTCTAATTTCCTTCCTTCTTAGAATTACCTGCTACTGACTCTTGAAAATTAAGAACATACCATAACATGTGCTTAGAATTGTAGCTACATTGCGAAGCAGTTCCAGTGCACTTTTAAGGCATCTCAGGCAAAACACATTGTAGAAGACTTCAAGTTTGTATCTTCCATGTATTATTTTTCCATGCACCTTTGATATCTATTCCTTGAAAGAGAAGTAATGGAAAATGATAGGATTCTTAAATAGGATTGACTCATTGGCATTGAGCATAGGATGTGGCTCTTGGCTATGTCTGTGAAAAGTTTGTGTGAAGAGTGGCCTATGTCCCTCCCACCTACTCTGCCATTGCTTGAAGTGCCGTTTCCATCAGCATCTCAAGGTCCTGGATTTCTGTGAGATAAATGTTTCATGCTTACTGAGCTCTAATGTGGTGGAGATGTTTAAAGGCTGAATTCAGGTAAGAGTCGTAGAGTACACACATAGATGTTGTCCGTGCTGTGCCACAGTTGAGTATTGGTGGTTTCTTTCATTCATTTATTCATTCATTCATTCATTCATTCATTCATTCAACAAATACTGAGTGCCCGTTATACAATCCTTTTTCTGCCCTTGAAATACAGCACTGAACAGGAAAACTGCCCCTGCCCTTAGAAGGCTTACTTCCTAGTAGGGGAGTCAGAGAGTAAGCAAATAGATGTAGTGATGGGTGCTATGTGGAAAAACAAAAGCAGGTAAGGAGAAGAGGATGGAGGCTGTCTTAGTACGGTCAGGGAAATCTATTTGAAGAGTTGATATTTGAGCAGAGATCGGAATAAAAATTGCAAATGAGTGATAATGGACAAGAGATGTAGGTCTGGAAGAACATTCTAGTCATAGGAAGAAACGAGTATAAAAACCCTGGAGGCAGGACTGAATTAGATGGAGCAGACAGCCTATCTGTTCTACAATAGACAGAAATATGGCAATGACAGCCACATGTGGAATTACATTTTTTAATTAATCACATTAAAGAAGTGAAAATAAAATAAGATTCAAAAGTAAGAAACAAAGTAAAATTTAATTATATGGTTTTAACTTAAACATGTAATCAGTATAAAAATTATGTATGTAATAGTTTATTTTTATACTTTTATTCAAAATCAGGTATATTATACTTAAAGCACATCTCAATTTGGAAGCTAAATTTTGTTTTTGGTTTTTTTTTTGAGTTGGAGTCTTGCTCTGTGGCCCAGGCTGGAGTGCAGTGGCTTGATCTCTGCTCACTGCAAGCTCCGCCTCCTGGGTTCACACCATTCTCCTGCCTCAGCCTCCCGAGTAGCTGGGACTACAGGCACCCGCCACCATGCCCGGCTAATTTTTGTGTTTTTCTTAGAGATGGGGTTTCACCTTGTTAGCCAGGATGGTCTCGATCTCCTGACCTCATGATCCACCTGCGTCGGCCTCTCAAAGTGCTGGGATTACAGGCGTAAGCCACCGCGCCTGGCCAGAAACTAAATTTTTATAAAAATAATTGATCATGAAATCTATCATTGATAACATAGATTCATATATCTATGTCATCTGACCATATTTAAGAGTTTTCTGATAATTAAAAAGTACTGGTTTTTAAATTTTTCTTTTTTCTTTTTCTTTTTTTTTTTTTTGACAGGGTCTTGCTCTGTTGCCCAAGCTGGAGTGTAGTGGCACGATCTCAGTTCACTGCAAACTCTGCCTCCCGGATTCAAGCAATTCTCCCACCTCAGCCTCCTGAGTAGCTGGGATTACAGGTGCCCGCCACCACACCCAGCTAATTTTTGTATTTTTAGTAGAGATGGGGTTTCACCATGTTGGCCAGGCTGGTCTCGAACTCCTGACCTCAGGAGATGCACCCACCTTGGCCTCCCAAAGTGCTGGGATTACAAGCATGAGCCACAGTGCCTGGCCGTTTTTAAATTTAAATTTTTAAACATAAATTGAATAAAATAGGAAATTTGGCCCCTCAGTCTCACTACCCAGATTTCAAGTGCTCAGTAGGCACATGTGGCAGTGGCTGCTGCATTGGACATAATGAGGCCAGATTGTCTGGAAACGAAGAAAGCTGTTGGAGAGCTAGACTGGAACCAGATGACAGAGGACTCTGGAAGCCGTGGGAAAATGTTTGGATTTCATTTGGCTTGTGATAGAACGCTACTGAAGTTGAGTGGATAGGTGAGTGGCACGCTTTGATTTGTGCTTTAGAGAGATCTTCCTCTGGCTTTGGTAGGGGAGAGAATGGAGGGTAGAGACCTGATAGGAGACTGTTAGGTAGTTAAGTGAGAGATGAAGGTGCTGGTTTAAAACAGTTGTGCTGCAAGTGTGAGACATTGTTGGTTTCAGGGTATATCCGGAAGGTAGAGTTGATAGTACTTGCTGCTGTATTGTCTGCAGGACAGGCAGCAAAGAGGAATCAAAGGAAACTTCTAGGATTTCGAACTGACCAACTAGATAAACAATGGTACCACAGTTGATATGGAAATGACCAAGGTATAGACAGTTTTGGTGAAGAAAATTGGATTTGTGCAAATTAAATTTTATTTGTCTATTCGACTTCCAAATAGGTAGCTGAGTTTGGAATTCGGGGGAAAGCTTAAGGCTGTAGACTAAATGTGGCAGTTAGAGTATAGATGGTATCTAATGTCATCTGAATGAGGTAGTCAATGCACTGAGGGTACCTTGAGGAAAGGAGTCCGAAAAGTGAGTTTCAGGGCAATCTGAAATCTAAATGTTGGGAAGATGAGATGAAGCCAGAAAGTGACATTAAGATAGAGTGGCTGGGCCGGGTGCGGTGGCTCATGCCTGTAATCCCAGCACTTTGGGAGGCCGAGGCAGGCAGATCACAAGGTCAGGAGTTCGAGACCAGCCTGGCCAATATGACGAAACCCTATCTCTACTAAAAATACAAAAACTAGCTGGGCATGGTGGCGGGTGCCTGTAGTCCCAGCTACTCAGGAGGCTGAGGTAGGAGAATCACTTGAACCCAGGAGGCAGAGGTTGCAGCGAGCCGAGATTGCGCCACTGCACTCCGGCCTGGGTGACAGAGTGAGACTCAGTCTAAAATAAAATAAAATAAAATAAGAGTGGCTAGTGAGGTAGGAGGGAAATCAAGAGAGCCTGATATCTCAAAGCTAAGTTTATCAGTCTTGGCAAGTAAAAGTTTGTGTAGTCAAGAGAGAAAGAGTAGAGAGGATTTTTGATTTTTTTTGTTTTTGTGTTTTTTTTGAGAGGGAGTTTCACTCTGGCACCCAGGCTGGAGTGCAATGTCACGATCTTGGCTTACTGCAACCTCCACCTTCCAGGCTCAAGTGAGTCTCCTGCCTCAGCCTCCCGAGTAGCTGGGATTACAAGTGCCCACCACTACGCCTGGCTAAATTTTTGTATTTTTAGTAGAGATGGGGTTTCACCATATTGATCAGGCTGGTCTTGAACTCCTGACCTCAAGCGATCTGCCCACCTCAGCCTCCCAAAGAGCTAGAATTACAGGCACGAGCCACTGTGCCTGGCTGAGAAGAGAGTCTTATAAAGGAAATGTGATGGTGTGATCAGGGTATAGGGAAAAGCTCAAGGAAGAACTTCAGTTATTCAAGGGGTAAAAATGGGGTTACCAAGGCTAAGTCTAAAGGGATGAGAGAGACAGAGACAGAGAGAGAGAGAGAGAGAGAGAGAGAAAGCAAGAGAGAACTGTGGGGAGAGGTCACCTAAGAGAAAATATGCTCTTGGTTTAAAGAAGCCAATCCATAGCAATGCTGCAGGGAGTGAGCAAGGAATTGGTAATTCACCCTCCCTTTTCTTTCATCTTGCAATCTTTGGCCATTTGCTAAATTCAACCAGAAGACAGAAGGCAAGAGAGCCTTTTGACTTGGTGTGTACCAGTCAGTCTCCCAGGGCACAGTGCAAGATAGAGAAGGGTGAGTAGTGGATCTAGACGGGCAAATATCTGGTGGATATTCAGCTCACCAAGTGAAGAAAGCCATTAACAGGATAATAACTGAGAATTATATGAAGCAGAATCCACCCCCAGATTTTATTGCTTATATCTTTATTGAGGTGCTTAGCAAGAGACAAGAGATCCCAACTAGAGAATCTGCAATCATTGTCTACATACGTTAATTTATTTCTCTCTTCTGTCTTTTCTACTTCTTCATCTACGTAATTCCTCTTAGCTTTTCATATTCCTATCAGTCTCCTAACTACTTCTCTTTTTTCTTTTTTCTTGACTTTCTTCTCTCATTCCCTTTCTTTTTTCTCCCCTCTCACACACTTCTGTCCATTCTAGTCTTTTTCCCAATTTGTTTGTTGAAGTTGATCCATGGAAAGTACCTAAAACAGCTTAGAAACAAAATAATGTATAAATGTCATTCACATCAGCTCAGCCTATGAGAAAAAGAATCAGTATTTAAAAATTAAATGTGGTTGGAGAGTAGCCCTAACATATGTGTATTTTAGAACAGTAATTGTTCCCCCCCAGAAGAGTGGATGACTTATTTGAGCAAGAATAATTTGAGGCTAGAGCAATCTAAACTTTTTAGGTTATAGAAAGGATGTTCTATGGCAGTGAGCAAGCATTAGAGTCACCTGAAGGACTTATGAAAATGTAAGTTGTGGAATCCTACCCCCAGCATTTCTGATTCAGTAGGTATGGGATGAGGACCAAGAGTTTGTATTTGTAGCAAGTTTCTAGGTGCTGGTGCTGTTGCTTGTCTGGAAAGAACCACTGATATATTGAGATAGGAAATTACAGTTGATCCTTAAATGGGATTGGGAGTGGGAAGAGTAAACACAGGGCAAACAACTAGATACCTTAAGAGGGAAAACAATGGGTGGTACTTTGGTGATAAATTTGGTGACATTCAGAGGCACAGAGGTGTGGGGTGAAAAGCATCACCCAGATACTGCGGATTCCAGTAGAGTGGATATATCCCAAACAACTAACATCTCAGGAGAGATCAGTGCACTCAGGTAAACATATTTTGAATACCTATTACTTGCTTGTATTTTCCACTGCCTACTAGACATCTCTATTTGAATACTTCACAATCACGTTAAACTCAATCTGTCCAGAAGTCTTATTATCACATCTCCTTCATCACCAATCCTCTCCCATCTGTATTCGCTATCTGCATCAGTGACCCCACTAACAAAGTCACCATGCCAATAATCTGAGAGTCTTTGCCAGCTCCAATATTCCTTTTGTCTTCCTGTATAACTTACAAACCGATTTTTTGTTTCTCTGCTTCCCTAATAACTGAACTATCTTAGGCCAAACTCTTAACACTTCTCAGATAGAAATAGACTCCCGCATCTAATTTATTCCTGCATGAATTTGTCAACTGTGCTTTCAGGAATGTTATATTTTTTGTATTTTTCTGAAATACAGATCTCATCTCTTTACCTCTTTCTAAACCTCTCCTGTGTGGCTTCACATGGTGGACACAGCCTCCTGATAGGGCACCTACCTAGCTTCCTTTTCCGTTTCTTCTTGCCCCCTCCCTAAACTTATTTTCTAACAATAACAAGTGATCTGTGTTTCCCTAAGCACACCATAATTCACAGGCCTGTGTGATTGGCTCGGACTATCTTCTGCACTCTCGTTTCCCTTCTTATCTTCTTTCCCTTTCAAGCCCTATTAAGTCCAGTTCCTTGAGGAAATCTGTCTTATGCAAAAGCAACATTCCTCTTATGTGTTCCCTCTGGTCCTTAGGCAAACTTTTATTTTAGCCCTTAGTGTAATGGCGGTTATTACTGGTTTATGTGTCTGTAATAACTTTATAGGAACTCTGTTGCTTGAAGGGTGAAGCAGGTGTCTCTTAATCTTTGTATCTTGAGGGTCTGAAAACTTGGTATTGCATGAGTTGTAGAATTATTTCAGGACACTCAGCAAACTAGTTCTAGATTTGGGTTAAAGTAAGGATGAACTGGAAACTAAGAGGAAAAAAATGTTGAGGCAATCTGATCTTGTATGAACTGTGCCAAGCTCAACAGATGGTCAAAATCTGTGTAGAAAGGACCCTGACTGAGGCTAACCCATCCAGAAAACTTCTTGTGTGAAGGATGCTCTTTAACCACTCTCATTCCACTTTGTTCAACTTCCATCCTTTTGTGTAGCACCATAGTATATATTCTTCACTTGAACTAGATAAGTCTGTCATCTGTCTTCTTCACATCACTAATGATGGACTTCACTTCTTTTAAACATCGTTTTTCCAAGGTCTATAATAAACAGTTGACCTATATCACCTTATTTAACCCTTCCAACAACCAAGCCATTACACAAGAGGCAGCAAACCCCTCCAATTAATAGCATGGGTTCAAGCCAGCTTGCCATGTTCTTGGGAAGGTTATTTAACATCCTCGGGTTTTAGTTTTGGCATCTTTAAAATGAGGCTATAGTGCTTGCCTTATAAGATTGATATGTGCATTGCTGAGTCAATATTTATAACATATTTAAGACTGCCTAAAATATACCACGGGCTATGTAAGTGGTTATTAAATGGATTGTACAATTTTCTCTCCTGGATTTCTCCAGCTTCTCCATATTCCTTTCATCAAACCGAGTGTCTCCCCTCACAGTTTGTCTCATCAGTAATGCATTTTCAAAGGTGATGCAGCTTATCTGAAAATACGAGATTGAATATCAAAGGGACTGGGATCTGTTTCAGGGTCCGCTGCTGGTGCCTATGTCATCTTGGGCCCAATCATTGACCTTTTTGTCCTCAGATCGCTCATAATGTGTTGATAATACCACCACATTTGGTAGACTTCTGGGAAGGTCTAATGAGGTTGCATATGCATAAATATGTATAATGGTAAGCTATAAGAGGGTGGAGCAATGTTAGGTGAAACACAGTAGCAGCAGTAACGATAAACATAGCTGCTGTACTTGGCCCAGTCTTCAGATTACTCTGGTAACCTCATTTGGTGGGAGGCCCATACCTACTACTACTGTCTGACACTAGGCTAAGATGTCCCTAGAGCTACATCTAACATTCCTTCCTTTACCAAATATAAAGAAGTATAGACAATGAAGGTCTGGAATCTATTTAAGGTCTGGAATTCTTCAGTCATCTCCCTTTCATGATTAAAACACAGTCAAGTATTACATGACACACAAACTAGTAAGACCACATGTTACACGGCAGCTTTTGTCTGCATACACTTGACTCCTGGGAGCTTAGTAACTATATTGCCTCCCTTTTCTCTTTCCCATCCCACCCAGACCTAACTATTGCTTTTTTTCGTTGCTTAAAATGGCATCTCAGGACTGTAAATGATTCAAAGTTTTGTCTTCTAGGAATTGCTTTTTGCTAATCCCAGCTTTGCACAAAGAAATCATGAAAACAATTGGGTTCTTTGTAATCTCACCCAATGAATGCTCAATATTTATTTTAAAAATACTTCTTCCTATGATTTTGACAATTCATCAATAGTCCTATAATCCAAGTAATCTGAAATTTGAAAATTGTTATCTTGACAAATTGAAAATTTTCTTTTGAAAACAAGAAGCGGAATTTACTGTCATTTGTCAAGTGAGGATTTTCCTTTGACTTTAAAGATCACTCTAAGTATTTTTGCAACACTATGCAATTTGTGGTGAATCCTTCCATTTAAATAATATTGCAGTAAAAAGAGAAATGTCAGAGTCCAGAAGGAGAATGGCAGAGTATTACTCAAGACAATGTGCTATGGACTAACAGGTTTTGATTCTGAACACATCTAAGAGTGAGTTTCCAAAAAGTCTGGTATCCATTTTGATGATTATGATATACTTACAAATAAATCACAGTTGAGTTCATAGACTCAGATTATTTAGTGTAAAGAAATGAACACAGCAATATGTTTTCTGTGCCTTTCCAATTAGAGTTTAGATCAATTTATCTTTGTGACGATATTGCCTAGTTGAATTTTAAAAAATATATTATGACATGTTTTTGGAGTCAACTAGCTGGAACACAAGGTTTCTGAGGCTCAACATGCATTATTTATCCATTTATACTAATAAACCTTCATATCCCACATGTCCCCTGCTCAGATTTGAATGGAACCTCAAATGCACAACCTGTTTTAAATTTATGACACAACAATTGCTTATGACAAAGAAAAATGAATTTAAAAAATGCATCTATTTCCCCCAGAAGAAGACAAATGACACATCTTTTTTTTCTTTAAAGAAATGACATTCCTCTTTCTTTTTTAGAAGAAAAATTATTTATTAAAAAAATTTAAAGATGATAAAACATTAAAAAAGAAAGAGAAATTGATTTGAAGACGCAAGATGGGATTGAGTTGTAATATAAAAGTTGCTGGTCTTTTACTCCTGAGAGGCAGGACCAGTTGATTTATAATCACAATTTTGAGCTTGCTTTCCCCCTCCTCCTCTTCCTCTCCTTCCTCCTTCCTGCCTCTCCCTGTTGGGAAGGGAGTGTAGACATGAGGTGACATGTCTCTTTTGATTTACCATACTGTGTCTTCATTATGAGCGCTGGCGATCAGGCAGTAGTGTTTTCTAACTTCAAAGGCTTCAGCAGCCTGTGCAGCATGCAGGGGAACTGAGGTGCCAGGATACGGAGTAACAACAATATGGTGTCGTCATATTTTAGGAGTGTCAGCTTATTCTTTATTTGTGGCACATCAAAGTGAAAATGAGGACACAAGGAAGCCTTTCCTCTTTGTTATTCTCTTCTTCAGTGACAATAATGTCTTCCAACTCAATGTCCAGGCCAGAGTCCTAAAAAACTAGTTCTTTCGAATTTAATATTTCTCATGCTTAAAGAACTTTAGGGGGAAAAAAAGCTACCAATAATAAACTGGAACAGAAAAGCTGCATGCTTATTGAGAAACATATTTAGAGAATCCAAGAGCCTATTTAGGGTAATGTAAGTATTGCTAGGTATCAGTGAGGAATAACAAGGTAACAATAATAATATTATAGCAGCTAATATTTATTGAGTGTTTACAAATTACCAGACGTTGTTTTAATCATTCATATAGATATTGGAACTGTGGCTCAGAGAGCTTAAATAATTCAACTAATATACAATGTGGTGTGGAGCTTGGACTCCAACCCATTGGACTCAGAGCCCACTCACATGAATATCAATTATTTAGCCGAGTATCATCTGTATTAGGAGTTAGGTTTTCAATTCAGTTCTTGGGGCATGGGGCAAACATCAAAAATAGTCAAAAGATACTGTTAACTTGGCTATAAAATACAGCATACTTTTTTATGTCTGGGTGTATGGATACAACTGCCAAGTAATGCTTATAAAAATATTTAATAAATAAAAGAACACCATAGCAAAATGAAACTTTAGATTCCTTTAAGGTACAAAAAGGAGCAAGCATACGTAGCTGCATTTTCTTATATAATATTGATATGTAATGTGACTTCAGTGAAATATAAAAGTGAGGTTACTGGAGGTTGGTTTCTTTATTTGAAAAGAAGCTACATAGATGTAGGTTACAATCATTGAATCACGTGGATTTATGCCCTGTTTTCCCAAGGAATGACCTTTACACAAGAGTCCAAACAAGAGTGTCACCTGGGGAAGTAAAAGCTGCCTGTGACTTGGAGTAAGAGCTTCAGGTGATACAAATACTGTCATCTGTGCTTTACCCCTCCTCCTAAATGCCTGATTTAGCCCTCACAGTGACTGTGTGCTTGGAAATATTTCCATTATTTTTAGAGTAGGTGGACCTTCAAGGATGTTAAGTAACTTGTCCAAAGTCACAGAGTCAGTCACTGTTTTAAGAGTTTGCTAGGAAATCCTTGGAAACCTCTGCTTCTGCTGTCCTTTTGTCAGGTGGTCATCATTCCTTCATCTGCGAAAAAAATATGAGCTTGATAAAACTGCTACCAGTGGAGCATGTGCCACCAAGATTGGCTTTGATTCTCCAGGGATACCCTGTATGTATCAATAAGAGGAGGAGATAAAGGCCGGGCGTGTTCAGCAAGAATGTTTCTATTTTGCTCTATGTCATGATAAATTACGCTTGCTGGCTGCATCGAATATTTCTGTTGAAGAAGAAAGAACACCCCACTCTCAGGATCCAAATTGAGAAAAGGATAGCTGTTCTTGGATGTCATCACTGCCAATCTGCCCTGAAATAAAAGAGAGAGTCCATTTCCGCTGTGTTCCAAGGAAGCAGCGAGCCCTAGAACGTGACAGGTCTCTCTTTCTGCCCCTCCTCATCGAGGGAAAGGGAGAACTACTGAAACAAAAAGAAGGAAACCTCACAAGCAGAGGGCTGAGAAACCTAGGCAGATAACATCTCCTTATTTCTTAACACTCTCTTAGAAAATTAAAAGGACTTTGTAGAAAATCCTTTTGACTGATGGAGTAGCTCCGAGGAACAGAGAAAGACAGATTAACAAGATGAAAGACCAGGAGCCAGAGGACCCAGACCAGGAGCCAGAAGACCCAGATGCTTTGAGGGCAACATCTTCCTTTTGTTGGAAATAATTAAGTGGTTCCTCTTATTAGGTCATGAGTGAGGTATTGAACACTCCAGCAGTAATCTGCACAGACCTCCATTCTTCCAGACCTCCCTGCCAACAATTCCGTAAGCACTCAATTCCAGTAAAATCCTTCTTCTGTTTAAAATGCCTAGAAAATTTTCTATTTTCCTGACCAGCTTTGACTGATACAAACAGAAAATGTGGTGCCAGGTCCTGCAACCATCATCTTGCAGACAATCCTTTCACAATATTCCAACATGCTGAGGATTCCGAGACAGAAAGACAACAGATTCTCAGACGATGTCATTGAGCCACTGCCCCAGATCCCGACAGCATCGCGTTTTCACTGCTTTTTAGGTAAAGGAAAATAAAATATACTTGGGTCAGTCAAATTAGTTTAGTTGTAGCCAGAGTATTCCTATTTTTTACCCAAGCTTCTCATCTGAGAAATGGGGCTACAGCAAGGTTTAGCATATATTTAATGGGATATATGCAGGGTGCTTGGCATCAAGTAACCACTTAATGTTGGTGATTAATGTTGAATCATTTTACTAGTCCTTAAGTTCAAAATAAGATGTATCTTTTCCTCTCAATGAAATTTCCGCGGAGGAGAATTATGCCAATAGAATATGCTTTTCTGAATTCAAGCCTGGACATCCAGTTAAATAAGTTAATGCCAAGTGATAATATTTTCGGCTGACTCCTTTCTATTGCATTTACAAATAGAATTAGTGGATCTGTTACATAGACATTCATGTGTAAAGTGTGAACTGTATGTTAAAAATATAAGTAAGAGATTGAGCTTGAGATAGCCCTATGTGTTGTAAAGGAAAACAAACTTTAATGTTATGGGTATAACTTTCTCTCCTAATGTTCTATAATTATTTCTCATTCTATAATAACTTACTTTAAATAGGGTGACCATTTATAAATGCTCTGCTGGAGACAAAAAAAAAAAGGAAAATGTTGATTATATCTCATCAGCAGAGGATAACTGGGAGGTCATTATATTGCTTACTGTTTTCTGAAACCAAGACTGTAATCAGTGCTTCGGTTGGGAAAATCTGTTTTCCTCACCCAGTGGTTTATACCTACTTAGTGTCTTTAATATGGAAAGGTATTTGGCTTATTCAACTTCTCTAGCTGTGTTCATAAATCAAGATAATCATTATCAGCAGAACAAACAAGAGAAAAATATTATGATAAAATGTGAGATGTGAAATAACAATTTTAAGGCACAATGCTAATGAAAAACAGAAAATCATTATTTTTTTTTCTAAAGTGATTTATTTGCTCATGCAGTGTCTTTCCAAATTTGTTTCACTTGCAGGATACTTAAAGGCTACAAAGATGTATGGATATTGTGGCCCTGAACTCTTGTAGTTACCTATATTTTCAAATCAAACTTCTCCTTCTTTGAGGTCTATAAAAATTATAAAAATAAAATTGTATTCAGTGGCATCACTGGGACTTCATAATTATCTTTGCATTTTTGCTGTAATCTGTAATTTCTTCAAAAAGTTGAGGCTTTACAAACATGATTTAAATATCTGCTTATGGCAATATAAAATGCATTTAAGTAACTCTCTTTTTGATTCTTACCACCCTGAACAATATTCTGGTCTCGGTGGACTGACACCAAATTGACAAACCACAGCAAAATTGCTCATACACTGAGCCTGGGAGATAAAATGGCTGAGTGACAGGTGGGACTAATCAGTTCATAGGTAAAAATCAAGATTGGATTTGATGAGGGGATTTCTTGATCCGTGGTGGATTCAATCCTCTTTTCAATATACTGAAAAGACATTTTTGCCAAGTTTGATTTTCATTATTCCCAACCCTAGCTCTGTCAGTTTTCTTCAAGGGGACATCTCAACCCTGGCTTTCCCTAATTCTACAGCTAACCAAATAGCCTGAGGGGAAGAGTCGGAGTTAACAAAAGGGTGGGGAGAAAATTAAATGCCTGGTCTCCTGTGAAATCTATTTTAGAGAACTGCTATTAGTTATGCCAGGAGTTAGTTGCAAAAAAAAAAAAAAAAGCTGTACACTGAGGTGGCACCAAGACCATTATTACACTTACCTCTTCTCCTTATCATCAACAATGACAAAGAGAAGTGATTATTTTAACATTCAAATTAATTTTCTCATAGCAGAAATCATGTCTCTGCACAGATAACATTTTCTTTATTCCTTAGATCAGATATTTTCAACAAAAGGGTATTTCCCAGTCACCAGATGAGCATTTTGTGAATAACACAATGAATCTTTTCTCTGCTTCTTTAACATACATTTTGAAAAAAAGTATCTTCCCCAAGAATCTTCGTGCCTCTCTCCTCATCTCTCCTCAGTGTGAACCTTGGAGGCTTTTACCTGGTTGCTCTGAACAGCTACAGTGGTAGTTGAGGTCCAGAGAGCTTTGTTGGTGATGTGGACCGAGGTGGGTGGGCAAGGTGAAGGAAGGCACATCTTGTTGTCACCTTCGCCAGCATGAGGGGTGTGGACTGTGGCCTTGGTGACTCCAGGACAGTGTGAGTATTTGAAGATAACGTCTTGGCGTCACTGACACAAAGTCCAGGAGTTTGGGGCTGTGAGGGACTTAATCCACCTGTGCTCATGAGATTAATTTACTTTAAAGAAATGAAATGAAAAATTGTGTTTTTGAATCAGCTAGTACTAAAATGCTTATGATAAAAATAGCCATCCCCTGCCCCAGCCTAGTGTTGCCTCCTCAGTAGCAACCTCCTTCAATTCTTCTAGCTGTGTCCTCGATGATTTACCTTCATATTTTAAATAACATGCTTACATTCCTATTTCATTCCTTCAACAAATATTTAATGAGGCTCAGCTCTAGGTGCAGGCTCCCAGCAGTGAATCAAATTGTCAAGTCACTGTCCCCATGGAGCTGACATCCTCATTGTGGGAGGAGCACAGTGAGCAAAATATATAATATATGGTAATGCTACCATATATTATATGTGAAGAGCAAAACAGGCACGAGGGACAGGGAATGTTAGAGTGAGGTGGACAATTTTCAACACAGTAGAGAAGGGAGGTTAAAAGAAGAATGTAATGTTTGAATTTGAAAAAAATACCAGAAAACGGAGAGAGTGACTTGTAAACATATCTGTATTAGTGTTCTCTAGAGGGACAGGACTAATAGAATAGATGTATATATGAAAGGGAGTTGATTAAGGAGTATTGACTCATACGATCACAAGGTGAAGTTCCCACAATAGGCCGACTGCAAGCTGAGGAGCAAGGAAGCCATTCCAAGTCCCAAAATCTCAAACATAGGGAAGCCAATAGTGCAGCCTTCAGTCTGTGGCCAAAGGCCCGAGAGCCATGGCAAACCACTGGTATAGGTCCAAGAGTCCAAAAGCTGAAGAACTTGGAGTCTGATGTTTGAGGGCAGGAAGCATCCAGCACGGGAGAAAGATGGAGGCCAGAAGACTGAGTCAGTCTAGTGTTTCCATGTTCTTCTGCCTGCTTTATTCTAGCCTCACTGACAGCTGATTAGATTGTGCCCACCCAGAATGAGGGTGGGTCTGCCTCTCCCAGTCCACTGACTCAAATGGTAATTTCCTTTGGCAACACCCTCACAGAAACACCCAGGAACAACACTTTGCATCCTTCAATCCAATCAAGTTGACACTCAATATTAACCATCACAATATCTAAGGGTGAAGACTGCAGGTAGAGAAAACGCAAAATGCAGTGTCCTTATGTGTAGGATATGTTGCATGAAGAACAGCCAGGAGGATCACAGGCTGGGGTAGAGTGAGCAGGGGTGCCTAGATGACAATGTGGCCAGACAGGACACGTGAGGTGTACACAGGGACAGATTTTATAAGACCTTGCACCTGTCAAGGCCTCAAGCTTTCACTCTGAGTGAGCCTCTGAGGGTTTCAAGTAGGGAAGAGACAAGATCCTAAGATAGGACTTAGATTTAGTAAGAAACTCTCTGCTTCCTGGAATCAGAACAGGTGGGATTGGGGGGCAGGATTGAAAGAACCAGGAAGGATGCTTCTGCAGCCCAGCCAAGAGTTAATGTTTGCTCTGATCAAGGAGAGGGTGGAAAATGGGGGGACTTAGAACATATTTTGAAGGTAGAAGCTGGAAGGAGTAGCCGATAGAGTGAATGCTAGTACCTTAGCAGGAAGGAAGACAGGGGTGACTCCAAGCTTCTTGGCCTGAGGAACTGGAAGAATGGGATTTCCACTAACAAAGGCAAGTAAGAGTTTAGGAAAAGCAAGTTTGAGAGAGACATGAGAGTTGGGCATGCTAGTTAATTTTGAAATGTCTCTTGGAAAGGGTGACTCACAGCTTGGTTGGCCTAGGAAAGTCTTAGTTTACTTTGTTGTCATGAAAAATTATCAATATTGTATTGATTATCAGTATCTTCCTTTCACCCTGAACACTAACCCTGTTCAGATGATATGTTCACCTTGCTGCAGGCACCTGACTGAGGAGGTCAAAGAGACATAAGAGTGTGGAGTTCATGAAGTGGTTGTGCTGGGTACAGAGCCTGGAATGAGGAAAAACCAGCAAAGGAGACACAATGAATAAATAGATAATGATGTAGGTGGAAAGCCAGCTAAGAAAGAGGCATGGCAAAATGTGCAGACGTTACATTGGGCCACATAAGATGAAACTGGCATTGACCACTGGATTTGGCTCTGTGGAAGGCAATTGTGGTCTTAGTTTCTAGAAAGGAATGGAAATGAAAGCCTGATTAGAAAGCTGCTCCCTTTTTTGGACATTGGTTTCCCACTATGGTGGAGGAAGATTGGAGACTTATATCTCCCTCAACTCTTCATTATACTTCCTCTCCAATCTCTTTTCCACTCTTGTTATATCACATTCTCTTTTGCTTAAATCCATCATCTTTGCTTTCTTCATTTTGGATGCTATAAATAATGCTCTGCTAACCCAGGTCATAACCTAGAAAGATACCATTTTTTTCTTAATTAACCCTCTTAATTTTTTTCTTAGAGTTAAAAATGACTTTTTAATTTTTTTGCCTTATTTTCTGTGTACTTTTAGACCTTCAGCATCTCTATCATATGCCCATCAACAAAATGTTTAAAATGCTTAAACACATCATTCTCATTTCCCACTGGAGATTTTACTCTGAGAGTTTATGTCAGTTTTGTACAGTTTGGAGAGGGAGAGGAAATAGATGCATATTTGCCATGTTTAGCAGCTCATTGACCTTTGATCTGAAACCTGTTCACAAAAAGAAAGAAGGTAAAGAGACATCCTATTTTATCTACATTTTTGAATCAGATAAAAACTACATTTTGAGTTTCCAATCAAGTTATGCCTCTACATCTTAGATGATTCAATCTTTCCCTTGAGAAAAAAACAAACACATAAGCCAGATCAATATCTTTAAAGCCAATCTTAAAATGCATTGAATGAAAAAGAAAGTACTACTTTACATTTTTTTGTCTTGAAAACATTCCATATTTCATGAAACTTGATCAGTTATTTTAAGAGAAGCTAGTTCCCCGGAATGTCAAGAGGCAGGCCTTTCTCTGCCTTGTTAACAGTGCTTTGTTCTGCTTTTGACTTCCTTTATAGCAGTGGGTTAGGTTGAGAGTAGTTTTCTGTGAAGAGCTGCTGATCTCCCACCAGAAGCAGAGTCAAGTGTTGTGAAGCACATGTCGCAGCATTTTTGCTCTCAGATGATGGAACTGCCTGTCTCCTAACAGAGCTGGCAGGGCCTCTGGTGAGTCAGAGCAGAGCTTCAGGGGCCATTCAGAGCACAGAGGTTAAACACAAAGCTGGAGCCAGTCTGCCTGGATCTCAGTCCCAGCTCCTCCACTCACCATCTTTCAACTTTTGGTGCTCTTGGATAGAATGCTTAACCCTTGGGCATTGATCACCTCTTTTACAAAATGGGTTTATATATAATGATAGTGCCTGCCTCATAAGAGTTGTGTAATGATTGAATAAATTAAAACATGCAAAACAGCTGAAAGAGTGTGTGACATGATGAAGATTTAGTACACGTTAGCTACTATTATTATTTTACTCCATTTTGTATTTTTTTAATGTTTGAAATTTTACTAATCGTTTATTATATGGATAGCCTCTTTGGCAATCAGCTTTAACCCTCCATCCAGATAAAATTATGCTGATGAGTTTAGTATATGTCCTTTTAGATTTTAAAATAATTATATATAGTTGATCCTCTGTATCTATGGATTCTACATGGCTAACTGCAGAACTTGAGCATTCACAATTTTGGTATCCACAGAGGGTCCTGGAACCAATCCCCTATGGATATACTATATATAATACATATAGTATATAAGAATACATATAGTATATAAGAATATATATAATACCTATGTATATATTTAGATAATATGTCCAAAACAAAAGCTGAAATTTAGCCATTTGACTTATTCCTAAGCTACTGGGAAAAAAATTAATTTTCTGGGATATTAATACACTTTTCCCTTAGAATATTCCTAAATATTCTTGAAAGATTTCCAACTAATATGCACAAAAATCACTTTTTTATGGTTTACACATGTGTATTTACATGCAGGCTACCTCATTTTATTGAGCTTTGTTTTATTGCTCTTCACAGATACTGCATTTTTTACAGATTGAAGGTTTGTACCAACCATTCCTTGAGCAAGTCTATCAGCATCATTTTTCCAACAGCATGAGCTCACATTGTGTGTCTCTGTCAAATTATGGTAATTCTCACATTTCAAACTTTTCGTTATTATTATACCATTTTTAATTATTATTGTCATGGTGATCTGTGATTAGTGATCTTTGATGCTACTATTGTAATTGTTTTGGAGTACCCCAAACTGTGCCAATATAAGATGATGAACCTAATTGATAAGTGTATGTGTTCTGACTGCTCTACTGAACCCTACACCCCATCTCTCCCTTTTCTTCAGCCTCCCTACCCCCTGAGACACAAGGATATTGAAGTTAGGCCAGTTAGTAACCCTACAAAGGTCTCTAAGTGTTCAAGTAAAAGGGAGAGTCACACATATCTCAGTTTAAATCAAAAGCTAGAAATGGTTAAGCCTAGTGAGGAAGGAATGGCCAAAATCCCAGACAGACTGAAAGCTGGGCCTCTTGTGCCAGTTAGCCAAGTTATAAATGCAAAGGAAAAGTTCTTGAAGGAAGGTAAACGTGCTACTATAGTGAACACATGAATGATAGGAAAGCAAAACAGCCTTGATGCTGTTATGGAAAATGTTTTATTTAGTGGCCTCGACAGATGATCAAAACAGCCACCACCTTTTCTTAAGTCAAAGCCTAATCCAGAGCAAAGCACTAACTCTATTAAATTCTACAAAGGAGGGAGGTGAGGAAGCTGCAGAAGAAAAGTTTGAAGCTAGCAGAGGTTGGTTTATGAAGTTTAAAGAAACGAGCTGACTCCATAACATAAAAGTGCAAGGAGAAGCAGCAAGTGCTAAGAAGCTGCAGCAAGCTGTCCAGATGTAGGTAAAATAATTGATGAAGGTGGCTACACTAAACAAATATTTTCCATGTAGACAAACAGCCTTATACTGGAAGATGATGTCATCTAGGACTTTCATAGCTGGTGAGGAGAAATCAATGCCTGGCTTCAAAGAGTCAAAGGACAGGCTGACTCTCTTGTTAGGGACTAGTGCAGCTGGTGCTTTCAATGCTGCTTTTTGAAGCAGATGTTCATTCACCATTCTAAAAATCCTAGAGCTCTTCAGAATTATGTTAAATCTACTCTACCTGTGCTCAATAAATGGAGCCACAAAGTCTGGATGACAGCATATCTTTTTACAGCGTGTTTTACTGAATATTTTGAGACCACCATTGAGATCTACTGCTCAGAACAAAATATTACTTTCAAAATAGTACTGCTCATTAACAATGCACCTGGTCACCCAAGAGCTCTGATGGAGATGTACAAGGAGATTAATGAGGTTTTCATGCCTGCTAACACAACATCCATTCCACAGTCCACGGGTCAAGGAGTAATTTTGACTTTCAAGTCTTATCTTATTATTTAAGAAATACATTTCATGAGGCTATAGCTGCCATGAAATATAGTGATTCCTCTAGTGGAACTGGGCAACATAAGCTGAAAAACTTCAGGAAAGGATTCATCATTCTAGATACTATTAAGAACATTTATGATTCATTAGAGGAAGTGAAAATATCAACATTAACAGGAGTTTGGAAGAAGTTATCCCAACCCTCGTGGATGACTTTGAAGTCATAGCCAATGTGGTGGAAGTAGGAAGAGAACTAGAGTTAGAAGTGGACCCAGAGGAGGTAACTGAATCGCTGCAATCTCATAATAAAACTTTAATGGAGGAGAAGTTGTTTCTTATGGATGAGCAAAGGAAGTGGTTTATTGAGATGGAATCTACTCCTGGTGAAGATGCTGTGAACACTGGTGAAATGACAACACACTTTAGAATATTACATAAACTTATTGGATAAAGCAGCAGCAGGGTTTGAGAGGATTGACTCATTTCCAAAGAAGTTCTATGGTGGGTTCAATGCTATCAGACAGCATCACATGCTACAGAGAAATCTTTGTGAAAGGAAGACTCAACAAATGTGACATACTCCACTGTTGTCTTATTTTATTATAAGAAAATGCCACAGACATCCCAGCCTTCAGCAACCCAACCACCATTCTGATCAGTCAGCAGCCATCAATATCAAGGCAAGACCCTCCAACAGCAAAAACATTATGTTCCCCTTAAGGCTCAGATGATTGTTAGCATTTTTTAGCCACAAAATATTCTTTAATTAAGGTGTATACATTATTAAGACATAATGCTATTGCATACTTAATAGACTCCAGTATAGCTTAACCATAACTTTTATACACACTGGGAAACCAAAAACTTTATATGACTCACTTTATTATGATATTTACTTTATTGCGGTGGTCTGGAACCAAATTTTCAAAATCGCTGAGGTATGCCTGTGCATAGAAAATGAAAGGTTTTCTACTATGAAGTGCATATGTGCTTTTTGGTACACAAATCGCATCATACTGTGTATGTTGTCTGCAAGTTGTATTTTACTCAACAATTTATTTTTGAAATTTATCCATGTTGATTTATGTCAACTTAATTATTTGATTTTAACTTCTGAATACCATTCCAGTGAATAAATATAGCACATTTTATATATTGGTGAGTATTCTAGATTCTCCAGTTGCCTCTTAAGAAGCCTGCAGAAGGGTGTTTGAGTGATGCCATGAGAGAGAGGTTACTCCCTGAAACTGAAGTTTCCAGCCCTTTAAGCAAGTTTCCCATTCTCTGCTGGGTTGGATGTGATTCCTCCTTTGCCAGAGCAGGTACACCTGCATGAGTGCCGTCAGACTTCCATCTCCTGCTTACTAATTGATTGGATTAGCAGGAGGTCGCAGCAGAAGTCCTCTGCATGCATATCTTGCAAATGCCAAGGGGCATTCAGGTGCCTAGCCCACTGTTAATACCGTGATAGTCAGGTGTGTTCCTAAGACGATGTAGAATACATTGCTGCAGATGGGTCTAGCCCAGTTGAACTGGTCTGAAATCAGACACCAAGAAATTGTTCAGAGTACGTTTTGAGCAAGTTAACTGAATCATAAAACATAAATAACAGTTATCTTAACTGCCAGAATGGTTGTGAGCGATAGCTAATTGAATACATGGTAAAGCACTTTTTATTTGCAACGTGCCCTGCCAGAGGAAGAGGCTTAGAGGCTGGCATCAGGTCAGCACAAAATCTCCTTTGCAGGAAAACAGACTTCATCTTTGAATTCGTGATGCCATAAAAATTCTAATTTGAGGATTTGTGAAAAGATGCACAATCTGTTGCTTCATACAGTCCATAGCTGGAAACACTGGGGCCCATCTGTTCATTGGGGAATGATTTGAGTGTGCCTTCTCGTTAGCATTTTAATTCAGGTGTAGGTGTTTAGAAAAGGCAGTTACTAAAATTAATCATATGGGGACATGATGTGTAAACTTGTAAAGTCAAGCTGCAAGTTTGGGCCATGCTGAGTAGTAATTCCATCCAGTGATCTCTGCAGAAAGTTCCAGTGGGTGCAGATATTTAAAACCAAACTCTAGACCAGCCTAATTCTAGGGCTGTATTAGTCCATTCTTGTGCTGCTGGTAAAGACATACCTGAGACTGGGTAATTTATAAAGAAAAAGAGGTTTAATGAACTCACAGTTGCACATAGCTGGGGAGGTCTCACAATCATGGCAGAAGGCAAAAGGCACATCTTATATGGCAGCAGACAAGAGAGAGAATGAGAGCCAAGTGAAAGGGATTACCTTATAAAACCATCAGATCTTGTGAGACCTATTCACTATCACAATAACAGGATGTGGGGGGGCAGGCAGGGAACCGCTTCCATGATTCAGTTATCTCCCATCGGGTCCCTCCCACAATATGTGGGAATTATGGGAGCTACAATTCAAGATGAGATTTGGGTGGGGATATAGCCAAACCATATCAAGGGACACAGGATGGAATGGGAATGATGGGGCCAAGGCCCTGAGGCTGTTTGTTGGTGAAGTTCTCCTCTCGGTTTCTCTAATGGATCTCTGACTTTTGCTTTGTGAATTTCTGTATACCTGGGAGGCTATGCACCATGAAAAAGTGCTTTTGTGCACAGTAGTTTGAATTCTCCCAGGAAACATCCAGTGGCTATGCAAGGAAAAAAAAGTTGATTCTCTTGGGCAATATATATTTTTCTCTAGTAGCTTGGGAATATGTCAAGCAGCTAAATTTCATCTTTTCGCTGTTTTTCTACAAAAAAAAGATATCGAAGCACATAAGGCAATTTTACCTGGCATTTTTCATTGTCTTTCTAATTGTTCATTTTAATATGTTAACCACCCTGATATTAAGACGTGAGGATACAATTTAAAATGTATTTTATAACTAGCTCAGAATTTGGGGAAGAAAGTTTCAACAGTGGTATTGAAAATGTAGAGGTGCAGTTTAATTAAGTTGTAATTATTTAATTAACAAATGGTTTTTGCCTATTTTATGTCAGACCCCGTATAAAATGCAAGATTAGGGAAAACAAACATGGTCTTTGCCTTTGTAGAAATTTAAGTCTCCTGGGAGGCTCAGAAACAAATAATCAAGCCAATCCATATGTAATTTCTAATTATGGAAGTGCTATTGTTTGCTATGAGATGCATCATGGGGATGAATGCCCTAGCCTGGAAATGAGGGAGTGCAGCCCCTAGGGTGCCTGTTTTGATGGAGATCTGAAGAGTGAATAGGTTTGGGATGGGACAGAGCAGGTGGGTCAGAGTGCAGGTGTGAACAGCTTCCCCTGTGAGGGACAACACATTTAAAAGGCCTTGTGGACAAAGAGACTGAGAGTCCTTTGAGGAATGAAAGTGGGTCTCTGTCACTGGAGGACAGAGAGAAGGGGCAGTCGGGGAAAGGGGAGGCCAGGAGTGTAAGGAGGGAGGAAGGGGCAGGGCTGGAAGCTGTGTTAAAGCCAAGCTCAAAGCAAAGGGAAGTCCTTGAAGCATTGTGAAAACATCATTCTGGTTGCAGAGTAAACAAGGAAATGAGTGGGGCTGAGATCATCAGTGGGCAGGCTACAGCATTTGTCTAGGTGAAGATTATTTTATGGGACACACCACACACTCATACACACGAGGACAAAGAGATAATGAAGGTAAAAGAGACAGAAAGAGACAGTGTGTTTGTGTGGTTGCATGTGTGTGTGTGAGAGGGAGAGACAGAGCAAGAGAGGGAGAGAGAGGCAGGGAGACAGCAAGGGAGAGAAGGAGAGGAGGAGAGATATATATTGATAGAAAGAGCAAAAACTGAATTAAAAGTATTGAGAGGATGGATTTTAAAGTTAGAGCTAGCTATTCAAATCTGAGATAATGATAAAAATAAATTTTAAAATGTGGTCTCTTCTTTTAATATCAGGGTGGTTAATATAGGACAATATATAAAAAGAAATATATGCTTCAGGTAAAATTGTTTGTAGAACTTTTCGATCATTTTTCACACAACAGCTACAAAAATGAAATGTAACTGGTTCAAATCTTGCTTGGCCCAGCCGCTTTGTAACCACATGAATTTGGGCAAGTTTCTTATACAGCTCACCTTCAGCTTCTTCATTCCAGCTGGTGCTAACACTATTCTGCAAGCTGAATGGGGTCACATATGTGAGGTACCCGACTCAAGATCTGCACTTAGTTAGCCTTTACTAACATTACTGTTGTTATTATTATCATGTTAACAAAATTCCAAAAACTAATACATAATTCTTTCATCTAGAAAAGCAGGGTACTTATTACATTGTGAATACAAGTATATTTGTATTATGTGAACTCACTAGGTCATGAATATTTTTACCATATGGCCACACCTCAGTTGCGTTTATCCACTATTCTATCCTTTTCTAGAAAATCACTGAATATGAATAATCTCTCTTCATCTCCTTATTTGACATTGGAATGGAGAGAAGATTAAGTAACCTAAAACCAAGTGGTAATTCTCGGATATTTAGAAGGATATTTTGAGACATTTTGTACCAAGCTTTGATGTGAAAAATATGAATTCTGGCTTCAACAATAAGTTAATAAAATAAAAAGTGATAGAATGGGGAAAGGCTTCACATTGTTGATGGAGCTCACAGCCAGGGGCCTGGTGGGAGCCCCAGCCCTGCTGCTGAGTTCATACCAGCTCGTTTTCTAAATAAAACAGACAGTTCATGTCAACTCCCACCATAAGAATGTAAGAAGTACCTCAGGGCTATGACTTGTCCAGATTCTCGTATCATTTTTCTCTGTGTGTGCAGGCGTGTGTGTGTGTGCAGGTGTGTGTCTCTGTGTGTGTGTGTGTAAACTGGCTTCCTTTTCTGTGAAGACACTGCAAACCTGGCATTCCCTGCATGCCTCAACACATGCTTGCTTCCTGCTCTTCCTCAGTGACTTTGTCCAAGCCCACAATTTCTACTGTTGCCTCTAGGTAGTGACCACAATTTTAACCTAAATAGACCTTACTCTTGAGTGAAAGCCTGAACTCAGACCTGTATCTCCAAGTATCTGTGAGCACCTTCTTTTCAAGGTATAACTAATATTTTAAGTTCAAATAGGTCTATATTGAGATTCTGTAGGAAAAAAAATACACTGGAGAAGATCTGAGTATCCATCTAACAGAACCACTCAGTAGCTTTGTGCAGTTAACTATTTTGGGCGCCATTGCCTTTAGCTGTAAGGTGATAGGTCCTTGGTCTAGAATCAGGGGTCAGCCACTGCCTGGTTTTATAAATTTTATTTACAGCCATAGCCATTCATTTACACAAAACTGCCACAGAGACTAATGGCTGTAAATCCTAAAATATTTACTGTCCAGCCCTTTACTAAAAAAGATTTGCCAATTCCTGGATTAGATCACTAGTTTCTAAACTTCTGTTTTCTCCTCTCCCTCTTCCATTTTTTTTCCTTTTTCCCTCCCTCCGTCCCTCCAGCCCTTCCTTTCCTTCCCTCCCCTCCCTCCCTCCCTCCCTCCCTCCCTCCCTCCCTTCCTTCCTTCCTTCCTTCCTTTCTTACTTCTCTATATTTTTCTTTCTTAGCAACTGAATCCTTTCTCCAAACAATATATTACACAGAAGCCCAGTAGAGAACACAGATAAAAGTAGGCCTCCTCTATTTTGAAGGTTTGAATGTGGGAGTGGTTTTCGGTTTTCCAATCTGAAAGTCACTGAACTAAATTATTTTTTAAATTCTATAACTATAATGATGTATGTAGAAGTCCTGAATCCTGAGAGCTACCTGTAGTCTTTAGCAAACAGTCAAGCGATTAAATGTGTTTTGGTGCTCCCCTCTTCCTGCATTTCCCCCACTGGAGTCCCTTCTTCGACTTTGTTCTCATCTTCACTCTCCATCTGTTCCTGCCCTCCCTGTGGCTGTCTAGCTGCCAAGGAACCCTAACTGGGGCACACGCATGGCCAGACCCCTTGCAACCATGGCCACAGTGTCAGACTTTCTCTATCTCTTCTTTGAAGGCGAAATTTTGACTTGGTGTTCTCCCCTTGGTATCTGTTTTCTCCTGAATGACAGCTGGCTAATCAGATAAATTCAGCCTGTTAATTTTATAAAGACTGTTAATTTTTACTAATGGCTTAATGAATTTATTCCTCCCAGGTAACACATTTGTATTTTAATCAGGGCTTTCTGGAGATGGTGGCTTCATTAACTCAAAGGAAGGAGTTTAGTGGAAGGAATCCGGGCAACATTCTGACAGCTTAAGGGGTATTTAGAGCAAAGGAAGGCTCTGGACGCTGCTCAAATCATGCTACAAATGTGGCTGTCCATGCCTCCTCTAATTTTGATTGAATCAGTCTTCTGTTTCATGGCTATTTTGCTCATTTGGGTGGACAGCCTCATAGGCTGTGTCATTTTTCTCCCACTGTGGGCTGTGTCACCATGGGCATGTGACATAGCACTTTTGGGTCTCCTCATCTGTCCTTTGTAGAGTTATTGGGGGATCAAATTAAATAACATGCATATAAAGTGTGGCATATTATCAGAATCTCAGTAAATGCTGCTTCTTTTCCCATCAAAGTGCAACCCAGATCTCTTATGTTTAGAAGAAACCTTCATTTTAGTTTTTTGCAGAATTTGTTCCTTGATTTAGAAGGGAAGAATTTTTTCCTCTTTATATTTTTTATCTCACTGTCAATAAATTAGCTAGCTAGAAGAGATAATAACTGGAATCAGAGACGTCCATAACTGTAAGGGACATCAGAAAACATCTAATTTGCTTCTTTTATTTCCCAGACACACTGAGAAGTTAAATGGTTTATGCAGGGTCTCTGGCTGTCTAGTGAGTGGCAGATCTAGAATTAGAAACCAGGCCTCCCAAACTCCCAGTTTCCCCCAAGTCAACAAACAAATAACACACTTTCTTCCCTGAGGCTTCTCTCCTATACTGAAGAAAATGCTGGATCAAAAACTTGCCTTTGGCACAACACACGTAGAGATTTGCTCAGCATACCTCCAAGACTGGCAAGGTTGCATATTTCATCCTATTTGTGATGAGGGAAATGGTCAGTCTCTCAAATCCCCTTAATGAAGCAAGAAAATCGGTCATTTTACCTTGACTATCACTTGGCATCTTCTTTTTAAGTCTGCTTCCATAAATAGCAATGAAACCTGCCTTCATCACATTTATTATGGGATGAAAACCAAGCTTCTGCATATTGAAGGCGTAACTCCAGTGAGCCACCCTGCCACTTGAACCTTCAATAGGCCTCTTATGCTGTATTCATTTCTTCATGCAAAGCACTCTCTCCTCATTGCTGGATAGCCTGACAAGAAAGTGGCTAGCACAGCTGCCTCACTGTGCCCTAGCATTTGGGGTAATAACCTGGCAGGCTGCGGGTCTCTTTTCCCACTCCTCTCTCCAACCCCCATGCAACTGTTTGAATTTCTCCTTGCACCAGCTGCCCCACCCTCCCTCTCAAAAATTACTTTCAGTAATTACTACAGCTCAAGGATGCTGTCCAATCTAAAATAGCTAATGAGAACCAGTCCTTCAATCTAAACTGTAATCAGCTTATAACAAGCTCCCTTTTCCTGTGCTTCATTACGGTGACACAATCTATTTTTCATACCTCAAAATGATAAGGCAGAGTTGGGGAAAGAGAATCACTCTCCATCACTAGGCTTGCATGAAAGGGAGATGGGCTTAAGCATGCAGAATTGATTTATTTGCATTCTTCTGTTGCTTTGGTGGCTGCATCTTTTAAAGAAGTTAATATTGTATTTTTGATTTGGCCCTGAGAACAGCAGGGCCTGACAATCAAGCATGCTTATTACAGCCAGGAAAAAAAAAAAAAAAAGAAGTAGCCCAGCATAGCTCAAGTGCATGGTGATTTATTTGGACATGTGCAGACTTGGAGCAGAAAGTATTTTAAATTCTGTTGAAGAACCTTACAATTCTGTCTTTATGTGTTTCTTCTCTCTGAAATTTGTGTTTGTTACCTATTACCCCACTAGCTACTTACCTGCTTTTCTTTTTTGTGGGGGGGGCTATGCAAACGCTTCATTGTTTATTTTCAAAGAAAGAACATGGAAGGCACCCACCACAGGGATTCTCACTAGAAGTTTGGGGAATCTGCTTGGCTAATATTGTACAATCTGTTGATAAACACCCAGGCTATTTTAATCTCCTTTCCAACTTTATCCTCCTGAGTTAATTTCCAGACTGTCATTTTTTGCCTGGTGTGATTAAAGTTCGGCCTGTTTAAGCGTCTGCATTCTCCCGGCATGATTTCCTAGGCATTGAGGCTGTGGCAGAGCGTGCCTATTAATCCCACCCTAATGATTAGAGCATCTGAGGAGCTGCAACATTTGATGGGTTAATACTGGTAGCTGAGTCCTTGGATTGAATCCAACTCAGTCATCACTTTGAATGAGGCAGTTTGATGAGCTTCAGTAAGGCTGGGACTGCTGTCATTGTCCATTTGAGACTCCAAATACTAGGAAAAAAATAAAAGCCGGTCTTCGACAGCTAGACAGGTCCTAGGAGTATGAATGTCAATAACATACAGTTATAAAATGCAGATTGGGGCATCTTTGTTATATAATTGTTAATGGGCAGAAAAACCTCACAAAGAACTCCCTGCCCTATTATTTATCTCCCTGCCCCAAAAAGAAAATAACAACAAAAACATTAAAATACATCGGCCAGTTTTTAAAAGTTGTTTTTCTCTGCTTTGTCTAAAATTGTGTAAAAGATAAGGCTAAATTAGAAAATCTTTTACCCAACCTCTTCATTTGTGTAAAATAAATGCACACAACTCATTTAAAATGGGAGGCTTGCAAATTTACTCATTAGACACAATAACCAGTAAGCTGGTGTCTCAACTCAAGAGGAGTCTTCATCAGGCAATTAGGGAAGGTGGTTCTCGGCTGCCTCTCCATCTTCAAGAGCGCTGGATCCAACTTGCTTTTAAAATAGTGAGGCTGTCAGAGGACTCAGATTGAGCATCTGCATTTCAGGCGAGTCCATAAATTAACTTCTAGTACTTATGGCATTCTGAAAGAATGAAACATTCATTGCAATTCATGGTTTGTCTGTTTCAGGAATGTTATGAAACTATGCCTGTTATACAGGGAGAATTTTCTACCTCCAATGTTTATAGGAAGTTATTTTTCTTGCCAAAGCAAGTCATCATACTATCATCCTCTCTCCTCTTTCTCCTTCTCTCCCTCTCACATCAAAGGTGACCCTCTGAAAACATGTAAAGTGGGATACCTTTACAACTTGGTGGCAGGGGACAGAATTCACAGCCTCCTCCTGATTGTTCAATCAGGCCTTCCTCATTCGAGTGTTCAGTTTAAGTGAACTTGAGTCAGCTGGCAGAATATCTGGATTTATATCTTACTGTATTATTTTCTTAAGGGGCATTGATTTCCAATATACATAGTCCTTACCATACTTTCTGCACCTGCCAATGAGTGTCATGATTCTGAATTGTACTGCAAGTCAAAATACCAGTTAGCTGATTCATGTATAGGTCTTTGCTAAAGATGAAGATGAAAGCACCAAGTTGTTTCAGGAATAATATAAATTTACAATCCTGTATCATTACTTTTGTCTTTGCCCACATGCACATAATATAATATGCAGTGAATCTTTATTTTTAATTAAGAACATTTCTTAACACCTTCTATGTGCTGGGCTAGCAGTGAGGGATTGAAGATATTCAGACTGGCAGCACTAAATCTGAAAGTTGATGGTCTCCCACTTGGAATCTTTAAGTAAATAGACTTTTATTGACAACATTAATAGAAAGGGAAAAATAATAATAATAAAAGTCTGCTCCTAAGGTGGTATTTTAAAAAATATTTTTCAGATTATATATTCTAAAGTTATCTTTATATCAGTGATTTTAACAATACTATAGAGTTTATCCATGACTAAGTGTTTAAAGATGTTTGCATTGTTTGTTAACCAATTTAGAATTTCATCCTAAGCCTTCTTAAAATAAACTAGGGAATATATAAATGATTTTAAACACTGACTCTTTGTGATATAGTTTCTTAAGGATAAAAAGATACATGAAATATTCTTATCATCAAGGAGGTTAAAATGTGGTAAAAAAAATGGATTCACTGAGATCACAGTTTACGTGTTTCATATACTGTATTGACAAACACAGCTTAAGAATTACACTAATGCTTTTTTAAAGGTTTTTAAGTTAAAAAATAAAATAAAGGTTTAAAAAGTTACCTAGAAAATTATACTGATGAAATATTTTTCAGTAAACTAGTTATGAGTTGTATCAAAAAGCAAATTTTATATTTACATTGTGTTAAGGGCCACATTGAAGGTGGAGAATATGGTAAAGATAAAAATGGGTAAGGTCTGTACGTTTGGATTTCAGAGCTAGTGCTTTGTGTTCAAATTTCTTTTTTTTTTTCTGTCTCCCATTTTTCTTCCTCCGCCAAAACATAGATGGTATATCATGTAACTAATTTGTTCCTTTTTTCTCTTTAAAATATGAGCAGTCAGTGCCCTCTTTGGTAATTACAGGAGGAGATTATTCAAACAAGTTTTGTTGTAGAAAACAATCTAAATTCTTTAAATAAAGTTTCATAAAGTCTAATTTATTATCATGATTAACCTCATCAATAACACCTAATGATGTAACATTTTTAATGAAATAAGTTGAAATGCCTCCTTACATTTTCAGTTAGTTTTCATCTGAAGTGATCATGGGCTAATCTTTCAGATAATGAGTTAATGACAATGGAATTTTAGTGATGAAAAATATGCTGTCATTATACGTGGATTCTAGTTAGCAAACTTGTATCATCTCAATGGAATTTAAACACAATTCTCTGCAGGTTTATTCGTCTGACATCTAGGTCTTACTTATGGATTTTCTCCTCACAGTCCATTTGATCAGCTGGCAAAAATTAGATTTTAGGCTGTTCAGAGACTGAAAATGGTGGCATATCAAGGATCCTGAAAAGGGGGAGAAAAATGAAATTAGGAAGCATTGCTCATTGCTATAATCTCTAACTTGAGCAAGAAATTCACATGATGATCAAAGGTGGCAATGAGCCACTGTGATAGATCAGGGCAGTGGTACCAGGGCTTCTCAGACTTTGCTTTTCCAATTCCCACTACCAGAGTCAGAGTGAGTCCAAAATGTGTGGCAGGTGATGGTGCAAGAGGGGCGTGCAGAGAGGGACAGTGGGAAGGCCCCAAGTGCATGGGTTAGTGTTTTGGAATTGTGTTTTAGGGCAGTCAAGCTAGAGGTACACATCGCTGACAGTAATAGTATTAATAATGCTAACTACTGTCTATGGCTCAATTACAGTGAAGGGGATGTCTGGAAAGACCTCATGGAAGCGGCAGTGTGTAAGCTGAAAAATGAAAGGCAGCAACACTTGAATATTCAGAAATAGAGTAAGGACATTGAAGACAGAGTGAACAGAGCATCAAGGGAGCCAGTTGTGAAGCTATTCAAATTCCGCGTTGTGGAAACCATCTAAAACCACTTTTGGTAGCTGCAGTTGACCAATGTGGCAAGAATGTTCTCTTATTAAGAAAAAAAAATGATACAAATAAGCCTATTAAGGTACCTAAAATATTTATTCATACTTATTTGCCACTGTGGAACTCAATCTGTACATACAGTGATCACTGAATATCACAGAATCAAGAAAAGTTGTTGGTAATTTTACTAAAATCTATGGACTAGAGAATGTCAGTACAAACAACAAAATCAGGGGTTGTCAAGGTTTATGACCAGTGTTCGGCTGGGAAAAAGTACACTAAAAAATACACATAGAATCACTTATTGTTAATTAAAAGAAAGGAAAAAAAATCTTTCTTGATTTAGCAACACTGTCACAGTCTCACAGATTTTCTCTTTTTAGACCAAAGTAAATCCAGCTCTTAGAGGACATTTTCTATCTGAGTCACACTGATAAAACTCACTGAATAAAGATGGAAAGGTGACACCAGAACAGTTTCTACCCCCTGGGGATGACCAAAATTGTAAAGAACAAAAAATCACGTTTTTTTTTTTTTTTTTTTTTAGCTGTCTAATCCCATTTTGAATCAAAATAAACCTGGCATGCTTGGCAAATGAATTTTTTTTTACACTGGAAACACATTTTCTCATAATGCAATAGCTTTTAATCACCCTTTCAGTCCTTAGATTTGAAATGTTGTTAAGCTTAGTTTTGGTTTGGATAATTTTTGCCCTTCTCAATTATTCATGGTGAGAAGAGTAGTCATCTGGTGATTAATACATATTTATTGAGCATGCTTTGTATGAGTAAAGCACTGAGTGAAGCTTCACTCAGTGCTTTAATAATAAAAGATTTCAGCAATTTATTTTACTTTTTAAATACTGTCCTAGCCTTCCAGGGCTGCAGAATCTGGGCTTTGGGAGGGTGGTAGCCCATGAATTATGTTGAAGGAAGCCTAGGTAAAAAGTGCTGTGAAACTAAGAGGTCAGGATTCACTGGTTCTAAGAGGGCTTCTTGGAGGAGGCCTATGTACTTGTTGAGGGTTTTATGTTCAAAGTAGCTTATTTGCATACTCACATTGGCTTTCGCCTTGACTCTACTGAGAGCTGGAGTTGTGGCTGCAGAATTCCCTATTCTAGAACCTCTGTGCTTTTCATTTTCTAGGTAGATGGGATCATTGCTTCTTTGTTCATCAGTACATCCTTAAAATATTTGCATTTGCTAACTAATTGCTAACTAATTTAACATAAAATGTTTACATTAAAACAAATACAATTCTATAACAGAATATAAGAGTCACATGGATTTTTCAAGATAAAATAAGACTTACTGGAGTTTTGCACTTATAGCAAGAAGCTGCTGGAGGAACACATTTACTTTTTTCTGTCATTTGGGGTATTCCAGGGAGATCTGGGGAGATTGCACTAGTGGTGACTGCAATAGGATTAAAAAGGGCCCTAATCCTCTCAACTAAGTACCATAAACCATTCTTTAGATTGATTATTTGTCTATATGTTTTACCTGTGAATGCAGAATTTTTTTCTTAAGCTTGAACAGCATTTCCTGGAACAGTTTTAAGTATGTTAAAAATATTTTATCTAATTCTCACAATGATTCTTCAAGTAGGTATTGTAACATTTACTTTAGAGGTGAGTTACCTGAACCTCAGGGAGATCGACTTGCTTAGAGTTTTAGTCAATAAGTGGTGGATCTGAGCTTTGAATCCAATTTTTTTGTTTTTTTTTCTCCATTCCACTTACTGCCTCCCACTGGATTTGTCTGAAATGGTTTGTCCACACAAAGGCTTTGCTTGAATGGTGGGTTTGCAGCAGAGTGATGTCATTGAGCTTGAATTGCATTTCCCAGAATTCTTTTCTCTGTAGAGTTCCTTGTTACTGTGGGCCACTGAAGATGTTTTGTGTGTGTGTGCTTTGGGGGCGGCGGGGAGGGGGGTGGATTTGGAAGGTGGAAGTGAAGGAGCAGCCATATTTCTTTTCTGTGAGGAGGTCACTGCTAGGCATGAGACCACACTGGAGCTCACACATGTTTACCTGCTGGCTTCTCTTGTGGGTGTCGGGAGATGGTTGGGTCCTCAGTGTCTGCAGATGGTGTTGGATTTTCTGCTTCTGCTCCTCCAGCTCCTAAGCCAAGTGTATGATGAGGGATACCAGTTTCTGCAGCAGGCATGGTTGGTTACATAATTTGTGGAGCCCAGCGTAAAGTGAAAATGAGATCTCTTTTATTCAAAAGTTATTTAAAATTTTAAGATAGAAATAGCAGAGCATTAAAATAAGCATGAGGTTCTTCTAAGCAAAGAACCCTGTATGGCTGCATGGGCCATAGCAGGAACCTCTGTCCTCAAGGTTTGAGCCTTGGAAATGATCAAAGACCAGTGTGAATTCCAGGTCAGTCTTGTGACTGATTCTAGCTTGCCCTTGCTTACCCACCTCAAGCCTACCTTTCCAGCTAATTGCCTGTCCTGCAGGCTTCAGTTAAACAAATAACAGACTCACATCAGCAGAATCATTAGCTCCCACAATTGCATAGAGTCACATCTCTTGAAATAATTGAGAAAATAAATCTCTGTGCATTTTTGGGGGTTTTGTGGTTCAGATGAGGACCCAAGATGAGAAAGCCTGGAAAGAAGTAGATATTAAAGAGATAATCACAGAAGTGTCACTGTGATTACATTTTGATCACTGCTACAAAAGAAGGATTCAGGGTCCTCAAATGTAGTTCCTTTTTATATAGGTATTGTTTCTGTATTGGAGTCAGAAGTTGGTTTTTGGATGCATTTTGCAGGTAGAAGGCACAGGGGAAGATATCTCTATAGACTTCTAGCTAGGCAGAGTAGAAAATATAAATCAATAAATCATTGATTTTGAGTTTGAACTAAACTTTGAAGTCAATATTTCAAAGAATCTTGATTTTTTTTCTCTACCTTCCTCCTGACGTTTTGGAGTCCCTAACTTTCCTTGGGTAACTCTGAGAAGGAGGAAGTCTCTGTACCATCGAGCCATTCATTCTGTTATGGTATTATTTCAAGGATACCAGTGGGGAATCTCTGTTTTCTCTAATCTCTTCATTGAGCTTTACTTTATTTTTTTAATAGTGGAAATAATATTTAAATTGATGATACGAGCCAAGACATACAATGAGAAAATTCCTGAAGATGAAGAGTGTATACTGTCAGTTCCTTCTTTAAGAACATGGGGAGGCTGGAAGAGGCAGAACAGTATGCCCCATGTAGGCATAAAGACCACTGACAGAGTAGGGAGGCAGCTCTAGGACAGGGTTGGAAAACTTTTTCCGTTAAGGGCCAGAGAGCAAATACTTCAGGCTTTGTGGAGGCATATGGTCTCTGTTATGACTGTTCACCTCTAGTGTTGTAGCCAGAAAACTTCCATAGATGAGACATAAAAGAACAAATGTGGCTGTATTCTAATAAAACTTTATTGATGGATGCTTGCATTTCATATAGTTTTCACATGTCATGAAATATTATTTCGTTGACTTTTTTCAGCCATTTGAAAATGTAAAAATCATTCTCAGCTCTCAGGCTGAACAAAAATAGACAGTAGACTGGAGTTTGTTGAGCTTTTCTTAGAGGCAAACATCCCTTATGGTAATGTTTCCTAAAATTGGCTTGGCCACAAGGTCAGTGTATTTATAGTGTGTTACCAGGCATTAGCACCATTGAGGGAATTGTTACAATGCAGAATCCTATACCTTAGAAATTAGTAAATTTTACAAGTAGTCCCGATTAAGCCTATGTATAATAAAGTTATAAAACTACGTATTCAGTATTTAGGTAGTCTTTTCCCAGATTTCTCCCCTTTTGCTTGTGAGAAGAAAGAAAAGTTAAATGGCAGACATGGTCTTAATTGTAATTACTGAGACAAGACTACATATATAAACACATATGGACACATTTATACAACCATGTTTGCATAATATTCTAGATGCATGCAATATGTACGTATATATGAATATGCATATATATGTATATGAATATGCACACACACGTATGAATGTCTCACACTTTTATATATATGAAAATGTTTAGATATGGATACATTTGTACATGCCCATGCACCAGTACATGCACAAAGTCTTGCTTGGCAGCTCTTTATTATAGTGATAAAAATGCTCAAATGCTCATTTGAGAATAATTGCTGATTCCATACCATGCAGATGTTTTGACATAGAATGAAGTAGAAATTATCAGATGACACTCTCACATCTGTTGAAGTTGGAGGCATGTGTGGAAGCAAACATGATTTCTTTCAGTCCTTAAGCCTCATTAATATATGTTGTTGAAGTCCTTTATCACATCAAAGCAATATGATCTTTTAAAGATGGTTGCTTTGAGTGAAATGTTTAAAACATGGGTGCAAAGTAAAATTCATTAAAATATCTAAATGAACAAATTGGAATATTATTAATAAAAATATTAGTCTCTAATGGACTTTATAGTGATCTGATTAATTTGAAGTATTTTTCAGATGAAAGACAGAACCATTTAATCTCCCTCTTTCATGCTATTCTCTTATTTTAGCATACTTATTTATTCCTTTAATTTGTGTAGTTTAGCTTTCAGCTTGACTTTCCCCATTCCATTTACAGAGATGTTCGCAAACACAGAATAATTCCTGCTGGTAATGTTGCTCATTAGGAACACTTCCAGAAAGAGAGGTGAATAGTGCTGCAAATATCTCTTCATTTCCAGCCTGGCAAATAATCTGTCAAGACAACACCCCAGCCAGTTGTTTAATTGTGTATCAGGTTTAGGTGACAGGACTTGGATATGACATGACAAAAGGGCTTAGGAAGAGTTATCCATCTTCCTTCCCCTTAGAACAGCAGAGTCTTCAATAAAGACATCCGTTAAGTCTTTATTTCCTAAGGCATAGAGAATCAGACTTCTTACCTTTCAATTAGTAATGGATGAACTTCAAAAAGGTAAGGTTTTCGTTCTCATTTTTGCTGTTGCTGGCAGGTCTTAGATACTTGGAGAGTTTAATGGATTCCATCCCCTCCTCTTCTCTGTTTCTTTTTGTTCATACACTTAGGATGACTCCTATTAGTTACCAGTTCTTTGGTTTCCTTTACTTATTTGCATGCACTTAATTATTTTTGAGATATTGACCAGGAGAGAAAGAATAGAAAATCTCTTTGCAGAAAAAGTTTTTTGTTCTTTTTTTTTAATGGCTACTTTTTAAAGCTGTTGAATGAGTTCATTTGAGATACAACTTCACCCAATTCACCCATCATCACTTGCCAATAAATCTTTCCCAAGCTCAGTTTTCCTACAATTTTCCCCAAAAAGAAAAAAGAAAGAGAATATGCCCAAGATTAAAGAGGATCTTTCTGGATTAATCTTGTTTTTATTTCAAGGTTTAGTACATTTTTGGATTATATTCTTTTTCGGAGTTCCTAAACTGGTTCTGTTCAAAATGGAGATTGAAATTTCCAAATTATTTCTCTTATTATCAGCACACCTGGAGACCTGAACTGTGGCACTGGATGTAGCTACTGTAAATAACGTCTTGGAATCTCTCACCCATATGTATTTGCTCTTATCTGTATGTAAAATGAGACATAGCCTTATTTTCACTTTAATCTAAGTCTGACACTAATGACCTCTCTGATAGTAAATCAATTATCCATCCATCCACCCATTCGTCCACCCATCCCATCAATTTGTGTTATTAGGTACCTACTGTATGCCTAATGTTTGCTAGTTGCTGGAGAAATCATAGTGAGAAAAAAAAGAATCAGTCTCTGCCTCAGGGAACTTACAGTCTCGTGTGGAGTGAGGTACTATTTTTAAAAAATCATGCAAATAATTATGTATTTTCAGTGGAGGAAACATACATGATACCATGACCATGAAAAGTTTTAGTAAGGCAAGTTGGACTAGTTAGGACAGGCAAAGAAGACTTCCCTGAGAAAATAATGACCAAGGTGAAGAATGGAAGAGGAAGGGAAGGAATATTAACCAGAAAAGGAATGGAAGAGTGGATATTAGACAGGCAGCAAATTTGTCCTCCCTCCCAAATTTCACATTAAAACAGAAGCACTTTAAATTTATATTGTGAATGACATGGAATTTATACAATGTTATGGTCATGCAGTGTTTCTAATTTCTGCATTGTCTATGGCTTATAAACAGCTAATGAGAAAAGCTTTGTCATCTTAAGCAAGTGCCCCATCTTCTACAAATGATAATAAATACTTATAGATTATGATAATTATCTCATATCTTGGTTAAGATCCCAACCAATAATAAAATAAAACAGAGAGAGTGACTGGGAACCCGTAGTAGATTAGCCACAATTCCAAAATCTAAACAGCTCTAACCACTTAAAAAATTGTAACTTAGTTCCTGATTGAAACCTTTTTGGTAAAACTTGACCTGTGCTAATGTGAGGATATTTATTACTTTTAAGATTCTCAATTGAAGTGTTTTCTTGTGAAGGGCATATGAGAGTGTTACGGAACTTTTAGAGGATTCCATTTCTTCCTCTTCTTTGTTTCCTTTTCTTCCTTTTTGTTCAATCCAATTTTCAAAATTCTGTATGCAAAAAAAAAAAAAAAAAAAAAAAAAGAGGCTGTGTGGGGTGGCTCAGCCTGTAATCTCAGCACTTTGGAAGGCTGAGGTAGGCAATAACTTGAGGTCAGGAGTTTGACACCAGCCTGGGCAATGTGGATAAACCCCATCTCTACTAAAAGTACAAAAAAAGAGAAAAGAAAGAAGGAAGAAAAAATTAGCCAGGCATGGTGGTGCACACCTGTAGTCCCAGCTACTTGGGAGGCTGAGGCAGGAGACTCGCTTCAACCTGGGAGGCAGAGGTTGCAGTGAGCTGAGATTTGTGTCACTGCACTCTGGCCTAGGGCACAGAGCAAGACTCTGTCTCAAAAAACAAAACAAAACAAAACAAAACAAAACAAAACAAAATGCGTCTCCAGAATTTCAGATATGTACTCTTGTTCCTTCTGTCTTTTTAATATTTACTTTACTTTTTAACGAAAATTATGTGTGGTGTGTGTGTGTGCATGTCCACGCACATGTGCTTCAAATAGGGGTGGTAGAAAGAAAAGTTTTTGCTGAGAACCAGGAGTTTTTAAGGCAATGTGGAATGAAACATCTGAGGATTGGCTGCCTTGGAAAAAGCTTCATGAAACATTTGCAAGTAGACTTCTATTTCTACTCCCATCTATCAGTCTTTGACATGTGGATTATCTGTAGGAGAGATATTTGACTGTTTTTATTCTTAAACAATTAGGTAAAGACATTCCTAGATCAGATCATACATTATTTCTCACTGACTTCTGTCGTTCTGGCCATGAAAGAGTCAGCAGGTGACTTGTCTTTGTTGATGAGTAGGATTTGTACTTCTCCAGTGGCCAGGAGGAATGGGAAAGATGAAGGCTAGCAAGAAGGCTGGACAGTGAGTTTCAGGGAGGGGAAGGGTTGGCAGCCCAGATTTTCAAAACCTTGAGCTTCACTTCTTAGCAAAGTCCTCCCCTTGCTGGAGGTAGAGTGGACTCGGTATTGGGGTAAAGTTCTATTGGCTTGAGACTGCCTGATGTAGACAACTTCCTTGGAACAATTCTGATTTCACAGTCGGGACCCACATGACAGTGTAAAACCCTATTCTCTAAGCATTATAAAGAATCATAGGGTTCATCAATCCAATGTCTCCTTTCTCACCATCGGGCATCCCTTTGCAAGTCTGAGGAAAGCCTTCTATTCTAAGAAAACTGTACATTCACACAGTATTTCACGCACCTTTTTTTTTTTTTTTTTTTTAAAGATTTCACAGGGTTGGTGAGAGAGGTCCTTAGACAACAGAGTTAGAGCTGTTGATACAATCCACTGGTTATAGTCCATTTCACACTAAGTAAAACTGAGGCCCTTGGAAGCAACAATATATCCCCAAGACCACAAAATAAGTTTATTTAAGAGCTTGGCTTAAAATCCAAATCTAGCTACTTCCACCTCAATTTTTTTTTTTTTTTCCACAATGTCAGGAGTATATCTCCTTAGCAATTTTTTTTTTTTTTTTTTTTTTTTTTTTTTTTTTTTAGTTTTTAAGGAAAGAAAAGCTGTAGCTTCTCTCAGCAGTTTTAAATCCTGGAAGGGCATTAGGCAGGGAAGTCTAGAGTAGTGAATTTCCCATTAAATTTCCCTCTTCCATTTTATCTTAATTTTCCAGTCTCCATTTTAGTTCCTTTAAAAATCTGTCTAGCCAATCTTTCTTCTCTCATGTCCAGGGCTTGTCAGGGATGTGACCACTTACCACCTGCTGACCCTTCACCATTTAGTATTTTGCAGCGTTGACCTCCCTGCTGAGCCAGAAAGCCTGGACCAGATTGAGAAGAAATGCGTGTGAGTGGTTGTCCTTTGTTCTGCTCTTGGCTCCTCACTCTGACCATGTGTTCCAGGCAGGACTTCCAATTAGAATGCCTCAAAGAAAAGAGCAGATTGGAGATGCTATGTCCTCCTCCGCCGCCAGCAGGCCTGGGGGTGGCATAATATGCTGCCCAAAATCTTACTGGGAAAGACTTGCTTCCAAGGAAAGAAAATGTGGCGTTTCAGCCCACAGGTAGAGAATAGGAGAAATGGAAAGTATGGCAGATCTGGGCAGGGTTCTGCTGAGATTGATCAATGTATTCATAGCCTTACAATGAAATGAATATGTCCTAAAGCTGAGTATAATCTTTTCTTATAATTGTTGCATATTTTATGTGCCATGTCTCTATGTGAGCTGAAAGGAGCTTAAGCCTTATTTTACCTTTGGTATACTCTCCAGAGATACTATATATTTTATACATGTATCTTTAGGTAAGAATGTAAGTGTCATAATACAGAGATTTAAGTTTTTGTTCACTGCTAAATTTCCAATGTCAGAATGGAACTTTAGCAGATAGTAAATACCAGGGTGATATTTAAAATATTTAACTACCAGTTCAACATGGGCAGCAAACAATCAGAAGGCTATAGACAATCTGTGTGCTGGCATGAATGTCAGTCCTAGTAAGCACTCAGTGAAATTTGGTTGAATGAGGTACTAGTTAATAAGAGGTACTATTCTCATATAGGTGATGAATATGTAATTTTGAATTGATTTTTGAGAGTTTACCCACTTAAAATAGGTATTGGGCAATTCACACACACATGCACATACTAAAATAGGTGCATGAATATACTTACATGTATATAAAAAATGGTCAGCCTAACAAAGAAATAGAAATAAAAATAATATACCTTTGTGTTGTTGTTTCTTTGAACTTCAAAGGCTAATAATATTCCCTGAATTGGCATGGATATGGGGACTGAATAGCTATAAATCTGTTATTCTACTCAGCCACTATATCCTGGAAAACAGCTTTATTCACATTGACCTGTAAGGGAGTAAATTGATAAAATATTACTGAATAGCAATCATACTGCAATTTGGTAATATGTTTCCCAAATCTTAAGTATATGTTGAAGAGTATTTGGCTGAGGAATTATGGCTCTAAAATTTTATTCTAAAGAAATACTTAAAGTAATTCTATTAATGTACAAGATTATATATTAAATATATAGGGATACTGATTGCAGCATTGTTAATAAATAAATTGGGAGCTGCTTAAATGTCCAACAACAGGAGATTGGTAAAGTGCATTATATTGCAGCTACACAAGTTGATCCTGTGCAGCTCTGTTATATGTTCATGAGGCCCCTGAATTGATGGCAACTTGCACATTGTGGTCACACAAACAGACGCAGACTGATGTTTTTTCACCAAATTGCTGTAACAAAAATTATGCCTAAGAATATATTAAGTTCAGAATGTACTGAGTAGAAAAAGAAAAAAAAAAGGAAAAAGCAGTATTTATAATCTTTTTATTTCTTGTTAAAAAAAAACACATACCTAGATGGAATGTTCGACACTTAAAAGAGATCAGATGGCACAAAATGTAGTCATATAGTTTGGATGTGTGTCCCCACCCAAATCTCACGTTGAATTGTAATGCCTAGTATTGGAGATGGGGCCTGACTGGAGGTGATTGGATCCTGGAGGTAAATTTTTCATAAATGGTTTAGCACCATCCCTTGGTGCTGTCCTCATGATTGTGAGTAATTTATTGTGAGATTTGGCTGTTTAAAACTGTGTGGTGCCTTGTTCTCTTGCTCCTGCTCAGGCTGTGTGACATGCCTGCTCCCTGTTTGCCTTCTGCAATGATTGTAAGTTTCCTGAGGCCTCCCCAGAAGCCAAGAATATGCCAGCATTATGCTTCCTATACAGCCTGTGGAGCCGTGAGCCAATTCAACCTCTTTTCAAAATTACCCAGTCTCAGGTATTTCTTTATAGCAATGCAAGAACAGACTAACACTTATAGATATAAGCTACTTGGATAGATATATAGATATATAAAATAGATAGATATAGTGCCTATAAAATAGTTACTATATAGTTATCTATGTACCACTATATAGATATAGAGGTAAGAAAAATCTGGAATAATACACTTCAATATGTTAATGGTGGTAATTTATTGGTAATTAGGGTAATAATATTTCTTTCTCTTTTATATCTTGGTTAATCCATATCTTCTAAGTTTTCTACAATTGCTATGTATTTTTTGTGAAGTTCAGAATAAATAATAATAAGTGGGAAAAAAGTAGCCCCAAGAGACATTTGTAAGAGCAAGTAGTCCTGCCCAAGTGAAGTGGCATGGGCTTTGGACCTGGACATATCCCAGTTTGATTTCTTGGCTTTTTCTGTGTGACCCTGGACAAAGCAGTCAACCATCTAACTTCTTATTTATCCATTGAATAGGTGAGTAACTCCTGCCTTGCAGAATGGTCTTAAGGATTCTCGGTGATTTGTATAAAGGTCCTCACATGCTATCCAGCACAAGATAGACCTTTGGTCAATTGTTATTGATTATTACTGGTGTTGGGAGACTATCCCTTTTTAAATTTGAAAGATATCAATCTTTGGCTTTTCTCTTTAAGATCCATCTTCATGAGCCCAGATTGGAAACCTGCCTATTAGGGAACTCAGTATTGTCATGAGTGGTAACCACGCAATGGCATTTTGATAAAGGAGCCGTGTGTTAGTCCACTTTGTATGGATACAAAGGAACATCTGGAGCTGAGTCATTTATAAAGAAAAGAGGTTTATTTGGCTCATGGTTCTGCAGGCTGCACAGGAAACATGGCACCAGCACCTGCTTCTGGTGAGGGCTTAGGAAGCTGACAATCATGGTGGAAGGCAAAGGGGGAGCAGATGTGTCATATGGCAAGAGAAGGGAGGAGGTGCCAGGCTCTTTCAAACAATCAGCTCTCATATGAGTGAAATACTGCAAGGACTCACCAATTACCACAAGGAGGGCACAAAGCTATTCATGAGGGATCCACCTCTATGACCCAAACACCTCCCACTAGCCCCCACCTTCCAAGTAGGGGGTCACGTTTCAACATGAGATTTGGCGAGGGGTACAGACATCCAAACTATGAAGCCCTGTATAATAAAAAGAATCTCAGTCTAGGAATAGTTTAAAAATGGGTTTAGGATTTTGAATTGCCATCCTTAGGTTAGGGGTATAGTACATATCTGCTCAAGTAGAGTACATTGTATCTTGAGGGTAACATCCCCTCCTTGACACATATATACATACATGCATATTATAGAGCACAGATCAATGGTTTTGTAAACCAAGAGGTGCTTTGTGCGCTGAGCTTTTTCTTTAAAACTAAAATAAGGCTGCCATGGTGGCTCATGCCTGTAATCCCAGCACTTCAGGAGGCGGAGGTGGGCAGATCACTTGAGGTCAGGAGTTTGAGAACAGCCTGGCCAACATGGTAAAACCTTATCTCTACTAAAAACACAAAAATTGGCTGGTCATGATGGCACACGCCTGTAATCCCAGCCACTTAGGAGGCTGAGGCACTAGAATCACCTAAACCCAGGAGGTGGAGGTTGCAGTGACCCAAAATTGCACCACTGGACTCCAGCCTGGGTGACAGAATGAGACTCTGTTTAACTAACTAAATAAATAAATAAATAAAATAATTGGCAAATGCACAGATATAAACATGGACCCACAGACACAAACATACATGCATACACATGTACATACCTAACTCTCTATTGCCATCACTAGAAGAACTGAGTGATACTGGAGTTTTTGTCCTCATCTTCTCTTCTTCCCATCCTTTGCCACATTTCTTTGCCTCCTGGGAATCAAAGTGACACTCCAAGGATATTTTCAGGGGACTAAGTGCACAATTCAGTGAGTAGAACAGATCTCTGAGAGTTGTCTTGTGGATATGAACTGAAGTTGTTCTAAATAAAGGTGTTGTTTGAGGGTGGCAGGGAAGAAAGAGGGCCCTCAGTCATCCTCAGTTTCCTACTTGTTCGCATGTGGCCAGTTCCACCCCTGTCAGACCAGGCTGTTTCTAGTTTGCAACTACAAAACAGAGTTGGTGTCAGTGCAAAATCCTCAGCCATTACCTTTTTTCACTTACAGCTGGTTTAACTAACCAATATAATTAAAATATGAAAGAACAAACAGCTCTTTAAATTTAAAAAAGAAATTGCTATGATATAAGCAAGAATATTATGTAGATTGTAGCAACTAATCACAATTAATACATCTTTATAAAGTTGAATCTGTAAAGATACGTTAACACCAAAGGTGGGGCTGTGAATTTTTTAGGCACAGTCAATTTAATTCTGTACTGGAACTTAATACCCCAACAAACAACTGCTTTTAATCTATCTTTATGGCATTATTATTAAAAGATAAGTATCATTTAAGGAAATGACTCTATCACTGTTTAGCTGTTCCCATAAAAAGCTTTCCTCTTTTACAACTTGTAATTTGGCTTCTGGAAAAACAGCAATACTGCAGGACAGGTAAGAATGAAATTCTTAGGATTTAAAATACTTTTTTGGTGTGGGGGGCTGTTGTAATTGAGTTAGGATTCAAATTTTTTTATATATGCATGAACTAATATGGGGAAATACGGTAGGAGTCCAGAAAACACAATTAAATACCTTTTTCTTACCAAATTTGTGTGTAAGCAGGCCTGAGTCTCCTCAATATTGGTAAGGAGTTAAAGGTTCTATTTAATGAATAAATGTATTTATCTAAACCCTGTCTTTATTCCTGGTGTCACTGACTTTACCACAAGATCCCAACATGTGTTCCATTCCCAGGTGGTCTAGTTCTATGCTAATTAAGATAACTCCCTATGGCAAGCTATTCCTTACACCCAGGGAAATTTCCTTAGGAGGGAGGAGCATGTAATAGGGAATCTGAGGCCTGCATGCAAGGCTCAACTATACCATTCATCAGCTATGGAACCACTGGTAAATAAACTACACTTTCTTTATCTGAATGTCTCATCTTAATATACATAGAAATATAATCCCCCATCTTGGCATACACAACATAGGTGTATTATAGTATTCTGTGAAGCATAATGTAGATGACATACCAAAACTGCAGAGCATTATATAATGTAAGCTCTGATTACAATTTGGTAAAGATTGGCCATTTGCACGGATGACATGTGAACTTGACTAGTGATGTAGCCAATCAAATTAATGTAGACAGACAGTCATCTAAGCAAGTCCTCAAAGAATAGCCCAGAGTTGGATAATTAGGGGTACCCCTGGATGAAAAATATTTTACCTTTCCGGGTCTCAGTTTTCTAAGTGAGTAAAAGAAATAATTGCATGTAAAGACTTAAAGACTTAACCAGCACTGAGTTTTAGAAGATAAAAACTATTTTCAAAAACAGTTATTGCCTATGTTGTTTTAAAGTAAGATATTTTTCACAGCTCTAATGTCCTTTGATCTTTTTTGTAATAGAAAGGGAAGCTACCACTGAGATCTGCTATGTTGGCATCACAGTGTCCAAAAGTATTCAATAACAGATAAATAGAAAATGAAAATAAAAAGATCAGAGTATCCCCTGGGAATCTGGCAAACAGCATCGTGCCCAGCCATTTCAATCACAGGCCAGTCTAGAGGTTCAGATGCAATAGGTTTCACTTAACTCACTGGGAGACTTGCACCTACTCCAGTTTCCCAAACTAGGTCCCCCTGATATTCAGGGTTTCATGTCTAACACAGAATTGGCAAGCCAGCTTTACCAACAGTCTCTGGGGTATAACTGGACTTCCAGTTCCTCAAAGAATTTTATGTTACAAAATGGCCCCACTGGGTGACCATAGAATTTTCACATTGCTACTACATGATGAAGCAGGGCAACTGTAATCAGATTTGAAAAATATGTCAAATGAATGAGTCTGATGGAAATTCTGCAAATTGTCCACATGGACCCCCTGGTAAAGTGGGTTGATTAAATGAATGACTAAACCATTTGATGAAATGAGGAGTTGGATAGCGTAGCAAACATTTATTGAGCACTTACTATACTTCAGGCACTATCTTGTATTTCACAAGCATCATTTGACTTACCCTCTGAACATCTATTTAAGGAAGGTGCTGTTAGCCCAATTCTCACCAACAAAGGAAAGAATTGAGGCATGGAGAGGTTAAGTAACTTGCCCAAAGCCACACCTACCCAGGAAGCTTCCTCCAGAGTGAATGAAGAGGCAGAATAGCAGCTAATTGCAGACGAGACCCAAAGCGCAAGTTTAACTCTGTTCAGCATTATGAGTGCTGAGCTGTACACAGCCTTTTCAACCAGACATGCACACCTCTGTGAACTGTAACACCTTTAATATCATTAAATTAATTTCATTAAATCCCTGCACAGAGGACACCTCATGCCTCCAAAGGAGGTGTTCAATGTTCTAGGTTTCAGGTGGCAAGTATAATTTGTTTTCTATTCCACTAGAAAGAAACAAGAATGACCATTTCACATTAACTTCACACTGAGCAGAGATGATAAAGGATGATCGATTCTTTTAGTTTCATGCTCTTTGGTACCATTTAAAATTTTAGTGTAGACTGAACAAAAATTGATTATAACACTTTGATAGTTCCACCAATCTGTGTGTGTGTGAGAGAGGGAGAGGAATGTGTGAATGCAAGCATGTGCCCATGAATCATGAGGTTATTTAAGGAGAGAGTATGCTTGGAAAAAAAAAAAAAAAAAAGCAAAGACTAAATAGAATAAATAGATTTCTAAGAATATTTCTGAAGTTTTCCAGTTATATTCAGATTGCTATTTATTACAGAAAACTGGGGCAGTCTTGCCTTATTTTCAGCACTTCTACGCAGAGTAGAGAATGACTGGTGCTAGAGCTGAATCGTAGCAGTGATTTTGTGTCATGGAAAATGATGTCAATACAGTTTGAAGTAGTTATGTTTGAATGGGATCTAATCCTTTGGGCAACAACAGTTGAGATATCGCCTAAGTGAAAAGTTGAACAAGTTCAATACGGGACTTATTTTAGCTCTCTAAACTATTGTTTCAAGCTTTACCTAACACAAAAGCTTTATGAGAAGTTTCTTTAAGTCTCTGCATTAGAATCTATTGTCACCTTGGTAGGAATTAGAATCTGAATGTAGAGCTGAAAAGAACCTTAATGAAAGCTGTGTAGTGTTGATATTGTTGGGTGTATTCCTATGGGCAGAAACTGTACATCATTTCAGAAGGCAGATTCCCATTCTCATGGGGCTGCCAGTGCACAACTCTAGGGGGACGCCACTCACATAGAATGCATGTCCTTCAGCTATTCAATGTGTCAGCTCGGGCAGGGTAGGGAGGGGGAGATTTTAAAAAGTGGGTTGTAGCAAAGTGGAAAGGTAATCTTGGTGACAGTTGAAATTAAAATGCAAGTTATAGAATTCTATCTATGAAATTGTGGCCAATATGTAAAAATTAAGTGTCTGTTTTTTCAACGACTAGAAAATGCCCTACAGGCCCGGCGCGGTGGCTCACGCCTGTAATCCCAGCACTTTGGGAGGCCGAGGCGGGCGGATCACGAGGTCAGGAGATCGAGACCATCCCGGCTAAAACGGTGAAACCCCGTCTCTACTAAAAATACAAAAAATTACCCGGGCGTAGTGGCGGGCGCCTGTAGTCCCAGCTACTTGGGAGGCTGAGGCAGGAGAATGGCGTGAACCCGGGAGGCGGAGCTTGCAGTGAGCCGAGATCCCGCCACTGCACTCCAGCCTGGGCGACAGAGCGAGACTCCGTCTCAAAAAAAAAAAAAAAAAAAAAAAGAAAATGCCCTACAAAGAAAATATTGATTTGGTTAAATGACAGGTTTATGGACAGTTTTGCCTTAAATTTATCTTTTTAATATTGCTATTTAAGTAAAATAATATTATTTTAAACAGCCATAGCCTCCAAGTTGCTGTGCACACTTATTTAGAGGAAAGGCATGCTTGAGGTTTTCTACTCGAGGAAAATCAGGCAGTCAAGCTCCATCATTTGACAACGGGAGAAATGAGGTCTAAAATGCTGAGGCCATTTGGTTAGGGACACACAAGCAGTGACCAAGTGGGATCTCAGCTCAGAGATTTCTACCCCTATAACAAGGTGACTTCCTACCATCTCTCACCCTTGGGAATTTTTCTCCTTCCTTACTAATCATTCATATTCTGATAACTTCTGCAGTAGGCTGAATAATGGCAATCCAAATATATCAGGTCCTAATTTCTGGAGCCTATAATTTTATCTTATTTGTAAAAAGAGTCTTTGCAGATGTAATTAAATTAAGAATATTGAGATGAAGGGATTATCCTATATTATCTGGGTGGGACCTAAATGTTATCACAAGTGTCTTTGTGATACTTGTGGGAAGAGATTCAATACAACACAGAAGAAGAGATACAAAGATGGAGACAGAGACTGCAGGGATGTGGCCACAAGCCAAAAACACCAAGGAAAAGTGGTAATCACCAGAAGCTGAAAGAGGCTTGCTTCCCTGCAGCCTCTGGGGGGAGCGGAGCTCCATCAACACCTTAATTCCTGGCTTCCAGGTTCTAGCACTATGAGAATAAATGTCTGTTGTTTTAAGCCAGTTTGGAATAATTTATAATGGCAGCCATAGGAAACTAATACAACTCCCAACTTTATTTCTCTAATGCTGACCTCTCTTCTGAATTGAGATTCAAATTTCTATCTTGTGGGTGACTCAATTGCAATTCCCAAATCCCCACTAGCTGCCTTCTCCCCTCCCCTCAATATGCTTCCTAGTTCAGGTAATCACTCACCAATTCTTAATCACACTGGGTTTTACCTCTTTTCTCTTATTCTCCACATCTGATTCTTCACATTTGGTATCCTGAAAACATTGTGTGGGTCATCACCCACTGCCCACTCCCAGCACTGCTAATCTGAGCTAGGTCCTTATCACTTACGTCTCATCTTAGCTTTTCGCATACTTTGTACTCCCATTCTCTAATTTGCTCTCTATTATACCAACAGAATCACCTTTCTAAAAATGGCAAAGATGGTAGATATCCCTATATTTGAAAATTCCTGTAGAATTAAGTCCAATATTAGAGCGTTGCTAAGACAGCAAGAAAGTGCAAGCTCTGGAGATGTGACCACCTGGGTTCCACTCTTCTGGACTCTGCCACTTACTAGCTTGGGGAGTTTAGGCAGGTTGCTTATCTGTATTTCATTCCTCCCTCTATAAATTGAGGATAACGTTAGTGCCTCCCTTATAAAGGGGCCATCAAGAATAAATAAACGGATATCTGTAAAGCCCTCAGAAGAGTATGTTGATCACCAATGGAATAGCAGAAAAAGTATGGTTTGTCAATAATAGCAATTATAATATCTAAAATAAATATTGGCTGTGTTTAATATGTCTCACTCTGTCACTCAGGCTGAAGTGCGGTGGCCCAGTCATAGCTTACTGCAAACTTGAAATCCTGGGCTCAAGCAATACTCCTACTTCAACCTCCTGGGTAGCTGGGACTACTCATGCCACCATGCCCAGGTAATTAATTATTATTATTATTATTATTATTATTATTTTTGTAGAGACAGGGTTTTGCTGTGTTGCCCAGGCTGGTCTCCAACTTCTGGCGTTAAGTCATCCCCCTACCTCAACCTCCCAAACTGCTGGGATTGCAAGTATGAGTCATTGCACCCAGCACCTTTGGAGTTTTTACATTCCAGTCATGTTTACTGTTACAATCTCATGTTATGCCAACTTGTCTGTATTTGTCAGTTTTTTTTCCAAAGAAATGGGACCAATGGGAAATACATATATTACAGGTTGAGCATCCCTATTCCAAAAGTCTGAATCTGAAGTGCTTCCAACTCTGAAACTTTTTGAGGAACAATATGACACCACAAGTGGCAAGTTCCGCACCTGATCTCATGTGATGGGTCACAGTCAAAATGCAGTCAAAAATTTGTTTCATGCACAAAATTATTTATTAAAATATTAAAATAGAAAATGACCTCCAGGTTATGTGTATAAAGTGTATATACATAAATAAATTTCATGTTGAGACTTGGTTGCCATTCCCACAATATCTCATTGTGTATATGCAAATACTTAAAAAAAAAAAAAACAACCCAAATCCCAAATCTGAAACACTTCTGGTCCCATGCACTTCAGGTGAAGGATACTCAACCTGCATAAGGAATTGCTCATCTAATTACCGAGACTGAAAAGTGCCAAAACCTGCAGTCAGCAAGCTGGAGACCCCATAAAGCAGATAGCATAGCTCCAGTTTGAAGGCTGGCAGACTAGACACCCAAAAGAATCCATATTTCAGTTTGAGTCTGACAGCAGAAAACAACCAGTGTCCCAGATTGAAGAGACTTGGGCAGATGGAGTTCCTTTTACTCAAGGGAGGGTCAGCCTTTTTGTTCTATTCAGGCCTTCGACTAATTGAATGAGGCCCACCAACCTTAGGGGGAGTAATCTGCTTCACCTAGTCTACTAATTCAGATGCTAATCTCATTCAAAACACTCTCGTAGAAGCCCCTAGAATAATGTTTTACCAAGTATCTGGGCGCTCTGTGGACCAGTCAAGTACACACATAAAATCAACCATCACACCTTCCTAACCACACTCTGTGCCAGCTCAGCAGACTCTTGGCAATTTCCTCAACAGAGCTGGCCCTCTTGTGTCTTCTTGCCTTGGCTCATATTGAATTTCTTTCTTTTTTTTTTTAGATTATTTCATTCTTCATTCACATTGTTCCTCTGCTGTGTCCTGGAAAAGCCCTATTTATTCTTCACAACTGAGTTCAAACCTTACCATCTTCTCTACTTGTGAACTCAATTCTTTCTCCTTCCATAATGACATTAGACTATTCCTATCTCTGTTTCCCAAAAGCATTTAATGCATGGAATGGATCACATTGTTTTAAAATTAGATATGCAGCCGTCTATTAAAGTCAGACATTATAGAGGACAGAAACATAGCTTTACATTTTGTTTCTTAGTATTCCTAGTGCCTGACCCAGTGCCTGGTATATCCTAGATGCACAATACATATATGTTGAACTAATCCGTGGCCCTTTGTGAAAACAGAAAAGATGAGCCTTTCTAGTGAGCAAATTGAAGTTCCAGTCAACTGCAGATTTGCCATTCCCTAAGTGAAGTTTTTCCCAGAAGGCATTCTGCCACTCATTCCCTGCAGAGGGAATTTGGGGACGACCAGCAGGAGTACCCTGGCTGAGCTGAATTACTGTGATGGTGCCTAGGGAGAGAGGCAATCTTTGAGGCACCCAGGCGGTAACCTTTATTTAATTGGCAAGATGGAAATCAATGACACATATGGCATTAACAATTTTAGATTCTGGATTAGTTTGCAGTGATATCTGTTGATTAAAAAAATAGATTCAAATAATCTTCAAACCATTTTCATGTCCAGGAAAAATCCCAAGGCATTTGTTACATTTCTTAATAAGAAATCAGATATTTAAACTTGCATAAAGAACAAAAACAAAAATCCAGCAATTACATAAAAAGTTATCTAAAAAGATATATATGTTAAATAAAACATATAGGTTGTAAAAATATGATTCCCCTGCCTTTGTTTTTCTTGCCCAAGAAATATGTCTATTACCCTTTATTTTTTATTTTAAATTTTAAAAAATATTGAAGATAAACAATATTGGTGCATATCAATCAAGTTGCTGAAAAACACTCCTCCAAACCAAAATGAAATAGCTATTTGTCTTAGTAATTAACTACATCATTTGAGGTTTGCTGCAGGAAACAGAAACTGCCTTAGGTATTTTAAACAGAAAGGAATTTAATGCAGGAAATTAAGAGCTTAGAAAATTACTGGGAAGGCTGGAGGCGTGGATGTCAGGGGACACTGAGGAGACAGCTCAGTGGCCAAACACCGCTACTGCATTGCTGATGCTGCATCTGCCACCACTAACCCTTGACACCCAGAAGCTGCTGACTCAACATGGGAATGTGTCCCTTATCACTCACATCTCCATGACCTCACTTAACAGAAGAAACAGCAGTAGTAGCACAGTCTTGTTGAAGAGTCAATATGACATACACTTTGGAAGACCAATCTACAGCATTTGTGTACTTTGTTATATAAACTTAGAAGAGAAACTTACAGATCTAGTCCAAATCCTGTATGAGAACGTTTTAGAAACTGATACTCTGTGTTCTCAAAAGAACTTTTTAGTTTGTAAAATAACTAAGCTAACACAAAAGATCAGTTTGTCAAGTCAGACTTTCACAAGTCAAGGATCTTCCCCAGTTTCCAGCTTTATTAATAATCCCAAAAAGATATAAGCACTCAAAAGGTGCATGCAAAGCACAGGACAGGTCTGGGACTTTGATGGAGGCTCCCTGTGACTTTCTACACACACACACACACACACACACACACACAAACACACACACACACACCATGATCAGATGAAGTCTCTAATGGAAGGATGCAGGTTGCCTCACATAGCAGAAAACATTTTGGTTATAAAATATCTCCATTTTATACCCCAGATGGTCACCTAATTTATGTGACATTTTCAAGGAAATTCATAAGTCCTGGGTTTGTTTACCTTAACCCTAAACCAGGTTTATCCTACTAAGATGATATTATGCAATCAATACAAACTCCCTTCCTGAGCAATATCAGTAGTATATTTACCAAGAGGTTCAGCTTGTTTGTAAGGAAATAAGACCAGGTTTAAACCACCTTTGCAAAATTGTGACAGTAAGAAATATGACACATTGCTTGACATATGACAAGCAAGTTGACCCCATCTTGCTTCTGATCTCCAAGCTGTCCTTGGTCATTCCTGGGTGTAGGCCAACCTAACTTTGGGAAGAATTTAGTTTATGGTTTAAACTTAAAACAAAGATGGTAACAGCCCCTCCCAAAACTAAAGCTCCCTTTGTAAAACTAACAAAAGGCTTCAAGGTTAAAATTACAAGAGGGGGCTGAATTCTGATAAGCATGGTTTGTATAATCCCTTACTGCTGAGGGGTCATGTGGCCAGAGGTCGCATGATTTATGACTTCCCCCAGTTGCTCCTATAGATAACATCACTATTGTAGAACCTAAGAATGGTTTTCAAGATATCTTTCAGACTGACCCCACCTGGACTCATGACTTGTGACTCAACTGATCTGTGGCCCCACCCAGATGTGGACTCAGTGCCTGAAGACCATTTTCCACACCCCTGTGAGTTTATCCCCAACCAATCAGCAGCACTCATTCCCTAGCCCCCTACCCACCAAATTGTCCACAAAACCCCTAACCTCTGAAACTTCAGAGAGACTGATTTGAGTTATAACTCCAGTTCTCTTGCATGGGCCAGTGGGCCAGACTCATATCAATTAAACTATTTCTCTAATGCAATGCCATGGTCTCAATGGATTGATTTTTGTCTGTGCAGCAAGCAGGAAGAGTCTGTTGGGTGACTATAAGGTTACCAACATTTTTTTCCCCCTGGGGAAGGACCCTTTAGGAATGAAAAGAGAAAGAGGTCACAGACCCACTATTTTAAGTCCTTCCTCCCCAGTATGAAACCTACAGAAAAGCTGGAAGAATAATAAAATAAACTCACCTAGATTCACTATTGAGAATATCTTACATCATCTCCTCTCTCTGTAATATGTGTATATATTTATATATCTCAGATTAGATTCCCCTAAAACAGATCCTGAGATGAGGATTTGGGTGAAAGTGATTTGTTAAAAATATGATCATAGAGGAAAAAGGAAAGAAAATTGTTAGGAGCAGGAGGAAGTTAAATAAGGGTGTGATTTCAGGTGAGTTGAGACTTGCCCTAATCCTATGTAGATTTCTGATACCACAATGGCAGAATGCTAGGAGAAAAAGCACAGAGGTGGTGAATAGACACACAGAAATAGTAAAATGAATCTAAGAGGATATAAGCAGAGTATCAACAATGTCAAAAAAAAGTTTATGCGTGTGTGTGTTTGTGTTGACATATACTGCACATATACTTTTATATTTTGGTGAACCATTTGAAAGAAAGCTGTAGGCATCCTTGACACTTTGCCACTAAATACTTCTGCTTTTACTGCGTCTCCTAAATAACCTGCATAACCATGATACCATGATCACATTCAAGAAATTTAACATTATTATCTCATATTAATCTAATATATAAAGTCCATATTCAAATTATTCCAGTAATGCTTTTTTGAACTTTTTTTTGGATCCAAGATCTAATAAAAGATTGCACATTTCATTAAGTTGTCATATCTCTTTAGACCACTCTAACCTGCATTAGATTTGTTCTGTCAACGTTTTGTCTTTTATGAAATTAATAGTTTTGCAAAGTCCAGGCAAGTTGTTTTTTAGAAGGTTCCACAGTTTATATTTGTCTGATTGTTTGCTCACAATCAATGCAGGTTAAATAATTTTGGAACAGTACAAATAGGTGATATTTTGTTCTTCTCAGTGTATCATATCAGGAGATATATAATGCCAGTCACTCCACAGTTGGTGGTATTTAATTTTGTCAGATGGTTGAGATGTCTACCAGATTATGACACTCTCAAAGTGTGATATAACTCAAGCTATTTTAGAATTTCTTCTCCATACCACAATTCTTTCCCACCTCTCTTACTGACAATGCCTTCATCAATTTCTAATTCTCCAGATACATAGTTTTGAAGTCATCAAAAATAAGCAAAACCCCTTTAATCTAAGCCTACACACTCATAATCTGTTCTCTTGCTAATCCTAAATTTCACTTTTGTATTATTTTTAGTGATATTCTTTTCTCTCAGTTATACAACCACAATACTAGTTTATTCCTTAAAGTTTTAGTCTATTAACTCCTGAAAAAATGTATAGGCCACACTCTTATCTTCCATCACCACACCACCTTCTACCTTTTTTGGTTCCATTCTATATGTATTCAATAATAAAGTTAATGTTTCGGAAAGATATTTAGCTGCTAATGTGGTAGCTGTAAGAACCTGATAGGTCATATTCTTTGTATTAAATGTAGTTGATACGAAAATTATCTTTCAAGTAAAACTAAACTTTAATTGTGAGATTTCATGCTATTCATCAGTTTCACCTACTATATCTGTTTTAGGGTTCTCTAGAGGGGCAGAACTAATAGGATATGTAATATATATATAATATATATATTATAATATATATAATATAATATATAAAATATATAAAAATATATATATATAAATATATAGTAATATATAATATATATAAAGGGGAGTTTATTAAGTATAAACTTACACAATCACAAGGTCCCAAAATAGGCTGTCTGCAAGCTGAGAAGGAAGGAGAGCCAATCTGAGTCCAAAAACTGAAGAACTTGGACCAATGTTCAAGGGCAGGAAGCATCCAGCATGGGAGAAAGATATAGGCTGGGAGGCTAGTCTAGTCTCGCCCTTTCACATTTTTCTGCCTGTTTTATATTCGCTGGAAGCTGATTAGATGGTGCCCATCAGATTAAGGATGGGTCTGCCTTTCCCAGCCCACTGACTTGAATGTTAATCTCCTTTGGCAACACCCTCACAGACACACTGTGGATTAATACTTTTTATCCTTCAATCCAGTCAGGTTGACACTCAGTATTAAGCATCACAAATCTACCCCTTGTCAATTTGAACCCATACATACCTCCTGAGGTCATATATAATCTTTAAATACAGACAATAAAAAGATCATAATTATGCCTAACATAATACAACTGTCCTTCATCCAACCAAAAATGCACCAATCCCCAACCCAAAATACGATTACACAAAATTAACAATACTTAAATGCTGATATGAAGTCAATAAATCTTATGTCACATGATAAAGGACAAAGAAAGAAAATAAAGATATTTTCTTAGTACAAGTGTATAAATGCACAAACATATTTTTAACAAAAGAAGGGAGGAAATACTCATGATAGTCACAGTCTTCGTTTCTGCAGCTGGTCACATGGTCGTAGCTGGTACTGATGACTACCTGCTTCTACTACACATTCTGTATTCCCTTTGCCTTCAGGAAGCACCTCAGCAGGTCGTGGGTTTTTTTCCTGGTGGGGTGACCCAAGCCTTCGTTCCTGAAGGATCTGGGTCATTTGTACTCCTGCCTAGATTGGGTTGTTGTAGTTTTCCATTGACCTTAATCACAAGGCACGGTAATACTAAGAGAGCCCTAATGGATCTTCTGTGTTCCATACACACTCTTCCTTACCTCCATTATGGAGTAGAAGACTGATTTCATCTTGATAGTCTGGGTCAGTCACCCCAGCCAACACTGTGACTCCCTTCTTAGCCTGTTGACTTAAAGGTAGGAGGAGCCCAAAGTGTCCACGTGGCAGTCTTAACTTCCAGTTTACTGGAATTGTTGTTTTTGTGTTTCCTTGTGGCAGTGTTCCTCCCTCTGGAACTAAAACCACTAGGCCAGTAGAATGTAATGTCAGAGGAAGCAAAAATTTTCCTAGTGGATCACTAGGGGTGATGGTGAGTGGTGCCACTGGTCATTTGTACTCCTACCTAGATTGGGCTGTTGTAGTTTTCCATTGACCTTCATCACAAGGCATGGTAATACTAAGAGATGCCATAATGGATCTTCTGTATTCCATGCATACTTTTCCTTATCTCCATTATGGAGTAGTAGACTAATTTCATCTTGATAGTCTGTGTCAGTCACCCCGGCAACACTGTAACTCCCTTCTTAGCCTGTTGACTTAAAGGTAGGAGGAGCCCAAAGTGTTCAGGTGGCAATCTTAACTTCCATTTTACTGGAATCATTGTTGTGTTTCCTTGTGGCAGTGTTCCCCCCTCTGGAACTAAGACCTCTAGGCCAGTAGAACATAATGTCAGAGGAGGCAAAAATTTTCCTAGTAGATCACTAGGGGTGATGGTGAGTGGTGCCACTTCCACACTTTGATTCCTGGACCTGTGAATCCTGGCTATGGGAGAAACATATGGATGCCGATTCAGAGCATACACAGCCTTCTGGAGAACCTTGCCCCAGCCCTGCAAAGTATTATCACCTAGTTGGCGTTGTAATTGTGACTTCAAAAGACCCTTCCACATGCTTCAGGATGATGGGGAACATGGTAAGACCAGTGAATTCCATGAGCACAAGCCTATGGCTGCACTTCTTTAGCTGTAAAGTGAGTGCCTTGGTCAGAGGCAATGCTGCGTGGAATACCATGACTCACAGAAGGCAGTCTTGGTAGAAGCACTGTGTGCAGGATAGGCAAACCCATATCCAGCGTAAGTGTCTATTCCAGTGAGGACAAACCTCTGCCTTTTCCATGATGGAAGAGGTCCAATATAATCAACCGGCCACCAGGTAGCTGGCTGATCACTCCGAGGAATGGTGCCATATTGAGGGGAGGGCTCAGTGTTGGTCTCTTCTGCTGGCAAATTGGGCACTCGGCAACTGCCATACCCAGGTCAGCCTTGATGAGTAAAAGTCCATGTTGCTGGGCCCATGTGTAACTTCCATCCCTGCCACCATGGCCACTTTGTTCATGGGCCCATTGGGTGATGACAGGGGTGGCTGGGGAAAGAGGCTGAGTAGTGTCCACAGAATGGGTCATCCTATCAATAACTTCAGTTTTTGACCACTCAGAAAGGTCCACCCACGTATCTCTTCCTCAGATATCTTTGTCACCAATTTTCCAATTATGCTTCTTCCAAGTCCCTGACCATCCAGCCAAACCATCGGCTACAGCCCATGAATCTGTAAATAATTGCACATCTGGCCATTTCTCTTTCCATGCAAAGTGCACAACCAGGTGCACTGCTTGAAATTCTGCCCACTGGGAAGATTTCCCTTCAATGCTGTCCTTCAGGGATGCCCTAGAAAGGGGGTGTAGTGCTACATCTGTCCATTTTCAGGTGGTGCCTGCATATTGCGCAGAACCATCTATGAAACAGGCCTTAGTCTTCTCTTCTTCTGTAAACTGATCATAGGGAACTCTCCATGAGGGCATCAGTGCAGGCTGGGGGAGAGAAGGCAGGTGGCAGGAGTAGAGACCATAGGCATGCCACTTTCTCATGTAACTTACTTATGCCTTCAGGACCTGCTAGAGCCCGACCACGTATATACTACGTTCATTTGATGATGGAATGGTGCTGTGCATGACCCACTTCACGGCTAGATAGGTCAGAAAGCACCCAGTTTATGATAGGCAGTTCAGGTCACATGGTGGCTTGATGACCCATAGTCAAATGTTCAGTTTCCACCAAAGCCCAGTAACGGGCCAAGAGCTGTCTCTGAAGAGGAAAATAGTTATCTGCAGAAGATGGCAGGGCCTTGCTCCAAAATCCTAGAATCCTGTTCTGTGATTCACCTATGGGGTCCTGCCAAAGGCTTCAAACAGCATCTGTATCTGCCAATGACACCTCAAGCACCATTGGATCTGCTGAGTCTTATGGCCCAAGTGGCAGAGCAGCTTGCACAGCAGCCTGGACCTGTTGCAGAGCCTTCTTCTGTTCTGGACCCTACTCAAAACTGGCAGCCTTTCAGGTCACTCAACAAATGGGCCACAGTAACAGACCCAAATGAGGAATGTGTTGCCTCCAAAATCCAAATAGGCCCACTAGGCATTGTGCCTCTTTCTTGGTTGTAGGAGGGGCCAAATGCAGCAACTTATCCTTCACCTTAGAAGGAATGTCTTGACAGGCTCTACACCACTGGACCCCTAGAAATTTTACTGAGGTAGAAGGTCCCTGAATTTTAGTTGGATTTATTTTCCATCTTCTGGCATGCAAGTGTCTCACTACTAAGTCCAGTGTGTTTGCTGCTTCTTGCTCACAGGACCCAATCAGCATAATGTCATCAGTGTAATGGACCAGTGTGATATCTTGCGAAAGTAAAAAGCGATCAAGGTCTGTCCAAATAAGATTATGACACAAAGCCAGAGAGTTGATATACCCCTGAGGTAGGACAGTAAAGGTATATTTCTGGCCTTGCCAGCTGAAGGCAAATTGCTTCTGGTGGGCCTTATGGACAGGAATGGAGAAAAAGGCACTTGCCAAGTCAATCGTTATACCACGTACCAGGAGATGTGTTAACTTGCTCAAGCAATGAAACGACATCTGGTACAGCAACTGAAGTTGGAGTCACCACTTGGTTAAGCTTACAAAAATCCACTGTTATTCTCCAAGATCCATCTGTCTTTTGCACAGGCCAAATGGGAGAGTTGAATGGGAATGTGGTGGGAATCTCCAACCCTGTGTCTTTCAAGTCCGTGATGGTGGCACTAATCTCTGCAATTCCTCCAGGGATGTGATATGGTTTTCGATTTACCATTTTTCTAGGTAGAGGCAGCTCTAATGGCTTCCATTTGGCCTTTCCCACTATAATAGCCCTCATCCTACCAGTCAGGGAGCCAATGTGGGGGTTCTGCCAGCTGCTAAGTATGTCTATGCCAATTATGCATTCTTGCACTGGGGAAATGACCACAGAATGAGTCTGGGGACTGACTGGACCCACTGTAAGTCAGACCTGAGCTAAAACTCCATTAATTACCTGACCTCCATGAGCCCCTACCTTGACTGGAGGACCACAGTGACACATTGGGTCCTCTGGAATCATTATCAGCTCAGAGCCAGTGTCCTGTAGTCCCTGAAATGTCTAATCATTTCCCTTTCCCCAATGCACAGTTACCCTGGTGAAAGGCTGGATGTCTCCTTGGGGAAGGATGGGAGAACGATTCACTGCATAAATTGTCAGTGGTGTAGTGGGGTCCTTCCTCAAGAGGACTCAGCCTCCTCTTCATTCAAGGGGTTCTAGGTCTGTAAACTGGCTCAAGTCTGGAAATTGATTGAGGGGGATTATCTGTTTTTATAATTCAAATTAGTCTTTTGTCCATTCGACTTAGAAGTTTCCTGCTTGTATAAATTAAATAGGAATGCAATAGGCTTCCTGTCAATTTCATTTCTAGGAACACCATAATTAATTAGCCAATGCCAGAGCTATATATGAGTCAAACTATTCTGATTGCCGCTTTGCCTCTGCTGTCCATTACGGTAGCTACACCCCCCTTGCCTTTGACGGTTGAGTGCCGCCACTTGGTTTGGGATCCAATTATTCCCATTGTATTTAAATTTTGTAGTTGAGTGACTGCAGTTCCCACCATTAGATCTGACATACAGAAAATAGCAATTACAGGGTTCTTCAAAGATGCAGGTGCTACCCTCACAAATCTATTTCACAAGGCATTGGTCAAGATTATATTTCTGGACCCTCTCAGCTGGGATGAGTAGGTCTAAAGTGACTAATTCACTATACCATCCTAATCTCCCTAAGCCTTTGCATCCCTTCCACTACATTAAATCAAGGAGACCAGGCATTTCCAGCTTGCTCACAGTGAACCATCTTTAAATCCATCTTTCAGCTAACCAAGCAAATAAACTATTAAAACCTTTTTTAACTCCTTGAGCTGCAACATTAAAAGCAGAGTCCCACTTAGTGGGCACGAATCAATAAATTCAGCCTGATCCAACTGTATGTTCCTTCCACCATTACCCTATACCCTTAATATCCATTCCCATCCCTGTCCTTCAGATTTCTGTTTATATAAATTAGAGAATTCAAACAGTTCTTTTCAAGTGTAACACATCTCCTCATGGGTCACACCCTCAACCTCATCTCCAGGGGCCCACTGGGACTTTAGTCTAGTTATAGATCTAGAAGCAAACAGGAATGTTGAGGGTGACTCCTGAAGAGAATCAACATTATTTGCCTGGCAACTGCCTCAGGGGAGGCCATCATTGTTGCCTCTGACAGTGCAGGGTTTATCTCCTCAGACAAAGTGGAAAGACTAATGGCAGCATGGGTTGCGGAGGGGATGTTGCCACTACTGGGGACAGGGAAACTCTCCTGCTGGCAAAAAAGGTTCATCAGAGTTTACAAACTCAGTGTCCCCAGCTTCATCAGCGTCCTCCCGCATGTCCCCATTCCAAGTTTCAGGGTCCCATTCTTTTCCAATCAGTGCTTTCAATTTAACAGTAGACACCTGGCGAGGCTGTACATGCATTTTTCATTACAGGTCAGCCGCTCTTATGATAAGAGCTTGTGTCTGTTTTTCCACAATTTCAGCTCTTTCTCTACAGGAGTTAAGACTCTCACTTGGGGCAGTCTTAGCATATTTGAAGCTGAAGCTGGGAGACAGAATCCCTGAATTCATCATTCTCTTCATCACTTTGTCCACTGAAATTACGAGCAACCAACCAGCTTCATTATGTTTCTTGGTTCTCCAAATATGTTCAAAGGTATTATGTATAGAGTCACTAAACTCCTTGCCTCTCATAAGCGGTGAATCAGGAGTGTCAAATTTACTTATTTTGCATAACTCTCTGAACAGTTCACACCAAGGACTATTAGAGTTCCCCATACTATTATAAGTAGAGTCCTTAGCATTTTTGGGTCTAATCATATTAAGCAGCCAACTCCAGAAACCCCAAAACCAACAAAATAACTCCATCCTTAATATTCTGTTCCTCTAGATCCACTCCTGGTACCAAAATCTGTATTAGTCAGGGTTCTCTAGAGGGACATATATAGCCTATTAGTTCTGTCCCTCTAGATATCGTAACCATGTAAGTTAATACTTAATAAACTTCCATATATATATGTGTGTGTGTGTGTGTGTGTGTGTATATATATATACACATATATACATATATATATGTGTACAAGGTCCCACAATAGGCTCTCTGCAAACTGAGGAGCAAGGAGAGCCAGTCTGAGTCCCAGAACTGAAGAACTTGGAGTCCGATGTTTGAGGGCAGGAAGCATCCAGCATGGGAGAAAGATGTAGACTGGAAGGCTAGGCAGTCTCTCCTTTTCATGTTTTTCTGCCTGCTTTCATTCACTGGATGCTGATAAGATGGTGCCCACCAGATTACCGGTGGGTCTGCCTTCCCCAGCCCACTGACTCAAATGTTAATTTAATTTGGCAACACCCTCACAGACACACTTTGTATCCTTCAATCCAGTCAAGTTGACACTCAGTATTAACCATCACAATATCCAACTAAAATTTTAGTTTACTTCTGATCCAAAAAGAGAAAACTATCTCCTATTGTTTTAGATCTTAATTGGTGCTCTCCTATTTAATTTTAACTTTTTTTCTATCCCAAGGAATTTTTGCATTTTTAATCTGTAATTGTCCTTAAACTCTGTGTTAGTTTGCAAGAGCAGCTTTAATGAAGTACCACAGACTGAGTGGCTTCAACAATAGCAATTGGTAATCTCATAGTTCTAGAGGCCAGAGTCCAAGATCAAGGTGTCAGCTGGGTTAATTCTTTCTGAGGCTATGTGGAAGAATCTTCTCTATGTTTCTCCCATAGCCTCTGGTGATTTGCTGCTAATCTTTGGCATTCCTTAGCTTATAGAAGCATTACCCTTTACCTCTCTTAAGCTCCACCTAGCATCCTTCCTGTGCATGCCTCTTTCCAAATTTCCCCTTTGGGACAATTTCCCCTTTGGTTCCCCTTATGGACACCAGTCCACATTGGATTAAGGGCTCACCCTAGTCCAGTGTGACGTCATCTTAAGGAATTACATTCAATAACCCCATTTCCATGTAAGGTCACATTTTGACATACTGGAGGTTGGAGTTTAACACATAAACTTTGAGGGAAAGACACAATTCAGTTCATAACAAACACTTATATAAACTCCTACTGTATGCACATATATGAGCTATTACTTTCTACTTCTTTGATGTAGTTAAAACATTGTTTATAATGTCTTGCCTTTCTTATTTAATCCTATGTAGTTCTTTTGATTTAAAATATTTCACTAAAATTTCCTTCACACCTACCATCTGCTATCGTAGTAAAACTGGATCCTTACTTATGCCTATAAGCACTGATTGTGCTTATATACTAAGTGGGTATCATTCATTTTTCAACTGAAAGGAGCCCATTTCATGTAACAACAGTTGTGGTTGGATCTGGGACCTCAGATGATGGCAGCAGGGTATTGCCTCTCTCGGCTTCCATAATCTAATTTCTCCCACTTTGACTGCATTTTCAGACATAATTTTTCCCCATGTAGCCATTTGACATGGCCAGGTCTGTATTGATACCCTACATACTCACCAACCCAATGGAAATAAAATGCATGTTCATTTCTGAAACAGTTCTGCGGGCTCCTGACTGTGCATCCCATTGTTCAAGCAGAGATCACATATTTGTCTGTGAGCCAATCATTATACGTGTGCAATAGGTCAAGCTCTGGAGATGCAGGCCAAGTGTGCAATGAGGATAAATTTTACCCAAAGGAAAGTTTTACCCAGGCCTTTTTATTTTTTTGTACAAGAAAGTAGTGGATGCTGAGAAGACAAAACAAACAAACAACTCACCGTATGTTCACTATATGCTTATGCTTCTTTAATTGTTTTATTGGCACCTTCCATATGAAAATATATGCATTTACACAAATGTACTCAAGTGTCATAATTTCTGTAGCAAGTGTGGTTGGTGTTGTAGCAAATGAAGTGGATTTAATTCTCTAAATCTTGATTAAGAGAGTTTTCAGAAACATACCTCTCCAGGGCGAAGTGCAGCATGTTTTTATCTTGTAGAAATAATGCATGGATTATCCAGTACTTTGAATATAAAATGTACAATATAAATGTATCCTTTAATTATGATCCTGAAAGTAATATCTGTTTTCCCTTTCTATTAGGAATAACATCAGGTAACAGAAATAAAATGTAATGAAAGAGAGCAAAATTGATCATACTGGGACCAAATGAGGAATAGGGGCAAAATAGCTAGGCAGATTTTTTCCTCTTGGACACAAAAGCAAATCCAAACATGAGTTCAACTTGCTAAAAATAAATCACATCCACTTTCTTCACAGGCTTCTTAATGTATTGCAAAAAATGACCTTTAAACTACTGTGTGAGATAGCAGCTGACTAGAAAATTACAGGTATTAGCAGGATAACCAGAGATTAGAGTATTTAGAGTATTGCAAAAAAAAAAAAAATACTAAGAGACAGATGTTAATAATTTGCTAACTCAAAAGACAGCTACAATAAAACCCTATATTGTAGTGTTTTTAAAGGATGATTGGGGGATTCATGATAATATACTGTACCTAGAAATCTAAATGCAAATAAATAAAATTACCTTTTTGAGAAATTTGCCATAAAAATTTGATTTTTAAAAATCACAGAAAATTACTGATTACATTTATCAAGTATTGGCCTTTGCCCCAAAGATTTTTAAGTGTAATGCTTTCCTTCATTATACATATCTAACATGCATGTTTACATCTTTTGAAAGACATTCCTAAAATAAAGACAACATAATGATTATAGTCTGTTCACTGTTAATCCTTAGACAAAAGGGCAACATGAACTACTGGGTAAAACCCTAAATTGAATATTAGGAATCATGACTTACAGACATCACTACTAATTTTCACTTGATCCTGCACCAATCATTCAATCATCATTTTCTTCTTCTTCTTCTTCTTCTTCTTCTTCTTCTTCTTCTTCTTCTTCTTCTTCTTCTTCTTCTTCTTCTTCTTCTTCTTCTTCTTCTTCTTCTTCTTCTTCTTCTTCTTCTTCTTCTTCTTCTTCTTCTTCTTCTTCTTCTTCTTCTTCTTCTTCTTCTTCTTCTTCTTCTTCTTCTTCTTCTTCTCCTCTTCTTCTTCTTCTTCTTCTTCTTCTTCTTCTTCTTCTTCTTCTCCTTCTTCTTCTCCTTCTTCTTCTCCTTCTTCTCCTTCTTCTTCTCCTTCTTCCTCTTCTTCTTCCTCTTCTTCCTCTTCCTCTTCCTCTTCTCCTTCTTCTTCCTTCTTCCTTCTTCCTTCCTTCTCCTTCTCCTTCTTCTTCTTCTTCCTCCTTCTCCTTCTCCTTCTTCTTTCTTCTTCTCCTTCTTTCTTCTTCTCCAGCAGAGTTATCTCTGGGCAAAAGTGGAAGGAAATAGTGAGTTCTGGCACCAGCCAGACATGGGTCCCAAACACACTGTCCTGCTGAAGTCTGCAGGGGCTGTGTAAGGGGACCATGAGGCTCAGAGACCCCAGCACCAGCCTGCTTGAGCTTGAATTCTGCCTCTGGCACTTTTTTTGTGGTGTGGTCTTTCACTAATTACTTAACTTTCTATGCCAGGGTTTCTTCATACTCCAAATGGAGATAATTCTTGTTCCTGGAGTTATGAGAAGTAAAAGGCTTAATATTTTAAAGGAATTGAAACATTGCCAGGGGAAGAATTTGCTGTAACTTGCTATTTAAAAACTCTTGGATAACTAAATCCTGTTTACCTCTTTAGTAAAAGACAGTCTGGATGATGTAGTGCCATATAGTTCATAAAGTACCTAAATGCTTTACCCACCTCGGCCCCCCAGTGCATAACAGCTACTTTCCAATGGATGTGAATTTTCCATGATGATAGCGGGACATGGGACAATGGTGGTGTTGTCTCCCTTGATGACAACCTCAAGTTTTAATGATGTCTCTAAACATCCTATTTTCACCATTGTCCTCATATACTTTTAATGCTTATTGTAGATCCATATGAATTCAGTAAACACTTATTTTGACTTATTTTATGTGTGATTCTGTCAGGCACTGGAATGGGAGGCAGATATAAGAGAAGAGCATGTACTTGATGCCTCTACTGGGAATCATTTCTTGCCCCCATCTAATCTGTGTAATCCTCATATGTTCTTTGCTTTAGTCAGCATCACCATCCCCTCGGTTCTTGAGGACCTCTTCCTTCCTCTCCCTTTCCCTCCATATGCAACCAACAGTGAAGTCTCATTAAGACTCTATCCAGAGCCTCTGCCCCCACTGCCACTGTCTCAGCTTTGGTTCATGTTATCCTTTTCTAGCAATATTGATGCAGACTGACTGACCAACTCCCTACCTGCATCTCCAACACACCCAACCTCCTCCTTTTTTGTCCACTTCTTTTGTGGGTGAGATTAATGGCATTCGTTTCCAAGCTAGCATTCCAAGAGTTTCTTACTGTTTCTCTTTATGTATTTCATGATGTACTCAAACTGATCTTCTTGCTCTTTCTATACACGCCTTTCCTTCTGCTGCTTCTCTTATTCAGGGGAACCCACATCCCCACACCTCCAAAGCTATCCGTATTCGGTGGACAATTTCAAACTATTTCCTGTTTCATGACATCTTCACCAGTTGTCCCTGTCCTTCTATCATTGTTGGAATGATCTCCTCCTCATTCCTATTTTTCCTAACATTTCATCTCTACCTCTCTTATGTCACTTATGTTATAATGACTTGCATTATATTTCTTTTTCTGCCTACCTTCTATTTTCTATATTGTAAATTCTTGGAGAATAAAACACTGATTTATTTTTGTGTCTTCACAATGCTGAGCACAGTGAATATAGACACTCAGAAATACTTATTTAATGATTAAAGAAATAAATGGGGAAAACATCATGGCATTTATCTTCCATGAGCTCAGCATCTAGTGGAGACAACATATATGTACGTATATACACACACAAATACACACACACACACACAAATCACACACAACTACACACACACACAAATACACACACAGTGTGATGCAAGGCCAACTCTGAAAAGGCAAAAAAACGTATTTGTACAAACATTTTGTTAAGCAGATGTAAACAAATGAATACTTAACACTGGCTGGGAAATTTGTTGGGGGTGCGCTTCTAAGAGTGGGTAGAATTTCAGTCGAATATTGAAGGAAGGATAGAAGACATAAGCAAATTGGAAACAAAGACGTTTGGGTTGAGCCAACAGCCTGAGCCAAGGCCTGGAGGCAGGTGAGGGCAGGGTTATGTTCAGGAAACAGTGTCCTCCCTGGTCTCATTGGATGTATTATCCATGAACTTATTTAAGTCGTTTTTTTTGAGACAGTCTCACTCCGTCGCCCAGGCTGGAGTGCAGTGGTGCAATCTCGGCTCACTGCAAGCTCCACCTCCCCGGTTCATGCCATTCTCTTGCCTCAGCCTCCCGAATAGCTGGGACTACAGGCACCCACCACCATGCCCGGCTAATTTTTTGTATTTTTAGTAAAGATGGGGTTTCACCATGTTAGTCAGGATGGTCTTGATCTCCTGGCCACGTGATCCACCCGCCTCGGCCTCCCAAAGTGCTGGGATTACAGGTGTGAGCCACTGCGCCTGGCCTTAAGTCTTCTATTATCTGGAAGAATCACACATATATTTCCCTTGGATATGTTTTTCTCCTCAGTACAGTCTAAGGTTATAGAACCATTTTCTTAATAGTATGTGGGGACAACTCTATTACTGAATAATAGTTATTTTGTGAACTATAGACCTCTCCCCTTACTGAATATAATCAATAGTTACTAAAACCTGTGGGAGGAAATGTGCTCATCTCAACATTCTTATAACTCGACTCACCATTTTGTTTCATGATAGCAGAGTGTGCTACAAATCAAACTTAATATGTATCAGTATATTTTTTAGTGGTGCACCACATTTAATTTTAAAAGAGTTAATTCATTTAAGTGTCATAATACAGCATATAGATTGACAAGCATGAAAAGTTGAGTGGTGTAATGCCCTGCACATAAAAAATGTGCTCAATAAATATTGGCCAATTTGAACTGGAATAGTGTCCACTCATCAGATTGTCTGGCCAATATTTTTCCACTTACCCATCCACACAGCAGCAATATGAACCACTATGTTGAAAAGTTACACATACACATTCCTGGCCTGTGGGTCCATGAAACACTCCATTTTTTTAATAAATAAATCGCCCCTTTTTCGTGTTTATATATATTTTTTCCGACTGTGCTTTGGTCTTTTTCTACCCAAAGAATTGGAACAAATGCAATTCGTCACTGCTTCCTTGTGTATCTTTAGATTAAAAAAGAGTATTTCTATATACCATTTAAAAAATCCAAATTGAAACTGTATAGTAATAATTTTCAATTTGTAGGAGGCTATAAAGACTCCATACATCCCATCATAGATTGAAAAGTATTATTTTCTATACCAGTATTAAAGGGTGAATACTTCTTGCCCAGAGAACAGAAGGTCTTCTCCAATGGTTATCCCCTCCCAAGCTTGGCAGATTGCATCAGGTTCTCTAATATTTTTTTCTAGAAATAAAACACTAGACTTAATATCTTAACTTCACTGTGAGGCAAAAAAAAAAATATCTATAATATGATTGTCTTCCAACATTTTCCTTTTATCCTGAGTGGTCTTTCCTCCTACACATCCAAACCTCATGGTTAGTGTGATATTTGGTTACATCAGTGAATCATTTCACAAGGATTTCTAGAACTTGGGATCTAAGAGTTGAAATGAATCCAATTTAGTGACAAAAGCAATAAGAATAGAATTCAGGTGCTGTGTGCTGCCATATTCCCCATAAAATAGAGAACAATCATAAGAGAAAATGATCTTCACATCCAGAGGAAACAGAAAAAAATGGAAAGAGATGGCCTTAAAAACAAAATCTACAGTTGATCTTGGGTCCAGCTACAGCTTTGTCCTTCCACTAGCTGGGGTTCTGTCTTTGGATTCTACTAGTCAATGTATTCCCCTTTCGCTTGAGCTTGTTGGAAGTGTGTATTTGTCACTTGTTACCAAACTACTGTAAGAATTTTGATTCTTCTTGGGAGTCAGGAAGCTGGAGCTAATCATACCGGTGGGGAAAGCCTGGCAGATAGCCACAGGGTGTAGAGCAAATGACAACTGGTGGCAACGCTTAAGCTTCAAAGAGGCAGAACAATAGCAAATTACCTGACCTGAAGCAAAGGCTCTAGAATGGCAGTCAGGTTTGACTATTCCTCTGGCAGACACTAGGAAAGAGTGCCCTATGTAGGAAAAATAGGTCTATTCTCAAATGCCTGTGGCCTTATCCTTGGGTTTGGGGAGTGACCTTGAAGACGCTGAGCCAGCTCTGATGCTTCTGGGCTGACTCCAATGCAGGACTCTCTTTATAGCAGTGCACAAAGGGCCAGAAATGAGAAATTAAATGTAAGTTATGGCTTGAGAACAAATATAAGAGGAAAGAGCAATGGTCCTTGTTCCTCTCATATCTAGTGTCTTAATTCATTAGTGCTGCTATGACAAACTATCATAGCCTGGGTGGCTGAGAGACAACAGAAATATATTACTCATAGTCCTGGAGACTGAGAGGTTCTAGATTGAAGTACTAGCGGACATAGTTTCTGGTGAGGGCCAGCTTCCTTGTTCATAGATGGCCATCTTTCCAGTGTGTCCTGACTTGGCAGAAGGGGCCAGGGAGCTCTCAGGGGTCACTTTTATAAAGGCGCTAATCCCATTCTTGAGGGTTCCATGCTCATGACCTAATCACCTCCCACCTCCTAATAACCATCACTTTGGGTGTTAGGATTAAAACATGAATGTTGGGGGAGGAGGTGCACACATTCAGTCTCCAGTACCTAAGAAATGAATCAACATCACCTACTTCCATTAGAACCAGATGGCCCTGAACACTGTTAATCTATACCTGTAAGAGAGCCAAGTAAAGCACTATGCCACTTTAGTGATGCAATTGGCTCTTCATTAGAGCATTAGTGTGTTAGAATATGTTGACATGAAAGAGAGAATTCAGATGAGAACATTCCAGACCAAAATATTGAAATTATATAATCTGAAATAGACACTTGGCCTGAATTCTTCTCTGAGAAGTCCAAATAACAGTAATTGCAGGGTCCTAGAGTCCATCTGGACTCTTAGTTTTTAATGCTGGCTGTAAAGCAGATAAACACATCAGAGGGCAGAGTTAGGTGCTTTCTGTGCTTCAGAAAAATAAAAGCCAGTTAGTTGCACAATCGATTGACAAGGAATTATGAAACACCTTATGACTTAGTTCAGTGGAAACTGCCAGAAACCTCTCGCCTAAAATTCTCATCTTACCTTGAGAGGTGAGGCAATTGCAAAGCTTTTTTGGATAACATGCCTTAACTTTTCAAATTAGTTTACTGCAAATCTGTAAATCAAGACTATGTTTCATTCTTCACTCTGGTGGGCATCCTTTGTCTGGCTACATCCTAGGATGGAAGACCTTTCCTCTTACCCAGATGTGTTCAGAATGCAATAATTCTCTCACTCTCTCTTTATCGCTAATTGCCCTGTCTCTTAAAGCAGGCAATTGCAAGTTGAGTGTATGGAGGGATGTGACTATGAGGCCTTGTTAAACCAGGACCCGTCAGGTTAGACACTGTGGCATAACTTATGTCTACATTTCTGACCATGAACTTATCCAGATTCCTGATCCTGAATTCTTTATGGTCTATCACATTAATGATGACTATATGAAAATTAAAAATTAAAAAAAAAACCCGTTTGGTTTATTTGAGCCAAAGAAGTGTTTCAGAACTTCACAGGGTTTCTATGGTTTGGTTTGGGTTCGACAGGTAAAGAAATTATTTGTTCACTTTTTCCAGTCACCCCATTTCTTAGAAATTTCATTTTCCCACAGTTATTCTCATAATATACTGAGCTGAAGATCATGCTAAGTTAAAAATAAGTGGTAATTTAAATTATTTAACATTTGTATATGATTAGAACACAAAGGCCTACACATACCCTGGGCAGTAGGAATTAATTTATCAAGGTGAGCAGCCCTGCTTTATCATGGTGGCCTAGACAGGAATTAGACAAGTTATATCCATCTTAAATTCTTTTCTAAGGAAGAACGTCGTAGGGCTTAAAATATATATTACTGAATGAGAGGCAAGTTTGAAACCCATAAGTCTCTTTCTATGTAGGGAGCTCTATACATACTATCCAGGCAAATGGATTGCATTTTTCTTTTTATTAATCACAAATGAGGCACATGCTCAACCAGCCAAGACCAGCTTTATTAGTGAATATACATTCCTTGCGCCTAGGTTTATAGTCTGCATGCTGAAAGTGTTTTATATTCTTCCTTCTGGTTATGGCTGTTCAGAGTGATTGAGCTCAAACCCAGTCCTCATGAATTCACCAAATAACCCAGTTCACTGGTGAGGAGAGTGATGCCTGTCTTTTTGAGTGGGTCTGCAGGATGCCACATGCCTCCATGTAAAAATAAAAGCCAAAATAGCAAGTACCTTGTGAAGATTTGATTTGACTGCTGCTGAGGATTGAGGAGGTTGATGGGATTTTCCACCCTTCTGCTGGATCTTTCCTTGGTTTGTCCCTACGACTGTGCAGACCAGAACTGTAGTTCTGAACCCTGGATACTTTGCTCCTTACCCAGAATTCACTGAAGGGACACATGATGAATGATCGGATCTGCTTGCCTATCATAAATCTCAGCCAGTAGGGGAGGGAGAGACCGGGCTGACACATCACCTCTGAGGACTGGGTTACAGACTCCTCACTGATTTATCTGTCCATTTCTCCTCATTATGAAAGAAGGAAATGGTTTAACTCAAACATTTTACAGAGACATTTGGTCAGGGGGAGCCTCTTCCAGGGGGAAGAGACTCCTGTCTTCATCTTGTTTATCGCTCTCCAAAAGCCATTGTTCTTCAATCTAGACACAACCACTAGGCCTCCATCAACAGATTTTTTTTTCTTGGAAATAATAAATGTTAAATATCCTTGGAATTTGCTAAGGCCTGTTTGCTTTAGGAAGGAATTTGTTATGATTAGCTTGGGTACTTGGAGCCCAAGAGTTCCTGATAGCAAGTGCTGGCTAAAATGAGCAATGATGAAGAGTCAGAGAGATATGGGCTCAAGTCTGACCAGCCACTTCCCAGCTGTGGGGCTCCATGCATGTTATTTAACTTCTGAGTCTCAGTTCTTCGTCTGCTAAATGACGATAATCATAATGCCTATCTCCTGGAGTCAAACGAATTAGTGCTTGTCACATAGTAAGTGCTCAATAAATAATTGTTGTCATCCATCAGCATCAATCCCGTCATCCCCACAGCATGAGCACCAGGATACGAGCAACTAGTTGGAAGGGGACAGTGTATAATTTTTAGCTTTGTTGTCTCCATTATGTTCTAATTCTTTCCTACTGAGGAAACTGAAAATCTCGTCTCCTTGTCTTGGGATTGTGCAGACTTAGTCTTGCCTTAAATGCTTCAATCATCTGCATGTACATATAGAATAAATTCCAGTCTCCTAGGCACATATACACATGTACATCTTCCCTTAGATCTGGCTTCTGGTTATCTCTCCAGCCTCACTGCACTCCCTATCTTAAAATATATTTTATAAAAAAGACAAAATTGTCTGCAGTTTCCTGCTCAGTCCCACTTTCATGACTTCTATATGCTGTTTCTTCTGTCACAAACATAGTTTCCAATTTTCTTATAATACATTTTTATTTATCTTTCAGAAATATTTGATAGACACACTTTCTCCTAACCGCTCAGATTTATATCAGTGACCATCCTGTGTACTTTTTCAATAATTTATATATTTCCCTATAGATTATCAAATTGCTGCATTTTAATGAAGTTATGTGCATATAATTGTATCTTCCCCACTAGACTGGAAGCTGCTCAAGGGTAAGGATTGTCAAATCAGTGCCTGAAACAGGAAATTTTCTAAACATGATTTTTAAGGGTGTTTGAGCTTAGTGTTGAGATAAAAGGATTATGCATGTCACTTTCTTCATGTATAAGAATGTAGGAGAAGCAAATGTCTCATATAGTTACAGACGGTTATATACAGAAATATTTATTGATATGTCTATATATGCACAGATTAATATGCACACATATACTTCTTTTATTATTATTTTTTTTTGAGACGGAGTCTTGCTCTGTCTCCCAGGCTGGAGTGCAATAGCGCAATCTCGGCTCACTGCAACCTCCGCCTCCTGAGTTCAAGCAATTCTCCTGCCTCAGACTCCTGAGTAGCTTAGATTACAGGCACCTGCCACCATACCCAGCTAATTTTTTGTATTTTTTAGTAGAGACAGGGTTTCGCCATGTTGGCCAGGGTGGTCTCGAATTCCTAACCTCAGGTGATCCACCCGCCTCAGCCTCCCAAAGTGCTGGGATTACAGGCGTGAGCCACCACGCCTGGCCACACATATATATTTCTTTGGTCTGTTAGCTAAGAGGGCATAAAGAAAGGATAGCCCACCATCAGTGAACACATCTAATACCCAGATGTTGGTTTCAAATACTATTCTCTAATAAAGAACACCAGGGTTCCTGGGAGAAATGGATGATTCTAGGATATGGCAGAAACACGCAAGATAAGGCTGGAGCATCTTTTATTGCCATAAAATAAGGAAGTCCTAAAACACAAGCACACACACATACATACACATTGGGAATATGTCAAAAGGGAAGAAGAATTTTTTAGAAGAGCTCCCAATGACCAGAAGCTGAAATAATTAGATCAAAACAATTTATTGAATTATAACTCAAAGTATAAAATAAATATCCATGAATCTGTACTAAAGAGTATCAATAAATACTAGTAATAAATAGATAATTTAATAAATTAATAAGTCAGGGAGGAGAGACAAATCCCCTTAGCACAAGAATTTATATAGCTATTCCAACCTAAAGGATTAGAGTGGCATAATTCTCTACTCTTTAGTTATGGGCTATGTATTGAGACCTCCTTCCAAATAGTAGAGTATGGAAAGGGAGGGAGAAAATAACTCTAGAGTTATATACAGAAACCTGATGACTACAGCTTCAGCCCAGTGATTGTGGTTAACATTAACAGCAATAAGCCATGTTGATAGCATGCACCCTTGCCATGATATGATGAAAACAAAGCTTTTCCTCTATGCTCTTGCCCTCAAAACTCATAACCCAGTCTAATCATGAGAAAAAAATCAGACAAATTCTATATTAGGGACATCCTATAATATTCCTGGCTAGTACAAACCAGTCAAGGTCATCAAAAACAAGGACAAGTCTGAGAAAATGTCATAGCCAACAGGAGCCTAAGTAGATACGATGACTAAATGCAATATGCTACCTGGATGAGATCCTGGAATAGAAAAAGACATTAGGTAAAAACGAAGGAAATCTGAATAAAGCATGGACTTTAGTTGATAATAATGTATCAATAGAGGTACATTAATTGCAATAAATGTACTATACTAAGGTATGATGTTAATAATAGGTGCAACTGTGTGTGGGGTGGGGATGGAAACATGGGAACTCTGGGAACCATCTCCTCAATTTTTCTGTAAATTTAAAACTGCTCTAAAAACAAAGTCTAGTAAAAATTACTAAATAGCCAGGCATGGTGGCTCACACCTATAATCCCAACACCTTGGGAGGCTGAGGAAGGAGGACTGCATGAGGCCAGGAGTTCGAGACCAGCCTGGGCAACATAGCGAGACCCCCATCCCTACAAGAAATCATAATAATAATAATAATAATAATAATAATAATAATAATAATAATTAGCTGGGCATGGTGTTGCATGCATGTAGTCCCAGCTACTCAGAGTCTGAGGTGGGAGGATCACTTGAGCCTGAGAGGTTGAGGTTGTAGTAAGCTATGAGTCACTGTACTCCATCCTGGGTGACAGAGTGAGACTCTGTCTCAAACAAAAAGACTAACTAAAAAATGAAAAAAAAAAAAAAAAATGAAAGGAACAAAATCAGGATTTGCTGAGTAACACTGAAGAAATATACCACTTCTTTCTTAACACAGATTCACCTTTCCCTAACATATCTAAATAGTTCATGCAAACAAATTTATGCCACAGATTAAGTCAATAATTATCTCTACTTCCTGCTTTATTATGTGTGTGTAGTTAGGACTGGAATGAGGATACTTCACATGGAATCTTCCCTACCATAAGAACAACATGTTCTACCAACACTCAGATTGTTTTTCAGTCAGTCGTGCCACTATCTAAAGATGCATCCACTCTCATTCTTGCTTAGTGTAGATCTGTGTCCTGGTCATGAGAAAGGACTATTCCAATTTTCTTTAAGGGCTGACTTAGCAATGATCAAATACACTTGGTTAGAAAAATTAAAAGAATTATAATGGCCCTTTTAGTATTTTGGGAAACAGTAAGGTGGGTGAGAGAAGACTAGGCACCAACCTCTTTAGGAGTTTAGGTGGAGAGAGGTGTTTGGTTGTCTCACATCAACAAGGAATGAACCTAGATGCTGGCACTCAGAAACCATCACATTCCAGATGAGCTCTGTTCTGCTTTGTGGTTGTGGCCACAGCCAGTGACTTATTTCCTGGGCAATAAGTGTTTTGGTTCAAGCAGAAACTGCTGAAGTTAGCACTCTTAAAGTGTTAACTTCAGACTTGATAAAGAAGAGCTTAAAAGTTAGCTTGCAACTCTTAATGACCCTGCATTTAGATTTGTGCTTAATTTTGTCTGCGTGGTTCTATGTCCTTGCTGAGAGCCTCAGCTAAGTCCTTTTGACAAACAGTGGTGTGGGAGAAAAGCAGAGGATGTCTGCCTGACAGGGTGGCCCAGGTCAGCAAATTAATGTTCCTCCTTGGGGCCAGAGCTGACCAGGAGAAAGATGGCTCTGACCTTGTGAGTTTCACACTGGAGGCCTGCAGAGGTGGTCCATCATGGAGGGAAAAAGACAGAGAGGAAAAAAAATAGCAATTTTGATGAAGTTATTGGATACATCCACTTCCCTTTTAAATTCTAAGACCCATTCCTACTCATGTAGATAAAACATCCAAGTGATGGAATGAATGCCTTTCATTTTCAGACATTTGTAGGGTTGTCAGACCAACATAGCCTGAGGTACGAGAACCTTTGGTTAAGATTTCATTCATAATTCCTTATACCTATGCTGAGCCTTCAACTTTCCAAGCTGTTCTGCAAACCTACAGTCACCCTCTGACTCCACCCCAATTCTCCAGACAGTATCTTCTCCCATTTTCCCTCAAGGGGGAAAAAAATCAATAGATTAAATGGTTTTACACTGCTTTGCAAAATTGACACTATGATTTTGTAAGTTGGCGGGAATAGGTGGTAGTGGGAGGAGGGCAGTAAGGGGTAGGAGTTTAAGAGCACAGGGTCCTATGCAAAAGGAAAACGGGGCTTTTTGGCAAAAACTCACTAAACATTTCAAGACGGTGACAACGGAGCATTAAAGCAAGCATACTCCGTGGGCATGCCCGCTCATATGCCCATAAAGCTAGCCCTGGTCTGGAGTATCACAAAAATGGGCTCAAAACCTGACTCTGCTTTTTACAGATTGGTCACTTTGGGCAAGTTTCTCAGACGCTTGAAAAAGGAGAGTAAGAGTATCTACCTCATTTTTAGAGCATTAAATAAGACCATGGATACAAAGAACAAAGTATATTGTATTATGCAGAAAGCACTCAAGAAACGAATAAGGGGCCAGGCGCGGTGGCTCATGCCTATAATCCCAGCACTTTGGGAGGCCGAGGCAGGCAGATCACCTGAGGTCAGGAGTTGAAGACCAGCCTGGCCAACATGGGAAAAACCCATCTCTACTAAAAAATACAAAAATTAGCCGAGCATGATGGCAGGTGCCCGTAATCCCAGCTACTGGGAAGGCTGAGGCAGAGAGAATTGCTTGAACCCAGGAGGCAAAGGTTGCAGTGAGCCAAGATCGCGCCACTGCACTCCAGTCTGGGCAACAGAGTGAGACTCCGTCTCAAAAAAAAATTAAATTAAACAAAGAAACTAATAAGGATAATAACAACATTAATAACAGTATAAGCAGGAGTCAGGGGTTGGGTATGCAGCAACGAATGACTGCCCCCTTGAGCTGTCCCCGGAAGGCAGATGCGGTGTGGCCAGGGGAAACTACTGCCCCTCCGCAGCTGGCTGCTGGCTGCTCATTCCCACCTGCAGGCCTCAGAAAAGGCCACCTGGAACTGGCATTCGACACTCCTCATAGCATAGAAAAGACCAGAAAGTAAGCTTGGGAAACTGCTCCACTGGTTCCCTCCTTGACAAGGGCATATGTTTCCGTTTACTTTACGTGCTCTTGTTCTCCCAGAACCCCAGTCCCTCACCATGGTCTGAAATTTCCTGAGAGCCTAGTGCTTGACCTCCACACCTGGGTCTGTTGAGTTGGCTTCCTGCTGTCGCTGCTGCCCTTCGGCCTGCCGTCCACCCGCTTGTTGCCTGTTCACCCCCTTGTTGACCTCCTATGGGCCAGAACTCATAGCGTGTGTGCCCTGTGGCCATTTTGTCTCTACACTCTCTCTGACCTGACACTGTGACGTCTGTATTTGCCCTCAGGCTGCCTGCTGACTCTTTTTGCAGCCCTTTGCCTCCATTCATTGCATACCCCCCAGTTTTGGCTCTTTGCCCAGAACAGTGACCCTAAGGGGCCAGGCCTTGTCTGCCACTGCCCCCAAATACACTGGCAAAATGCAGTTCATTTACCCACCCAGCCTAGCCTAGCCCTGCTCTCCCCATGGTCATAAGGACATGGAACAGCATCTAGTGGAAATTTCTCCACCTGCCTTGATCTGGGTGCACTTCAAGAACGCGATTCATTGAGTTAAACCACCAACAGTATCAGTCACTCAGCTTTAATCAGCAACATTGAAGAAAGCTGTTCTCTCCCCTCAGTGTCCTCCTCCCTTTCCCCTGATTCTGGAAAGGCAGAATGGTTGGACATTCTTTCCTTAGGGGTCAGCAAGAGTTCTCCATGAACATGTTTCTTTGTTGTTTATGGTTTTATTATATTCATTTAAAAAAAAATTCAAGTAGGCTTAGTGCAGAATTAACCCCTTGGGATTATTGGTTAGTTGACAATCCCTAATACCAAGCCATTAATTTTTCATTTTGTAGGTATTGTGGCAGTGAGCCAAGTTGCAGTTGGAAGATTAATAATCCATCTACCCAGGCTTTGGGTTTGCTTAACGTTAAGCTAGAGCAGTGTGAACCTCCCTAACACTGGTAGGTGCTTATGGTCTAGCTGAGGAGACCCAATGTACTTTAAAACATGCAAATGCAGACACTCGAAAATTATTTCAGGCAATGGTTTTTCTAACAGATAAGTGGTTTTCAAAGCAAGGTCTGGGTATTTGATAGTTTGCAGGTGGCTTCAAGCAGTCTACAACTTGGGAGTCTCTCAAGAAGTGATTATGTTAACATTATATTATTTAGCCACATTATGTGTGATCACTTTCTTCTTCCTGAAATCCTTTCTTCACACATGGAGACTTCTCTTTCTTGATTCTCCTTCTACCTCATAGGCAACTTTTCTGTCTCCTTGCAGTTCCTCCTCATATCCCAGACTTCCAAATATTGGAACTTCCCTTACCTTTGTGCTAGGGGAAAAGCTTCCATGTGCCCTCCCCCCCACAGGTTCTCTCTTCACTCACCCCTTCCCTGCCAAGCTTTGTGCCCTGGGAGGCTGAGCTCTATGAATGACATCATGGACTTTAGTGCTTGTTTGGGTTGTGTCCTCCCAAAATTCATTGTTGCAGTCCTAACCCCAGTACATCAGTATGTGGCTTCAGTAGGTTTTTGCAGATGTAATTAGTTAAGATGAGGCATACCAGAGTAGGGTGACCTCCTGTCCAATATGACTAGTGTTCTCATAAGATGGGGAATTTGCACAGAGACAGGCAGACTGGGAGAACAAACACCGTGTGATCACGAAGGTAGAGAAAAAGATGATACATTGTTGTGCCAAACTTCTATTGATCCCAGTGGGGATAGCACCAGGTTCAAGAGCCAAAGAAGAGACCCAGAGCCAGCAAATGAGATGTAGGGTTTACATACAGGGGTCAGAGTCCAGCGGCGGCAGGCTGGGCAGGAGAACCGCCTTACATACAGTCCAGTGGTTGGACAGGATAGCCCAGTGGCAGCGGGCTAAGCAGAAGAACCACAGCCACCTTCAAAAGACACGCAGTTTCTACAGCATTTTCACTTAGCACCCTTTTTCTAACAACCTCCACCTGGTAACCTTCATTCAACCCAAACTCAGGGCCTTGAGTATGGCTGGTGGGCTCAGATGTTCCTTACAGACAGGGGACAGATCTCCGGGTTGGCAACTCCCAGATTCCTTGGAATCACATTCAGGTGCATCTGCCATACAGGATCATTCTCTGGGTATGCTTAAGCTATTGCTATCAGGTGCATCTACCATACACATAACTGCAAGTCAAGGAATGCCAGCATTCCCAGCAAGCCACCAGAAGCTATGGAGAGGAATGGAACAGGTTTTAACAGCAGCACAGTATGCCTTGTAATTGCCTTGTACCTTCCTACACCTTTGAAATCCTTTAAAATAGATATTCCTCTTGCTGTGCAGAAGCTCTTTCGTTTAATTAGATCTCATTTGTCAATTTTTGCTTTTGTTACAATTGCTTTTGGTGATTCCATCATAAAAATCTTTGCCTATGCCTATGTCCTGAATGTTATTGCCTAGATTTTCTTCTAGGGTTTTTCTAGTTTTGGGTTTTACATTTAAGTACAGACAACCCACAGAATGGGAGAAGATTTTTACGACCTATCCATCTGACAAAGTTCTAACATCAAAAATCTACAAGGAACTTAAGCAAATTTACAAAAAATAAAAAAAACATTAAAAAGTGGGCAAACGACATGAACAGACACTTCTCAAAAGAAGACATACTATGTCTAAAGAAGGCCTATTATGCAGCCATAAAAAAGGATGAGTTCATGTCCTTTGCAGGGACATGGATGAAGTTGGAAACCATCATTCTAAGCAAACTATCACAAGGACAGAAAACCACACCATGTGTTCTCACTCATAAGTGGGAGTTGAACAATGAGAACACATGGACACAGGGTGGGGAAAAACACACACTGGGGCCAGTCGGTGGGTGGGGAGCTGGGGGAGGGATAGCATTAGGAGAAATACCTAATGTAAATGACGAGTTGATGGGTGCAGCAAACCAACATGACATATGTATACCTATGTAACAAATCTGCACGTTGTGCACATGCACCCTAGAACTTAAAGTGTAATATAAAAAGGCATACATGCAGCCAATAAATATATGAAAAAAAGCTCAACATCACTGATCATTAGAGAAATGCAAATCAAAACCACAGTGATATACCATCTCATGCCAGTCAGAATGTTGATTATTAAAAAGTCGAGAAACAACAGATGCTGGCAAGATTGTGGAGAAATAGGAACACTTTTACACTGTTGGTGGGAATATAAATTAGTTCAACCATTGTGGGAGACAGCCTGGTGTTTCCTCAAAGGTTTGGAACCAGAAATCCCATTTGACCCAGCAATCCCATTAGTAGGTATATACCCAAAGGAATAAAAATCATGTTATTATAAAGATACATGCACACATGTGTTCACTGCAGCACTATTCACAATAGCAAAGACATGGAATCCACCCAAATGCCTATCAATAATAGACTGGATTAAGACAATGTTTTACATATATACCATGGAATACTAGGCAGCCATAAAAAGACATTTTAGATCACATCCTTTCTAGGGACATGGATGAAGCTGGAAGTCATTAACCTCAGCAAACTAACCAGAAACAGAAAACCAAACACCGCATGTTCTCACTTAGAAGTAGGAGGTGAACAATGAGAACACATGGACACAGAGAGGGGAACAACACACAGTAGGGCCAGTCAGGAAGGAGTGTGGGGGAGAGAGCATCAGGAAAAATTACTAATGCACATGGGGCTTAATACCTAGGTGATGGGTTGATGGGTGCAGCAAACCACCAAGGTTTACCTATGTAACAAACCTACGCATCCTGCATAGGTACCCCAGAACTTAAAATAAAATATAAATAAATAAATACTGTTTCTCAACTTATCCTAAATTTGAGCATGCCATTCATCTCTCAGGCCACTAACTTTTACAGATCTTCCCTCTTTTCTATACATACTCACTCCCTTCCTCATCTCATATAGGCACATGACTGTCTCCAATACTGTCTCTATGCTAGATGTCGCCAATGAATTCCAGACTCTTCTAATTGCCCACTCATCATTTCTCCTTAGTTGTTTAATAGGCATTGTAAACCTTTACATACCCAAAGTTAAGTTGTCGATATTGTCCCCACACTTGTTCCTCTTACAGTCTTCTGTCTCACTAAATGTCACCCCATTCTTCTAGTACCTTGGGCCAAAAACTTTGGAGTGGCTTAGGTTTTTGTTACTTCATGATTATGTATCTGACATCACACATCCAATCCATCTTGTTCAGCCTACATAAAAACATCAATACATCCAGAATGGAGAAGTTGGTGCCCTCGTGCACTGTTAGTGGGAATACAAAATGGTGTAGCTACTGTGGAAAACACTCTGTCAGTTTCTCAAATGATTAAACATAGAACTACCATATGACTCAGCAATTCCTCTCCTTGGTATTGTATCCAAAAGAATTAAAATCAGGGACTGGAACAAATATGTGTATATAATTTCCATTGCATCTTTATTCACAATATCCAAAAGATGGAAACAACTCAAATTTTCGTCAATGGATAAGTGGGTTATCATATACAATGGGTATCAATATACAATGGAATATTATTCAGCAATAAAACAGAATGAAACTTTCAGACATGCTACAACATGGATAGACCTTGTAAACATTACAGTTACTGAAATAAGTCAGACACAGAAGGACAACCATGATTCCACTTATATGAGGTACCCAGAATAGTCAAATTCAGAGAGGCAGAAAGTAGACGGTAGTTGCCAGGGGCTTGGGGTGCAGGAGAGGGGGAGTTATTATTTCATGGATATAGAGGTTTTTCTGAGGGTAATAAAAAAGTTTTGGGGCTGGGCGCGGTGGTTCATGCCTGTAATCCCAGCACTTTGGGAGGCCGAGGCGGGTGGATCACTTGAGGTCAGGAGTTTGAGACCAGCCTGATCAACATGGCGAAACCCCGTCTCTGCTAAAAATACAAAATTTAGCTGGGTGTGGTGGCAGGTGCCTGTAATCCCAGCTACTTGGGCGGCTGAGGCAGGAGAATCGCTTGAACCCGGGAGGCAGAAGTTGCAGTGAGCTGAGATCTTGCCACTGCACCCCAGCCTGGGCGACAGAGTGAGACTCTGTCTCAAAAAAAAAAAAAAGCTTTGCACATAGGTAATGGGGATAGCTACACAGCATTGGGGAGGTATTTAAAGCCACTTGATCATATACTTATGAATGGTTAAAGTGATAAATATTATGGTATGTATATTTTAACGTGATAAATATTATGTTATGTATATTTTAACATGATAAATTATATACACATATGTCTGTCTATATAATATAAATCCACATATATATATATGTTCAGGATTTTCTCCCTTCTCACCACTTCCGCTAACACCACCTGGGTATGGGCCCATCCTGCCTCACTGCAATGATTGCAGTAGCTTCCTCCCTGGTCTCTCCTCCTCCAAGTTGCTTCATCGTAGTTTATGCTCCACAAGAGTGAGCCAGAATGATCCTATTAACATCACAATATTCAGATCATGTCATTCCTCCATTTGACACCCTGAGGCATTTCCCATGTCTTCTAGAGTAAAAGTCCAAGTCTTTAAAGTGGCCTGTAAGGCTCTCCATCATCAGGCCTCAGGCACCCTAAGTCTAGTCTCCTACCTTCTCGTCTCCGTCTCCACTTTCACCCCATGTGTAGTCTCCTTATAACTCTTTCTTCTCTTGCTCTGCCTCAGTCACCCCAGGCCTAGCCTCCTTCCTTCCATCGCTCCTCTCCCTCTACCCAGCCACACTGGCCTCCTAGCTGCTCCCTGAACACAGCTCATCACTTCAAACACATCGTGCTCAGTGCTCCTCCTGCATGGAAGACCCTCTCCTTCACTTCTATCAGGCCCTGCCCAGTCCCATCTCATCACTGAGGCCTTTCCCTGCACCCGCTAGGGAATATTAAGCAACCCCCACCCTGACACTGCCTAGGCTGCTTTATTTGCCTCTGTAGAAATTACAACTATCCAGTGCATGCAATGTATAGTATTGCTTACTTGGTTATTGACTGTATTTCTCTCCCCACCAGGATCCTTGAAGGCAGAGACTGTGTTCACTGGTGCCTCCTCTGCACCTAGAATGATGTCTGGCACCCAGTATACACATGATACATATTCACTGAATAAACGAATGAAGGAAATATCTATGCATCTGTTCCTGACCTAGATGAATAATTAATGCAATTAATAAAACTTCAGACATTTCCTCATTGGGGTCTGTCTCTGAAATTTAGCCTTTTTTTAAATAATTTCAATTTCAATTTTTTTCTTTTTCTGAGACAAGGTCTTGCTCTGTTTCCCATGCTGGAGTGCAGTGGCATGATCTTGGCTCACTGCAACCTCCACTTCCTGGGCTCAAGCTATTCTCATGCCTCAGCCTCTTGAGTAGCTGGGTTTACAGGCACCCGCCACCACACCCAGCTGATTTTTGTATTTTTAGTAGAGACGGGGTTTCACCTTGTTATCCAGGCTGGTCTTGAACTCCTGAGCCCAGGTAATCCACCTGCCTTGGCCTCCTGAAGTTCTTTTAGATTCAAGGGTACATGTGCAGGTTTGTTACATGGATATATTTCATGATTATGGGGCTGGTATATGAATAATGCCCTGTCACCCATAGCTCATCATTTAAAAAAAATTACTTTCCACTTGAATCAGGAGCACATAGATGAAGTGAGCCACAGACCCTTGAGGCCAGTTATATCTCCTTCTGCCTGACCTGCCATGCTTAGGTCGTCTCCAGGCTTATGGCTTGCCTTTCTCCATGTACTATTTTAGGCTTTGGCAACACTAGACTCTACTGAAGTTCTTACAATGCACTGTGACCTCCCTCATCCCTAGCCCTTTACTCAGTGTATCAGTCAGTGTTCTCTAGAGGAAGAGAACCAACAGGATAGATAGATGGTAGATTGATTGATAGACAGATAGATAGATAGATAGATAGATAGATAGATAGATAAATAGATAGATGATAGATGATAGAGATAGATAGGGAGATAGATTAGATAGATAGATAGATGATAGAGATAGATAGGGAGATAGATGACAGAGATAGAGATAGATAAACAGATAAATAGGAAGATAAAGAGATAGATATTATAGGTAATTATTGCTTATGCAATGATGGAGGCAGTGAAGTCTCAAGGTCTGCCATCTGAAAGCTGAAGACGTAGAAGAACCAATCGTGTAGTTTTAGTCTAAGCCCAAAGGGCTGATAACCAGGAGAACCAGTGCTGTAAGTGTTGGTCTGGAAGCCAAGAGGCTTGACAACCAAGAAGAGTTGATGTTTCAGTTTGAGTTCAAAGGCAGAAAAGACCAATGTTCCAGCACCTGCAGTCAGGCAGGAGTTCCAACTAACTTGTGGTTGGGTCAACCTTTTTGTTCTGCTCAGGCCTTTGACTGATTGGTTTCTGGCCATGCACATTAAGGAAGAAAATCTGTTTTACTCAGTCTAATGATACAAATGTTAGTCTCATTAAAACACCCTCACACACACCCAGAATATCGTTTGACCAAATATCTGAGCACCCATGGCCCAGGCAATTTGACATACAAAATTAACCATCACACTCCATTTTAGTCCTCCTTTCACCTGACTATATCTTACTCACAGGTCTCAGTTGGGAACGCCCCTTTTGGGAAGTGGGCTCCAAGCACCTCAGCTCATGATTAACTTTTTGTGCAGTGTACTCAGAGCAAATGCTTTCTTCCTATCATGGTTCTCCACCTCTGGATTGTAATTTTGGTTTGATTTAAGGAGCAGCTTTTTCTGCTTATGACTGCGTCCTAAAGCCTGGTACAATGCCTGCAGCAGAAGAGGTTCTCCAGATTATTTTTTCCAACTGTGCATATGAGCGATGGTCCATGGAGGGCCTGGAATCCCAAATTCCTTTCAGCAGGGAACATGAGCAAGAGATGCTAAGACAATGAAAGAAAAAGGAAGATAGTGAAAGTAAATGGTGTGATAGCATCTTACAAATTAAATGGAAGAGAGAGTCTGAATTCAGTGACAGTTCATGTAATTATTACACAATTTATTGTATTAGAAAAACTTCAAGGATCCCAGCCTCTGACCTGGCAGGCATTTGGGACCCTCATACTTCAATTCTATTCAAATGGTGGACATGGGCTAACAGCTTCAGCTTCACAGGGGCTCTGTCAGAAATGCATACTCAGACCTACTGAATAAAAATCTGCATCTTAATGTAGTCTCCAGGTGACGTGAGAAGGCGTAGAAGCTCTGAGCTATGGCTGCTAACCAGTTGCGTAAATATGGGGAACTTACTTAACTTCTAGACCAACATCTCCTCATCTGTAAAGTGGGGACAGTGATACCCAGGGTTGTTGTAACAACTAAATGAGATCTCTCCTGCTGGCTGCAGTGCCTGGAGTAGAGTAGAAGTTCAATGGGTTTTAATTTTTTGTTCATCATGAAAGCCATGGGTAAATGGAAGTGGACAGAATGATCACTGTGTCTGCTCTCTAGCTGCTGCGGTGGGACTGTGCTCACCTCAGTACTGATGCTCTTAACAAAAGCTTGCTTTTGTTTACCAATGTTCACTGAGTACTAATTATACTAAAGTTCTGTGCTAGATGCTGTTACAGACCCAGAAGATAAATAAAACCAACGCCCTGTCCTGAATGAATTCATAGAATAGTAGAGGAACATAAACGCATATGAAGTCAGAAACTGAGAAGTGCCAGCCAAGGTATTAAGAAAGTTAGAGAATGGAAACATTTCTTCTTAGCATATATTTTATGTTTCCCTAGTAGCTGTTGTCTCAATTTATTTCTCATTACTGAAATACATATTTAATAAGAGGTACCCAGGCTCACCCTACAAAATTAATGTTCACTTTTTACTGTGTTCTTGTTTTGAGCAAGACTTATTCTCTTTCATATTTTAAAAATTGGAATTAATATGCTCTTTCAGAATAGTTCAATTTAATTACTACTTTAAAATTCAAAGAGAAACATCATTAAATATTAATAGGCCAATCTGCAAAAACAAATTTTGCTGGAGGTTTTGCGTAGGTAAATGCAGATTTGAGAAAGTATGACAGCCCTTGAGAAATAATAGGACTAAGAACCAGTTTGCATTCTCCAGACCTCATTTCCTTACTCATAAAATTGAGTCTCAGAACTGTGATCCCCAGGTTCTGTAGGTCTATGCTGGTGGCATTTAGAAAAATAGCTATTAAAGCCATGTAGGTACTGTTGGTGAGAGAAGGGAACTGACATGGTGTGCAAAAGGGAGTGATGAGGACTGTGGAGAACTGCAGAGACCCGCTTTGGGTGAGAGGGTAGATGTCATGTCTCTTAGGTCCAGCCAGTGTTCCCTGTAGGATGTCCAGAACTGCCTTTTTAGAAGTTGGAAATCTGTATTTTAATGTAAAATATCCTGCTTTTATTTTTATGTTTTAAAATATTAGTTCAATGTTAAGCATGATGCTTGCCAAACCAAGCATATCTATATTCTAAATTAAGTCTTCCGGCTTCAAGTTTGCAACTTCTCACCTATACCAAGGGCCTATGAGCAGTCAATCATCAATCACAATTACCCAACAGAGTTGACCTGCAACTCTGCGACTCCCAACCCAGACAAAACATTCGCCTCATCTGGAGAGCATTTTGCAACAAGCAGGGCCTGAATCCCACCTGCAGTGATTCTGATTCAATCAGTCTTGGGTTGGTCTCTGACTTCCGTAAGCTTTCAAAATTCCTCAGATGATTCCAATACGCAGCTGGGTTTGAGAAGCATTGGTCTGGAGGAATCGTGTCTGTTTCTACCTGGCTGCCACCGCCTCGCCTTGCTCCCATGGCTCTCAGGTCCCCAGGACTGCCTAAGAACTTCTTCCAGCAACACTTGCCTTTTTTGTTGTTCCAGAACATTTACTGGTGATGAGAGACTCTAAAGAAGTCACAGCTTGCTTCCTTTCTGAAGAACGTTGTGATTTTGGCTCACGTGCAGTGCACGACAACTCTTCTCCAACAGCATGACATAGTCCACTGTCTCAGGATCCCATTTTTCCACCAGCTGCAGAGCAGGAAGGGACAAATCAAAGTAGGTATCCTTTTGCTATTTTTCAATTTTATGCTGTCTAAACAATATTCATAACAAGCGCTGTGGTAAATCTCTCATTTACTGTCACAGTTGTTCTACTGTTTTGGTGTACTTTTATATTTTTACTCCCTCTAAGTATTGAAAACAAATTAAATCCAGCAAAATAGAAGATCCAGGGAATACAACAAATAATTATTCCTGCCAAGCACGAGTATTTAGCACCTGCATGTTTGGGAAACGTTCAAACTGGTTTGCTTTGTATATGCTGTAAAAGTGCTCCCCGGAGCTAAGGAAATCTCTTTTGGATTTACTTGTTATTTATGTATTCATTTGATTTTTAAAATATAGGCAATAGGCAAATTAGGTTAGGTTGCAAGGTCTCTGGGTACAGCCACAAGATTTTGGAATATTGCATTTGGCCTGGATCTCATATCAGAGTCAGGTTTGGGTTATTAATCTGTGGACCTGGGGCTGGATGGATTATATTAAAGTAAGACTTTGTACACTTTCATATAACTCATTTTTGTCACGCGGCATTATATTTCTCAGTGGCTAAACCTTCACAAATGGCTCATAAATATTTTGTGAATGAAGGTTTGGGGATGATAGTGTGTCATAGCAAGAGTGAAATGATGCAAGAGATGGGAGAAAGGGAAAGTGAGCTGCAGAATTTTCACTGCTCCTGCATATCATAGAGAACTGATTTAGAGGCCTGGGTAGTTTCTCCTTAATTACTTCAGAGATGGTTTTGGAAAATGCAACTCTAAATGGAGCGCAGGATGATTTATGGTACTATTTTATGAGATGGAATTAAAAATTCAAACCAGAATGTGTAACTGTGGCAGCATGGGGCTACTCATTAAGAGGCAGTGAACACTGCCATTCATTTGCCTGCACCTGCTGGGGGTGGGGGTGGGGGAAACATGCTGATACCTGCCCACTTGACTGGGCTTGGCAAGAATAAGAGCTTCCTGGATCAGTGACTGGAGAAAAACTCTTTGGGGAGGCGGGAGAAACTCCCCAACGTCTGTAATGAGAACAGTTGGCAACTTACACAGTACAGGACAGTCAGGCATCCACACAGTGTGGAATCCAGACACACAGCTCTGCAATTTAAGAGCCTGTGGCTCAGCTTTCTTTATCTGTCAAACGGGATTGGTAACAACCACAGGCTACTCTGTAAAGATGACATAAAATCATATATGGAGAAGCCGCTGGTGAACTAGATTATGGAATATAAATGTGAATTATAGTGCGTTATTATAAAATCTCCAAGGAAACTGCCTCAGTATCTTTTATTATTAGCATGAAGCAGAACAATTGCTTCACAACTTGGTGGTCTATTAGGAGGTATGCTAGAGGCCACGAAGAACCCCACTTTGTGAAAAGTGTCTGGATTTTGCCCACTAGCATCCATTTAACCTTGATGGAGCTCTGGTTGTGTGCACAGGATATTTTGTTGGATCAGTACTCATGGTCTACTCACATGTGCAAAGAAGAAGCAGTTTCTCCATCTTGTCTACAAGTGATAGGCTTTTTCTTAAGATCACCCTCTTGCTAAGTTGTGGGGATAGATCAACTTGGTAACTTGAATCTTGGAGAGGTGAAATTATCTTTTCATGTTTCTCAACCTCTAGGAAAAAATGCTAAGACTTCTCCATTTCCCTTATTTCCTCCCCAACAGCCATCTAAAATGGTTCATGTGACCTTGAGCCAACAGAGTGATGGAATCCTAAGGTCCAGGCAGAATCTTTTGCTGCCTCTGCTCTCTGAGTGGTATTCTTCCGTCCACCTGGTCCCTGTCAGCATCTGTAGCCAGTATAACTTGTGGTGGGTTCACTCTTGCTCCATTTGGTTCAGTAGCTTTTTTCTGCAACCTGGCCTCACCTGGATTCTCTCTTGTCCTCTGAATTTCAACCACATTCCCTTTCCACACCCGGTGTGGTCTTGATATAAGGTTCCTTCTCTCATCATTAGAGGCCTATTGTTTCTGAACTCCACTGCCTTGAAGTTATCCCTCACAGGCTGGCAAAAGATCCCAGGTCCCACCCACACTACACCAGAAACAAGAGTGGCTCCAGAAAGTTAGACCCTGGCCATTCCTCTGATGATAATATTGGGGTTGCTAATTGCCTTTGATGTCACCCTCTCCCCTCACCTACTCCTCACCAACATGACGTAGTGGTAATCTCTACCAGAATCTGTTCTAGAGTTCTTTGCTTTTGACTTTTTTGTCTGTTAGCTAAATTATCTAAAATTCCTCCTGATCTCTGAGTCAAAGTCTGGACTCTTGCGCTCCTGCCTCACGGACTCAGTACCCAGGAACTGCCAAAGGCTGGCTGGACTTGCCATTGTTCTGTAGCACATCTTCCTTCTGTTTTGGCAAACAATCTTATGACCTGGTTGTCATGGATGGAAGGGATATCTTACAACACTATGGAAAACACTTTAAGATCTGAGTCCTCCAGGTTTGGTTCTGGTTATGCAAAATTGCTTTAACCTTTAGATAAATATTTTTCAAGAAAGCCTGGCTTCAGAGCCTTTTGTCTTACTGCAGAATCTTATTCTGAATGACAAACATAAAAGTAGATATTTATTTCATACATACCCCCTCTCCTACACACACAGAGACCATGTATCAGATACTATTCTAGACGCTAGGAATACAGTGGTAAAGAAAACAATAAATTCCTGCTTCCGAGGAACTGTCTTTCTAGTGTAGAGTGACAATCAGTAAACCAAATGAGTAAGTAAAGTAAACATACAAGGTGTTGATATGTGGTATGGAGGAAAATAAAGCAAGAGAGAATAAGTGATGCAGGTGAGTTTCTGGACATTAAGAGTGACATTTGAACTAGACTTGATAGATGACAAGAAAGAAAACCATGCTATGTGGATTATCTGAGAGAAGGCCATGCTAGCAAAGGTCATATAAAAATTAAAAATAGAGGCTGGGCGCGGTGGCTCACGCCTGTAATCCCAGCACTTTGGGAGGCCGAGGTGGGCGGATCACGAGGTCAGGAGATCGAGACCATCCTGGTTAACACAGTGAAACCCTGTCTCTACTAAAAATACAAAAAAATTAGCCAGGCATGGTGGCGGGTGCCTGTAGTCCCAGCTATTCAGGAGGCTGAGGCAGGAGAATGGCGTGAACCCAGGAGGCAGAGCTTTTGGTGAGATTATGCCACTGCACTCCAACCTGGGCAACACAGTGAGACTCCATCTCAAAAAAAAAAAAAAGGAAAAAAGATTAGAAAATCATGTTAATATTTTCAAAATATCCTGATACTTTGTCATCACTGATCCTAAAAGTGCTTGGTGCTTTGTTTTAGGCAGGTATATCCACACTAAATATGATTAACAAATTATATTTTCTAAAATGTCACAAAGATCAAGTCAAAAATCTCTGGGGAATCTTCTTATATGACAAAGTCATTTATTTATTCATATAGAATATAATAAGAGCTGTGGATAAACAGAAATGAATCTGATGGTGTAATATAATTCCTGCTTTCAAGGAGCTCTTGAAGAGTCAGAGAGGATGGACTTAATGATAAGAGTGTGTAATAAGATTGATGCCAGACATGAGCATGGGGTCTTTTGGAAATGTGGAGGCATTTAATATGCCCTGCGTGGGAGAGGGAAGTCAGAAGATAACTTCTCAGAGAAAGCAATACCTGATGTGGATCTTAAAGGGCGAGTAGAAGTTACCCAAACAATGCCGTGGAAGAGGTGATCAAAGCAGAAGGGGCAACATCAGTTAATGCATGCAGATGGGCCATGCAAGATGAGGTAAATGTGGCTCATAGCTTCTGGAAAGAAGACATGAGGTGGATGTTGATGAGAAATGAGGCTGGAGATGTGGACAGAACAAGGAAAGCCAAATTAAGTCCAAATTCCTTCACCGGCACATCTTCCTTACCAGGCACATTTCCAGCAGTGAGTCAACTACAGCCTTTGTTCTGTTTAAGCTGAGCTGGGTGTCAGGAGTGTCTTCCCTCTGCTGCTCATTCCTACAAAGAGTATTAGTTTCTTGAGTCCCGAGTACAGCTGCCATAGCCTGGGAGCCCTCCTTCATTGTGGCTGCCCAGGTGAGCTAACCAATATTTGCCTTAGGTTCCACTCTTGCTAGCTCCGTCACTGCCGCCTCTTGTTGTCATTTAAATGTTTCATGTATGTCTCTTTTCATTTTATGGATTATAAATTTGAGGGCACAAACTACCCTATGTTTCTCCTACATTGTCCAACATAATGTTCTGCATACTCAGGATGTACTTGTTAAAAAATGCATTTTATTACTTTAAACCTGCATTTTCCAATATGGTAACCACAAGACCCAGTTACTTAAACTTAAATTAAGAAGATCTGTGAACCTTCAGTTTCTTGATCTCATTAGTCACGTTTCAAGTACTTAGTACATGTACGGCTAGCGGCTACTGTATTGGGCAGCACAGAAAATATTTCCATCATCACAATTGGCCATCACTGCTTTAGAATACTTTTTAAAAGGAGTTTCCAGGTGAGAACTGCTTCAGGCCATTTTTGGAATCATACCTATAAATTGTCAAAAGAGTGCCAGTCAATTCTATTGCACGTGATATTAAAGTTATTGATGAAACATTATAATGTGACTCCAGGTAATTTACTTTTACAAGCTTGGCAATACACAAAATGTAGATATTTATTGAAGAAATAAAAATAGTAGCATTTTATTGATGTCTACTCTGTGCCAGGTATTATACTAATATGCTATATATTTTTATGCTATGCATCTTTTAATCTTTAGCCCTTTGAAGTATATATTGTTGAAAAAGAGGAAACTGAGGTCATTCTCATGAAATAAATTACTTAGGATATACAGTCAGGAAGAAGTAGAGCCAGTATCCTAACCCAGAACTGGCGACCCAAAAGCCTGTCCAGAGAATATTTTATTGATCTATCTATCTATCTATCTAATATTTATCTCTCTCATATATATATATATATATATAATTTGCCAATATCAGCCACCCAGATCTAAGAAATATTACCATTTTCCATATTTGCATCTTCCTATGAAATAAAGACAGCCAGGCGCGGTGGCTTACACCTGTAATCCCAGAACTTTGGGATGCCAAGGCAGGCGGATCACCTGAGGCTGGGAGTTCGAGACCAGCCTGACCAACGTGGAGAAACTCCATCTCTACTAAAAAAAATACAAAAAATTAGCCGGGCATGGTGGCACATGCCCGTAATCCCAGCTACTCAGGAGGCTGAGGCAGGAGAATCCCTTGAACCTGGGAGGCAGAGGTTGCGGTGAGCCAAATGGCACCATTGCACTCCAACCTGGGCAACAACAGGGAAACTTAGTCTCAAAAAAAAAAAAAAAAAAAAAAAAAAAAGAAACAGAAAAAAGAAAGAAAGAAAGACCTACACATTTAAAGACACCTTTAGCCCTTCTGTATTAGTCCATTTTCACACAGCTATAAAAAATACCTGAGACTGGGTAATTTATAAACAAAGACATTTAATTGACTCACAGTCTGCCTCTCTGAGAAGACCTCAGGAAACTTACAATCATGACGAAAGGTGAAGGGGAAGTAAACATGTCTTACATGGTAGCAGGAGAGAGAGAGAGTGAAGGAGGAAGTGCTACTTTTAAACCATTAGATCTCATGAGAACTCACTATCATGAGAACAGCACGAGGGAAACTGCCCCCATGATCTAATCACCTCCCACTGGGTCCCCTCCTTGACATGTGGAGATTACAATTCATGTTGAGATTTGGGTGGGGACACAGAGCCAAACCATATCATCTTTCCTGATTCCATTTTTTTTCTTCTTCCTGCTGCAAAGATAACTACTATGCTGAAGTTAGTTTGTTCCTTTCCATTCAGGTGTCAGTAGTTTTATTATGTTTACCTGTATCCGAAAGCGCATATAGTATTACTTTGAAACTTTTAACTTAAAAGGAATGTAGTATTGTGTGGTTGACATTTCTACCCAATATTTTGTTTCAGGATTTATTTCTGTTGATGCCTGTAGCTTTGGTTCATTTGTCTCTACTGTTCAGTGTTATTCCGTATGTCCTATTGGTAGACATTTCTGTTCCTAATTTTTTTCCACTGCACAAAAAGCTGCCGATATGGTCTGCATATATGTTTCCTTAAGCTTATTTCAAGCATTCATCTATGTTATACTTCAGAAGAAAATCACAAGGTGCTTGGTAGTATACATCTACATGTTACTAGATATCAGTAAATTGTTTTTTAAATGGAGATTTCAATTTATAATCCCATTGACAATATTTGAGACTTTTCATTTTCACACACTTCTGTAGTACTGGGAATTTTCACACTTTTAATTTTTTGCTAGTTTGATGAGCATAAAATAAATGGCTTTTCATCTTAATTTTTATTTCCTTAATGAAATTGAGCATATTTTCTTCTATTTAGTGGCCATCCAAGTATCCTCTTCTGTGGCTCATTTAACCTTATTCACTGGCCAAATTTCTTTCTTGGGCTACTGATTTATTTTGTATTGATTTATGGGAATTCTTTATATGTTTCGATTATAAATTCTTTGTTTTTTATGTGGGTTGCAAATGACTTTCCAGTTTGTCTTTTCTTTGTCTTTTCATTTTGTTCATAGATGCTTTCAATTTTGATGTAGTTAGATTTATAATTTCCTTCTTCAGAGTTTGTACTTTTAGTATCTTTTTTTTTTTTTTTTGGAGATGGAGTCTTGCTCTGTTGCCCAGGCTGGAGTGCAGTGGCATGATCTCAGCTCACTGCAAGCTCTGCCTCCTGGGTTCACGCCATTCTCCTGCCTCAGCCTCCTGAGTAGCTGGGACTACAGGCACCCGCCACCATGCCAGGCTAATTTTCTGTATTTTTATTAGAGTCAGGGTTTCACTGTGTTAGCCAGGACGGTCTCAATCTCCTGATCTCATGATCCGCCCGCCTTGGCCTCCAAAAGTGATGGGATTACAGGCATGAGCCACTGCACCTGGCCTGTACTTTTAGTATCTTAAGATTTTTTTTCATATCTCAATGTCAGAAAGATGATCTCATATTTTTTCTAAAAAGTTTTAAAGCTTTGCTATTTATAGTAAGGATCTCAGTCAATTTGGATTTTATTTTTGTGTATGATGTAATATAGGTATCTACTATTTTCATATAGATCACTAACTTGGCTATTTTAGTTGTGACTAGCTACTCTTCTCATTATGCAGAATGCAACTGTGTCATTTATGGAGTCACCATATGTGTGTGGGTCTGGGTCTGATCTCTCTTCTTTGCTGTTGGTCTCTTTATCCCATTGTTTACAATCTTGTGATTTTTGATATGTTATACTACACTGATTTTCCCTTTGTATTGTTCTTTGAAATTGGTTTGGCTAGTCTTAGCCCTGTCTTTTTCACTCTTAGTTTTTGGAACAGCCTGCCAAGTTTTGGTTTATGGTTTTTCCATTCTGCCAAACCACCTCTATTTTAAGTCCCACATGAAAGGCTCTCTCAGGAAGGATGGTGAGATTAAATCAGAAGATGACAGTGGGATGGAGGTAGTGGTTGATCCTGTCAAGCCGTAGGGCCTTTGGCCAAGATGAGATGTAAAGATAGAGGTGAGAATTGATCACTGACTGTGCAGGAGTGAGGTTAAATGCATCATCCACTTGAGCAGGGTTAGAATTAAGATGTCAGACACATCATATGCAGGATGATAAGCCAAGATCTGGGAAGAATAAGGGTATTGGGACACTCAGCGTCTATGATAATTGCCTGGATACTTAGGGGGATGTTAGTTACCTAACAAAAAGCTAACAGAAATAAAGTCACTGCACTGGAAGCAGTTCTACACTAGTTACCAGCCCACCCCCAGATTGAGATCTTCCCTTGTAATAAGACAGCATGGCACAATGGTATAAGGAGCAGGACTTTCAAATCCAACAGGTGTGGACTCCAGCCCAGAACCACCACAGGGGAGCTGAATGATATTGGATGAGGTTCTCAGTCCTTTCTAAGCCTCTGTAAAATGAGGAGGATTCTAATTTCTACCTCACAAGTGAGAAAAGCAACAAGAAAAAGGCCTGGCAAAGAGTAAGTGCTTTAAAATATCATTTTATTCCATTACAAATGATCATGAACCTATTAAAAGTAAGTCACTTCCCAAATGCCAGAAACTGTGTCCTTATCCCTCCAGTATCCTCCTGGTCAACTTTGGGGGATCCATTTCATTCTGGTGCATGTGCACAGTTATGCACCGCATAAGGACATTTTGGTCAACAATGGATGTCTTATAGGCCAGTGGTCCCATAAGATTATAACATCATATTTTACTGCACTTGTTCTATGTTTAGATATGTCTAGATATACAAATATTTACCATTGCATTGCAATTTCCTACAATATTTAGTACAGTAACATGCTGTACAGGTTGGTATCCTAGGAGCTACAGGCTATACCACATAGCCTAGGTGTGTAGCAGGCTATACCATCTAGGTTTGTGTAAGTACACTCAATGATGTTCACGTGACAACAAAATCGCCTAATAATGCATTTCTCAGAACATATACCCATCATTAAAGGATTCATGACTGTATTTCTATCTGCTGCAAATAGTGACTAGCAGCTTTTCACTGCTTTGGACTCTGTGCCTATGGATGCCGTAAGCCTCAGCACATAATCTTTTCTCTTCCAGGTCTTAACTCGGGCTCAAAACCCAGCCACTATTCACTTCCTGGACAGCGAAAGCAATAATAATTTATCTCTGCCTCAGTTTCCTCATCTATAAATGGGTCAAATCCTAGTCTTGGTTATGAATATAAGAAAATGAGAGGATATGCAAAAGTGCTCAGCAGAGTGCTCAGCACATATGGGCCTTCTATAAACATTGGTTAAGTAAATGTACTATGCTAGACAGTGTAGTGTCTAAGAGTCTGTTCACAGATTGATGACAGATGATTTGGGTCAAATATAGGCTCTGCCACTCATTAGATCTTGGGAAAGGTGCTTAAAGTTACTTACTTTCTCTCACCCTCAGGTCTTCCCTTGTGAACCAGGAAAAGGAATGATGTTCATCTCAGGGGATTTGTTCTGAGGATTAGCAGAAATGATGTATATAAACTGCCTGGCACGTTGGAACCACTCAGCAAATCTGAGCTTTTATTAAATATTATCACGACACTCCTAGCAGAGGATTGCTTGCTCTGGGGCTTGTTCAATTTGGGATAATATTCGAGTCAAGCGTGAGGGTGATGGCCAGCCTAATGTAATAGAAATTCTAGACTTCAATTTTTAGCACATCATGTGATGGGCAAAGCTGGTTTGCAAGGCCCTGGGAGAACCCTTCCTTACCCCTCCACACCACCCAATTTACCAAAGACCTAGCCCATCACATCCATAGTGGGTGTGGCCGGTATATGCATGAGCCATGATCTGAAGCCTTACTGGTTTGGGTCCAGGGGCTGCTCTGCCTCCTTATAGAGCTGGGCCACTTCCCTTCTTTTGGCCTTGGTACCAGAAAAAGAGAAATTGTCTTCTTTCCATCCTAAGTGGCTGGAGGGTGACACAAAGCATCTGAGTTTTCCTCTTTTTCCTTGTATGTTTCAGGATGGGCATCCCAAGGTCCCCAAAGGATGTGACCAGAATGAGGGGTTGGAATCACAGGTGTGCTAGCCACTAAACTCAGTATGTAAGTTGGAAAAAAAGACTTGAGAAAGGGAAAGGAGATGGGAGTTGGAATTATTTTAATCTTAAAGAAGTTCGATATAATTATAAAACAAAACCTCAGTATCACAGCTGTGGTTATCCACCCAAACAGAATCTTCACAGTTTGAGAATTTAGCTTCCTATTCATTAGTGGCTCTCCCCCAGTTGTTGAATGTGTTCTAATCATAAATGAATTCTTAATAGCTTCAAACCAAAGGAATTACAGCACAAAGGTCACTGTTTATTTTTAAATGGATTTTTGTAATGTAATACCAAAGATTTATAATAAGAAAATTCACTTCTTCTGGAACTAGTTGGAGGATGAAAGGCCACTTTCCTCAAAGCTCCAGAGTGACAATGTCACATTAAAGTCACTGAAATAAATGGAGGTCCCAAGAGTAGCCCTACACTCCCATGCATATACTCACAGGGTTCTGTTTCAGGAAAAACTATCTGTAGCTCAGTCTCAGAGGGCCTGAGAATATTGGCTAGTATACAAGAGCAGGTACAGCAAGAAAAACTAAATTAACAATAACTTAAGTCAAATGAAAATTAATTTATTGCTCTCCTTAAAATCCAGGCCGATATGGAATTTCCATTGTAGTACCCAGTCCTCAGCAGCCCAAGTGCATTTATAATTTTCCTCATTTATGGTCAGCACATGTCTGGATGCCAGACACTATAATGAGTAAAGGGGAAGGGGGAGGCATATACCTTGATTTTAAGGACACGAAGCAGATGTCCCACATCTCTTTTCTGCTCACAGGCCACTGGTCAGAATGTGGTCACATGACACACATTATGCAAGGGAAGCTGGCATATGTAATCCTAGCCCTGGGCAACCATGTTGTCAGCTAAAAATCCAAAAGTAACTGAAGTGATGGGAAAGATCAGATGAGACATGGGGCAAACTGTGTTCATAAAGTCTAAAGACATTAATTTGGGTGTACCACAGGGCCTAGGAGAAGTTCCCATTATGAGCCAACTCTCAAAGCCTTCATCCATCTAGGTAGAACTAGTCATCCATTGCTACCTAGAAATGTATGCCTCAGTAGCAGATTTCTCAGACAGTGCCCATATTTTAGACCCTTTTATTCTATGTAGTCTAGTAGAAGAGATATGAGATAACTTAATGATTACACAAGTAGATAGCTATATATGCCATAGGAGATTCCAATTAAGTGTCAATAAATTCAGTAAGTACGGGTTATACTTGCCATGTAAATGCCACCTTTTTCATGGCCCACTCATTTGTCATATCTTATCAACTCATAAAGCCAAGTGATGTTAGTTCTTGGCTTTTCTAGCAAAGGTGGCAGCCAAGGAGAAAGTGTTCTAAGCTAAGCAAATAAATGTGTGTGGTTTCATTTTGACTAGGATGTAGGGAGCTGAGACTGAGCAATGTCAGATAGAAGTGGAAGGCTGGGGCCAGATTTTACAAAAGATGTTGGTATTATGTCTTCCCAAACAGATATTGCTAACATTGGACAGGTTCATCGAATTCCACTTACTAAGGCCACTCACTGACTTAGCAGAAAGTAAAATGGAATGTATAGACTATGCTCTACCTGGGTTAAAAAATAGGCTACTATAAACTGTGGCAACCAGGCAACAAGCATTTCTCTCCTCTCTCCTTCCTTGGAATCTGCCCTAGGTAAGAAAGGAAGCAGCAGTAACTGCCTATCTGTTGAGTTTTAAGGGGTACAAAAACTTGCTCACCAACTTCCCATGACAGGAAATTCCCAGGTATTAACTCAGTTTTATTTGGAGTATCATCATAACTGCTGCTTTTATCCCCTCCTTTTCTTTCTCCTCCTCCTTTATCTTTATTACAAAAGGAAATATTGGACTATAGAGGCCTCATTTGTTAACGGATAAAGAAAAATGAGGAACAGGCATTTGGGTTCTAGTTCCAGGTCAGCCTTGAAAGTGTAACCCTGGCTCAGGCCATGCCTAGCTCAGCTCTTTGAAACAGATGTTTCACTGTTTCATACCATTAGGGGGCCTGAGAAGAAGGGACTCCTCAATGACCTAGTTGAAAGATGTGTGGCCTTTTCTCACCAAGATCACTATGGGAAAGAAGGTAGTAGTGAAGAGATGATCTAAGAAAGGAGATAACATCAATTTTATTTTTTCTAATTACTGGCACTTGGGCAAGGCATTGGAGTCTTTGTAGGACGAAGACATGAGGATTCTAGACAATCTTTCTTAGATCCAAGGGGTCTGAGTAACACTGGGCATCGTGGATTTCACGGGAATATAAAACATAATGAAGCTACAATGGACACATCAAATTATTATGGTGATTATGAGCACTCGATTATACATTTAACATGTGTCCCATTGATCATTAGGAAATTAATTAACAATTTAGGTAAATGTAATGGCATTTTTTCAGATAATGTGGTCCAAACACACAAAGATATGGAAAATGTGAGAGATTAAGAAAGGATTAGCAAAATAATTTGATTAGTGCTGTACATCTTCTGAATGCTTCAAAAAGTTTGGAATAATCAATGTATCTGACTTTATTTGCCACAGGTGACGAAGTATCCTGAATGCACTCTTAGCACAGAGCTGTCTTTCTATCTTTGTGTTCAGGAAGTACAGTTTGTATTTTACAGATGTACCTTTAGCTACGTGAAAGCATAGCAAGATGAGGGGTAAAAAATGAGTTAAATAGAAAACAGCGTATTTTTGTTTTATTTTTGTGTTTCCTCAGGAAAGTGCTTTGATTCTTCCTGTTTTTTAAGAACACGTTTTCTAAATGTAAAGTTTTAACCTCAGAGGCATCTTGGAAAGGAAATAATAGACTCAGCTTATATCTCTAGCACTACAAGTTAAATATCTTGAAGAACTTAAATACTTTAAAATACTAGCCATAGTCCTAGCCCTGGGTAGCCATGTAAAATATGAAAAACACATATCTATGAGCAGTCATTGAAATAACCAAATGTATATACTCTAAATACAAGGAGAAAGTAGAATCCTGGGATATAAATAGGCACCAAAGCTGGCTTTTACCTTAAAGGTCTCTGTTGAACCCTGGGAACTCTGAAATTTCAACTTTGATTGCTTTATGGGGTTGGAGGTGGGTACAAGGGTACAGAAATTAAATTTTAAGCCCACTAAAGTGAGGGAATTTAAAAGGAAATTTCTGAATAAGGCTCAAGTATGAATAAAAAAATAAAACCTGTCATTCAGACAAACATAGCAAAGAAACTTGCCCTTCTGAAACATGGCTCTTTGTGGGGGGAAAATAATGTCACCAAGAATGCATAGCTAAAAGCCAGTCTTCATGCAGTTTTTTGGTCAAACATTATGTTACCTGTATAATCTAAAATAAATAGCTAATTTATTTTAACATAGTCTTGAGCTAGTAGTCTCCCAAGTTTATTTTCCCTTTCTTATTCTACAGTAAGAGAAATGGCAAGCAAACTCAAATTCCCCCCGGATTAATTCTGTTTTAACCTAGACCTCAAGATATTCCCATTGAAAAATTTATAAGGAAAAGGTGCTTCCCACATTTAGCATCAAAAAGCTAGTACACACACACACACACACACACACACACACACACACACACACCCCTCCATCAGTGAGAACCAGCAGAAATGAGATAGCAAAACCAAGACTTCAATATTGGAGGTGTCTTGATTTTGTAAAAACTTGTAAGGTGTTCAATTGCCAGAATTAGTGGATATGAAATATAAATATGTTTAATATGTTTGAATAGAGATTGAAGGCATGCATAGAAAATATTAGACATTAAGAAATGAATAAACAGATTTCAATAAGAACCAAATAGAACGTCTAGAAATTAAAAGTACAATAGTAATTAACATTAAAACTTTGATGGATGAAATAAACAACTTAGACATAGGTAAAGAATTAGTGTGTTGCAAGATAGATCCAGATTAATTTGTCCAAAAAGCAGTCTAGACAGATGAAACATGAAAAGATGTGAAAGAGATCATAAGAGGTATGATAGAGTGAGAAAGATTAATATTTGCCTGAATGAAATTTCAGAAAGAATGTATAGAACGGAACAGAGAAAACATTTTAATATCTAATAGCTTGATAACATATAATGGCTTCATATGCTAAAAGATACCGACTTAAGATATAGGAAGCTCACTGTACCCCACCCCCACTCCAAGGGAAAAAAAAGAAGTCCACATGCAAACACCAGACACTGAAGAGCCCAAAGAGAAAGAATCTTAAAAGCAGCTAAAGAGAAAGATCAAACTGCAAAGAGATTAGGTGGGCAACTGATTTCTCCATGACATTAAGGGAAGACAGAAGACACTGTGGAAAGAAAAACTCCTCTGCTTATAAAATTCTTTACCCAGTGAAGCTATCTTTCCAAAATTAGGGTGAAACAAAGACATGTCAAACATGATCTGAGACAGTTTACAACCTAAATACCATTTCTAAGGGATATTATGCAGAATATATTTCATGTAGAAAAAAAGGATCTAAGGCAGAAAGTCTGAGAGGTAAGAAGGAATGATGGACTTGGAAATTGGTAAATAGCTGCGTGCAGCTAAACATTGTCAATTCCTTAAAGCAATGAAACATAATATTTCATTTTTTAGATAAAAGATGTTTAGTACTAAATTATTAAAGTACGATAGTATATAAGTCTAAAGCAACTAAAGTCTTTCTAATTTCAGGAGAAGGGTAAAATAAATGATCATCTTTGGACCTTGATCAATATTTGTGTTAAAATAGCATTAGATTATTAGGCAGAGGACATATAACTTCCAAACCAGTGATAGCAGAAAGAGGGAAATTGAATTAGAAAATGAAAAAAGAAGCAAAACAAAAATGACAAAAACCCCTCAATAATTTTGAGAGAAGGCAATGAAGAACAGGGGAAGCAGGTTCAAAGGGACAGCATGAAGCAGCATGAAAAAATAAATTTGGGCCGGGTGCAGTGGCTCATGCCTGTGATCCCAGCACTTTGGGAGGCAGAGATGGGCGGATCACCTGAGGTCAGGAGTTCGAGACCAGCCTGGCCAACGTGGTGAAACCCCATCTCTAGTAAAAATACAAAAATTAGCCAGGAATGGTTGAGTGTGCCTGTAGTCCCAGCTACTCAGGAGGCTGAGGCAGGAGAATTGCTTGAACCTGGGAGGTGGAGATTGCAGTGAGCTGAGATTGTGCCATTGCACTCCAGCCTGGGCAACAGAGTGAGACTCCTTCTCAAAAAAATTAAATAAAAATTAATTAATTCATTCATTCATTCAAATATCATAGGGATATACAAATAGTGGTTATGTATATATTGGAATACTGTATAGGAGTGAAAATGAACAAACCATTCCCCCAAACCTGTTCTTTTCTTCTTCCTGGCACATGTCAGCTCTGTCAGCTAGAAATGATTTTCCCAGCCTCCAGTGAAGCTAGGCCCTTCTCTATAACTAAGTTTCTGCCAAGTAAATGTTTGTAAATGTGATACGCTTTACTTTAACTTTGCTTTTACAATGAGATCTTAGCATTTCTTGGTCTAGACTTTTTCTTTTCTCTTTTCTGGGATGAAATATGACCATGCCTAGAACGAACCCAGCTTTGAGCAGACAGTTGTGGTCATAGCTCTAGGGGGTGCCATGGCAACCAGATGGGTGATCCTGAGTCCTGTATGACCATGTAGAGTAAAGCCATACCCTGGCTTGCAATGCTGTCTAAAAAAATCTTACCTGAAAGGGAAATTAACTTGTCTTGTTTAAGCCACTGCATTTTTTTTTTGTTATAGTAGCTTAGCCCCTGTCCTAATAAATGCTATGTGCATCAATATGAATAAAGCTCTGAAGTATAATGTTCAAGTAAAGAATAATGTCACAGAAGATAGCATGTGGTGCCCTTCCATACCTATACACACACACAAATATATATACACACACACATATATATATATACATATGTAAAGTGGGGAAAGATACTACATATTTGTGTACATACACATACACAGAGACATTCAATGCTAAACAATATTTGCAGATTTATATACAGGGTAAAATTATGATATCAAATAATCTAAAACTCAGAATAATGATTGTCTTTGAGGAGTACTGTGGAAAATGTTATCGAGGAGTGATACACAAGGGGCTATTTATTAACCTAGATAGGTGGTGAGTAAATGGATGCTAATTCTATTATTATTTAAAATATACAATAATGCTTTATACACTATTTTATAAGTATGAATAATTAACAAAGAAAATAAATAGCAGAAAATGGGGGGCCAGGAGGTCAGGTAGTTCAATTTAGTACATGCACTATCTTTGACAAGTCACCTTAACTCTCTATGTCTCAACTTCCTTATCTGTAATAACAGATTCTTTTGGATTTAAATTCTATACATTTTCATTAAATCTTTGTACAGCCTGGACCATGTTTTCACAGAAGTCATAAGATTCCCTGAACATTGGACTAGTTTTAGAGAATAAAGGTTTTCCTCTCTCTGTAGTTTTAGAAGACAGCATAATTTTGTAGGTTACGGAACAGAAAGTAGAGAATAGATCATAATAAGAACATTTAGAAAAAGAAGTTCAAGAAGCTGAATGAAGTTACCACAATATCAGAAACAGATGTGAATAAAGGTATATGTAAATTCTTTTTCATGTACTGGATCTAAAAAATGTTCAAAATATCCCTGGAAAGTTTTTGTTTGTCTTTTGCTTGGTTTGTTACTTTGTTTTTCTTGGGGAAAGATTTTTTTGAAGGTATTTGTTCCACATTAAGCCATGAAATTGTTTAACTGACTTTACTAAACTTCAGTTTCCTTATCTGTAAATGCAGAAAGATACTACTTATAGCATAGGATTATTTTCAGGATTAAATGAGATAATGCAAGCATAGTGCCAAGTACAGCATCTAGCACTTAGTAAGCATTCAATAGATGTTAGAGGTGATGATGATGATGAGAAAGGAGAGAAAAATGATAATGAGATGGGGACTTCTGTATTTTAAACAGTGCAATGTTTTCCAGTAAAAACTCTGGGGTTTTAAGATTGTTTTAATAGAGTTATATTTGGGTAAATGTAACTAAGTCAAGAAAAAAACATTCAGTCCCTCTGATGGTGAAGCATTCATTCCATGACCGTAAGGAGAGTGAAAAAAAATGCCCCCACGGGCAGGCATGGCTGCAAAGCCACTGATTCAGCATAAGTGTGAGCCTTAGTCATTCAAAAACCAGATTTTTCAACATCTATCTTTTTCTATTGATATGGGCTTGCTTTTCAGATGTGCTTCTGAATGTCAGTGATTAGACAAATTGGAAATATATCAGCAAAAATTATTCTCACTCCTTCTTATTACTTCTTCCTCTCTGTCTTCCTCCTTCTCCTTCTTTCCCTTTTCCTCCCCCTTTTCTTCTTCCTCTTCATCATTTCCTTCCCTTTCTTCTATTCTTCCTATTCCAATTTTTTAAATAATCATCACAGCATCATCATTTATCAGTTATAGCAAACAACTTTTTTTCTTTCCAGCACCTCTTTCTCCTCCTCTTTTTCTTGATTCTTCTTTCCCTCACTTTATATGGTAAAGAGGAGCATGGCCGTTCCTTCCCAATTCTCTACCCAGCCACAGGTGAAGACACAGGTAGAAATCTGGCTAAACAGAGTAACCCAGCTAGCTGAATATGGTAATTGGTGAAGTGTTGATATCTGCCTCAAGGAAAGCCAATTAGACACTTGTCAGATATTTGAGATTTGATATATAGAAGCTGCAAAGAAGATAGAGCCTCCTTCTTCGTGATTAAAAAAAATTTATACAGAAGTTGCCTGTGGCTTTCTTAACCATAATCATTTGGAAGAATTTGTTTGCAGGAGGAAAGAGGCCAAAACAAATATAGAAGAATAAATGAAAGCAAGAGTGCAAGAGAGGCTGAGAGGAAGAGAGGGAGAGAGAATGAGAGAGAGAGGGAGAGATCTAGGGAAGAATTTGATGATAATTTTTGATAACTGGATTCAAAATTTCTCAAGCCACATTTATACATAAAAGTTTTTAGTTACATGAAAACATACCTTTTAAAAAATTGAGCCAGTTTGAGTTGGGTTTTTGTCATTGATACCCCAAATATTTATTACATGATAACTTGAATGAATTAACTTATTAAGGTTCAAGGTATAAATACAAGCACGTAAATTTGTAATCTAAAGGGACATGCAACATAAAAAATACATATTTTTCAGAGCACTCTTATTAGACACAGATAGTTCAACTAAATTTTTCTGGGAGATCTGAATAAGTCATATTCAATAGATGACTCAATTTGAGATAAAGTTTCTTAAGTTTCTAAACATGAAAGCATCTTTCTTATTGTATTCTGTGAACAGCAGTATACTTATACAATATTTGTTTATAAAATTTGTATGGTTTACAAACAGTAGTATAAGGAAAATTTAACATTTGTCATGCATCACGTGAATGGCTGAAACAGACACCACATTTGAAGACAATTTTAAAATCAACAAAATCTGTTATTTTTCATTTGCTTTTAGCTCCAAATTTAAACAGAACAAAATGAATATAGTAAATATTTCACATATGTAAATACTGGTGTCACGTCTCTATTAATCATGTAGTACAACATTTGATATTCTCAATTAAAACCCTTAATTTGCCTGCTATAGTGCCTGCAGTCCCTGGAGTAATTGCTCTCTTATTTTCCTGGATAACTTATTTAGGGGAAAATAAAATAATGAAATGATCTTAAAAATGAAAAGGCCTGAAAATAGCGCTCTTATTTAAATTACAATACTTCACACTCATCTGAGATTTCTTCATCTCTGCAATAACGCAGCTGTTTTCCTCAGGGTGTTCTCACAAGTTCATAAGGAAAAAAATTGTTATGAGCCTTTGGAAACCCCAAGGAAGGCAGCTGTGTTTTTGATAAACTGGCTACAGTTTCAACACTTCAAGCTGTAGAGAAATTTACACGGGAATTTTCTGCATTATATATCCATGAGCAATACATTTTCAACAATAACAACATACACTGTATTTAGTCAAAGTTTACACAGCAGAGCAGCCAGGCTGAACACTGTGAAATTAAAAACCTGACCTTTAGCAGAAGACTCTGCCCTAAACATACAGAGTGTCATTCCCTCCAACCTCTACAAAAACACAAGGGAAATCAGGGCATGGTAAAGAGATGCACTGGCTGAACTTCCCATCAGACATTCCAGCGTCACATGTTTCTTCGCGTTCAGTAGAGGGGATACGTCATAAATCAGTGGCATTAACCAAGGATTTTAGTAAAGAAAAAGTTGACCAGATCTTGAGTGATTGAAGGGTTGGGATGCTGCCAATCCGAAATTCTCTTGTGCATGAGGTTGTCCTGAATCTTCCCTGCTCCCTCACCTTTACTGTCAAAGCACTTATCCTTCCGATTCTGGACAAGGAAGGAAAATCCCCAGATTGAACCTATTTTAATGTTTTGTGTGTACCTTTTTAGGAAGTGTCCCAGGTTGTGTCCACCCAGTCATGCAGGGAAAATCATCATCAGTGTGTCCTATGGTGGAAGGTACTCACTTCTGCCTGATGTGCTTTCACCCCTTGTAGTTGTCTTTGCCTTGCGTTGAACAGCCTCCTAGATGATTCCTCCAGGCACAGCCGTCATTCTTTGTTAGATCTGTTCTCCATCAAACCAGCTCTCGTTATTCAGTGCTTGTTTCTTCCTTTGTGCACCGTTTATCCTGCTGACTTTTCTTTTACAGTTGCTTCTTGCTGCTCTCTTAGGCTTCTAGACAATGGTCATTGCAACAGATTATCTAAGAAAAGTCCAACTTCAACTTACTCTTGAGTGGCATCTCTCTTAAGAGGTCTGTAGAGCTCCATTTATTTGTTTGTCTGTTTATTTATTTGCTTTAGGGAGTGACATTGTTTCTGTGAATATTCACCAATCTCATTTATTGAGCACCTATGAATTCCTGTTATGGATTATATGTGTGTGTTTTCTAATGAAGAGGACAGAGACAGACAAGAAAATAAGTGACTGTTACAGCATGATGTGCACAGTCGGCAGAATAGGCAACACTTACAGCGCTGGAACTCAGGGCGTTCTTGTGGGGTGAAATTAGCAGTCTAACCATTCCTGTGCATTGATCATCACATGAGCAGCCTGCATGCGTGCTAGAGCTTCAAGTGGGTTGTGCTGTTGAATCAGCTACTTCATGTTAGTCTCCTTTTATAGGTGAGTCTCCGAGGTAAAATAATTTTCCAGAGATCATAGAACTAGTAAATGACAGCAGCAGGATTCACAGGTGTGTCTATTTCCAAAGTCCATTTGTATCCTAACACCAAGAGAGACAATCTTTCTTTCTCCTTTATAAACCTGGTTTTATATCTCTGCTATACAGTCCTGGAATCGAGAATCCAAGCTCATATTTGTTACACATTAAGAATAAGTGACATCTAATATAGATAAAAATAAATTATGATAATTTGATTAACTTACCATGTTAATACCTTTACTACCTCTCTTTCACTAGGGCTGGGACAACCAGTAGTGTCACAGACATCAAAGCAACTTCATCTGTCTTATGCTGGACATCACCAATCAAGCACCACATACATTGCATACATCAAAACAACTCAATCTGTCCCATGGTAGACATCATCAGTCAAGCACCACATTCTGCTTTGCTTGTGCCAGGTATAGCCAGTGAGGTCTTCTCCACACAGTGCTCTGAGAATGCTGTACCTACAACCAGCCAGCTTTGGCAGATGTCGTGGGCTAAACTGTGTTTCCCCCCAAATCGTATGTTGAAGTCCTTATCCCCAATACCTCAGGATCTTACTTTATTTGAAGATATGATCTTTGCAGTGGTAATCAAGGTAAAATGAGGTCATTAGGGTGAGCTTTAATCCAATATGGCTGGATTCCTTATAAAAAGGGGAAATTTGGAGACAGATATGAACACAGGGCGAATATCATGTAAAGATGAAGGTAGAGATTCACAAGCCAAGAAGTGTAAAAGCCTTCCGGCAAACCACCAGAAGCCAAGAGAGAAGGAAGCAACAGATCTTCCCTCACAGCCCTCAGAGGAAACCAACCCCAATGGCTGACATCTTACCCTTGGACTTCCAGCCTCTAGAACCCTGAAACAATCAATTACTGTTGTTTAAACCACTCCGTTTCTGATACTTTGTTATGGCAGTCCTACTAAACAAATATAGTAAGTAGGATAAAAGCTATTTCCCACTCCTATATTTGGGAAGGAAGGCAAAAAACAAAACAAAACAAAAAAAACAAATTAGTTGGTTCTACCCTTTCTTCTGCCACTATGATGCCGTGTACCACCAAAACATTATTATTCTTAATCCAAATTCAGTCTTCCTGTTAGAATCAGTATAATGTATGGTCCCATGTGGCAGAATAAATTAGCAATGGATGAAATTAGGTGTTATCTACCTCAAATGTCCTTTAGGCTAAGCAAAGTTAACACATCACAGCAAATCACGGCCACACTCATAGGCAAAGAACTAATACCATTCATTGGTAGCATGAAGCTGGGAGCAGTGGAAGTCACCTTTCACCAGTATTCCTCAACCCCTGTCCAAATTGTGCCACTAATAAAGAGTACCTGCTCATGACACAGCCATGCTAGTAAATCTTGATATTAGGCACTATGATGCTTATATATGTTATTTCAACAAATGGCTATTACCACGAAGTAGAAGGATAAAAGTCAAAGGATGTGTGTGTGTAACGGTATGTGTGTGCATGCTTCATGCTAGGTGAAAATTAGACTATCTTGTATGCTATTGCTAAATGAATAAGTTAATTGATGAATGAATGAATAATTGATGACACAGTGCCCAAAAAAGAGCATAGGTTTTGGCATGAGGCAGAATCAGGTTGCAAAGAATAAAGCACCACCACAGTAACGTTACTTTATTTCATACTCCTTGCTTTCATTGCCACTTTTATGCAAGGACTGCAGGCTCTCTTTCATTGAGCACCTTGACTTAGCTTTCATAGTCCTATTTCTAGCTTTGGGCAAGATTTATCTAAGGAGAACTAGGTGAACTCAGTTGAATAATTCCCACTTCAGGGACAATGACAGCCTTCTCCTCTTTTAGGAAAGAATGACTCTATTGAAAAACCAATGTCTTGTAAATTAAGATTTTATTAATCAATTACCATCTTGCAATAAGTGAGTGCACTAGCAGAAACCAAGCATGATGTACTGCACTAGTGATCAAAGAGTGTGTGGGGATGACATACCCATTTATGTCTCTCAAGGTAAATATTACAATCATAGCTCCCACATTTCCAAGTCCTCTGTGCTGAATGGTACCTATTTTGTTCCTCATTCTTCTAAATTGCCCAATCAACCAGCTGGCCCTGAAGGCACATTCAGCAGTTATGGAACTTTGCATAAGGTAGCTAACGATGTCTTGTGCCTCATGGATTCCTTTTCTGTGACACTAGATTTCTTCCTGGTGTCATACCTGGGTCTTTCTGGCTTTTGAAGGTCATAAATAAGGCCAGAGAATTTTTAAAGTTTGCTCATATACTTTTATATCATACCTCAAGTTCTCTTAAATCAGTAAGTTGTGACCAGGTGTGGTGGCTCACACCTGTAATCCCAGCTCTTTGAGAGGTTGATGTGGGAGGATTGCTTTAGCCCAGAAATTTGAAGATATGGTGAGCTATGATTGCACCACCTGGGCAACAGAGACCTTGTCTCTCCACTCACCCAAAAAAGTTGTCTAAAACCAACCTCAGAATATAGCAAGGCACTAAATGTTTCACCAAAGAGAGGCATAGATTCAGCATCACTTGACACAAGGGTTATGGCCCTCTCCAAATGGTGTTGGTTGACTTAACTGCCTTTTTCTTGTCAGTACTATAGGTAGGAAAGCTCTGTTAAAAGTTCCTTCTAGTCAAGACATTTTTTCCAACTTTTGCTCTTATTTCCTGCTTCTAAATCTTCTGGTCCTAATATAGGAGCTCTATTTAATTCCAATGAAAATTAGTACTTATCTTAAAATAATACCTTAAAGTAAAATTAGTACTTACCTTAAAATAAAGCATATCATGCAATTTTTGAGACATATACTAAAAAATTCCTCCTTGTTTACCTGAAATTCAAATTTAACTGGTTGCCCTGCATTTTATTTGCAAAATCTGGCAACTCTAGTTACATGTAACTTTCAAAGTAATGTATTTCCCTATCTAAAAGAAATTAGCATCAATATAAAATTAACTTATGAAAATCTTTTTGTATGTACATTCAACTTATTAATAAAGGCAACTAAATGGAAAAAAAGGTTGAGAAGTACTGTCACCATGGACGTAGTTTATTTTTTTAAGTCAGCTTTTTCTTTTAAGTAGTCAAGGAATCTTTGATAGGACCTTGGCATCTCTGAATGACAGTCTCTTCTTCTCAGCATTGGAAAAAGAGGAATATTTTTGGTTGCCAAATACCCTTATTTGTATCCCAAGAAGAAAATTGTAAAGCTGAAATTATAACTAACTTAGCCAATGTCATACTTTTTTTTTTTTGGTGTTCTCACCTGAAGATGCTGAAAGAAGGTAGTACTGCTTTTCCGAAAGTGAAAATGTTGTCTTAATATACTAATCCAACTACACTCTCTCACCAAAGATTGTAGTGGCAGGCAAAGCCCCTTGGTCCATGTTGAAGGGAGATGTGGAGTGAACTCACTTGGAAGTAGAACTGCATTTATAGAAGAAATGTTATAGCTGCACATGTCAACTTTTTCTGCTCTATAACAAATGTGCCAACTGGAAGCCCACCTGAAAGTCTGCTGCAAAGCCTAGTGCTGACATAATAGATTAACCTTGATAGTATGCAAACAACGTTTTTGTCTGTACTATTCTCTTGCCTCAGTGATATCACCATGTAATGAGAGAAAGTGATGAGGGAAAAGATCATTATAAGTGTCTTAGTGAAAGGTAATTCAGAGCATAGCAAATAAAACTATACATAATTGGTCAAGAACAAGGACTTGAATTTGAGGACAATCAGGTATAGGATGTCTTCTGTGTTCCTTTGGAATGCAGCTCTGTGAGACAGCAGGTACATATTTGCTGCAAAAGTATAACATATGGTGAAGGGAAATTGAAATGAGCTAAGGGACAAACCAAATACAGTATTTTCTCTTTTCCTTATAATACAAGTGATATGTTGCTAACAGAAAAATAGGATTCAGTGTATTTCGAACTTGAATATAAGGATGATACCCTTTTGGAAACATAGTGACTGACACTGGACATGTATAGGGAGAATTTTAAATGATATATGAATTTAGTAAAAGTACAGACATCATTTCCTAGTGGTCCAGAACATACACAGAACACAAATTGTCAAGCCAAGAGACTTATAAATACAGCAAACTCTTCTGTTCTCAGATAAAACTGTAAAAATAAATGAAGTCATCAACAATATCAAGTGTAATTTAATAATAATTTTTCATTCGACATTTAATAGTTTCCAGACGGCTTGATATTTCTCCAAAAATAAAGATAATATATACATTTATGAAATGAAAGCAAGCAGTTAATTATTTTCTAGAAATAGAAGCAAAAATCTGATAAAATATGCAATTTAGATTTATCAACTACATTTATCTATAATCATAGATATATAGAAGAATATTTAATAAAGATATGTATTTAATTTGCTTCAGAAGATTTACCTCATTCAGGAAGTGTTCATTTTTTTCTCTGCTTAATTTTCTCCTTTCTATCCATGTTTTTATTTGTGAAGTATACTTGTTTCCTATTATGAGTTATTTGATAGTAAAACATTATTTTAATTTTTCTTCTTTAACACAAGTTGGAAAATGGCTTTAAATAACTGTACACAGGAACTTAGCTAATGCTTGTCATTCTACTAGACCCTGTGAATGTTAAATGCCCAAGGATAAGAGGATGTAATAGGGTATTTTGATGTGTTTTGCACTTGCTTTATTGCGCATACATAAGGCGCAAAACAGGGACTTCAACATTGTTTCTGTAGTGTCAACTTTTTTCTTGTGTCCTGAACCTAATGATTTTTCTTAGTCCCAAGATGTTTATAATATGGTTTAAGGCATTCTACAACTCAAAAAAGTTTAAGGCACCCCACAACTCAAAAAAGGTCATGGGAATTTAAAATAAAATGGAAAAGTAAACAACATTTCCTTATATAGCAGCCCTGGTGGGTATGGCAGGAGACATTCACCAAGATACATATGTAACACAAACCTTATAAACTTTTTAAAAAGAGATATCATATAGCATATGTTCTTAGACCACAATGGAATTAAAATATAAACCAATAGAAAGATATTTGAAAAATCCTCAAACAATTGGATTTTAAACCATACACTTCTAAGTAACCCAAAGGTCAAAGAGTAAGTCTCAAAGGAAATTAACTAAATGAAGATGAAACCGTATTAAAATTTGTGGAATGCAGCTAAGGCAGTGCTTACAGGGAAACTTTATGTTAAATATTTATATTATAAAGGAAGAAACATCTTGATTCAGTAACCTAAGCTTCCACATTAAGGGCCTAAAGAGAAAAAAAAAAACACAAGAACAAGTTAAATCTAAAGGAAAGAAAGAAAAGTTATAATAAAGGTAATATCAGAAATCAATAAAGTTGATAACAGAAAAAAAGTGAGAAAAACCATTCAAACCAAAATCTGATACTTTGAAAAGATCAATAAAATGGATAAACTTCTGTGATGGTTAATTGTCAACTTGATTGGAATTAAGGATCCAAAGTATTGTTCCTGGGTGTGTCCATGAGGGTGTTGCTAAAGGAGATTAACATTTGAGTCAGTGGACTGGGAGAAGCAGACCCACCCTCAGTCTGTGTGGGCACCATCTAATCAGCTGGCAACTGCCTGGCTAGAATAAAGCAAAAAGAAGAACGTGGAAAGACTAGACTGGTTTAGTCTTCTGGCCTACATCTTTCTCCCATGCTGGATGTTTCCTGCCCTCGAACATCAGACTGCAAGTTCTTCAGCTTTTGGACTCTTGGATTCACAGCAGTGGTTTGCCAGGGGCTCTTGGGCCTTTGGCCACAGACTGAAGGCTACACTGTCAGCTTCCCTACTTTTGAGGTTCTGGGACTCAGACTGATCCACCACTGGCTTCCTTGCTCCTCAACTTGTACACAGCCTATCATGGGGCTTTACCTTGTGATCCTGTGAGTCAATTCTCCTGAATAAACTCTGTTTCATATATACATCTATCCTATTAGTTCTGTCCCTCTAGAGAATCCTGACTAATACAACCTCTAACCAGACTGACATAGAAAAAAAAAAAGAAAGAGAAGACAAAAAAATAACATTAGGAATGAGAGAGATGGTATCACTATTCACTCCATAGATACTCAAAAGCTAATAAGAGCATGCTACAAATATATTTAAGAATGGAGAGAATAATGCCAAGTCATTGAAATGTCCAAACTGTCAAAACTTGCAAAATAAATATGTGTGTATGTTGTAACTTAAGCGTTCCTATATTACTATATCTACTAAAGATTGACACTATAGATAAAAACCTTCCAAAAATAAAAACTTCAGGCTCAGGTGGTTTCTGTTCCAGAGTCTACCCAAAATTTAAGAAAGACATAATTCATCTTTTATAGTTTCTCCCAGGAAATAAGAGAAAAATATACATTGCTTTAATGTAAAAATCAGATAATTATACTATATAGCAGTACATCATCATCAACATACATAAAAATTTTCAATCCCATTAAAATGTAGCACTGTATATATATAAATGTATATATATTCATGTGTGTGTTTGTGTGTGTGTACAGTATTTTGGGATGAACCCCATTTGTCATGGCCATATTTATATAAAATATATAAAAATTTATGTATATTTATATATATAATTATATAAACAAATACATAAAAATCATTACAAGTGACGTTCATCCCAAAATACAAAAAGTTCAATATTCAATGTAATTCACCATATTAGTAAACCAAAAAAACACATGATTATCTCAGTAGATGCAGAACAAAACATTCAACACGATTCAAATCTATTGTAGATAAAGGCTCTCAGGAGGCTGGGCGCTGTGGCTCATGCCTGTATTCCCGCCACTTTGGGAGGCCGAGGTGGGTAGATCACCTGAGGTAGGTGTTTGAGACCATCCTGGCCAACATAGTAAAACCCCATCTCTACTAACAACACAAAAATTAGCTGGGCATGGTGGCGTGCATCTGTAATCCCAGCTACTTGGGAGGCTGAGGCAGGAGAATTGCTGGAACCCGGGAGGTGGAGGTTGCAGTGAGCCAAGATGGTGCCACTGCACTAGCACTCCAGCCTGGGCAACAGCACAAGACTCTGTCTCCAAAATAAAAAAAAATTTAAAAAAAAGGCTCTCAGCAAACTAAGAAGAGAACTCCCTTAATCTAATAAAGGGCATCTCTGAAAATATCTGTACTAATATTATGCCTCATGGTGACATGGTGAGGGACTGTTTTTCCTTAAGATTGAAAAGTTGGAAGACTGTCCTGTCTCACCACTCCTATTCAATGTTACACTGAAAGCACTAGCTCACTAGCTGTGCAATAAAACAAGGCAAAGAAAAGCATATAGATTAGAAAGGAAGAAATAAAATTGCTTTAATCTGTAGACTAAATGATTGTGTAAGTAGAAAATTGCAAAGAATCTTCATAAGAGCCCCTAGATCTAATAAGTGAATTCAACAAGTTGCAGGATACAAGGTCAATACACAAAAGTTAATCATATTCTTATACACAAGCAGTCCATAATTGGAAATTAAAATTTTAAAAATACCCTCATAAGGTATTAAAAACAGTGCTTAGATATGAATCTAAGAAAACATGTGTAGTAAGATCTGTATGCTAAAATCTACACAAAACTAAACGAATTATTCAAAGATCTAAATAAAGAGAAATACCATATTTATGGATTAAAAGACTCAGTATTTCCAAAATCTTAATTCCCCCCAACTTGACCCATAGATTTAGGCATTGCCATTGAAAATCCAAGGAAGCATATTTTATAGATGTTTATAAACATTTTAAAATTTATGTGGAAAGAAAAAGGAAGTAGAATAGCCAAAATTATCCTGGAAAAAAAAAACAAAAACAAAGAGGACTCACATTACCTAATTTCAAGATATACTATGAACTACAGTAATGAAGACAATGTGGTATTGACAAATGGGTAGATCAATGGAAGAGAATAGCTAGCCCATATATAGACCCATAAACATATACCAACTGATTTTTAACAATGGCGTGAAAGCAATTAGATGGAGAAAGGATAGTCTTTTCAATAATTGTTGCTGGAACACTTAAATACTCACATGACAAAAGGGAATCTCAATACCTACCTTATTTATTCCTGATACAAAAATTAACTCAGAGGAGATCATGGACCTAAACGTAAAATATTAAAAAATAAAACTTTAAGAAAACATAGGAAAAAATCTATATGATGTTTGTATTGTCATATTGGGTTTGTCAGAGGTTTTTTAGATGTGACACCAAAAGTATGATCCATAAAACCTATAAGTTGGGCTCTATCAATATTAAAAACTTAGGCTCAATGAAAAACCCTGTTAGGAGAATGTAAAGATAAGCCCCAGCAGGGAGAAAATATTTGCAAGCCATATATCTGATAAAGGACCTACACCCAGATGATATCAAGAACACTTAAAATTCAACAATATGTAAAGAAATGAACAAAAGATTTGAACAGACACTTCACTGAAGAAGATATATAGATGACAAATGAACACATGAAAATACGCTCAATGTCATTTGTCATTAGGAAAATATAAATAATTAAAACCAAAATTATAAACCACCAAATTCTTATTAGAATAGCTAAAATGAAAAATATTAATAATACTAAATGCTGGCAAAGATGTGGAGCAACTGGAATTCACAAAGGCTAATCTTGAAAATCAAATTATGAAACTTAAGTAGAGATTGTTAGAAAATTCCAAAGAACATGATTAAGGTAAGAATTAATATGAAAGATTTTGAGTTTCATAAATACAGATATCTACATGAAGACAGATAATTTGCAATTTCCACAAAATAGATATCAATTAAAAATTTAAAATATGGTGATTGCTATGGTTTGAATGTGTCTCTCAAAGTTCATGTGTTGGAAATTTAATCCCTAATGCAACATTGTTGAGAGGTGGGACCTTTAGGACACGATTAGGTCATGTGGGCTCTGACCTCATGAACTGATTATGTTCCTATCTAGAGAGTGGCTTCCTCATTACAAGAGTGAGATGTGTCATAAAAGTGAATTCAGCCCTCTCTTGCTATCTCTTGTGTGCTCTTTCACCATGTGATGCCTTCTGCCATGTTATAACACAGGAAGAAGAACCTCACAAGATGTGATGCTTTGGTTTTGGACTTACCAACCTTCACAAGCATGAGCTAAGCAAATTTCTATTCTTTATAAATTACCTAGTCCTGTGTATTTTGTTATAGCAGAACAAAATAGACTAAGACAGTAGACAGTCAACAGAGAGTAGTATGAATCCACTGTAAATCTTTTCTCACATTTTTAATTTGATTAATCATTATAATCCTTTTCACTTGTCAGAAAGTAAATACTGATATCCTTTTACTTATACTAATGTCAACACACTTTTAATGTACATTTATAAAATTTTTCAAAAATTATTTTTTTAATTGATGTAATGCATTTTTATTATTCAAGTGACTCCTATGTGTATATACAAATTATCCTGATCATTCATGAGTTCAGATCTTTTGATATACATTTTCAATGACTTGATGAAATTATTTTGTTCACTGACAACAATAATTACTATGAAAATGGATATAAATGTATAAAATTAAATGATAGTTCCAAATGACAAAACAAGAAGCTGAGCCATGTAAGTAAACAAATTAATTTTCTTGGATATTATTTTACAGGTGTCACATTTGAAATATGTTATTATTGAGTGTATTTGGCTCCATTCTCTTCTACATGCTTTTTCAGTTATCACAAGGAGACGCACTTTCTGGGCTTCTCTACTTATATGTTCTTCTGGAGTACCATTGGTTGTGTAAATGGGGTGAATGGAATGGATTTTTATCTGTATCTTTTCGTAAAGTTCATTTTTCTTAAGAAAACAATATGGATTTAGAGTTAGTTTCATGACCTAATAGCTCTGCAATCTTGATCAGGAGAATATCTATCTGAAACTGTTTTCTTTTCATCTCAATTAAACAACTAACATGCTTGTTGTGAAAATTAAATAAACAATGGTAAGAGATAATGTCTGGCACATAACAGTCTCTCAATAAAAGTTAGTCAATAGTTTCTTCTCTTTTTTCCTTTCCTTTTCTTGATTCCTCTGAGAGAATAATTTGTACATTTTGTTGTTGTTGATCCCCAAGAATGCTGAAAGTGTAGTAGAATGTAGTGGGGAAAAAATAGAAGTTTATAATATACTTTATAAGGTTACATGAGTTGATGCCTTATAAATTGATGGTTGAAGCCCTTGCTATGTAGGAATATTGCTGATGTAATATAAAAGTATTCTGGAAAGAAATCAAGTCAATTTATCTGAGATTTTAGGGCACCCCAAATCCTGCATAAACCTGCATGTTATAAGTGTGCTTAGAGACACAAAGATGAACAGGAAGAGTCCTGGCCCTTAAGGAAGGTGCAACTAACTTGATAGAGATATGAAATAAGCTATAAAGTACCCATAAAACAGAGCAGAATAAAATAAACGCTAGGTTGAGGTAGAAACAGTGTGCTGCTGTGAGATAGGAGAAAGAAAAACTGTTTTTATTTGAATTTTAGTGAGAGATACTGCAAAACTTGATACAGAAAATGGCAAAAAAGTGACTGGATTTTTCCCATGGTGCCACATTCTTATTTCACACAATTTTGGAGTTTAACTAACATGCATGTCATATAATGTGCCAAGTTTGGGCTAAAAGATGGCACTGCAAAAAACAAAGGAAAAGTTATTTTTGTCCCAATACATTAGCTAATGTGCTAATAAGGGAGTCACGTAGGTTAGCTGGCATATTGTCCATAAATTTGCTAATGTACTTAGGAAATGTGTGCGAAAGTAATTTGGAAGTATTTTCATGTTCCATATAGTAGTGTAGTAGTAGCAGCAGTGGTAGTAGGAGTAATAAAATGGCAGCAGTAGGAATAGTGACCCCGAGTGCTACTTCATAAGTAAATCACTGTCTTTTTTGTTCTGTCAGTGTCTACATTACTTATCTGTTTGATTAGTGTTTTTATAATGAGTGTCAATGTAGGCTTTTTTGCAATATGTTTTATTGAGATGTAATTTACATACAACAAAATGCACAGATATTAGGTATACTGTTCAACGAGTTTTGATAAATGCATAAAATGCAACTTACATCTATATAAAAAAATAGCATATTTCCACAATCCCAGAAAGGTCCCAAACTATCCTGTTTTTATTTTTATGATCAGATGTTTTCATTTTTATGATTACCAATTGGTTTTTTTCTGTTATAGAGCTTCTTATAGAAATACAGTATGAATAAAATATGTATTTTATGTCTGGCTTCATTTACTCAACATAATGCTTTTGAGGTTCAGCAATGTAATTAGGATACTAGAAATTTGTTTCTTTTTATTTTTGAGTTGGATTCAGTGATTTGGTGATAACTGTTTAACAACTGGATTTCAAGCAAACAAACAAAAACTGAGTGTTAGTGTTTGTCTATTCCCATGATGTAAATACTCTGAGGGTAGCCAATTTCATGCTACTAACATGTCCTCCATCATTTTGAAAAATTACTGAGAACTGAACAGCTACTTCTTGTGACCCAGCATGAGCTGGCTCCAACACACTACAGGTCATCTCCCATTGTATGAGTATAGTACAACTTGTTTTCAATAATACAACTTTTATATTATTATGACTAAAGCTCTTACAAATATTCTTTTGCAAGTTTTTGGGTAAAAATACATTTCCATTACTCCTAGATAAATACATAGAAGTAGAATTGGTTAGTCATAGGGTACGTATAAGTTTAACTTTATAAGAAAAAATTGCCAAACACTTCAAAGATATTGCAACATTTTGTACTTTCAACAAAGTCTAGCAGTTCCAGTTGCTCCATATATTTGATATTATCACTCTTTTTAATTTCAGCAATTTTTATTCAAATCATGTCTCACTGTGTTCTTTTTTTCCTTTTACGACTAATAGTGATGAGGAGTATTTCATGTGCTTATTGGCCAGCTGTTTATGTTTCTTTGTGAAGTGTCTGTTTAAGTCTTTTGACCATCTTTAAGGTCAATTACTGAATTGTAAGAGTTCATTATTACATCTTAACATAAAGTTCTTTGTCATATATAGTATACATTATATATCTATATATCTATAATTTATCATCTATCAATTATCTATCTATCTATCTAATATTTTCTCCCAGGTTGTGACTTGCTTATTTTCCTTTTTGGTGACTTTCACTAAATTAATGGACTTTTTTTAGAGCAGATTTGGTTTCACAGAAATGTAGAAAGTACAGAGAATTCCTTTATACACATTGAAAAAGGGAAGAGAATGCTCAATCTATTTTTTTCCTTTTAAAAAACTGGTGAAAGAGTATCTCAGCTTTTGTTTACCTGAACAAGCCTATAGTTTATTTTCATTTTGTAGAAATATTGTTTTAAATACAGAATTTTTGTTTTTATAGTTTTAGTATTTTTTTCAGCATTTGAATGATGTTATTCCATTATCTTGTGGCTTTCATTTTTTCTGATGAGAAGACAGAATATTTTATATTATTTCCCCCTTGGTCCTCATGTATAATATTTTTTTTCTTGATTGTTTTAGGATTTTTGTTCTTAGTTTTAGATTTTAGAGATTTCCCTATGATACACAGGTGTAGTTTCCTTTATATTTCTTCTGTGAGCTTCTCAGATTTGTGGTTTGATTATTTTTTCTACTTTGGTAAAATTTCAGCCATTATTTCTTCAGTTTTTTAAAATGAGTTCATTTCTTTTTCCATTCTAGTATTCTAGTTATAAACAAGTTAGGACCCTTGACAATGCCCTACATTTTTGAAGCCCTGTTCATTCTTTTTATTTCAGTGTTTTTCTCTCTTGATTGATTGTATATGCTTTCTATTGCTCTGTCTTCAAGTCTATTGATCTTTCATTTTTAGAGTTTTTAGTTTGTTATCAAGCCCATTTATTAAATTTGACATGTTAATTATTGTATTTTTCAGTTATAGGATATTCATATGGCTTTTTAAATTTGTTTGTTTTCATTTCCTGGCTGAAATTATCTTTCTGTTCACTCATTGTGATCATGATTTTTGTTAAATCCTGAGCACACATGTATTGTATTAGCTGTGTGTGTGTGTGTGTGTGTGTGTGTGTGTGTATGTTTGTTTCTATTTTGGGGACCTTGCTGACCCTAGAAGAAATACCTCTTTCGGGACTAGTCAGTTCCTTCAGATAGTAAATAGCTTGTCTTTGAGCCTAACTTTCATATGCAAACCAATCCAGAGCCCACGCCCCCAGCCACCTCCTCTACTGGGCTCTCATACTCTGGGAAACTGTCCACCTGCCGTAATTACCCCTGGGCCAAGTACCAGGCAACTAGGGGCAGTCCCTATGCCCTAGAGCCCACAAAAATTATTCAGATTAGCCAGTCCTAAGCCTGCTTACTCTGCCCCAACTGTATGAATATAGTACCATTTATTTTTAACTGCATGAATATAGTATAACTTGTTTTCAATAATACAACTTTTGTATTATTATGACTAAAGCTACTACAAATATTCTTATGCAAGTTTTTGGGTAAAAATACATTCCCATTACTCCTAGATAAATACCAAGAGTTAGAATTGCTTAGTCATAGGGTATGTGTATGTTTAATTTTATAAGAAAAAATTGCCAAACATGTTTTTCAAAGATATTACAACATTTTGCACTTTCAACAAAGTCTAGCAGTTCTAGTTGCTCCATATATTTGAAAATATTTGGTATTGTCACTCTTTTTAAATTTTAGCCATTTTGATGAAAGTCACGTCTCATTGTGAAACATTTGAACACAGACACGGAAAATACAGGCTGTGCTTTCCCCTTGATCCCTCTGCCTCCTGACTGATCATGGTGATTCCCCAGTTGGCTCCCCCAGGGTATGGTATACCCCTTCTCTTGGAATATGTGAGTATAACAAATGACCTTTTCAATGTCAGTCATCTCCTGATCTGTTGGCATTGTCATATCTATCTACTAATAAAACATTTTAAAGCACCCACAAACACATATGCACACTTATACATATACCCACATATAAGCATACATATATGTCAACATATTAACATTTGCTAAACATTAACATCTCTGGCCTTTTTCCAATTATGGGTCACATTTTCGTGCTTCTTTTTATATTTTATATTGATTTCATTGAGTGCTGGAAATTGTTGATGTTTTACTATAATTCTGAACTTTATTTTCATTAGACAGTGTTAATTTTGTCAGACAATTACTTCATTGTTACATCAGCTTGATCTCATCAATACTTGGTTTTAAGCTTTGTTAGGTTGAATCCAGTAGAGCCCTCACTCTAGGGCATAGTTTTTTCCCTAAGGCATGTCATTTCTAGTGTTTTAGCTGAATAACCATTGTCTTAATAAGGCCACCTCATCCTACCTGGAGGGAGTTCTAACATTTTCCTGCACCATATAAGTTCTAAAATCTCTATTCTTCTCACAGCTTCCAGAAGGTCTGGTAGAATCTCACCTATTGCATCCACAGCTTAGTATTTAGCCAAAGATGGAAGGGGAACCCTATTCATATCCTTGAGGTATCATCTCTAGACAGCTTTTTATCCTGCTGTTATCCTGCTCCATATTTCCAACTCCCTCAGTAGCCTTGATATTGGTGTTGACTTTCTCTGCACAGTGGGCCTACTGCTACCTGTTTGACTCTAGTCTCGTACCAATGTTTGGATGTGAACACAGAAAGTTCAGGTGAATGTGACACTAACATTCTGAATATACTTTCTCTTAAGGATTATAGACCCGTGTCTCTGTTTTCCAATGCACAGACAGAATTGCTTCTTATATTTTGTCCAATATTTATAAATATTTATAGCAGGAGATCAAGTCTGATACTCCTTTGTCAAAACTAAAACCAGAGTGCCAATATATGCTTTTTTGGGAAATTTTTTTTATGGTTGTTTTCTGAGAGAGGTAAAATGTAGAAATTTCTTACCTTTTTCCTATTACTCATTCTGGTATTGCTTTAGGATTGTTTTTGAATATTATGCCAACTTCAAGTGACATCTGTGAATTTTGTTCTCTTTCTTATTTCAAGTCTTCCATACATGCTATAATTCTTCCACAAATTGCTCTCTTACACAATGAATTTCTCTGTGAACTTGTCTTGTCTCATGCATTCAGGTTTTTGAGACCTCACTCTATTATGATGAGCACATTAGGGACTATGTGGATAACTCATTATGATTTTAGTGCTTTCAAAGAAGAACTATAATGATAAAAACTTGAAGGGAAAAGTACCTTAATAAAGTATATTTTACAATTTCTAATTTTATGAGCTATAATAGGATTTATTGTAAAAGTTTCACAGAATATGATTAACTTTAGTCTGCACAGGCTCAATAATTATTTTGAGATAGATTTAGTTGATTTCTTAACAATAATTGGTTCAGCATAGGATCTGTTTGATTTAATTGCTAATAGAGCCTAAAACAATTTGACCATATTTCAGAATAAGGAGATAAGGTTGATTATATGTAGATATGATCGCAATTCATAGATCAGTAAATTGAGAAATAACTCCTCCAGCGCTTCAGGCCATTCCAATAGTTAATTTGGGTCACTGTATAGTAAGTTCTATTGAATGATGCTTGCTCAATAAACACTGATTGAACCTACGCCCTACAAAGAGATTGAACTCAGAGCATGAGAAAACATAGGGAAATCATGGTTACATTTAACATCTTTGTATTTGTCTGCCAGGGCTGTTGTAACAAAATATTACAGGCTAGGTGGCTTAAACAACAAAAATTTATTTCCTACATTTCTGGAATTTTGAAAGTCCAAGATCAAGGTGGTGACGGATTTGGTTTCACCTGATGCCTCTCCTTGGCTAGCAGCCTTCATGCTGTGTCCTCACATAATCTTTCCTCTGCACCCAGGCATCCTGATGTCTCCTTCTGTTCTAATGACACGAGTCATATTGAATTAGGGCTCCACTCTCATGAGTTTAGTTAGCCTTAATTACCTCCTTAAAGATTTTTCTCCATATACAGTCACATTGGGGGTTAGGGCTTCAACAACATATGAATTTTGGAAGGGGACGCACTTCAGTCCATGACAATCTTCATGTGACAGTATATTCATATGTAAGAATGCATATCAAATACCAAGAAAAATACTAAGCTATGAAGTTTTTGCTCTTAAGTTTTGCAAACAGGATTAAAATTTTTTTTTCTAAAGAGGACGTAAAAATCCCATAACTGGGTGGTAACTATTTGAAGATAAAATTAGATAAAATAGAAAATATGCAAATACAATTTGAAATTTATAAACTTGATAGAAACATAAGGTTTCTATCATTATATATGTTAAGATTCAGGCTTCCTAGCTTCTCTTTAATGTCCTCTCTGGTGATGTGCTCTCAGGCAAAGACCTCACACTTTAGTGTGGACCTAATTCTACACCTTTTCACTCTTAAAGATGAAATCTGCATTAGTCAGTGTCCTCTAGAGGGAGAGAACTAACAGGATAGATGCATATATGACGGGGAGTTGATTAAGGAGTATTGACTCACACAGTCACAAAGTTAAGTTCCACAATAGGCCGTCTGCAAGCTGAGGAGCAAGGAAGCCAGTTCGAGTCCCAAAATCTCAAAAGTAGAAAAGCCAACAGTGCAGCCTTCGGTCTGTAGCCAAAGGCCCAAGAGCCCCTGGCAAACCACTGGTGCAAGTCCAAGAGTCCAAAAGATTAAGAGCTTGGAGTCTGACGTTTGAGGGCAGGAAGCATCCAGCATGGGAGAAAGATGAAGGCCGAAACACTCAGCAAGTCTGCTCTTCCATCTTCTCCTGCCTGCTTTATTTTGGGCACACTGGCAGCTGATTAGATGGTGCTCACCCAGATTGAGGGTGGGTCTGCCTCTCCCAGTCCATTGACTCAAATGTTAATCTCCTTTGGCAACATCCTCACAGACATACCCAGGGTCGGTACTTTGCATGTTTTAATCCAATCTAGTTGACACTCAACATTTAACCATCATAAGTTCACCCCTTGTCAACTTGAATCCATACACATCTCCTGAAATCATACATAATCTTCAGATAAAATAATAAGGTCATAATTACAGCTATCCCTCATACAACTGGAAGCATAAAATTCTCACCCCAAATGCTATTACATAAAGTTAACAACACTTAGATGCTGATAAAAATCAATAAATCTTATGTCACATGATAAAGGACAAATAAAGGAAATAAAATGAAGATTTTTCTTAGTACAAGTGTATATATGCAGAAACACATTCTTAATAAAGAGGAAATACTCATGACAATTACAGTCATGTAGTTGCAGCTGGTATTGATGACTACCTTCTTTTACTACCCATTCTGTATTCCCTTTGCCTTCAGCAAGCACCTCAGCAATTCGTGGTTTTTTTACCTGATGGAGTGGCTTAAACCTTCATTCTTGAAGGGACTCGGCCATTTGTAGTCCTACCTGAATTGGGTTCTTGTAGTTTCCCATTGATCTTAATCACAGGGCATGGTAAAACTAGAAAATACCTTAAGGAATCTCCTGTATTTCATACATACTCTTCCTTACCTCCATTGTGGAGTAGTAGACTGATTTTGTCTTGATAATCTGGGTCAGTCACTGCAGCCAACACTGTAACTCCCTTTTTAGCCTGTTGACTTAGAGGTAGGAGGAGCCCAAAGTGGCCAGGTGGCAATCTTAACTTTCAGTTTAATGGAATCGTTGTTGTGTCTCTTGGTGGCAGCATTCCTCCCTCTGCAACTAAGACCTCTAGGCCAGCATGATGTAATGTCATGGGAATAGGAAGCAAAATTTTTGCTAGTGGGTCACTAGGGGTGATGGTGAGTGGTGCCACTTTCACTTCCACACCTTGATTCCAGCACCCATGAATCCCGGCCATGGGAGAAACGGTACCATATATTGGATGCAGATTCAGAATATATACGGCCTTCTGAATAACTTTGCCCTAGCCCTGCAAAGTATTGTCAAAAGGCCATTTCACCATTCTGTCAAACCAGCTGCTTCAGGATGATGGGGAGCATGGTAAGATCAGTGAATTCCATGATCATCAGTCCTCTGCTGCACTTGTTTAGCCATAAAGTGAGTGCCTTGGTCAGAGGCAATGCTATGTGGAATACTTTGATGGTCGATAAGGAATTCCATGAGTCCATGGATGGTAGTCTTGGCAGATATATTGCATGCAGGATAGGCAAACCTATAGCCAGAGTAAGTGTCTATTCTGTTGGAGACAAACTGGTGCCCTTTACATGATGGAACAGGTCCTATTTACTATATTAGTTCATTCTCATGCTGCTATAAAGGACTGTCCCAGACTGGGTAATTTATAAAGGAAAGAGGTTTAATTGACTCACAGTTCCTCATGGCTGGGGAGGCCTCAGGAAACTTACAATCAAGGCAGAAGGAGAAGCAAACACATACTTCTTCACGTGATGGCAGGAAGGAGAAGTGCCAAGCAAAATGCGGAAAAGCCCCTTATACAACCATCAGATCTCATGAGAACTCACTCACTATAATGAGAACAGCAGCATGGGGGTAACCAACCCCGTGATTCAATTACCTTCCACCAGGTCCCTCCCACAATATGTGCGGATTATGGGAATTACAATTCAAGATGAGATTTGGGTGGGGACACAGCCAAGCCATATCATTCTGCCCATGGCCCCTCCCAAATCTCATATCCTCACATTTCAAAACACAGTCATGCCTTCCCAACAGTCCCCAAAGTCTTAACTCATTCCAGCATTAACCTGAAAGTCCAAGTCCAATGTCTCATCTGAGACAAATTCCTTCTGCCTATGAGTCTGTAAAATAAAAAGCAAGTTAGTTACTTCCTAGATATAATGGGGGTCAGGCATTGGTTAAATACACCCATTAAAAATGGGGAAATTGGCTAAAATGAAGGGGCTACAGGCCTCATGCAAGTCCAAAATCCAGCAGGGCAGTCAAATCTTACAGCTCTGAAATAATCTCCTTTGACTCCATTTCTCACATCCAGGTCAAACCTATGCAAGAGGTAGGCTCCTATAGCCTTGGGCAGCTCTGCCCTGGGGCTTTATAGGGTTCAGCCCCACTACCAGCTTCCTTTATGGGCTGGCATTGAGGGTTTGTGGCTTTTCCAGGTACACAGTGTAAGCTGTCAGTTGATCTCACATTCTGGGGTCTGAAGGATGGTGGCCCTCTTCTCACAGCTCCACTAGGCAGTGCCCAAGTGGACACTGTGTGTGGGGGCTCCAACCCCATATTTTCCTTCCAGAGGTTCTCCATGAGGACCCTGCAGCAAACTTCTTTCTGGACATCCAAGTGTTTCTATACATCCTCTGAAATCTAGGTGGAGGTTCCCAAACTTCAGTTCTTGAATTCTGTGCACCTGCAGGCTCACACCACATGGAAGCTGCCAAGCATGGGGCTTGCACCCTCTGAAGCCATGGCCAGAGGCGTATCTTGGCCCCTGTTAGCCATGGCTGAGATATAGGGCCCCAAGTCCCAAGACTGCAGAAAACAGCAAGCCCCTGGGCTTGGCCCACAAAACCATCTTTTCCTACTAGGCCTCTGAGCCTGGGATTGGAGGGGCTGCCGTGAAGACCTCTGACATGCCCTGAAGATATTTTCCTCATTGTCTTGGTGATTAACATTTGGCTCCTTGTTACTTAAATTTCTGCAGCTGGCTTGAATTTCTCCTTAGAAAATGGGGTTTTCTTTTCTATCGCATCATCAAGCTGCAAATTTTCTGAAATTTCTTTCTCTGTTTTCCTTTTAAACATAAATTCTAATTTCAAACCATATCTTTGTGAATACATAAAACTGAATGCTTTTAACAGCACCCAAGTCATAACTTGGACGATTTGCTGCTTAGAAATTTCTTCTGCCAGATACCCTAAATCATCTCTCTTAAGTTCAAAGTTCCACAGATCTCTATGGCAGGGGAAAAATGCTGCCAGTCTCTTTGCTAAAACATAGCAAGAGACACTTTTATTCCATTTCCCAAAAAGTTCCTCATCTCCATCTGAGACCACCTCTGCCTGGACTTCATTATCCATATCACTATCAGCATTTTAGTCATATCTATTCAACAAATCTCTAGGAAATTCCAAACTTTGGCACATCTTTCTGTCCTCTTCTGAGCCCTCCAAACTGTTCCAACCTCTGCCTGTTACCCAGTTCCAAAGTCATTTCCACATGTTTGGGTATTTTTACAGCAGTGCCCACTACCCAGTACCAATTTACTGTATTATTCCATTTTCACACTGCTATAAAGGACTGCTGGAGACTGGGTAATTTATAAAGGAAAGAGGTTTAATTGACTCACAGTTCCGCATGGCTGGGGAGGCCTCAGGAAACTTAACTATCATGGCAGAAGGGGAAGCAAGCACGTTCTTCTTCACATGATGGCAGGAAGGAGAAATGCCAAGCAAAATGTGGAAAAGCCCCTTATAAAACCATCAGATCTCGTGATAACTCACTCACTATCACCAGAACAGCAGCATGGAAATAACTGCCCCCATGGTTCAGTTACCTTCCACCAGATTCCTTCCACGATATATAGGTATTATGGGAATTACAATTCAATATGAGATTTTGGTGGGGACATTGTAAAACCATGTTAATATCTTAATCCATATTACTAATTATAAACATTTGCCATGTGGTTATAGGTTTGGGGGCAAAAAAATTCTAAGTTCACATAAACTCATTTTACCTATAGATAAGTTTAGTCCATGTAGTGGAGGCTGCAAGGGCAGGATATGTCCTTAGAACCCCAAGAAGTGATGCTTGAGAAAGAAAACCCAGGTTTACAGAGGCCTCGACATTCAGAAAAGTGTAATCAGAAAATGTAAGGAAAAGTCAGACAAAACAAATAGGTCAATATGACACATAAATGTAGACTTTTTTGAATGTCCCCTTGAAAGGAAACATTATTTCTGCCACTCTACTCATTTCAACCTGAATTCCCCAATATAGATTTTGATCTTTTGCAGAAGTTACAACTGGTCATTTACAATTATATGTGGTTCTTAGTTATGCATATTGGTACTGCCCAGGGATTAAAATTTTCTTTGTTATTCTTCCTGCTACGTTTTTGAATTTGGGATATTTTCTAGGTAAACTTAATATCTGCCTTCCTCTGAAAAATTGAAAATATCTGGTCACACCAAATGCTCAATCATCTGACACTGAGTAGTAGTTATCTCTTAAAGGGGCACATACTATGTGTTCCATCCTCGTCTCAGTAGGCCTACTTCACTCATGTGTGTTATCTGCTCAGACCCAGTAGCCATTTAAATTTATGATTCCTTGATTGAGACGGAGTCTCTCTCTGTCACCCAGCTGGAGTGCAGTGGTGCAATCTTGGCTCACTGCAAGCTCCGCCTCCCGAGTTCCCGCCATTCTCCTGCCTCAGCCTCCTGAGTAGCTGGGACTACAGGCACCCGCCACCATGCTCAGCTAATTTTTTGTATTTTTAGTAGAGACAGGGTTTCACTGTGTTAGCCAGGATGGTCTCAGTCTCCTGACCTGATGATCCACCCGCCTCAGCCTCCCAAAGTGCTGGGATTACAGGCATGAGCCACTGTGCCCAGCCTGATTCCTTGATTTCTTAGTGGTAGGGAATTTCTGCATGTGAAGACTGGCTGCTTTTTCTTTGAACCATTCTCCTGATATGCACATCTTCCCTCAGTGCTAAACTTGTCATTTCTTTGTACCAGAGATAAGAGATTATTGACAATATTCTCCAGCTTGGCTTAACAATATATTTTTTATTTGGGGGAGTTTGCTATTTGGAAATATATTTCTTATTTGGGAGAGTCTTTGCAAATGAAATATATTACTTGGGGAGAAAAGACTGTTTTAATTCCTTCTCTGAGCCAAGCAAATTTTTATTTGTTTTTTGTACAAAACAAGTTTTGGAAACTTTTACCATGAGAATCTGACTGGGTATGGTCCTTGCCATTGGACTCAAAGTGGCCATAGCTTTCACCATAGGGTCAGGAGTCTGCAGGGTCAAGGGGACATGGATGCTCAGAGACCAGGCTTCCTCCCTATCCCTCTATTCTGGACCAGGCTTCTAGAATTCCTTGCCCCAGTGACTGAGAGCCTACTTCCTGGGGCTGTGCAGGTTTCTTTTCTGGTTTGCTCTTTGAAGGCCAACTGAGCCACCACTGTGAATACTCCTAGGCCTCAGGGGTACCAAGTGTTTGCTATTTGGGAGGGGGCTATGGACATGTGCTCTGGGTTATCCACACACATTTGCATTAGGTCTCTCAAGGAGTGAGACAGATAAAAAAGAAAATGGCAGCTGAGGGGACGGGGATTTCCAGCTGTAGCACTTCCATGAACCCACAAATCAGTGGCTCCAGCTCTTTCCTGCCCTTCACATCTCAACTCTGCCTACCTGTTTTCTTTTTTTCCCTTAAACAGTTCAAATTTACTGCCTCTGTACATGTTATTTCTTTTTCTTGGATTATACTTCTCCTAATTCTTCCATGGCTGGCTCCTTCTCACTGTTCAAATCTGAGCTTAAAAATCATTGCCTCTCCTAAGGCTTCTTCCCCACTACCAGTCACTTTCTTTCATTTACTCCTTTGTTTTCTGCATAGGACATTTCATAATATGAAATCAGTTTCTAAAGGCACTTACCTATGTATTGTTCATCTCTTCCCACTTAAATACAAACTCCATGAGAACAGATAATTTGTCCTGCCTACCACAGTCTCCCTAGAACCCAGCAGAGAGTACATGCTCAATCATAATAAGTTAATAAATGATTGACTGAGCAACTGCACACATGAATAATTGTTGTCTCTGTGCAATATAAAGACAACCACATGCAAAGCTAAAAGTATAGTTTCAATGTCAATATTAATCAAGATAGTCCAGGGTGAGGTGCAATAACTCTCCAGCTGAAAACAGCAAGGTTTACTTCTCATTCAGCTTTTATCAACATGTGGGACAGCTAGTGCTTGATCTTGTGTTGTCTTCATCCTGGAACCCAAGTGACACTGTTCTCCATCTGGAGCATCACTGGTCACCACGGCACAGGGAGGAGGCTATCAAGTCGTTAGCTGGCTCTTGTAGCATCCACATGGAAGTACATATATCAGCTCTGTTCAGATACTGTTGGTCAAAAAAAAGCCACAAGACTGCCTGACTTTATGAGTGTCTTAAAGAAGTATCAGAAGCATGGGTAAGTAGCCCCAGTCATGACCATATTTCTACTTGACAGATTCTTTACTCCTACTGATTTTAGCAGATATTTTGCTTAGCATCGACACAACTTAAATTTGGGATACAAGTCAACATCTTGTTTGTAAGTAGTCATTAGTATTTTAAATATATACATTTTAAAAAATGAAGTCCCTTTAAAAGTAAAGGCTGTTTTTCTACATATTTATTCTTGTCGTGTTTTAGTTTAAAAAGATTTTAAGTCTTTGAAATTGTTGATAACGTTGCATCTAATTTCTTTGCCCCTTTAAATGTGATTGCTTCTGACATATTAGCCAATATGTTTAAAATAAAATGATGGGAAATCAAGTGGTTTATTCCTCTGCATACATATAGTTCCATAATGAAATTATTCCTGCTGTGAAAAATAAGTTTGAATTTTGCAGCTGGTCACAGTTGGTGAGAACAGAGGGTGTATACATCTTTAATGGAGTGTGTTTCTCAGACTCTTATGACAAATGCAACCTCCCTCATTCTCTCCCACAATTAAGTAAGCAACTTTTGATTTCAAGCTTTCATTAAGGAGATGGGATACATCACACACAGGAACAGCATCTTGCAGGTTGCCTTTTAATCTATTGTCTCTTGTTTCTCCTTTTTTCTCCCTCTGTCTGTCTCAGTTCCTAACTGCCAATTATCTGTTCTTCAGACCCTGCATAAACAATTTGGGTGTATACAGAGGATTTAGATACATTTCATTAACATTCCCACATATTTCATTTAAAAAAGGATTAAATTAAGACTTAAAGTTTGCCATTGTAAGACCTTTATTTTCCTATATATCTATTCTTTTTATTTTAGGAAATAGTTTCCTTATTTTTAAACTTGATAGAAGCCTTATTTTTAAAGTTTATAGAAGAAACAGGAAAGAAAAGAAGAGTCCCTCAACATTTCTTTGGTTTATCAGAGAAGTGGTTGGCTCTGCATGACAAACTGCCAAATGGTTCTAAGAAGCATGTCAACAGTTGTTTTTGGTCAAGCTACTGGATGTGGCCTATCTCCACGGGTGATAGTTGGTAGAGCTCACAACTATTTTTATTCTTAATAACACATGGAAATATAGACCATAACGAATGAATTGTCATATTTAAAGAGAGGCAATTTTTAATAATAATTTTAGAAATGCTTGCTTCTTTTTGAGATGGATTTTCGCTCTTGTTGCCCAAGCTGGAGTGCAATGGTGCGATCTCGGCTCACTGCAATCTCTGCCTCCTGGGTTCAAGTGATTCTCCTGCCTCAGCCTCCTGAGTAGCTGGGATTACAGGCGTGCACCACCACGCCCGGCTAATTTCTTGTATTTTTAGTAGAAATGAGGTTTCACCATGTTAGCCAGGCTGGTCTCAAACTCTTGACCTCAGGTAATCCACCCACCTCGGCCGGCCAAAATGCTGGGATTACAGGTGTGAGCCACCGCGCCCAGCCAAAATGCTTGCTTTTTATGGCAAATCAAGTATTTTTAAGTATGTCTTACATGTTTCTATGAAAAATTTCTCCATCTTTATAGAAAAACAAGAAGGAAATCAGGGATAGGGTGATTAATATCTATTAAAACTCCATATGTGCTAATCATAATAGTGTTGCTTTACTTAAGTTATCTCAATCTCTCCCTCAACAACCTGTGAAATAGCAATTATTCTCATTTATGTATTTGTTTTTACTAAAGGAATAAGGGTATCCAGAGCTTCACAGAATAGGAATCCAACAGGAGCCCATCTCACAGTCTTAGACTTATGAAGAAGTATGGTACCGTCACTATCCAAACAGTTAGGATAGCCATGCTTGTAACATTATTAAATCTTGTCCTCCAATATTTGATTTTCCAAGGATTTCTGATATCACTTAAGTTATTTTATCATGTATAATTTTCAGGTTGGTTGTATGAAATTATAGCCCAGTAGAGACAAATATGTATTATTTTATTATTGCATTCATTTATTTGTATTAATAATATTTTTTACATATATCATTTAGAATGTTCAAAATATAATTTTAAAAACTCAGCCATGATCCTTTCACCGAAAAATAACTGCTTTTTACATATTGATATATTTACCAGTCATGGTGGTTCACATCTGTAATCTCAGCACTTTGGGAAGCCAAGGCAAGAGGATCACTTGAGCCCAGGAGTTCAAGACCAGCCTAGGCAACATAGTGAGATGTTGTCTCTACAACAACAACAACAACAACAAAATAAAAAGCAGGAGGATCACTTGAGCCCAGGAGGCAGAGGCTGCAGTGAGCCATGATTGCACCAGTGCATCCCTTCCTGGGTAACAGAGTGAGACTATATCTCAAAAAAAAAAAAAGGATATATTTATTTCCAGTCTAATTTAATTAAATGTATAATATATCGTATTGATCTTATGTCTATTATAGTTTTTATAAAACATAGATTTTACCATATACCTAGTTTTATGCTTTCCTTTCTTCACTTAAAATGTTATAATCAGCATTTTTGCTTGACTTTATTGCTAATCAAAAACATAATTTTAATAGCTGTACATTTTTTATTTATGGATATGCAATAATAAATATGGCTTTTCTCCACTGTTTCATAGATGTTTTAGAGTGTATGTAAGATAAAATTACATTCTCTCTACCTATTCCTCCAATTGTTCTCAGTTTCATTCATTTAACAAGTCAGATTACCAAATATTGTATTTTAATTTACCTTGAATATATCACTCCTGAATCTGCTTTTTACACGGTTTAGTATTATTTCTCCTTCATTTGCCATTGTGAGACCTTTATTTTCCTATATATCTATTCTTTTTAATTTAGGAAATAGTTTCCTTATTTTTA